>NC_000005.10:40743173-41375698 GCF_000001405.40 Homo sapiens | reverse complement strand
AAAGCTAAGAGAAGAGAAGGTTTGAAGTGTGTGGCTTTGCCTCAAGAAAGCAAACCCTGGTAGGATGTTAGCATGGAACCCCCTAAGGAAGCATTGACATAGAACATGAAGGGAGTTAGAGATGACTGGGCTTAATCCTTCTTGCCTTGTGCCTATTGCTCATTTCACCATTTTTTATTAAATAAGGAAGTTGAGGCCAAGAGGAATGCTAATTGATTGCCCAAGGACATAGAGCTGACTGGAAGCAGAGAAAGGATTAAAATTCAGGACTCCTGGCTCCCAGTCAAAAGAAGAGACACCCCAGAGAGGGATAAGGCCAGAGGATAAACAGAAAACCTAGGGGTGAAGGGGGCAGAGCATACCAGGCTGCACATACTAACATGGAAGGGCTTTCAGTCTGCACTGCACTCAACACTGCATGGTGCCCTGGGGCCTTGCCTGGATAGGATAGCGGGTAAAGCCAAAGGTCTAGGCCACAGATTTTGTGCTGGGCCTACTTTCTCTGGGCTCTCTCTCTCTTTCTCTTTCTCTCTCTCTTTCTTCCTCTCTTTATCTCTCTCTGCATCATGAACCCAACGGACTCTTTTTTTTCTCTCCAATGGGGACACACTCCAGCTCACAACCCTCCTACTGCCCAATTTGCCGTTTCCTTGCCTGTACCCGGAAGGGATGGGTCTAGTCTCTTGGAAGTTTTTCAGCTGCAGTGCCAGTCATTTTAGCAGTTTGGAGAGCCAGGAAAAGCCTCACTTAGAGGTTGAGACTCAGAATGGTTCAAAGTCAGCTGTTCAAATGGCTTAAAGTCAGACACAAGACAGTACCCATCTCCATAAAGAGAAGCTTTCCAGCCCCACCCTTCCACCCTAGGCCATGTCCCAAGACAGGTCAGCACAGCAGCAGAGCAGAGCAGCTGACAATGGATATTTGGAATATTCTATTCAACAGAGAGGGAAAGCGATCTCCTCAAGCTACATATCCCTGAGGAGAAAGAACAACAAGGAGACTATGGAAAGCCAGTGTTCCAATAATCATTATTTACAAAAAGCTTTCACCATAAGATTCATTTCTTCGATCTGTCTCTCTCTCTCTGTCACTCCCTGTCTCTATAGATATGTATGCATACAGATACATATATGTACGTGTGTCTGTGTATGTCTGTTTGTATGTATTGTACGTGGCTTCATTCGTACAAGTGTTATTCCTAATTTGCAATTTAAGAAACTGAAGGTCAGAATGGCTAAATAATTTATTCGGATGATGTTATAAGCCAGTGCCGGGACCAATTCAGAATCTTTTTGAAACACTAGAAAGGGGATTCTGGCTTGTAAATCAAAAGGAAGCTCCAGAAAGCAACCCTTTCCCAGCCTAGGACTTGGCAAACTGGAATGCTCTTATGGAAATTTTGTTAAAATGTAAGTTCCTGGATGCCACTTTCAGAGATTCTGATTTAATAGTCTGTGGCTCAAAGTGTTTCATTCTTAACAGACTCAAGTGAGCCCCACTTCAAGTAGCACTGCTCATACTCACAAACAAGCTGCACCTTAATCATCCCTACTGACAAAATAACCTGGTTTTAGTTAACCTAAAGAACATAAACCCCAATATTTATTGGTGCCCTCCTCCCTAGGCTCAGTTAGTTCTTCCTTAAATCTAAGCTACAGCTCCTCTACCCACAGGGCCTGCCAGATTCAAGTTCATATTTGCTTGCTGTATCACTCAGGTAGAACTACCTATCAATGATTTCCAAAAAGTAGCACTCAGCTTTTGGCATCTTCTGTCTTGTGTTACTTAGTTTGACCCTAGGATTATTGCACTAATAAGCATAAACAATTTCTCACCTTTGGTGAGAAATTATTTGTTACCCTGGGCTAAAAAGCACATTCTCATGTAAGAAGACTTAATAATTTCTAGACTCAGTGTCTCCCACCAAAGCCAATTAACATTATGGCACTGCATCCCAACTTCCTCCCCAGTGCTAATTTCAAACAAGATGAGAAAGCAGAAGAAGAAGAAGAAGAGGAAAAGGGGGAGGAGGAGTTTCAACTGAAGAATTATGAGGTTCATAAATTCAGAGAGGAGAGAGCTTTATTTCTTACAAAGGATTGCGGCCTGCGGGCTGGCCGTTCCATGGGCTGGGAAATGTAGCCTCCAGTAGAAACTGAGAAAGGCACTTTAAGGAAAGGAATGGTGAGACAAAAATTTAGGCTGAATGGGTTAGCTAAGTATACATATTCAACAGTTTACAGAAGAATCTATGAATATTCACAAAATGGGACGTTTGCATTTATAAATAAGTAAACATGCACATTTCATAAGTCCCATGTTCACTTCTGGGTGGAGACTTAACATTTAAATGCATTAAAATTAGGTCCTATGTGTCAAAAAGTGAAACAGAAGACACAGAGACATGTTATGTGTAGCCTCTGTAAACTGACCAGAACCAGTCTACGATTTGCTGTCTCTGTTGAGGAAGAAATGCTGGTCAGTTGTGTTGAAACCACAAAAAAGTGGGGAAGTTGGATGGATTGATTTCCATTTAACTCTTGGGAAAGAAAGTCTTTTAGTGGCAGTTAGTGAAGAAGGGGGTATAACGAGGCATGTCCAATCTCACATCCCATCATGGCCAAAAACTCATTTGTTTTTGTTTTTTTGTTTTGTTTTGTTTTGAGACAGCCTGTCACCCAGGCTGGAGTACAGTGGCATGATCTTGGCTCACTGCAACCTCCGCCTCCCAGGTTCAATTGATTCTTCCACCTCAGCCTCCCAAGTAGCTGAGATTACAGGTGTATGCCACCATGCCTGGCTGATTTTTGTATTTTTTGTAGAGAAGGAGTTTCACCATGTTAGCCAGGCTGGTCTCAATTTTCTGACCTCAAGTGATCCTCCTGCCTCAGCCTCCCAAAATGCTGTGATTACAGGTATGAGCCACCATGCATGGCCAAGAACTCAGTTTTTAAGGTTTCTCTGGGGTCCTTTTGGTCAAGAAGGGGGTACACTCAGTTGGTGGCGGGGCTCAAGATTTAATTTTTATTTCTCAGAAGGAAGAAGATTCTGTACCAGCTTACAGTTGTGAGACTGTATGACAGAGGAGGGAGTTCATCCTATGTCCTCCGGGGTATGGCAAGAGGAAGCGTTGTCTGTAATTCTCCATTTTAACAACTTTTGACCCCAAAACTTTTGAAATAAGAGTGCACATAAAAACTCTCTTTCTCCTTCATTCTGCTGATGTTGTAAGATTAAAGAAGATTAAAATACATTTAAATACAGGCAAGCAATTTTCACAGTTTTAGAGAGGTTAAAGACTAAAGAAGTTTCCAAGTTGTTGAGAAGTCAGATATCTATTCAGTGCCTGGTGTGTGTGTGTGTGTGTGTGTGTGTGTGTGTGTGTGTGTGTGTGTGTGTGAGAGAGAGAGAGAGAGAGAGAATGAATACATATACTTTTCTGAAAAACTGTGGCATAGGATGGAGACTCTCCCACTCTAGTAAACCTCTCTGGATCTCAGTTTTCTTCTATGGAATTGCTGGGCAGATTGAATTTAATTTCTAAAAGAAACTAGCTTAAAATATAACTAGTATGTATAGCTAGCACTCACAAAAAAAAGTTGAAAGGAGGTAGGTCGATGGGGGTAGAGAGAATAAGGATGGAGTATCTAGGCAGCAGGGATATTTACTCAGTCAAGTAGTGACACAATAATTTGTGTAGTTTAGTCAGCAACTGAGGGAAAAGGGAGATTCGTTTGGAATTTCAAATGAACCATATCATGAGATATCAGTAGATGAATGAGTAAAAGGTGTCTGATTCAAGAAGTAAAATGGACCAGATGTGGAAATCTCAGTTCACATTCCAAGGTCATGAGAAGGAGGCCTGCAGGCCAGATCTTCCCTTCTGCTCTATGCAGGCAGGGCTCCTGAGTGGGGCACAAGTCCATTCAGCTGAAAAGCTCCAAGAGAAGAGACATAAATATTTTGTGATTGTCCTTTAGCCAAAGATCCCCAGGCACAAACATGTAGTTGAACGTGCAGGATTTATTATCTGTTGCAGCAAGGGAGAACATACCATGGGGTTCATACATGAGACATCCCAGTAAGAGGATGCTAGAAGGGACTTACAAGATTGGGCTTAGGTTGGGTGACTTGAGGAAGGGTCTAAGGAAGCAGGGGTTTGCTGTAGATCAGATGCTGTCAGAAAGCAAGGACAAGTCTATATTTGGATATTTCAACAAGCCTAATCCATAGGGCTAGAGCAAAGTCAAACTGTAATTGGTAAAGGAGTCTCAGTCACTCATTTTAGTCAAGAGAGGTGGTGACCTTATCTGAAGTCGGTATTGTGGGAGATTGCTTATGTCCAACAGGAGAATAACATGGCCTGGTTGTGAGTGTCTGGTGAGCTCTCAGTTGTCAGGGGCTGCTTTTTCTTTCCCCGTTTTTCAATAAAATGTCAAAAGAGGAATATCACTTATTGCCATTTGGCTTAAAAGCCTCTAGTATAAATTAGTCTGTCCATGTGCTTTTTCTTTGTTCTTTTTCTCATTAAAACAGTCGAGGCTGTTTCTATGCAAAAGCCCAGACCATTTTGATAATGAGGCAAATCAAAGAGTTGATAATATCCTAGCTGAGGGATTGGCTACTGAAAATGCAAACTCTTCAAATTAGGCTATATTTTCAGTCAACTTGACTTTCTTTCTCTGTGATCTTAAATTTCTCCCTCTACCCTTGGAAAACTGTTGAAATTTCCCAGATGATGGAGAGAAGGGGTCCAGGGCAGGAAAAAAATAGAAGAACATAGTTCTTTGTAAAGGGAATTGCTGATTTTTTAAGATTTGAGAACATTCCATTTGTCTTCCCGAGGTTTCACAATTCATTCAGGGCACAAGGAAGCAGGAGATGGGATGCAGACTGTCACATTTTCAACAAATTGGTTTGTTGTCCTCTTTCACAGAGGGAGGCATATTTTTTCTTGGGCTTGTTTGCATGGGTGCCCCTGAGGGCTTGCGATCCAGATGTTTGTGTTGAGTGTACTTGATAGACACAGTTTTCAGAGACTGACCTACTGATAAACAAGGGTGACTCTGACAAGTATAAATGGCTAGTCGAGTGAGGTGATATAAGCCAAATCCTCTCCCCCAAAAAAGATAAAAGGGCAAGGAGTTGCTGTAAGCGTGTCCTACCTAACCAAATTTAATAGAAATATTAAATAACTAACTAACATCACTCTAGGCAATGAGATATCAGCTTTTAACTTACCACATTTGGTTGATAAAATGATGTTTTCTATAATATTTTCAGTGTAACAACAGCAATAAAAAAGTTAAAACTATAAAATTTTCTCAGAATACCTGACCTTGGAGGATTTTACAGAAAATACTGCATGCATCAATTGCAGGCACTAATATTTGGCTTTGTTGATTACAGCACAGATCTTCTGGCTCTTGCTCTGTATGTCTGGGATTGTAGCCTATTGCTAATTAACTTATTTTAAAGTATTAACAATAATTAGACAAGAATGGCTAGAGACTTGATTGTCATAATTCATTTTTTTGCAGAAATCACAATTGTATCTTGAACTTTTCCTTTAAAATATTCTTTCCTTCCACCCCCTCATCACTTATTTCCCTGTAGCCTCAGCTGTTAAGAGCAAAAAAGCTTACAAGTTGTTTCTGGGGCTGTGACATCCTATCTGGAGGAAGCGGTATGTGGCAGTGAGACTGTAATGTGTGATTTCATTAGTGAATGCTAAAAGCACAGACTGCCCTTTGGAAATGGATGTGATATGTGGCCAATATAAAACAGACCAAATTCACTGTGTTGTCTGCTACTTGTCTGAATACCGAACAGAAAAGTTGTTGCCTATATAATTTAGCTCAGGTTCAAAAATTAACCAGTCAAAAAATAAATAAGATAACTCTATCAAAAGCTATTAGTTGGCTGGTCATGGTGGCTCACACTTGTAATCCCAGCACTTTGGGAGGCCGAGCTGGGTGAATCACTTGAGGTCAGGAGTTTGAGACCAGCATGGCCAACATGGTGAAACCCCTGTCTACGAAACTAAAAAAATTAGCTGGACATGGTGGTGGCCACCTGTAATCCCACCTACTCAAGAGGCTGAGGCAGCAGAATCACTTGAACCCAGGAGGCCGGGGTTGCAGTGGACCCTGATGGAGCCTCTGTACTCCAGCCTGGGTGACAGAGCAAGACCCTGTCTAAGAAAAAACAACCAACCAAAAAAAGACAATGAAAAACAAAAGCTATTAATTAATGGGCATATTTCAGTTTTTGTGGTTCATTTTCAAGAGTTTAATTCAGGTTGCCTGTTTTTCAAAATAAAGCTAGCTTATAATGAATAGATTGTAGGAAAATTTGATCAAGTGTGTAGTTTAGTTTCACTAAATTCAATCTGTTAACAGACAGCATATGTTGATTGAGAAGAGTCATGATGGACTATTGTTAAGTATCCTGAAAACTTAGTTTTTTCTTGTCTCACTTTCACATTGGCTGGTTAGGGGTTACGTGGTTATTTAATAAATTTGACTCTACTGCCGTTCACAAGCAGAGCAAGTGCCACAGACATTTCTACATGGTCTTCCATGACATAAGGAGAATTCCACACCCTTGCAGCACACACAACTTATTGCCACTGTATACATATACTTCAACACATCACTCATGTGTCCACAGACCAACAAGACCCCAAACACAATATGGCTGAGAACTCTTACAAGTAATAAAGATGGAGAGGCTTTTCAATATCGTAAACCATGAGCAACGACATTTCCATGTCTCCTGATGCGGGTTGTTTATAGAAAGGCTGTTTCAATGGTCCACCATTTTCTACTCCAGTTAGCAAAGGGTGGTCAGCTGTAGATTGAAAATGTTTATGTGAAAAAGAACTAAAGACAAAAAGCACATGATTATCTCAATAGCTGCAGAAAAGGCTTTTGATAAAATTCAACATCCCTTCATGATAAAAGCTCTCAATAAATTAGGTATTGAAGGAATCTACCTCAAAATAATAAGAGCCATATAGGACAAATCCACAGCCAACATCATACTGAATGGGCAAAAGCTGGAAGCATTTGCCTTGAAATCCAGCACAAGACAAGGATGCCCTCTCTCACCACTCCTATTCAACATAGTATTTGAAAGTTCTGGCCAGAGCAACCAGGCAAGAGAAAGAAATAAAGCGTATACGAATAGGAAGAGAGAAAGTCAAACTATCTTTGTTTGTGGATGGCATAATCCTATATCTAGAAAGCCCCATTGTCTCAGCCCAAAAGCTTCTTAAGCTGACAAGCAACTTCACCAGAGTCTCAGGATACAAAATTAATGTGCAAAAATTGCTAGCATTCCTATAAACCAACAACAGGCAAGTAGCTCATAGTGAATTTGGCTCTATGCCAAATTATGAATGAACCAAATATAGAGCCAAATTATGACTGAACCAAATATAGAACCAAATTATGAATGAACTACCATTCATAATTGCCATAAAAAGAATAAAATACCTAGGAATACAGCTAACAAGATAAGTGAAGGACCTCTTCAAGGAGAACTAAAAACCACTGCTCAAAGAAATCAATGATGACACAAACAAATGGAAAAACATTCCATGCTCATGGATATAAAGAATCAAAATTGTGAAAATGGCCATACTGCCCAAAGCAATTTATAGATTCAAAGTTATTCCCATTCCCAAAAACAGACACATAGAAAAATGGAACAGAATAGAGAACCCAGAAATAAGACTGCACACCTACAACCATCTGATTTTTGACAAACCTGACAAAAATGAGCAATGAGAAAAGGATTCCCTATTTAATAAATGGTGCTGGGAGAACTGGCTAGCTCTATACAGAAAATTGAAACTACACCCCTTCTTTACGCCATATACAAAAATCAACTAAAGATGGATTAAAGACTTAAATGTAAAACCCAAAACTATAAAAACCCTAAAAGAAAACCTAAGCAATACCATTCAGGATATAGGCACAGCAAAGATTTCATGATGAAGATGCAAAAATCAGTTGCAACAGAAGCCAAAATTGACAAATAGGATCTAATTAAACTAAAGAGCTTCTGCACAGCAAAAGAAACTATCAGCAGAGTAAACAGGCAACCTCTAGAATGGGAGAAAAGTTTTGCAATCTATCCTTCTGACAAAGGTCTAATATCCAGTATCTACAAGGAACTTAAACAAATTTACAAGAAAAAAACAACCCCATTAAAAAGCTGGCAAAGGACATGATGAACAGACACTTCTCAAAAGAAGACGTTATTATGGCCAACAAACATTTGAAAAAAAAGCTCAACATCACTGATCATTAGATAAATGCAAATCAAAACCACAATGAGATACCATCTCATGCCAGTCAGAATGGCGATTATTACAAAGTCAAGAAACAATAGACACGGGCGAGGCTGTGGAGAAATAGGAACACCTTTACACTGTTGGTGGGAATGTAAATTAGTTCAACCATTGTGGAAGACAATGTGTCAATTCTTCAAAGACCTAAAACCAGAAATACCATTTGACCCAGCAATCTCATTACTGGGTACATACCCAAAAGAATATAAATCATTCTATTATAAAGATCCATGCATGTGTATGTTCATTGCAGCACTACTCACAATAGCAAAGACATGGAATCAACCCAAATGCCCATCAATGATAGACTAAGTTTTAAAAATGTGGTATATATGCATCATAGAATACTATGTGGTCATAAAAAGGAGGAGATCATGTCTTTTGCAGGGACATGGATAAAACTGGGAGCCATTATCCTCAGCAAATAAACGCATGGACAGAAAAGCAAACACTGCATGTTCTCACTTATAAGTGGGAGAGGAAAAATGAGAACACATGGACACAGGGAGAGGAATGACACACACTGGGGCACGGGAGAGTGCATCAGGATAAATAGCTAATGCTTGCTGGGCTTAATACCTAGTGATGGATTGATCTGTGCATCAAACCACCATGCACACATTTACCTATGTAACAAATCTGCACATCCTCCACATGGAGCCCTGAACTTAAAAGTTCGGAATCAAAAGAAAAAGAATATGTTGATGTGTGCTTGGGCATATATGTGTTTGTGCATGTGTGTGTGGATGCATGTTGTGTGTTGAAATAGTTTGAAAATAAGTATTAACATAGTCTTCTCTTTACACCTGTAAGCATACATTGCTTTCTTCCTGCTTATTAAGGAAAGAAGAGTTTCACATGCAGTGTGATCTTATCTCCCAATTGAAGATATAAATGATGGTCTCCTGAAAGTGCTCAGATACCCCATGTGGTACTTTTTCACCTAAGTTCATGATTGTCCTAGGAGACATGCATTTACATTCTTTTAGCTTGCTCTGAACCTCATGTTTTCCTTTAGTGCTTTTCTTGAAGGATTTCTTTGGCATTGTAGTTTCAAAAGTTGTATTTTGTTTCCAACATTGTGTGGCTTATCTCTGTGATATTTGGGGGGCTTTTGTATAGCTATGACTCTTCTTAAAAATTGAGGTGGGGCGCATGTTCTCACTCAGGTGGGAATTGAACAATGAGAATACTTGGACACAGGGTGGGGAACATCACACACCAGGGCCTGTCGTGGGGCTGGGAGAGTGGGGAGGGATAGCATTAGGAGATATGCCTAATATAAATGACGAGTTAACGGGTGCAGCACACCAACATGGCACATGTATACATATGTAACAAACCTGCACGTTGTGCACAAGTACCCTAGAACTTAAAGTATAATAAAATAAATAAATAAATAAATAAATAAATAAATAAATAAATAAATGGTGACCTATTGAGAACAAGGACAAAGAATAGCTTCAAAACTCTATTTTACAAAAAGGGTTCCGCTTGAGATATTTCAAGTGAGTAGATGTAACTTAGGAAAAGTGAATGAAACATTAAAATGAAGCAGATACAATACTAAAAAAAATTGAGGTGGGGAAGAAAGTAATATAATCCGCTTGATACTAGGATGGTATTTATGGTATGACTTTAGAGAATCCTAATTTCTTTGAAGTAGACCAAAATAGTGTTTCCCAGTGTCCCAGCACTCTTCAGGTTACCCAGGGATAGAAACAAGAATCCATCCATTTATTGAGTTGGCCAGTCACTTAGGCAACAAGAACATAGAATGTGCTGTGGGCTTAGAGTGGGGACTGGAGAGGCAGTCCTTCAGTTACAGGACAATCTCCTTGGAGTGTGAGATTTTTATAAAAGGCAAACCTAGAGAATGGCATGAGACATTGCTTGCAACTGTGTACTAAAATTATCTGTAGTTGACATATGCCATAGGGATTCCAAGGAAAGAAAGATGGCAAAAGTGACTTCTTCAGCATCTTAGGACAGAAATATTCTGACCTTTTCTGAACTTTACCTTTCATTGCGACATGGCAATTTATGCCCATATATCAGGTGCACGTCTATTTTCTCTACTCAAATATGATATTCTCTTGTGATTGTCTAAATCACTGACCACCAAAAAACGGTAAAAAAGAAAAATTTCTATGGTGAAAAATTGTGCTTGGATTTGAAAACATTTCCACACAATAAGATATTAGACTAGGCTAACAAGTGAGAGTTCCCTGGAGGCTTGAAAGATCCAGCCACAGATTTACAACACTTTGTGTGCCTATTGGTGTTAGGAGCAGATGTACATAAGAGAGAAAAGTGAAAGCATTATGTGAAAGGTCTGTATTTTGACAATAAAATTTAGCAAGTTCCCTGAGAAAATTTGCTAAATGCATGTTACGTATTTTATTTTTAAAATTCAAGGTGGAAAAATATGCTTTGAGATTTGACATTCTGTCCTGCACAGTTTACATGCCAAGATACATTCCTTGATTATCAAAAGTACACATCAAATGAAGTAGATTCCCTCCCTTATTGAAGTAACCTGACAAAAAAGGGAGCCACTGCTGGGACTTCTGAAAGACAGCTGAGGAGCAACCTTCTAACAAGTGTGGTTGGCCTTTGCACTGCTTTTTCTCTTTTCCTTCTCAATTTTGTAATGAGAAAGGACAATTTTATAGCAACTTGGCAAAATGATAGTGCAGGAAGTCCCAGATGTTCTTGCCCCAGCTGTCTCTGAGATCTAATAATATAGAGTGGGAATAGCACATCTCCCTAAAGAGCACACACATTTTAAGTTGCTTTAATTTTCTTGCCAATTAGGCTTTTAAGATGCCAAACCCATCTCCAGGCAACCTTTGTGACAATTTCGTATCCTTTGGTGAAGGAATCTAAGGCAAATAGGATTTTCTGCTGGCAAAATAGCATGGAAAAAAATTTTACTCTTTGATTACCAAAGAAAAATACATGCACTCACTTTTGCTTATGGAAACATGAGGACACAGGGGTCTTAACACTGATTGTAGTGAAGGATCCTGAAGAGACTGAGGGTGAGAATTCTTATCCTTGAACAGGGTTTCTCAGCCTCGGCAATATAGACATTTTAAGCAAGGTAATTCGTTGCGGGAAGCTGTCTTGTGCATAGTAGGATGTTTGGCAGCATCCATGGCCTCTACCCACTGGATTCCAGTAGCACCTTCCCCTGAGTTATGACTGAAAAAAATGTCTCCAGTTATTGCCAAATGCCCTCCCCCCATGCCCACCCCTGGAGGAGGATACAGAGTTGACCCTGGCTGGAAACTGGTGGACTAGAGCTGCCACTGCACAAAAAATCTTGTGACAGTCATTTACTTTTGCAGATGCTCTATTTCTTTACACATTAAACAGATGATACCAACTGTCCAGGGATTAGAGAAGCATAAAATACTTAGAAATATGGCATGTTTTTCATTTAAACAAATATGACAAAGCTTACACATTTTTAGTGTCTACTGACACCTGCATATTAGTCACCTTGGGAATTTACTCATTTATCCAAGTGATACTGAAGCAATTTTAAGAATAATTTTAGTCAGGGATAAGTCCTTCTCCTTTCAGGATAAATTGCTTTTTGAAACAAGCTAGGCTCATTCAAGTTTAGCAGATAAGGTAAGTGAGCAAAGCTAATGAAGGCTCTTTGGAGTCAAAATCTAGGTGAAACAATAATGAGATGGATTTTTCTTTCCTCATGAACAGATACTAAAGTCAATTTCAATAAAGGAGTCTTAAAAAGATTCGGAGTCATTCTGTCATTGATGGGATAAGTGAACAGTCATCTCCATGGGTAATAATTCTGAATGACAGCTCATCTTCAGCTTATAAGTATTGGGATGTCAGTTAAAAAAAATTCCACTACTTTAGAGTCATCTGTCATAGAATAAGATAAGAGAAAATATCCTGAATTCTTGGAGAAAGTCTTTTTAAAAAAATATATTATTATCTGTATTACTTGGATCAAGCAGTAGATATTTACAGAACATTTACTGAGTGTATGCTAGTGACTGTACTTTAAAATGATTAGGACATAGCCCCTTATCCTCAACATGGTTACCCTGCAGTGGGAGAGACAAATTAATAAACGGTTTATTTCCACATCATGTGGTAACTTCTAAGATAAGTCAAAATCAGTTATTTACCTGGTTTTTCAACCCAGCGCTGCCATGTACCGACTAACTCTGTAAGCCAGGAGAAGTCATTTAATTTCATCTGCTTTCAGTTTCCTTATCTGAAAAGGCAGTTGTCCCCTCTTCTAGCATCATTATGCTGATTCTGTGGTAACAATGACAGTTTCTATGGACATATGTACTATAATATGTTGTAAAAAAAAATCTGATCATATGATGTCTAAATACTAAACACTAGTTTCATTTGAATTATTACCGAAACAGGAAGAGATGCCAAAGTAGACATTCATGAACACTAACTGTTGAGAGAGATTCGACTTGTTACTGGTAGTTGATTATTAAAGAATGACCCTAAACCAAGTGAATTGCCCTTATTTCTTCTTCCTGGACTACGCAGCACTATAATAAACTACATGGTTGGTTGATCAGGAGTTGCTGTATCCCAGTAAAATAGCAAGCAGTAAAAAGCGAAATAAAATGTCTACATTTAAAACTTAACTCATAAATCTTTTGTAATTTAAATTATTGTGTTATTTTAAACAACAGGAGTGACATCCACAAACCTAAGGTGAAGTTTGTTTAACTTTCAAGGTGTCGGTTTCTGATTTTAACATTCTCAATTGTAAAATGAAGAGATTGGAATTAGAACTAATATTTTTTGCATGACTATAATAGACATATTATTTATGTTCTTATTTCAGTCCTCCTAACAACTAAATGATGCAGATATTTTTATTTCTATTTTACCTATGGAAGAAATGAGCCTTAGCCAAATAAACCAACTCACCTAGCCTTGCACAGCATCTGTGGCAGAGCTAGGATTCAAACATGTGTCAGTCTGATTTCAAAGTCTCTGTTGCTTTTTTTCACCCCCTACACATCACTCCATTTTTTGAGTTGTCTCTGATGAAGATCTGAAATTATATAATTCTTTTCACAGTGACTCAAAAAAGTAATATGAAAGTATCACACATTTTCTAACTACAAAATGAAAAAGAAGAAAATGTTTGTCTACTTCCAAATTCAGGGACAAACAAAAGTCCTGTCAGATGAGTAGCTTTTTACACGTAAAAATGGCTTCCAAAGAGTGTCACTGATTCTTGCCCAGAATATTTCTAAATCCCCAAAGCTTCAGGGATAGAGCAAAAACCAATCCAAATTTCAGGTTATCTCTCTTGGTCAATGTACTAACTGACAGGCTAACATGAAAGTAAGCGTGGTGGTCTAGTTGGTGGCCTGCCCAAAGAGCCACTTTCTATATCTCTAGTTTTGTTTTTAACTCTCATCTGTGAGAGCTTTGATGATTCAAGAGTTTGTATATTAAAATTGTGATAATTAGTTCAATATTCAAGCAGTCAATGAAGTAAAATATTTATTGTAACTGTACTACTTCTGTATCATGTAGACTTTTTATTTTAATGTGGTAAATAAAACAATAGATTAACTGACAGCTCTGAGATGTGGCTTCTAGAAGAGTGTGACAAAGCAGGCTATCCATTCATTTATTCATCCTTTTATTTATCTTTTATTTGGAGAATGAGTGAGGTAGGTTTCTATTGTTCATTCCATTTGGCACTTTGTTCATGTTTTTTGTGGGGTTTAAGTAGCCCAAAGTGGATATTAGGGATTGAAAGATGGCAGATACAAGGCAAGGCTAGCTTGCAGCTCCTGCAGGGATGAATGGAGCAACATGTGGAGACTCACATCATGAACTTTTGCTTCAAGAACTACTGCAGGGACATTCCAGGAAAGCTGAGACAATCCACAGACTATATGAAGAAACTGGATCACTACTGCAGGCTCCCTGAGACACCAAAAAACTGCGGGTCTGCCTGCTTTCTCAGCAGGGAAGCTCATGGTATGGGGCAAATTCTCAGCCCTGGGCATTGGCTGCCTGGAAATAAACTCAGTGCTGCTGTGGGGGCACAGTGAGAGTGAGACTAGCCTTTAGGACTGCTGGCTGCATGGGAGTGGGGTGAGGCCTGTGACTGCCAGCTTTCCCCCACTTCCCTGGTGACCTGTATGACTCAGAAGAGGCAGCCGTAACCCCTGGGAACATAACCTCATTGGCCTGAGATCCACACCCCCATCCCCCACAGCAGCCACAGCAAGCCCCACCCATGGAGAGTCTGAGCTCAGACATATCTATCCCTGCCCCCACTTGGTAGTCTTTCTCTACCTGCCCTGGTAGCAGAAGACAAAAATCATAACCTCTTAGGAGCTCTATAGCCCTTCCCATGGCCTGAGAAACCTGAATACTTAACCAGGTATCCCCAAGGTGAGTTTGCAAACTCCTTATATTACCACAGCTGATGTGCTCATGAAAGCCCTACCTCCTGGCGGGAGGCCAACCAACACAAAACCAATGCATTAAACAAAAATACAACCCAGGACCCTCACAGAGTCCACTTCACTCCCCTGCTACCTCCACCAGAGCAGGTGCTGGTATCCATGGCTGAAAGACCTGAAGATGGATCACATCACAAGACTCTTTGCAGACACTCGCCAGTACCAGCTGGGAGCCTGGTAGCTCCACTGGGTGGCTAGACCCAGAAGAGGAAAAACAATCACTGCATTTTGGCTCTCAGGAAGCCCCATTCTTAGGGGAAGAGGAAGAACACCACATCAAGGGAGCACTCCGTGGGATAAAAGAATCTGAACAGCAGCCCTTGAGTCCCAAGTCTTCCCTCTGACATAGTCTTCCCAAATGAGAAGGAACCAGAAAAACAATTCTGGTAATATGACAAAACGAGGTTCTTTAACACCTCCAAAAGATCACACCAGCTCACCAACAATGGATCCAAACCAAGATGAAATCTCTTAATTGCCAGAAAAAATAATTCAGAAGGTTGATTATTAAGCTAATCAAGGAGGCACTAGAGAAAGGTGAAGTCCAACTTAAATCAAAAAATTTTTGATTCATCATATCCTGATACAGGATATGAAAGGAAAAATATTCAGTGAAATAGAAAGCATAAATAAAAAACAATCACAATTTCTGAAAATCAAGGACACACTTAGAGAAATGCAAAATGTACTAGAAAGTCTCAGCAATAGAATCAAACTAGCAGAAGAAAGAATTTCAGAGCTCGAAGACAAGGATTTCAAATTAACCCAGTCCATCAAACACAAATAAAAAAGAATTTTTTAAAAAAATGAACAAAGGCTCCGAGAAGTTTGTGACTGTGTTAAACATCCAAACCTAAGAATAATTGGTATTCCTGAGTAAGAAGAAAAATCTAAAAGTTTGGAAAACATATTTGAGGAAATAATTGAGGAAAACTTTCCCAGTTTTGCTAGAGATCTAGAAATCCAAATACAAGAAGCTCAAAGAACAACTGGGAAATTCATCACAAAGAGATTATCACCTAGGCACATAGTCATCAGGTTATTTAAAGTCATTGAACTGGAGAAACAAGAACCCAGCGTAAGAAAAGAAATAACCAAGATCAGAGCAGAACTAAATGAAATTGAAACAAAAAATACAAAAGATAAATAAAACAAAAAGCTGATTCTTTGAAAAGATAAATGAAATTGATAGACCATTGGCAAAATTAACCAAGAAAAGAAGAGAGAAAATCCAAATAAGTTCAATTAGAAATGAAATGGGAGATATTGCAACTGATACCACAGAAATACAAAAGATTATTTAAGGTTACTATGAACAAGGTGTACATAGTATGCACATCGACTAGAAAACCTAGAGGAGATGGATAAGCTCCCAGAAATATACAACCCTCCCAGATTAAACCAGGAAGATATAGAAACTCTGAACAGACCAATAACAAACAGCAAGGTTGAAATGGTAATGAAAAATTGCCAATAAAAAAAAGTCCAGGACCAGATACATTCACAGCTGAATTCTCTCAGACATTCAAAGAAAAATTGGTACCAATCCTATTGACACTACTCCAAAAGATAGAGAAAGAGGGAATCCTCCCTAAATCATTCTGTGAAACCAGTAACACCCTAATACCAAAACCAGGGAAGGACATAACAAAAAAAGAAAACTACATACCAAATCCCTGATGAACATAGATGCGGAAATCCTCAACAAAATACTAGCAAACCGAATCCAACAGCATATCAAAAAGATAATCTACCATGATCAAGTGGGTTTCATACCAGGATGCAGGGATGGTTTAACATATGCAAGTCAATAAATGTGATACGCCACATAAAAAGAATTAAAAAGAAAAAAATCACATGATCATCTCAATAGAGGCAGAAAAAGCATTTTACAAAATCCAGCATCCCTTATGATTGAAACCCTCAGCAAAAATGGCATACAAGGGATATACCTTAGTGTAATAAAAGCCATGTGTGACAAACCCATAGCCAACATAAGATTAAACAGGGAAAAGTTGAAAGCACTCCCCCTGAGAACTGGAACAAGACAAGGATGCCCATTCTCACCACTTCCATTCAGCGTAGTACTGAAAGTCCTAGCCAGAGCAATCAGACAAGAGAAAGAAATAAAGGACATCCAAATCAATAAAAAGGAAGTCAAACTGCCACTGGAATACTACTCAGCCATAAAAAGGAAAGAAATAATGGCATCCGTACCAGCCTGGATGGAATTGGAAATTATTATTCAAAGTGAAGTAACCCAGGAATGGAAAACCAAACATCATATGTTCTCACTTATAAGTGGGAGCTAAGCTATGAGGATGCAAAGGCATAAGAATGATACATTGGACTTTGAGGACTTGGGGGAAAGAGCGGGAGTGGGGGTGAGGAATAAAAGACTACATATTGGATGCAGGGTACACTGCTCAGGCGACGGGTGCACTAAAATCTCAGAAACTACGATAAAACTTATTCATGCAACCAAACACAACCTGTTCCCCAAAAACCTACTGAAATATAAAAGAAATAAAAAAAATAAGTAGCCCAAAGCATTCACTCTGGACACAGAGCTGGGCTTGTCCTGACTACCACTTGCCATTGTGTGATCTTAGGCAAGTTCCATAAACCCTCTGAACCTCAGTTCCTCCTCTGTAAAATTAAAATAAAATTCAACCTATCTCAAGACTACCGTGAAGCATAAAGTAACAATCATACAAGGTTTTTAGCTCTCTGTCTGGTACATAGCGAGTGATCAATAAATGTTAGCTTTCATTAACAATATATTTTTGTAAGGATATTCAATGGTGCTCTGCTAAATTAACAGAGTAAATAATCTTCTTTGAGAAGCTTATTCCCTAGGAATTGATTTTATCATTGAGAATAATTAGGTTTACTTTAAATAGAACCCTATTGTAATACAGATTATGATGATTCGGAGTTTTCAATAGATGTGGGCACATATAACAATTTTGTACACTAATTGTCAGATGCTATATGGCCATTGCAACAAATATCTTGGGGTTTTGTTTTTCTCTAACACTAATATTATAGCTTTTTATTATACATATCATTATTTTTATTTGGCTATAATTATTTTTAGAACTAAGCTTACATCTATTGTAGCGATTCTGTAATCAGAATTATCAGTGAGACATTACAATATAGACTTGCTCAAGCTTGTGTAAATTCTGCAGTGGGCCTGGATCCCAGTGTTATTTTAGTGTCACGTCAAGTTTGAGAAGCACTGGTTGACTGCCTGGTCAGCTCTTTGAAAATAGGGAGCACTATTCAATTCTGTAGCCCCTAAAATTGTTCTAAAGCTGTTAAGCATTTTCTGAGTAGTTTTGGAGGTCAGATATCATAGAATATAATAAAAGAGAAATTAAGTTGCATATTCCAAACAGAAACTGAGTCTTACATGATCTAAGAAGTGAGAACTAATATCCAACAAATTTATAATTGGCCAATGCCACCTTAAATTATGGCAATAACAATTTTTTAATTGATAACAACTTTTTAAAAATTCAATATACAGTATTTTTGACAGCTATATTGCTTTATACCAAGGTACAAATATAAGCCACAATTAACGAATAGTGTATATACCCACCCTTCAGGGAGCCATTGAAAGGTCAGGCTAGCTGGTTACTGTTGACAAGGCACTGTTCTGAGAAAGACATGTTTTGTTGCCATTAATCACATTTCTTTTATTTAAATACATCAAGTGACCCAGCAGATTCTGTTGCAAGTAAGCATATGCCCATCTCAGAGTTAGGTCAAGCGTGTCTGCTTACACATGGTTGTTATCATAAAACTGAATATGGTTCATTAAGTTGCATCTAGGATCTCTATCACCCTTGGTGACCATTTGGTGTGACCGGGATAATTGTGCAGCTAATTCTAGCAGCTAACAGTGGGCCCCTGGGATGTGTGAGTTCTTCACACCCCCATGGAGCCCTTCCTGTTTGCCCTGTAGCTTGTGATAACAACATGCAGCCCTCCAGGAGGGATGACCCAGTGAGACTTTCCTACTTCAGCCTCTCAGCAAAAAGATGAAAGGGAAAATACGTGTTTTATCTTTGGGGGGTCACTTCACCAGGAAGTTTTGTTAAGAGCTCATAGCATGTGTTTCAGTAAATATTAATGGCAAAAAGGTTTGTTCAGATATGATATTCTGTAACTTGAGTGATAGATAAACTGGATTAAAATAAGGGGCCGTTTTCATTTTTAAAAACAGGGATCCACATATTTTGGGAATTGTTGATATCCCCAATAATAAGAGGCTTAACATTTGCATTAATCAAGGAACAGTTAAAAGGAATAACCTAAAAGTCAATTAATAATAACAGCATCTGACAATTTATGATGCCTACACTCCTAGATCTCCACATATGAAATGATTTGCCCAGTGTCACCTTATTAATTTTTACCCAGAACCAAATTATCCTGTAACCATCCCCAGTTTTTTCTTCACCGATACAAAGCCAACTCTTGGTAACAGTTATCATTGTAGTTCATTTCTCAGGCACATGAACATGTTCATGGTTTTGTTTGTTTGTTTGTTTTTGAGACAGAGTTTCGCTCTTGTCTCCCAGGCTCGAGTGCAGTGGCGCAATCTCAGCTCACTGCAACCTCCGCCTCCTGGGTTCAAGCAATTATCTGGCCTCAGCCTCCCAAGTAGCTGGGAGTACAGGCGCCTGCCACCACGCCTGGCTAATTTTTTGCATTTTTAGTAGAAACAGGGTTTTGCCATGTTAGGCAGGCTGGTCTCGAACTCCTGACCTCAGGCGATCCACACACCTCAGCCTCCCAATGATCATGGGTTTTTTTTAGAGAAGTTATTGGGTAACAAAGATAAATGGCCTGGTGGTATAAAAAATCATTTCATATAAGTTAAAGTTTAAGCCAAAGGAGGCCATTTGATGCCCAAAGGAAAAAAATATATACTCATGGGAAACTCATCTTTGATGGTGGTGAGCAGAAGTTATTTTCTTCTTCTCCTAATATCATCTTCATCTGTCCCAAACTTTAGCCTGACCAGCACTCCCCTGTGCCCACTCTTCATGGAATCACAAGTATGTTACATGCAACCCACTCTCGTGACTAGGGCAGCATGCATGGATAGAAGACATCATTTGGTGAATGAAGGCAATGCAAAGATGTTCATTTCCTTTAAACATATAAAGTCTGTGTCAAAGCAGTTACAAAAAAATCCCTAAGCATAGTCTTCCAGCTCCCCTAGCTGATATTGAGGTCCTCTCCAGGAGTAGCAGGGAAAGGGCTTGGATGGAGCATAAGTGGACATTGACAACTGATGGCTGACTGAGTTCATGAAAAGGGTGTGGCTTCAGGTTGAAACAGGAGCATAGGGGTTGGATTATGATATTATGGTTCTTACTTCAGACAAGTACTTATTGCCTAGAAAGATAATTATGCAAGCTGCAGTGTTCTGGAATGCATTATCTCTATTCTAGTTGGAAAAGTGTTGTTCTAAACACTTTGTAGTTCTTTGTAGCTCTGTCCATTTTATGATCTCCAAAGACAGAAGAATCATTCACATTCCATAATCCATCAGATTAGGAGATATGTTATGTAAAACTCCACGGGTATTTTCTGTCTGTCATATAATCAAGAGACTACCTATTTCTACACTCTTGGTAGACTAAGGCCTGGTATCAGTCTAGTGTTAAGGAAGGAGCAGGATGGTGGCACAGTGAGGTTTGTCTTGGAGTAAAGAGGAACAACTGGAGAAAGGGAAGCTTGATGTGTGTCTATATTCAGATGGAAGATTTTTCTTTAGTCATAGAAAACTACATGTTTTCTGTGGAGGTAAGACAGCATACCATTTGGGGAAACTTCAAGTGGCTTTGTGTGCTGTAATGTGGCATTTGGAATTAGTGCAAAAGATTAATCTAGAGAAAGAATAATGGTTCATATTATAAGGGGCCTTCCTTGGATTTCATGCTAAGAAATTTGAGGGTTTTCCTGAGAAGAGTGAAGACAAATTAAAGGATTTGAAGAATTTTATGCAGGGAACTAACATGATCAGATTTGGATTTAGACAAATCACTCTATCTACAGTTTAAAAAAATGAGTTTGAGTGAGACAATATTACAGGTAGGGAAACCAAAGAGGAGTTATCACACCAACATCCCCAAAGGAGCACGGGCTTCTATTTTTGCTACCCAGGATCTAGGTACATGATATAGTCAGTACATGTGTGTCATTGAATGAGGCTGTGGCAAGTAATTTAGATACCATATGACTATGGGCTAAACTGAGGTGTGGTCATAGGAATTGAAAAAAATGGACAGAGATTTAAAATATGTTAGTGAGGTAGAATCTAAAGGAGTTGAACAATTGGCTTGTTTTAGGGAAAGGGGAGGAAATGAGGAGTCAAAGAAAAAAAAGAGAGAAGCTTCTGGCTTAGGTCACTTCTGATGCCATTCACTGAAGTCAGAAACATTGGGCATAGAGCAAGTTGAGGGAGGGATGATGACCATTTGCTTCAAATATGAAGACTCTGAGAGGTTTGTAGGACATTCAGGTCCTGCTGATCATAAGTCTGCTTGGATAGAAGAGCCTGGTTCTCTAGCATCCAGAGAGAAGTCCGGGCTGCAAAAGTAGTTTGGGAGGTTGTAAATATCTAGCTGGGAATTAAAGCTATAGGAATATCATTGAGAGATAATTAGAATCCATAAAGGATTGGCTGGAACTCTGATAATCATCACATTTTAGGCTTGGGCAGAAGAAAAGTGGTTGCAAAAAAGCTGTGGGGCTACCAAAAGTTGGAAGAAAATAGAAAAAAGTCTAGAGGAAGTATGGATTCTCAGAAACCAGTGGAAGGTATTTCATGAAAAATGGGCACATATTCTAGGCACCAAAGATATAAAGATAAAAGAAACAGTTCTTATCTAGAGAAGTTCAAATTCTGGTGAGGCAGCTATCTGTAGTTCAGTAGAAAATTCAGAGTCATTGATACCCACAGTAGAGAAATAAGTTACTACTGGAGCCCAGAGAAAACGTGTCTCTACCACACCACCAACTCCTAAGTCTCCAACTAGAACAAACTCAGAAGAAAAGAATCCTGAACTATTGCTTCCCCAGTGAGTGATTTCATCACACAACGTAACTCCATATTTTACCTAATAATTCATTTATTATCTTTCTCCCTTCAATAAAAGCGAAGCTACACAAAGGCATGGATTTTTTTCTCTTTTGCTCACTCTTGTGTCTCCAGAGCCTAGAACAATTCCTGGCATATAGTAGATGCTCAATAAATATTTGTTGAATGAATAAAAATATCAAGCCTACATACATACAAGGTGTTTACTGACCTCAGACCATATCCCAGGAAATCCTACTTATATAAAACTCCTGATATGAATTTATTTTCTTGTGTTTTGCTTTTTCTCTTAAAAGCTGAGTGTGTAGGCAGGGCACGGTAGCCCACGCCTGTAATCCCAGCACGTTGGGAGGCCGAGGCGGGCAGATCATGAGGTCAGGAGATTGAGACCATCCTGGCAAACACAGTGAAACCCTGTCTCTACTGAAAAAAAAAAAAATACAGAAAATTAGCCGAGCATGGTGGCGGGCGCCTGTAATCCCAGCTACTCGGGAGGCTGAGTCAGGAGAATGGCATGAACCCGGGAGGTGGAGCTTGCAGTGAGCGGAGATCGCGCCACTGCACTCCAGCCTGGGCAACAGAGCGAGACTCTGTCTCAAAAAAAAAAAAAAAAAGCTGAGTGTGCAACATGTTGGTTTTGACTGAACATTCCAGTAGTTAAACCAAAAGTTCACTGTGCCATGAGGATTATTCAAACCTCTAGCAAACCTTCTTAGCCATGATAGGCACTGGCTTTAAATCATATGAGAAAGTCGTCATATTTTCTTGCTCTTTAAGATTTTTCACTAAGGAGATTGTCCTTCAAATAAGTCAAACCCTGGGAAGTATTCTACAATCAGTGATGACACAATGGGCCTTTCTTGTAATTAACTCCACTCTTTAGAACTCTCCTAGAAAATTACCTCAAACTTAAAAAAAAATTACTCAGCTACAAAGAGAATGATTTGTTAAAAAACCATTTGTCTCCCTGAACAAAGAATTTTTCAGCTGTTAAGAATTCTTCAGATGTGTATTTGT
Source organism: Homo sapiens (assembly GCF_000001405.40). NCBI lineage: Eukaryota > Metazoa > Chordata > Mammalia > Primates > Hominidae > Homo > Homo sapiens. The sequence goes on along the minus strand of NC_000005.10, from coordinate 41,352,690 downwards.
TTTATACTTGGATAACTAAGACAACTAGGTCTTAAAAATTTTAGATTCTACTAGTGCAGAATGCTTAATAGAGAAAGGTGGTTTATGTAATGGATTGCTACCTTTTATTCTAATCAAGTACATTCAGAAAAATAGGCAGAGATGTAAGACTAGGCTAATTATCATAAATTTATTTTCTGCGAACCTGCTTTTGCCAAAATTTGTTAGATGTTGCTAATTGATTTTACAATAAATAAGATACTGTCCCTGCCCTCATGAACCCAGGGATTTCCAGAAAAACCTCACAAAGAAAGTGATTTTTGATCTGAGAATTAAAGCAAGTAGAAATTTGCCAGGTGAACCTGGGGAAAAAGAGAACTCTTGAGGCAGAAAGAATACTATATGCAAGTCGGAGGAAGAATGAAATAGGCAAGGATGTTCATGGGCAAGATGCACAAAGTGTTTAATGGGTCTTAAACTAAACTCATATGGGGGAGGGCCGGATGAAGTGACAAGAAGTTTAAGAAAAGTCAGATGATGGTGTCTTCTGCATGCTGAGACTTTCTATTGATAAAGGAAACACAGTTCTTTATTTTATAATTTCAAATATGTGGGTGATAGGCCACATCACCAATAAGGTCTGGCCTTGTTAGCTTGCATAAGTTAATACTACAGTAAATAAATTAAGTAAAAATGACATAGTTTTGAAATGCAATAGTCACCATGAAATTTAATATTCACCTTGCCAGAACATTGCAATTATTTTGCTCCTTTATTCAAATATTTTAATGGCATATTTCCCACATATTTCAAAACAGAAAAATGAAGAGTAGAAGTTGAGTGATATTAATTAATTGAAAAATAATATAAGCTAGACTTAGCATTTAAACTGAGATCTGTTTGGTTCTTAAAGTGCAATAGGCATTATCTATCTATGATAGGCAATAGTACTATCATTAATATTTCTTATTCATTGAATCAATGATAAGCAATCTTCTACCCTGGCACCAGTGAGAACCATAACATTTGAGAACTGGAAGCGATCTTAATCACTCTTCTTATAGAAACTTCATTTTAAATATATGAAAACTGAAGACCACAAGCCAAGGTGCAATTTAGTAGAGTTGGACCTAAAATCCAGGCCCTTGGGCTTTCAGTTCAGCGGTTTTTTTCTACTAGGTGTCTTCTTTTATGACTGAGATAATCCATTTGAACTGCCCTTGTTCTGCCACAAGCCCACAGTAGGGAGTGAGGTGAGAGCCTCATATCCCTTACAGGCCTCGAAGCCTACCATGTGCTCAGCCCCTGTGCCAGGTCTGGGAATACAATGATGGATGAAAGGAACCCTGCTAGCCTAAAGCTCACACTCCAATGGGAAGAGACATTCGTGTGATATACTAATAAAGTCACACTGATGTGAAATGTCAAGAGGTGGGGAATGGGGAGTGAGAAAGGTGTGTGGCATGATGAAAGCACATGTCAGAGGGACCTAGTGAGCTAGGATATCTTCTACCCTGATTGTTTGTTTTCTTAAATATCTAAGAAATCCAAAAATTAGAACAAGTTTGCCTCAAAAAAAAGGTATCTGCTCTGAGGATTTGTGGTTTCTTTGATAGTTTATAAAACATAATTTATAGTTTATAAAGCATAATTTAATACTTTATAAAACATAATTTAATACTTTCTCCAGTCCTTGCCACAAACAATAGTATAAAGTATGGTTTGGTGACTTCTGTCAACTATAAGACCAGAAATCTTTTTTTTAGAGCTTTTTACTCAAGCTGAAGACAAAGCCATAAAGTTGTACAAAATAAGCTTATGTTACCAGTCCCAGATTCTACAAACAGGAAACAAAAAACAAAGACATAAAACGGAATTTAACATATAAGAGATTTTGCTTATGCAATATACTTATTACACTTTAAGAGGTAACTTCCTGGGAAAAATAATTTTGTTTATAATTACTGTACTTCATAAAGCTCTTTGGAACTTTTGCCATACTCTATTTTCTAGGTGGACACTCGGGAAATTTTTCTTGACCTTGTCTTGGGAAAGAATTGCACCTGATTATGCTGATTCACGTTATATGCTCAGAATACCCTATTGTATTTTTTTAAGCATGATGTAAGAATGATGTAATCTGTACCTAATTACCCAATTATTCCATACCTTGAAGGAGTCTTTCAATGGAATGCATCTATACTCTAAGAAGAAAGAATTCCATGAAAATTCATAGTATACTCTTCCTATGGGAATAGAACCTAATATCCTAAGATTGTTTCCCTTACTCTTAGAGCTTCAGATGGAGAAAAAGGAAAAAGAATGGAGAAACAGGGCAAGTAAAGAAAAAGAATCAGAGAGAAGATGAAGAGTATAGTAGACATGGGGTCAGGTAGTGGGAACTGTAGCAAATAGAACTCTGAGGACCTCTATGCTGTAGATTTAGCTTAAATCAAATATGCCTCATTCGTTTTCAATGAGAAAACAGAGGACGGAATTTAAAAAATGAAACAACTGAGCTATGAAAGAATAGAAGTGGGAGGAGAGCCTAAACTGGGCTTAAAAACGTGAGAGAGGGAGCTGTGTGCATATTATGGTCTCTTGTGATGCAGGAGACAGTGAAAATTTCTGGCACAGGAGGTGTGAGAGAGGTCTTTATCAACTTCACCCATTGCGGAGTCATCCACAGATATTAGCCCAGCTGAGCAAGTAGGGCACCACAGTGAATAGCTGGCTACAATTTTCTGCAACAAAATGTTGCAAAGCACTACCAAAAAAAAAAAAAATCCAATCCTGCATGTTTACTAGGACATTCCAGAACTTTCCTTTGGGAATTTATGGGTACAGCAGTTAGGGAAGTAAGCAGAGTATCCACAGTGCTAAAGGACAAGTAAGGGGCTAGTGCTCTGTAACTACAGGATAATTTAAAGACCTGTGATGCATGCAATTGTGTTGTAATGATCACTGGCTTGCTTAGTGCATTTGTGAGTCTTTAAATCTCCTCAAGTGCGGAGCAAAAAATTCTAGGATTTTGAAGTGTTATTTAAACCTCCAAAGTACAAGAACCTCTGCTTTAAACTCTTGGACCATTTCATGAGGGGAAAGTGTGGAATGCTTTTGTCAGTTCTTCATCTTCAACTCCACATCCTGCATGAAGTGGGATGTGCTCTAGTTGCTTCAGTTTAAAGGAATGTTGATTTCTCAGTGATAATGTCCTTTTAACACAACTTGTGGCAGAATTTAATACAAGGAAAAGTTTAAAGAACTCCATCCCTTTTCCCAATAGGAGCATTTAACCATCTCCAAATTTGAAAGAAGTTATTCTTCTGAAAGTAGCAGTCCTCCATAGGAGCTGTTTGATGATCATGATGAAACTTTTTATCCTGACATAAAATTTTGAACTTCTGATAGCTTCTTTGATCCTAAAGCCATGCTTAGCATCCTAACAACCTCTAATAAGTGCAGCCATCCTTTTAAGAAATAAATCTTGCTTTGGAAACAAAAGACCCAACCTAAGAATAATTTTCTGACCATTTAAACAACTACTAGATAGAGCTAGGGGTCTTCACATTGCATGTGCAGAACTTGTAACACATGGATATGTGGACTCTTTCTAATCCTTTGCACTGTCAGTATCTGTAGATGGATATTGTCAATAAATCATAGAAAAGATGAGTAAATCACATTAAAATCATCCAGAAATTTTGAATCGCAGGTTTTAGATCCAACTACTGGAAAACCAGAGCAAGTACATGGATGTGTGGTTATTATTTGACCTTTTTAGACCCTACTATTTTTCACTTCTTTTGGCAAATTTTCCAGAGCTCAGTCCTGTATTTCCATGCTTTTTCTGAAGGAAATGGCTTATTTTCATTCCCAGGAGGTTTAAAAGTCTTCCTTCTCCTTTGCCAAGCAGTCATGGTATCAGCTGCAGGTCTTGCTCTTCCCCAGTGCCTCTGTACTTAATAAGTCTGCATTACGGAGGCTGCCAAGCACCAAACATATTCAATATCACACCTGGCCCGATGGTCTTGCAATCTAAAACAAACAAACAAACAAACAAACAAACAAAAAAACTCAGTAATTTTCTGTATTTGTAAGTGGTCATCTTATATGATGGTGATGGGATTTCTGTAGGAAAAACATCTATTTTCAAAGTTGGAAGACCTTTATTATTATATTTGCACAAGCTTCCTTGTCTTGTTAATTAACTAGTTAAGCTAGAGTGCTACCTATTGACATTGGAAAATATTACCAGGAATGTTTTTTTCTGGTTTCCCTCACTGATTCAAAATCCTACTCTCATGACATCTGACATTAGATACAAAGACAACAACAACAACAAAAATGACTTTCTGACAAGAATTCTCAGCTGTACCATGATTACTTCTTTTCATCCTCCTACCTTTGCGCAATTACTAACTCATCTATATTTTAAGATAATGGTACATTAGGGTCCATTTAGAACGTCTATTAGATCATAATGTCACACAAGCAATGATGTCCTTGTTTTGAAAATAGCATCCAGAGCAGCTACTCCTCTAACTCATTTAGTAAACGGGGCTAATACTATTAACCTACCTCAAAGTGTGAGAAGCATTTTACAATAAGGAATTCCATGATATGTTAACTAATAACTTGGAAAAAGTATTTGTTTCTCCAAATATCCACTGGAGCTGCCAGAGAACATCTCTAAAAAATCTCCACTGAACTATTTTTACTTAGTGTTTTGGAGAACAATTGCTCACCATCCCAAAGAGTGTAATGCCTATGACAGAGACTGATTCAGCTGCTAACAAGAGAGGTATAGAATAAAAGAGAAAGAGTAAGAAGCCCAGCTAAATTTTATTTTTTATTGCCCAGTTACCTGGTTTTGGATTATATATGTTTTTCCTCTCTCAGTCTTTCCTGCACCTCTTTGGTGATTCTTTGAATAATAGCGCCTCCAGTTGATCTGGTGTTAAGAGTAGGGAAAGACTGAGACAATTATAACTCAGGACAAAGGTGTTAGAGAGAAAATAGTAAAACTGAAGACCAGGGTGAGTTCACATTCATCTTCCATGTCTTCCTTTAATAGCTGCCATAATAAAAAACAACTATAGGTTGGTAACTAGTATCTACAGATGTTGTGCTTGCACAGACACAGCTACACCAAGCTCCCTGCCTTTTTGACTCCAAAATTAAGTGAGAAAGATTGGCAGAGCAATACACTGTTACAATGTAGAATGGTGTCTATAAGGTGTTGAGGTGCTGTGAGATTTCAGAGGAGAGATAAATTACTTTCCTTGGAGTGAGAGATTGCTAAAGATCTATGAATCTGATCTAATAAATGTCCAGAGTAAACCAAATCTACTAAGTGACAAGCCTTGCCATTAGTGAACCAGAAATCATTTTAATAGGTAAAGAATTTTTTTCTAATTTTTTCTAACTTTACTGTGCTGAGGCATCTCTTTGACATTTTAATTTGGAAAATCCTAAAATATCAATTTATTAAAACAAGATACCACGACTTTGAATGGCTAAAATCCAAAACACTGACAATACCAAATGTCCCACCAAATATGGAGCAACAGAAACTCTTATTCATTCCTGTTGGGAATGCAAAATGGAACAGCTATTTTGGAAGTCAGTTTTGCAGTTTTTTACAAAGCTAAACTTAGTCTTACCATATGATCCAGTAATAGCAACCTTAGGTACTTACCAAAATGAATTGCAAACTTATATCCATACAAAAACCTGCACGTGGATGTTGATAACAGCTTTATTCACAATTGCCAAAACTTAGAAGGAACGAAGATGAAGCAAACAAGATGTACTTCGGTAGTTGAATGGATAAACAAACTGTTAAATCTATACAATGGAACATTATTCCGTGATAAAAATAAATGAGCCACAAGAGGGCAGGAAGGAAGCTTAAATGCACATTGATAAGTGAAAAAGACATTCTGAAAAGACGGCATAGCATGTAAGTTCAACCATATGACATTCTGTAAAAGGCAAGTTTATAGAGATAGTTGGAGAGTGGTGATGGTTGTATAATACAACAATGTGAATGTACCTAATCCCTCTGAACTTTACACTTACAAATATTTAAAATGGTAAATTTTATATGTTAAATTAATAAATATATTAATATATATTTTACCACAACATACACATTCAAAATTATAGAGACAGTAAAGGCGAAAGATCAGTTGTAAGGTTTTGGTTTAGGGGAGGGTGGGTGAACAGGTAGACAGCACAGAGCATTTCTAGTGCAGTGAAACTGTGGTACTGTAATGGTAGATAGAGGACATCATGCATTTGTCAAAACCCATAGAACTGTGCAACACAGAGTGAACCCTAATGTAAACTCTAAACTTCAGTTAATAATACTATATTACAACTAGTTTATCAATTCTAACAAATATACTCCACTAATGCAAGATGTTAATAATAGGAGAAACTAGCTAGGTGTTGGTGAGTAAGGGTTGTATATGAGCACTCTCTGTACTTTCTGGGTAAGTTTTCTGTAAACTAGAAACTGCTCTAGGCTGGGCATGGTGGCTCACGCCTGTAATCCCAGCACTTCGGGAGGCCGAGGCGGGCGGATCACCTGAGGTCAGGAGTTCGAGACCAGCCACGCCAACATGGTGAAACCTCCTCTCTGCTAAAAATACAAAAAATTAGCCAGGCGTGGTGGTGGGTGCCTGTAGTCCCAGCTACTTGGGAGGCTGAGGCAGGAGAATCACTTGAACCCAGTAGGTGGAGATTGCAGTGAGCCAAGATAGTGCCACTGCACTCCAGCCCAGGCGACAGAGTGAGACTCCGTCTCAAAAAGAAAAAATAAAAAAAAGAAAAGAAAAAAGAAAAAAAGAAAAGAAACTGCTCTAATAAATATTCATTTGGATAAAGGCAAATAAGTATGTAGCAAAAATTAAATATGGAGTTAACCATGAGTTAAATGAGTTAAAGTTGGGATCTGTAAAGTTAGAGGCTTTAGTGACCTGAATGTGTGTGTGTGTGTGTGTGTGTGTGTGTGTGTGTGTACACATATGTATGTATAAATTTGGAGTAAAGGATGAAACATGGTAAATAATTGGACACTTACCAAGATATTTGACTGTTTGCATAAGCTATTTTTTTCTATTCACTACTAGCCTGAGCTGAATGACAGGCTGTGTTCAGAAAACAATGTTATCTTATGAATATTCTCATTCTCTAGGCTTTCTTATCATCATATTGCTATTCCAGTTATTGCCTTAGTGCATCAGAGTAGATAACGTTAGATAAACCAGACCCAGAATAATATGAAGAAGGATAACCTCTGGACAGGATTTTAGCATAATGGGTTCCAATTTCATCTTTGCCACTGAGTGAAAACAAGCAGGGGCAAGCCACTCACCCTCTCTCATGATTTGTTTCCACATCTATCCAATAAGAGGGTTAGACTAGATCTCTGAATTCCATTTTTGCTCTCAAGTTATTTTGTCTTGTCTGGTTAGATTTAGCCAAAGACATCATTTGGAAAAATCTCAAGGAAAGCCCAAGTCTGCAGAGATCATATTATTTGGACACAAATCTAATGTTGCCTTGCTTCATCAATTACTATTTGGACTTTTGGAAAGAAAATACTCAAATCAATATCCTGACTATTTTGACTGTGTCCAAGTCTCCCTATTATATGCTGTAATAGAATCATTTTGTTTATAGAACCAGTTTGTAATTATGCTTTTATTTTTGTGATTACTTGCTAACATCTGCACACACCCACCTACCTCTAGATTATGAGTTGTATGAAGGAAGGGAATGATTTGATTTTATTCACCATTAACTCCTCAGTGCTTAGTGCCCAGAGTAGGTGGGCAATACATATATATTGAATGAATGATTCTTTATATTAGTTTAATGAAACATAAATATAATTTTTAATTATATGAAGTAAAAGAGAATTTAGATTTTTTGATACATGGCTTGCTCTGAATTAGGATATTTTTTTCTAAATGGTTGTAGGTTTGAAATAAAAATTTTCCAACAGGAACTTAATATTGTAATTTTTAGTAATTCATATAATTTCTTGTCCATAAATGATCTTCTGTTAACTGATGTCAGTCATAGATATCAGCCGCATTTTTATATTTCTTATCTAAAACAATTTCTAGGCAAACAAATGAATTAAAATTATAAGAGCAAAATAATGGGAACTGTTATGAATATAAAACTTATAACAAAAATAACTTTCCTTAAGTGACAAATGAAAATGGATTTCTCATTCTAGATTCAAATATTTCTTTAATTGACGAGTTGATCATTTGGATTTCAGATTTTCATTTTGCTGTGGAAAATAACTGAAAAATGTGAAAAGTTCTACCTTTTATTTGAATAAGAGCTGAATAAATCTGAAACCTTAATTATTGAGTCTACTCTTTCTAAAAATAAGTCGCATTTCTGGATGGATGACTTGGCACTTAATCTTCTGGCCAAATATGTCAACAAAATATTGGACAAACTATCTTTTGTCTTCTTCTATTCTGTGTTCATGGAGTGATTCTAAATGCTAGCTTAATGCCTGCTCTTTATGACCAATGTATTATTCATGTTTTAGAAGTCCATCTGAAATCGTTCCTTTAAAACATGCCCATTAATTCAGAACATCAATTTAGAAAGATTACTTTTTCAGTTCAAGATAATGTTTTATGGTTAATGGAGAATCATAGATGCCATTTAAAAGTTAGAGCAAATACAAGAACGTAAGAAAAAAAAGCAATACAGTTGTTACTTATTTGAAGTTGAAATGGAAGCCTGAGGTGTGAAGAATTTTCTTATCAGACAAACAAATCATCCAATTGTGCTTAAGCAAGTAAATAACACAATTCATGAAAATGTTGGCCTTGTGTATAGCAAACATAATGCTTGGGCTTTAGGAAAAAAATGTTTTAATATGACTGTGACTTGACATTAAACCACGTTTTCATTAAGATCAGAAAAAATGTCAGAATTCTCCTCTAGCTGAAGATATTCTCTGTTTTCTTCAGGTTTAAGTATATTGGATTTTCATTGTAACTACAAACGTTCTCAGTCTAGACACTGTTATGATTTTAAATTATTTCAATCCAAAGTTCAAGATGTAGACACAAACTAAGTTTGTGATTTTAGTAGTAGTACCTGTGAAACCACCTGTTGGGGTTAGAAATTTTGACTGACTTCAGAACTGAATAGACCATTTATTTTAGCCAAAATAAGTCACTTACTTTGCATATAAGCAAACAATTTTCCTTTTGCCTACTAGTAATTCATTTTCAATATATTCACCAAATATATGGATGATTTCTTTGCCTTTGGATTGATTTTTTTTCTGTTTATGTAAAAGAGATTTTTGAAGCAAAACAACTAGTTTTCAAGTAAACATAAAAACTTCAGATTGCATACAAAGGTTATTCCACTTGAAGGAAAAAATCATAATTTTAATATCTTTCATTCAATTTTCTATTATAATTATGGTGAATAAAGTGGTCCTCATGTACTCATTTACTTAGAAGCCCAAAATGGGTAAGGAGCCAGAACAGGAAAAGGTGGAGCTACCTAGGTTTAGCTCTAAGGATCCTATGCTTGTGCGAAGTTGCAGCAAGTTTGATAGCACAGTTTTGTTGATGATAATGAGTTAATTATCACTAAACTTTTACATTTTTCTAATGAAAAGAAAATCTGTACCCACTGCATTCAAACAATTAGATTTTTGAAGCTGCTGATTTGTTAGTTTTGAGAACTGTAGACTTCTAGGACCCATCCATTATTCTTGCTTTTGTCTAGAAATCATCCTTCTTAGATACAAGGCCTATCCCCACCACAAAAAAGGAGGCATCATTGTTTATATTTTTCAAATTGTGAAGCAAGCATTTTCAGCTTATTAAAATAGCTAAGTATGTTATAAATTCTTATAGTTTTTAACTTTTGGAATGAATTAGCTCCTCCTTTTCTACTAATATTTTATGCTGCATTTGGAGATTTTGCTTCTGTTTTGAAATTTCTCCTACAAAAGTTCTATTGACTCAATATATTGATATACTAAACCTAGATAAAGAATGAGATAGTGAAGTGGTAATAAAATACCCACATTAAATTTACAAAGCTTTCTGTACATTTTATTTCAGTTTTGGAAGGTACTCAGCTGCACAATTTTGTATGTCCAAGAAGATATCATTTGTGAACCTTCATTTTAATCATCAAACTGCCTTTTGGCCTCAACTGCTTTGAGGCCCACACTTTCTCTTCCATTATTAACAAGTTTGGGAAACAGAGTCAATAAAATCTAATTATTGACAGATGGTGAAATCAGTACTATTTCCTGAATATATATTCAGGTTTTCTAGATTAAACTAGAAAGTTTAGTCTCTCCTTTCACATACTTTTCTAGGCTCGCTCTTCAACACCTAAAACAGCACCTCTGTTGCCTAACACAGTGCCTGGCAGGCAGTAACCATTTGGCATAACTGGATTGAACAAAAACTATTACATCATTAGAGGGATTCCAAAGTAGGATACTCTGAGCTGATAATATCTTGATCAATTAAAGGATATATGGATACCCTATAGGCCACAGTATCCTCAAAATCACATCTGCATACTCCTGTGCTCATTTCCAAAAGTAACAAATCCTTTCCCAGTTACCCATATTTATCCCTAAATAGAAAGATGAGTAGGCAGGAGCTCACTAGATCACAGCCGTATGATCCAGTCTCATTTTCTACAACTATTGGAACAAAGCCTTCTTGTAGATGGTGGAAATTTCTTACTGTGGACTCATATCTTGAGAGGTAAAGCATGGCTAAGAATGTGCTCCTTTGTAATCCAGGTGAGTTGTTTGGCACCTAAGCAGTATGATGGCATCACAATTTATAAGCTATGGGTACACAATAACTAGATGACAACTTTCATTTTAGATTCAAGTTATTTGAGATTAGCAACACGGGGAGATTCCAAGAGATGTAAAAATAAGTGATAAGAACTTTTTTTTTTCTACCATGGCCTTGCCTATTTATCCACCACCCACCCTTTATGGCCTTTTATAAGGTAGAGGAATGATTCATAGCTACAAGAGGTAATATTGCAAACAGGTAAACCTTATAAACCCAATGGTAACCCAATCCATTTACAAGTGAAAAGTTCAGCTGAGGAACAGGACTATTTCCAATTTACATAATCCAAAATCATTAATTTATTTGGAACAACTTAAATTTGTAGGGCACTTTGAAATTTGCATGGCACTTTGAAATTTGCATGAGTATTCATAGTCGTGATTATATCTAAGCTTCCTAGTAATCATGAGGTAGAATGATGTATTTTCATGCTGCATGTTGCACAGAAAGGATCAGCGATTTGTAGACGTGATTTAGGTGGAGTCACAGTCTTGGTTTCAAGAATGACTTCGCAGAGTCAGCTAGGAAGCTGTCCACTCTGGACATTAGCATGGCAGTGTAGACATGCGATATTGATGGTGCTCTCTTCCATACATACTCCATTAGTGATACAGCCCAGTTTAGACTCAAGTATTTGTAATTCTTCAGTCAACTATATATGGTATTATTTGGTTTTTCACTGAATTCCACTAGATATACTGGTTTAATGTAGCTAAGAAAATAAATCAACATTATAAACTTTTGTCATTAGAAATAGAGCAACTTTCAAAACTGGTAAGTATTTTGTCAGCAACATTTTTTACATTTATTTAGAATACCTTACTTTGGTGGGATATTAACAAATATTTGTACTTTTTTAATACCAAAACTTTTTCATCTCCTAAAATGTAACTCAATGCCAGGAGTAAGACCTATTATAAAATACATTCTATTATTAGTAGCTAAAAGGTCACACAATTAAAAATATTTTCAAATAACTTCCACTTAATGACTTCCAGTGGGACATGAGTTCCCAATAAAATTAGCAACAAAATTCTTTAGGTTCTTTCCTGCCGACTGCAACTTTAAGTTAGAAAGTATTTATTCATTCTTTCACTTGAAAATAGCACTATCCCTCTAAACAGTTCTGCCTGAGAGACTTTAACTGCTTTGGAGAAGACTCTTTCCTTGCCTTGGCCTGTCCCTGGGGTCAGTGTTGGTAAAGGTGATGAGCAACGGATGCACGCAGTCATCAGAGACCATGGCCATCTCTAGTGTCATTGTCTAGCTCACCACCAACTCCCCTTGCTGGGTGTCTTCCAAATTTGAACCCCAGCTGTGGAAAGAAAAATTTCCAGTGTGGAGTGGTGAAGAATAATGGGATTTTTCAAATGGTTCTTCTGGTCTAGGGCAGAGAAACTGAGAACGCATGGCATTCCATTTATTTTTACAACTTTTAGTTAATTGATGAAACTAATATATTTTGTTGCCTCTAGGATAATTTTGATATTTCAGTACATTAGCTATTTAATTAGTCATTTCACAGTATCATGTTACCTGTTTTTAGGGACACTACGTGCAGTGAGTTGCAAAATTCAGTGTAGAAAAATGCTCTGATAAAAAGAGACTGGTGAATGCTGGTTACCTCATTCCCTGAATAAAACTGCTCCTGATTATCTAAAAGAGGCACTGCTGAGAGAAGGACCCAGGAGAGCAGCATCTATACAAAGGCATGCAGTTAATGCAATTGTAGGTGTGAATCTATATAACTTTAGAGGTTAACTGAGATTCCAGAAACACATACACAAACAGAGAGCCATTTATCTGAATTTTCAACACCTCGCCATGTTTCTGACTGAAGGCTCCTCTGGCCCTCTCTATGGCGAGTGTCTTTCCTTTTGTTCCATCTAGAATAAATCCTGTAAGTAACTTTTAAAGACCTATCCCTGCAAATCTCCCTTGAAATAACCCAGCACTGGATATGATCTATTATGAGGAAGCATTTTAATTCATCTTTTTAAGGTCATTTTTATAGCATTATAGATTAATATGAAGGAAGATTTAAGATAAAAAGTATAGCAAGGGTTCTTTTAGGATGACATTTTCAAATGCTTCCCTAGAATACAACCATACCAAGTTGTTAATAATGCTTCTCTTCCATATGACATATTCTATGATGTCTATTAGAATCAATAGCTAGTGAATCAATGACTTACTTAAAGCTAAAGTGAGCACAAGCCCTGAGGAAGGGCAACACTACTGTCATTTTGTCACCCTGGAAACCCTGCTTCTGTATTTGATAAGTACAGACTCAGTCAGTCAGGCAGATAATTTACATGACCAACTATTCACATACGTCAGTGATTCCAATTTTTGAAAAAAAAAAATAGTATGATTTCTCTGTATCCATTGACATATTCACTCTAAAGCCAGCCAGAAGAGACTTACTCAGATGGCTATTATCCCCTGGCAGCACCATTGATACTACCAGCTGGAGCTACCTCCTAGAATATCCAAATTTTCGTGTTTCTCCTCTGCTCCCATTCCTTAGTTTCTGACCACTATCTACCCTTGGATCACTCTTGAGGACTTTTCTTGCAGTTCTGGTGGGATCTCAGCTCCTGCATGCTTTATATCTTCTTTGGAAGCAGAGAGGAGATTCTCTGAGCTAAAGAGGGAGAAGAATATATATGCTAGCAAACTACTGTTGACTCTTCCAGAGATAGAGCAGCTTCCTCCCTACCCCTTCCTCTAATACTGCCTAATACCTGCCACTCACTGCAGAAGAAGCCATGAAGGAATTCCAGGAAAAAGATGATCATGAAATTACTGGGAAACATTAACGAAAAAATAGCCAAAATAATCTTTGGCCATAATAAAAGAACCAGAATGAGGGCGGAAATACTCTGTTACACTTCACACCCAAGTGAGAACATTGCATTATTTTCCGGTTACCCCTTTTAGAGGAAGTATAGACAAAGTGGAGCACACAGAAAAGAGTGACAAAGACAATAAGAGGGCTCCAAGCTGAAAAATCTAAGGAAAGTAAATGGGGGTATTTAAGAAGAATAAGGGAAGATACAGATGGTGTGGTTATGTGAATATCAATTATTTTCAAATATTTAAAGGAATATCACGTTGAAGAGGAATAGACTTGTTTTACATTAACCTAAGTAGATCTAGTGGGTGGTCAGAAAGAAACTTGTAATAGTAGGAGGGAGGCTATGAGAATTCCAAGCCCCTAAAACATATGTTAGAGTTGAGCCCCTGGAAAAGGATGCTCAAGTTGAGCCCCTTGAAAAGAAACTGCAATATTTTCAACAGTGTTCTGTAGAACACCAAGTCCACTAGATGTCATTGGTGATTTGTGTGTGTGTGCACATGCATGCACGCATGTTAGTAGGGGCGGTAGTAGCAGGGCTATTCTCAGGTCAAATAAATTTGTTTCCCAACTTAAAAAAAGGGAAATAAATCCTTAACTTCAGGACATTTCAATGTTCTTAATATGATAATGGTCTCCATATGCTATTATGTGTATTGTGAACATCAAAGAGGCTTCAACATTCCCTACACTTATGTGGCCAAGAAAACCTTTTGTTTTAGGCACATCTTTAATCTCTCATGAAGCATTGTTCCATGGAATTTAATTCAGGAAACATTTTTTGTAGAGAATATGACTACTTTATAATGTCTTAAAGACATTTTCAGACCCGATATTCTCTGAGACTTTTCTAAACATGGCAAGGAGGAAATATACAAGGAAGAGGGAGAATGTATTACAAATTAAGACACATATGTGGCACCTCTATGGCTTGACAATATTTATTGTACATTATTAAGTTCCTAGGAATTTGCTTAAAAATGTTAACATGGTCAAACAATTTAGAAAAGTGTCAGGTAATATGATTTCCCAAAGATATAATGAAGAGATGACATCATGGGAAATACTCTTCTAACTCAGACTAATTGACTTAAAATTTCTCTCCCTGATGGTACTGTTAAAAGATTCTGACTTCATAAGGTCACTGTCAGGAGGAAATTATAGAATTAACAACTTAATGAATATTATTTTCTTACAGAACAGATGACATATTTCTCTATCCTTTGCACCTGCAGTTGTCACTGATTAAAGGGGAAAAAAACAAAGAAATCACCTCTGATAATTATGCATGATTGCAAGTGTCCAAAGACACATTGACATATTAGCACCTGGGATGTTATGGTCAAATTAAATTCCACTTATATTCATTCCTTCTGCCTGTTAGCATTTTCTCTAAAGAAAGTGAAATTTCTGAATTTGGCTTTTAAAAAACAAAATCAAACTCAAATTTGGATGCTATAATCACTCTTATCTTGGAAAGGATGCACTGGGGACATGAAGCTGAACAGAGTACTGTACACAAAAAGTCCTGATGATGTAATCAATATCCTCCAGCTTCTGCTGGGCAGTTTGGACTGGAAAAGTCTCCCATTAAGTGCCCATGACAAATGTTTTCTGAGAGGTAGCTTTAGATTTTCTGAGCCTTTTATATATTATTCATAGCTTCATGGTATCCAGAGAGAAATCCTGGCTGAGGTTAAGACTCTGTGGTCACTGACAATAAGTCATTTAGTTCTGGTGGCCTTTCACCTTTGCCAGAGGAAGTAGAGGTACCCACGTGGGTATGTACGGTACACTGCCTAAGCATAAATGCAATTTCTTTTGGTTGACCACCACAAAACACACTTAAAGCAGCTGAAAACCTACCCTGGTGGCATTTTGGAAATGAAAATGTAGTTGTAATTTTTCTCCCTTATTAAGTTTGTCAGAGGCCACTCGTAATTCTTACTCTGGCTAAAGGACAAATTTTATGATCGCAGAATTTCCTGCCATCTAGATTACACTTGTAGGTTGGGTTTCCCAGAAAGCAGACTCTAAGACACCAAGATTTGTGTGCAGAAGGTTTACTCTCGAATTCTCTTGGGATCAACACCTATGGGAGAGTACAGGAAACAGAACTATGTAGAGGAAGAAATTGGACTGTGATGCAGTCAGAACAAAGGCCTCAGCCAAGACTGCAGGAGCTGTGGGGGATCTTCAGATTTCTCCTCCCACCCCTCCCCAGACATCAATCATTGCATGCAAGTTATTCCAAAGAGCATGTGTGGCATTGAGTGAGGTGGCTTTCTTTTGCCGAGGGCAATTCTCAGACAGAAACTTAGTTGGGAATTGACAGCCAACAACACTTTCAGAAGCTAGAAGAATGAGCACTCTCCATCTGGAAGGGAAGCTCTGGGAGGCTCATCACAAGCATTCACTACATACCTGAATGAATAGAGTTCAGTCACCTGCCTTGAAGTCACTCAGAACTAGAAAAAATGAAAGTAACTACATGTATTTACTGTCTATGTTCTAAGCACTTGAAGCATTAACACTAATAATGGAGTAACAATTAACCTGCATTGAGTTCTTATCTCTTGGGTATTTTACGAAATTTTATATGCTTTATTTCATTTAATTTACTATTCACTTTTATTATTCTCTTACATAAGTGACTTACCCAGGATTTGAATTCAGACACTCTGCTCCAAAGTCTTCACTCTTATCCTCTATGCCATACCACCTATCTATAATGTATTGTTTCATTTTATTGTTACAAAAACACTATGAAGTAGTACCATTATTATTGTCATTATACAACGAGGAAGATGAGAATTGGGGAAGTTAAATAACCTTCCAAAGGCCACATGTTATTATAACTCAAATATGACTCTGTCTGATTCCAAAGCTCTTGATCTTCCTGAATCGATTGGAGGGAGTCCATTAAAAGTCGATAAATACTCACTTACTTATGAGTCCTTGGGGAGTAGTTTTTATTTAGCCTCATGAATTTGTGAGAGTCCACGGAACATTTCCTTTAGAATTGGAATGTGTGCCAATAAAGAGACAAACAGCTAGTTCATGAAGCCAAAGGAGGCTTTATGGACATCTCCTTTTCCTATGTTTCCATGCAAGGCTATTCAGAGCAATTCAGCAATTTCTGTCTGTAGGATTTCAAGTAATTCTGGAACTAGTCCCATAGTCAAGTCAGGGACCATATCTGATTCATCCCTGTATCCACCCCAACAAATGCCACATGATGGGTACTCAATAAACACTTGTTGACAGTATGAGCAAATGTATGAATGCCATGGAGACCAGCAGTTTCCAGGATCTCACCATCAAGGACCTATTTCCCTATTTCTCTCCACAAAGCCCTTCTCTTCTTAATAAATGCATATTTTTAAAGTAATACTTTATTTTCCCATTGCTAAAATTAAAGACACACAGAATACGCTAGAACTTCCAATCAGCAGTAGGTAGTCAATACTAAACCTGGATTAATAAAACGATCCTGCCAACAGTGAAGTAGCATTTTTGTTAACTCATGTGACTATGGATTAAGGGTAATTGATTTGTGTTGTGGGTTTCAACATTACTGCCTCTAATAGTACTAGATCCAGAACTCTTAAGTGGATCTAACTACTGAGAGCCAAAGGATAAACCTAGATAGTCCTTGAGATATTTGCTCCAAGCAAAATCAGAAATGTAAAACTTCCTTTCATCACAGCTCTTTCTTATCAAATGGAAATTTTTCCAAAGAAGGGAAAGGAAGGACAGTGCTAGCGATAGAAACTGTCTGCTTTGAGGAAGGTAAATTGCTTTTGAGCTTTGAGTACCCAAATTCCCCGTGCATTTGCACTGAGTGAGGGGCTACTTGTGCCGAGGAAGAAACTGTGAAGTGAGAACATGTGATCCCACACAGAAGAGTTCTGCCCTTGAAAGAAAACCCATTGTCTGTTTCCTGGCAATCGAAATCTTATTAACATACAGAAGGGTCTCTTTGTTTAAAAATTGCAAAGCTTTCTTTATTCTTTCATTCCCCTGGAAAACTAGAAGACAAAATAGTCCCTGCACGCCAGGAGGCCCCCATCAAGGGCTGGCTGTGCTCACATTCTGTCTCCTGGCAGGGTTTGTGACTCATTTTGAAACCCTGACTTGGAGCAAACGATGAGCCTGAGGACAGAGTGCATTTTATGAACTCTTAAACACCATTTTTTCTTGTAGTTTATATGAACTTATTTTAATTGAAAATGGATTTTTAATGGTTTTCCTTGCCACAACAAAAATAAGGGCTGCTGTTGCCATTATCAAAGGAAACGGATGGCATATTTTGCTTTGATTTGTCTGCATTACTTTTTGTTAAACAAAACAAAAGCTAAACTAAACTAACAACCTTCTTGGCATGTAAATAAGATGAGATATGTCCCATGTACTTCTGAGGGCTTGGAATTTTCCACTTGGAAAACTGAAAACATCCAGTGTCGTTAGGATGAGGGTGAGGCTTGGTCAGTTCCTGTGCCCAATATTTTTGGTGCAACAGCAGCTCTTCTATGCAAATCCTGCATCTCCCAAAATATGACTGTACCCAAGGCTGTGGCTGAGTAGTTTTGAATGACCCTGGAGTACATTTGAGTAATAGTATCAAAGATATTGTCACCTGGGTATGTGTTGGCAGTGAGGTGGTGTGGCATGACTGTGATCCTTGTAGTAACCCCAAAGTATTATCATTGCTAATCTTACAAATGGAGAAAATTGAGACTCAGAAGGTTTGCATAATTTATGTAAGATTATAAATAAAGTACATTACTCTACTCTAGTCAGGACCAAAACTCAAATTTTTAACATCAATTCAGTTGATGTGATTGTTTTTGTTTGTTGGTTTTAAAAATAAATCTCTCAGCAAAGGCTGTGCTTGTTTCTGATCACCATTGTGTCCTCAGCACACAGAATAATATTTAGCAAATAAGGGTTGCTTTATAAATATTTGTCAAACGGATGTCTTTATCAAGCTATAAATGGGGTTTGAATTTGATTTGGGCAGAGAATCTGGGAAAGTCAAGGTGAGGGGATTTTTTTCCTTTTGCAGCAACAAGGGGAAAATTCAGATTAATGTTTTCTTTAGCTGTGCCTTTAATTACTTTCTGTTTTACACCTAAATAGTTATAATAAATTAGTTCTGAAAATACATAATGAAGGACATAGTAAGACTTAGGAGGACTTTAGCCCTATTCAGGAAATCCCAGGTCACCTAAAAGCTCAAGACTTGCTTGCTAGAGTATTGTTTTTCAGATAATTCATATGACTTAATTATTTCTCTGAGTGTAATTTTAGGGGAAAAATATTTTTTAAATGAACTGTTTTCATCAGACATAAATCAGATATGCTGCTTCCTACACAGAGATGAATTTAGCAAAAACCATAAGCCTTGTGTTTACAGATGCTATGATTTATGACACACATTTGTCTACCTGAGGTTATTTTGAACCCCTCACCATTGTTTTAACCTATAGATGCAAAGACCCTGCCTTTTACCACTGAATGCTTCAGTGTATGAAATACTAACCTTCTGGGCAAGAGTTTCTTTTCATGTTGTCATTCTCTTCTTTACATTTTCAAGTGAAATTTCTAAACTTTCAAAAATGACAAGACTGACAAGAAAACACATTTGAAAATCTGTCACAGTTGACTTTAATTAGTTGGTCTGTGGGGGCTCAGTTGCTCAAAGGAAGAAAGATCCATGATCATTATTTTAAACTTTGCAGATCAATGAAGCCTTCATTTCTTAGGCTGGGTTGGGACGGGCAGTCACAAGCCATTGACGTTTTTGTTTGTTTGTTTGTTTGTTTGTTTTTGTCTTTTATTTTATATTATTTTATTATTATTATACTTTAAGTTCTAGGGTACATGTGCACAATGTGCAGGTTAGTTACAAATGTATACATGTGCCATGCTGGTGTGCTGCACCCGTTAACTCGTCATTTAGCATTAGGTATATCTCCTAAAGCTATCCCTCCCTCTTCCTCCCACCCCACAACAGTCCCCAGAGTGTGATGTTCCCCTTCCTGTGTCCATGTGTTCACACTGTTCAGTTCCCACCTATGAGTGAGAATATGCGGTGCTTGGTTTTTTGTTCTTGCGATAGTTTACTGAGAATGATGATTTCCAATTTCATCCATGTCCCTACAAAGGACATGAACTCATCATTTTTTATGGCTGTATAGTATTCCATGGCGTATATGTGCCACATTTTCTTAATCCAGTCTATCATTGTTGGACATTTGGGTTGGTTCCAAGTCTTTGCTATTGTGAATAGTGCCGCAATAAACATATGTGTGCATGTGTCTTTATAGCAGCATGATTTATAGTCCTTTGGGTATATACTCAGTAATGGGATGGCTGGGTCAAATGGTATTTCTAGTTCTAGATCCCTGAGGAATCACCACACTGACTTTCACAAGGGGTGAACTAGTTTACAGTCCCACCAACAGTGTAAAAGTGTTCCTATTTCTCCACATCCTCTCCAGCACCTGTTGTTTCCTGACTTTTTAATGATTGCCATTCTAGCTGGTGTGAGATGGTATCTCATTGTGGTTTTGATTTGCATTTCTCTGATGGCCAGTGATGGTGAGCATTTTTTCATGTGTTTTTTGGCTGCATAAATGTCTTCTTTTGAGAAGTATCTGTTCATGTCCTTTGCCCACTTTTTGATGGGGTTGTTTGTTTTTTTCTTGTAAATTTGTTGGAGTTCATTGTAGATTCTGGTTATTAGCCCTTTGTCAGATGAGTAGGTTGTGAAAATTTTCTCCCATTTTGTAGGTTGCCTGTTCACTCTGATGGTAGTTTCTTTTGCTGTGCAGAAGCTCTTTAGTTGAATTAGATCCCATTTGTCAATTTTGGCTTTTGTTGCCATTGCTTTTCGTGTTTTAGACATGAAGTCCTTGCTCATGCCTATGTCCTGAATGGTAATGTCTAGGTTTTCTTCTAGGGTTTTTAAGGTTTTAGGTCTAACGTTTAAGTCTTTAATCCATCTTGAATTAATTTTTGTATCAGGTGTAAGGAAGGGATCCAGTTTCAGCTTTCTACATATGGCTAGCCAGTTTTCCCAGCATCATTTATTAAATAGGGAATCCTTTCCCCATTGCTTTTTTTTCTCAGGTTTGTCAAAGATCAGATAGTTGTAGATATGTGGCATTATTTCTGAGGACTCTGTTCTGTTCCATTGGTCTATATCTCTGTTTTGGTACCAGTACCATGCTGTTTTGGTTACTGTAGCCTTGTAGTATAGTTTGAAGTCAGGTAGCGTGATGCCTCCAGCTTTGTTCTTTTGGCTTAGGATTGACTTGGGGATGCGGGCTCTTTTTTGGTTCCATATGAACTTTAAAGTAGTTTTTCCCAATTCTGTGAAGAAAGTCATTGGTAGCTTGATGGGGATGGCCTTGAATCTACAAATTACCTTGGGCAGTATGGCCATTTTCACGATATTGACTCTCCTTACCCATAAGCATGGAATATTCTTCCATTTCTTTGTATCCTCTTTTATTTCCTTGAGCAGTGGTTTGTAGTTCTCCTTGAAGAGGTCCTTCACTTCCCTTGTAAGTTGGATTCCTAGGTATTTTATTCTCTTTGAAGCAATTGTGAATGGGAGTTCACTCATGATTTGGCTCTCTGTTTGTTATTGGTGTATAAGAATGCTTGTGATTTTTGTACATTGATTTTGTATCCTGAGACTTTGCTGAAGTTGCTTATCAGCTTAAGGAGATTTTGGGCTGAGACAATGGGGTTTTCTAGATATACAATCATGTCATCTGCAAACAGGGACAATTTGGCTTCCTCTTTTCCTAATCGAATACCCTTGATTTCCTTCTCCTGCCTAATTGCCCTGGCCAGAACTTCCAACACTATGTTGAATAGGAGTGGTGAGAGAGGGCATCCCTGTCTTGTGCCAGTTTTCAAAGGGAATGCTTCCAGTTTTTGCCCATTCAGTATGATATTGGCTGTGGCTTTGTCATAGATAGCTCTTATTATTTTGAGATACATCCCATCAATACCTAATTTATTGAGAGTTTTTAGCATGAAGGGTTGTTGAATTTTGTCAAAGGTCTTTTCTGCATCTATTGAGATAATCATGTGGTTTTTGTCTTTGGCTCTGTTTATATGCTGGATTACATTTATTGATTTGCATATATTGAACCAGCCTTGCATCCCAGGGATGAAGCCCACTTCATCATGGTGGATAAGCTTTTTGATGTGCTGCTGGATTCGGTTTGCCAGTATTTTATTGAGGATTTTTGCATCAATGTTCATCAAGGATATTGGTCTAAAATTGTCTTTTTTGGTTGTGTTTCGGCCCAGCTTTGGTATCAGGATGATGCTGGCCTCATAAAATGAGTTAGGGAGGATTCCTTTTTTTCTATTGATTGGAATAGTTTCAGAAGGAATGGTACCAGTTCCTCCTTGTACCTCTGGTAGAATTCGGCTGTGAATCCATCTGGTCCTGGACTCTTTTTGGTTGGTAAGCTATTGATTATTGCCACAATTTCAGATCCTGTTATTGTTCTATTCAGAGATTCAACCTCTTCCTGGTTTAGTCTTGGGAGGGCGTATGTGTCGAGGAATTTATCCATTTCTTCTTGATTTTCTAGTTTATTTGCGTAGAGGTGTTTGTAGTGTTCTCTGATGGTAGTTTGTATTTCTGTGGGATCGGTGTTGATATCCCCTTTATCATTTTTTATTGCGTCTATTTGATTCTTCTCTCTTTTTTTCTTTATTAGTCTTGCTAGCGGTCTATCATTGACATTTTTATAATAATCTTTATCCCCCAGTGCATCAGAGAGTTCTGTAAAAATTAATGAATTGATTTTGGAAATTTATTTCATTCAATAAAAGATACACTTCATTGAAAATTAAATGCATTCAAAACAAATTCATTAAAAGACACAAATTTTTTATTATCCACAATTGTTCGCCCATAACTGTAAAATATAAGTTTAGAGGTGTTAGAGAAGTAGCATATATGAAATACAATTGTTATAAAGGTATTATATATACACAAATACATATACTTAAAAAAGAATTTGACATGGATTTATAATACATTTCTAATAAACTTAATTCTAATTAATAAAATGATAATCAACTATAATTATAATTAATAATTAATATATAATAAAATAGATTAAATACATCTGATTATATAAAAAAATTAATTCTAATAAACTTTACTCTTATAAAGATGATGATGATGATTACTGCTTTCATTATCATTAGCACAGAACCTCCTGACACTATATGTACAACACAAGGAAAGGCACCTTTCAAATTGACTGGTCAATTTGAAAATTTGTAAAAGTTAAAATTCTTCAAGTCAATATTTTTTGTAAAAAATTACTTTTATTCAGCAAAAAAGCAGTGAGTCCACAAACTAAAATCTGTGGCAGTAGCCACATGAGGAATACTGAGTAGCATTTTTATGAATTATGTTACTGCATATACTTCTGTTCTAAAAGTAAACTTTGTTTCTAAACAAAAAGCCTGTTCATTTATTCAGCAAATATTTACTGAGTCCTTAGCCTGTGCCATGCACTGTGCTAAGCACCCAGGCTACAACAGTAGGAAAACAGCCCTCAAAGAGCTTACAGTCTAGTTGGGGAGACAGACATTGATCAAACGCATAAATACGATTACAATTCTGACTAGTGTTTCGAAGAAGTGACATTTAAACTTTCACCTGAAAGATGAAAGTACGTTACTCTAGTCAGGACCAGAACTGAAATTTCTCTTTTAACACCAAGTGACGGGGCAGGGAAGATAAAGCATCTTTGGAAAAACAAAACAAAACAAATAAGAACAACAACAACAACAAACCAGAAGTTTCCCTGGGGAAAATTAGGCTGGTCAAGATGAGCAAGACTGATAACGGGGCTAGCATTCACTGATGGGAAGAATGACAAGAGATGAAACTGAAGAAACCTCTAGTGGCCATTGTTCAGGGCCCTGTAGGCCAGTTAAGCATTTTTACCTTTGTTCTAAAAGCACTGAGAGGTAATTGAAACATTCTAAGCAGGAGATTGACATGAAATAACAAGTCAAGGTCAGCACATTGCAGGTTACTGAACTCAATAGTATGACCTGCAAAAGAACTCCTCAGCATTTCCAACTCTTAAATCTTTTTCTTTAAATCTTTTTAAAACCAGTTCTTAATGTCAGCATATGAGAAGACGACCTCTGGTTCTCACATCTCTTCATTCTTGTGGCTTCTTTGAAGGAGGGAGGTTTTCTGATTCCTGTAGGCTTCCCTGTTTCTCTTCTAAGAATCCTGTAATCAGTTTGAAGATGCCTTTCCACAGAAGAGCTTCACATTCCAGAGGGGCTTTGAGACCTCACATGCCAAATTTGGGACCTGCTGTTGTACCAACTTACTTTAGATGCTGCAGTGGGAAAAGGATACTCGGACATGTGCCACAATTACGTGCCCAGGAAACAAAGCCATTCCAAGAATACTTCCCCAAATGCCTCATCACCAGTCTTGTATGACAGCACCAGGACGTTATTATCCCCCTCTTTTCTGTCTTTGGAATTGTGAAAGTTGGAAAGAAATCCTGCAGACTCATTTTTATATCACAACTGTATTATGCCCAGGTGTTAATCCCCAGCTCTCAGAATCCCCTACTGAAGCAGTGAATTGACAGGCTGTCACTCAGTGATTATTGAATGTGACACCACTACAGAGAGACAAGCACTCTTCTCATCATTCTACATGTACTAACTAATTTAATCCTCATTATTATGCCCACTTTATAGATGGTAAAACTGAGGCTTAGAGTGATGACCAACTTGCTCATAATAAATGGAGCTTAAACCTGAATAGAAACAGTCTTGCTCTAGAACTGACAGTAGTGCTATGAAATTTTTTTTTTAATTTCATTTATCTTGAAATGATTCTCCTGGTAGTCACTGAGGTCTTGCAAGCCATCAGAGTCTAATCCACACTATAAATCCAGCATCTGCCAAGCACAGTGGCTCAGGCCTGTAATCCCAGCGCTTTGGGAGGCTGAAGCAGGAGGATCGCTTGAGTCCGGGAGTTCGAGGTTACAGTGAGCTATGACTATGCCACTGCACTGCAGCATGGGTGATAGAGTGAGACACTGTCTCTAAAAAAGAAAAAATCCAACATCTAATGAAAAGAAAGATTAAAGAATGGTGGGGGACATTTTTAACATCACAGTAACTATATAATCACATCCTTCTATACTAAAGTAGACCATTCTATAAATAGATGTTAAAATGTTAATATACAAATTCAAAGGGAATTTAATTATCTCTTCAGATTACATAACTCACTTAGAAATATTTTCCTTCATGATACTTGTGGATAATATTAAAATTTCCACTAGTAACATCTTGGCTATAAAGAAAGGTAGGGGTAATATGAATGAATTAAAGCTTTTTTAGACTCTCACAGCAATCTGAGAAGTTTCAAAGGAAGACAGTGAGCTCTTTATTTATAGGTGAAGAAAATACAAGTTTGAATGTCTCAGGAGCCTTTGGATGGAATTAATATCAAATTCTTTGCAGGAGAAAATTTTTTAAAAATTTC
Source organism: Homo sapiens (assembly GCF_000001405.40). Lineage (NCBI taxonomy): Eukaryota > Metazoa > Chordata > Mammalia > Primates > Hominidae > Homo > Homo sapiens. The sequence continues at coordinate 41,327,378 of NC_000005.10, read as the reverse complement.
TTTAATTGGACAAACCTTTATTTGCATATAAAGTCAAGCTTAGACTCCACAGCATGTCAAAGGAAGTCCTTAACGACCTGGCCAAACACCTTTTCTGCTTCTTCTCAACTGCAGTCAATTCCCCCACACCTCCAGGGCCCCTGCTCTCTAGTCCCCATGTCCCCTCTAGTTGCATCATCTCTTTCATGCCCACATGCTTTTGCATGTGCTGTTCCCTTTTCTTATGATACCTTCCTTCACCTTCTTTGGAACCCCTTTCTCTTTATCTTAAGAGGGCCTAGGCATGACCAAGTTCAAATAGCCCCTGTTTTGTGAAATGGTCCTTAAATTCCTCCTTAGTTTCTCCCAAGTAAAATGAATGATTTTATCTACTGTGCTCCCATAGAATCCTATGCCCACTTCTATTGTACCATATCATATTGTCATGGTGGGTTTACGTCTATTTTGCTTCTTAAACTTTGAGCCACCTGAGCCCAGGAAATTGGAGTTCAATGAATGTGTTGTTTTCCCTTTGGATCCTAGGGAGTGGTAGGTACAGGGGATGTATTAATGAATACAATATGATATTTTAATGGGCAGGTACTGGTAAAAATTGGCATGGAAATGGATAATCAATGTTATGTGCTATGTACACTCACAGAACTATGCTTAAGAGGCATAAAACATAAAGAAAAAGGATCTTCACTCAGATTTGGATGGGAGGGGTTGAGATAATGCCCAGGCCAAATCTTAAATGGTAGGGAGCAATTGGCCAAGAAGGGTATTGGAAGAAGACAGGCCTGAAAAAAATACATAAGCATGAAACTGCAGAGCATGTTTTGGGGAAAATACAAGCATTTCAGTATCACTGGAGAACAAATGAACAGGAAGTAGCAATAAATGAGGTTGAGGAGGAGATGGTAGCTGATATGGGGAGATAGGAAAAACTCATACACACTGCTGAAGAGTTGGGTATATCTTGCAGGTGAGAGATGAATTTGTAGTTGTTCATGAAGAGGAATAATAATGCTCAAATTAATTTGAGAAACATTGTCCTGACTGTGGTGTAGATAACACACACAAAAAAGGAACATAGGCACAAGACTGTGGCAACATCTCTCCAGGAGAGATGAGGAAAGTCTAAACTCTGAAATGGCCCTAGGAAGTTACAGGTAGCACCACTGATGCACAATACATCTTTGTTAGATGAATGCATGGATGGATGAATGGAGGGATAGAAAGATAGGTGACTTAAATAAAGTTTAACCAGTTTTTCTTTGCTGTGATCCAAATGTTTGTGTCTCTCCAAATTCATATGTTGAAATCCTAACCTTCAAGATGATGGCATTAAGAAGTGAGGACTTTGGGAGGCGATTAGGTTGTGAGGGCAGAGTCCCCATGAATGAGATTAGTACCCTTGTTAAAGAGGCACAAGGGATCTTGTTTTCCCTTCCACCATGTGAAGACACAATGAGAAAACTCCATTTATGAATCAAGAAAGGAGCCCTCACCAAACACCAAATCTACTAGCACATTGATCTTGGACTTCTAAGTCTCCAAAACTTTGAGAAATACATTTCTGTTGTTTATATACTACCCAGGTTATGGTATTTTGTTATAGCAGCCCCAAACAGACTAAGACAGTCTTATACCATAAAAATTGTTACATTGGTGGCATTTTATTACCACCAGAGTCATCTTTCAGTTCATTCTTATTACCTGTCCAACACCAAGTATAACCAGCAATGTCCTAATTAGCTGTACATCATACATTATCAATGGCAAAAAAACAAAAATTAGTTCTTCAGACACCAAACAAAAAATGTTTTCTTTTCACATGTAAAGCACAGATATATAAACAGTTATACAATATATCTGTAGTATTAAAATTTCATGGAGGAGGAGGACAAATAGGAAAACAATATTCAAAAAAGCTCCTTGGGAGGTAATAATGATAAAAGATTAAGAAATGCTATCCTAAATAATTGTTGTAACTTCAGTAGCATTTGCTAGTTTTAATCCAGTACAGTGAGTCTTTTTGTTTAACATAATTCTACTTGAGACTGTCTGAGTATTTGAGATTTAACTTGGCATTATTGCTTGTTTTGTCTCTGGTATCATATTGACTTTAGGAACGTATGCCTGAACAGAAAATAGAAATATTCCCATGACTCAGAGGAATGATATTTTAAATGTAATATTCATATTTCATCTAAGGACTACAAGTTATTTTGAAACAATGTTTCATCAATTCTCAAAGCAATCTATTTTATGGGGAAACAAAAAAGAACACTCTTGTGTTCTCCTAACCTCTCCGTGGGGATAACAATTAGTTGTTCTAAATTCAGGCCTAGAAATTTTAACTTCTGAGTAACAGACGGCATCTAAGGAGCTGTTTCTGTGATAATCAAGGTTCTGAGACGTGAATATGGTTGCTCAGGAACCTCCCATGACGTAGTACCCAAGGGATCTGGTGAACAAGCTACTCAGTTAAGGCCAACACAGAATCAATACTGGCCTCAGCATCACACTTATCTACTCCGCCTCTCACCTCTCAAGGTGAATGAGTCTGTTGAAAAATCATTCTTCCCAGGAAATACACTGGTTGTGATACTATTTCCAAAGAGCATTGGTCTTCTCATATATGCAAAGGTGATGCGACAGGCACAGCAGAGCCACTTCATCTGTTCTAGCAAGGCCAGAAGAGAAAGTTGTGGGTTCAACCAGAGTGGCTACACACATACTGTCACAGTATCTGTCGTTCTAATGAACTTGAATACACTCATGTCTGTATATTCAGACATGGGATCCAGATTGTCCATTTTAAGATAGAATTATCTTCTAAAACTATTGCTGTGGGGACCAAATGTCTCCACCTGCTGCTCTATTTCCTAAAGGCATTGGGCCATTTAGGTCAACATTATGCTCTTTTAGAAACAACTGAGTCCTCCTCTATCTGGGTCTGACAGGAAAATGTATATGCTGAAATTATGGATCAGGATTTTTAAGGTACTAGCCGGGGATTAGTGTAGCTCAAGGTCATTGACCCAGTGTTGTCTGAACGGGCTGAATTTCTTTAGACTGGATATACTTTCTGAGATCTGGGGAAATGCACATTTATCACACTCCCTGCTTAAATCTCACTCAGCTCTTCTTAGTTTCCAAAAGGAGCATGGCTTCCTTCTTTTCTTGATTTTCATGACACTATATGCTCCTGATTTTCCTCCTACTTCTGCATCTACTTCTGATTGCCTTCTATGGAATCCATTTTCCTGCCCATCCCTTAAATGCTTCTGATTTTTTCTCTTTTCTTCCTCCTCCTCAAAATCTAAGTGATCTTATCCACGTTCACAGCTCCAACTATTCTCTGTTTGTGATGACTTCTGAGCAGCTCTCTGTCCTGCATATAAGACCTGTACTTACCTGCCACTTGAGATCTCAACTCATGTGTTCCAAAGTCACCTCAAAATCAACATATATCAGACTGAACTTATCATGCTTGCTGGAAAGGCTTCGCTCCTGTCTTTCCAAGATGAGTGAATGATGTCCACGTGCCAGAATACTTCTAGAAATCTAGGCATAATTCATGGTCCCTTTCTTCCTCTCCTTCTACATCCAGTTTCATATCAGATGTCATTTTAGATGACATCTAGATTTCAGGTGTCTTTCATATATATATACACTGCTGCTACTGCAATTCAAGCAACCACTATCTCTGGTCTGGATTACTTCAGCAGCATCTAATTGTGATTTCTGCCCCTAGTGTTGCTCTCTCCCATCACTTGTCTACACTGAAGTCAAACTAATCTCTAAATCACTAATCTAATCATAGTATTCCCCTAGCTAACAGTTTTCAGTTGCTATGTATTTCTTTTCTTTTTCTTTTTCATTTTTGTGGGTATATAGTAGGTGTATATATTTATGGGTACATTAGATGTATTGATAAAGGCATGCAATGTGAAATAAGCTTACTGTGAAGAATGGGGTATCCCTTCCCTCAAGCATTTGCCCATTGAGTTGCAAACAATCCAATTACACTTTTTAAGTTATTTTAAAATGTATAGTTATTATTGACTCTAATCAGTCTGTTGTGCTATCAAATAGATCTCATTTCTTCTTTCTAACTTTTTTTTATACTTTTTAACCACCCCACCTCATCCATAGCTCTCCCACTATGCTTCCTAGCCTCTGGTAACCATCCTTCTCTCTGTGTCCATGAGTTCAATGTTTTGATTTTTAGATCTCATAAATAAGTGACAACGTGTGATATTTGTCTTTCTGTACCTGGCTTATTTCACTTAACATAATGATCTCCAGTTCCATGCATGTCGTTGCAAATGACTGAATCTTATTCCTTTCTATGGCTGTATAGTACTCCATTGTGTATATGTACCACATTTTCTTTTTTCTTTTCTTTTTTTTTTTTTTAGACAGAGTCTTGTTCTGTCACCAGGCTGAAGTGCAGTGGTGCGAACTTGACTCACTGCAACCTCCTCCTCCTGGGTTCAAGCAATTCCCCTGACTCAGCCTCCTGAGTAGCTGGGACTACAGGTGCACATCACAACACCCAACTAATTTTTGTATTTTAGTAGAGACGGAGTTTCACCATGTTGGCCAGGATGGCCTCGATCTCCTGACCTCAAGATCTGCCCACCTCAGCCTCCCAAAGTGCTAGAATTACAGGCGTGGGCCACCACGCCCAGCCACATTTTCTTTATCCAGTCATCTGTTGATGAACATTTAGGTTGCTTCCAAATCTTAGGTATTACACACAGTGCTGCAACAAACATAGGAGTGCAGATATCTCTTCAATATACTGATTTTCTATCTTTTGTGTATATACCCAGCAGTGGGATTGCTGGATCACTTGGTAGCTCGATTTTCAGTTTTTTGAAGAACCTCCAAACTGTTCTCCATAGTGGTTGTACTAATGTACATTCCCACCAACAGTATACAAGGGTTCCCTTTTCTCCATGTCCCCTCCAGCATTTGTTATTGCCTGTTTCTGGATATAAACCATTTTAACTTGGATGACATGATTTGCATCTCTCTGATAATCAATGATGTTGAGCATATGTTCATATGTCTGTTTGCCATTTGTATGTCTTCTTTTGAGAAATGTCTGTTCAAATCTTTTGCCCATCTTTTAATTAATTAGCTTTTTTTCCTATAAAGTTGTTCAAGTTCCTTATATATCCTGGTTATTAATCTCATGTCAGATGGGTAGTTTGAAGATATTTTCTCCCATTCTGTGGGTTGTCTCTTCACTTTGTTGATTGTATCCTTCACTGTGCAGAAGCCTTTTAATTTGATGTGATCCCATTTGTCCATGTTTGGTTTGGTTGCCTGTGCTTATGGGGTATTGCTCAAGAAATTTTTGCCCAGACCAATGTCCTGGAGATTTTCCCCAAAGTTTTCTTATAGTAGTTTCATAGTTTGAGGTCTTAGGTTTAAGTCTTTAATCCATTTTGATCTGATTTTTGTATATGGTGAGAGGTGAGAGATAGTGGCCAAGTTTTATTCTTTTGCATCTGGATATCCAATTTTCCCAGCACCATTACTGAAGATACTGTCTTTTCCCCAGTGTGTGTTTGTGGCACCTTTGTCAAAAGTGAGTTGACCGTAAATGTGTGAATTTGCTTCTGTATTTATTATTTTCTCTTGGTCTATGTGTCTGTTTTTATGCCAGTGCCATGCTGTGTTAGTTAGTATTTCTCTGCAGGATAATTTAAAGTAATGTGATTCTTCCAGTTTTGTTCTTTTTGGTTTGGATAACTTTGGCTATGCTGGGTCTTTTGTGTTTCCACATAAATTTTAGGTTTGCTTTTTCTATTTCTATGAAGAATATCATTAGTATTTTGACAGTAGATTGCATTAAATCTGTAGACTGCTTTGAGTAGTATGGACACTTTAACAGTATTGATTCTTTCAATCTATAAACATGGTATACTTTTGCATTTTTTTGGTGTCTTCTTTCATCAGTGTTTTATAGATTTCATTATAGAGCTCTTTCACTTTTTTTGGTTTATTCCTAGGTACTTAATTTTATGTGTGGCTATTGTAAATGGGATTGCTTCTTTTATTCTTTTTCACATTGTTCACTGTTGGCATACAGAAATGCTACTGATTTTTGTATGTTGACTTTGTATACTGCAAATTTATTGAATTTGCTTATCACTTCTGTTTTCTTACAGAGTCTTTATGTTTTTCCAAATATAAGATCATATCATCTGCAAACAAGGGACATTTGACTTTCTTTTCAATTTGGAAGCATTTTGTGTCTTTCTCTGGTCTGATTGGTCTAGCTAGAAATTCCAGTACTATTTTGAATAACAGCAGTGACACTGGGCATCCTTGTCATGTGCCAGCTCTTAGAGGAAAAGCTTCTACTTTTTCCTCATTCAGTATGATACTAGCTGTGGGTCTGTTGTATATGGTTTTTATTATGTTTAGATATGTTCATTCTATTTCCAGTTTTTTAAAAGATTTTTTATAATGAAGGGATGTTGACTTCTATCAAATGCTTTTTCAGCATCAATTGAGATGATCATATGGTTTTCATTCTTCTTTCTGTTGATGTGATGTATCACATTAATTGATATGTGGCCGGGCGCAGTGGCTCACGCCTGTAATCCCAGCACTTTGGGAGGCCGAGGCGGACGGATCACGAGGTCAGGAGATCGAGACCATCCTGGCTAACACAGTGAAAACCTGTCTCTACTAAAAATACAAAAAATTAGCCAGGCATGGTGGCGGGTGCCTGTAATCCCAGCTACTCTGGAGGCTGAGGCAGGAGAATGGTGTGAACCCGGGAGGTGGAGCTTGCAGTGAGCCAAGATCGCGCCACTGCACTCCAGTCTGGGCGACAGAGCGAGACTCCGTCTCAAAAAATTAAAAAATTAAAAAACCAAAACATTAATTGATTTGCATATGTTGAACCACCCTTGCATCCCAGGGATGAATCCCAATTGGTCATGATGAATGGTCTTTCTAATGTATTCCTGAATTAAGTTTGCTAGTGTTTTGTTAAGAATTTTTACATCAATATTCATCAGCAATATTGGCTTATAGTTGTTGTTTTTTCTTTTTTTTGTTTTTAGGTGTGTCTTTGGTTTTGTTATCAGGGTAATACTGGCCTCATAGAGTGAGTTTGGAAATATTCCCTCCTCCTCTATTTTTCAAAATAATTAGAGTAGGATTGCTATTAGTTTTTCTTTAAATGTTTGGTAGAATTATTAGGCAGTGACGCCATCAGGTCTCGGGGTTTTCTTTACTGGGAGACTTTTTATTATGGCTTTGATCTCATTACTTGTTATTGGTCTGTTCAGGTTTTGAATTTTTTTCCTAGTTCAATCTTGGTAGGTTGTATGTGTCTAGGAATTTGTTCATTTCTTGTAGGTTTTCCTATTTATTGGCATGTAGTTGCTCATAGTAGCCACTAATGAACTTTTGAATTTCTGCAGTGTCAGTTGTAATGTCTCTTTTCCATTTCTGATTTTATTTATTTATTTGGATCTTCTTTTGTTTTCTTAGTATGGCTAAAGGTTTGTCCATTGTGCTTAACTTTTCAACAAATGACATTTTTGTTTTATTGATCTTTTGTATTTTTTTCATTTCAATTGCATTTATTACCACTCTGATCTTTATTATTTCTTTTCTTCTACTAATTTGGGGTTTGGTTTTTTCTTGGTTTTCTAGTTTTTTAAGATGCATCATTAGATTGTTTATTTGAAGTTTTTTCTCTTTTGGGACACAGGCACTTGTAGCTATAAACTTCCTTCTTAGTACTGCTTTTGCTGTATCCCATAGGTTTTGGTGTGTTGTGTTTCCATTATTATTTGTTTCAAGAAACTTTTCAATTTCCTTCTTAATGTCTTCATTGACCCACTGGTCATTCAGGAGCGTACTGTTTAATTTCCATGTAGTTGTAGAACTCCCAAAATTCCTCTCATCATTAATTTCTAGTTATATCCCATTGTGGTCAGAGAAGATGTTTGATATTACTTAGATTGTTTTGAATGTTTTAAGATGTTTTGTGACCTAAAATATGGTCTATCCTTGAGAATGATCCATGCGCTGAGGAAAAAAATGTGTATCCTGAAGCTCTTGGATGAAATGTTCTGTAAATGTCTATTAGATCCATTTGGTCTATACTGCAGATTAAGTCTGATGTTTCTTGATTTTCTGTCTGGAAGATCTGTTCAGTACTGAAAGTAGGGTGTTGAGGTCTCTGGCTATTATTGTTTTAGGGCCTATTTCTCTCTTTAGCTCTAAAAATACTTATTATATGTATCTGGGTCCTCCAGTGTTGACTGCATATATATTTACAATTGCTATATCCTCTTGCTGAATTGAAACCTTTATCATGGCACAGTGACATTATTTGTCTCATCTTACAGTTTTTGTTTTGAAATTTATTTTGTCTGATATAAGTATAGCAACTCCTGCTTTTTTTGTTCATTTGTTTGTTTGCTTGTTTCCAGTGGTGTGGAATCTTTTTCCAACCCTTTATTTTCGGTCTATGTGTGTCTTTACAGGTGATGTGTGTTTCTTGTAGGCAATAGATCATTGGGTCTTGTTTTCTCATCCACTAAGCCAGGCTATGTCTTTTGATTGGAGAGTTTAGTCCATTTACATTCAATGTTGTTATTGATAAGTAAGGACTTACTCCTTGCATTTTGTTATGTGTCTTCTGGTTGTGTTGTGGTCTTCTCTTCCTTTTTTCTTTCCTTCCTGTCTTCCTCTAGTGAAGTTGACTTTACCTGGTGATAGGATTTAGTTATTGCTTCTTATTTTTTGTGTATCCATTGCATGTTTTTGGTTTTAGGTTACCAGGAAGTGTGCAAATACCATCTTATAAGTCATTATTTTAACTTGATAACAACTTTACATTATTTGCATAAGTAAACAAACAAAAAGTAAACTAATAAAAATACGCCTTAACTTCATCCCCCCACTTTTAAACATTTTGTTGTTTCTACTTATATTTTATTGTACTGACTGTGCCTTGAAATTTTGTTGTAGTTTTTATTTTTGATTGGTTCATTGTTTAGTCTTTCTACTAAGGATAAGAGTAGTTTACATACCACAGTGGCAGTGTTATAATATTCTTTGTTTTTCTGTGTACTTACCATTACCAGTAAGTTTTGTACCTTCTACTGATTATTTATTGCTCATTAATGTCCTTTTCTTTTTGATTGAAGTACTCCCTTTAACATTTCTTGTGGGGCGGGTCTGGGATTGATGAAATCCCTCAGCTTTTGTTTATCTGGGAAAGTCTATTTCTCCTTCATGTTTGAAGGATATTTTTGCCAGACATCCCACTCTAGGGTAAAAGTTTTTTTTCCTTCTGCACCTTGAATATGTCATGTCATGCTCTCCTGGCCTTCTTGTGTTTGGATATTAATATCTTTCTCTAAGTTTGGGAAGTTCTCTGTTATTATTTCTTTGAATAAACATCCTACCCTTGTCTTTCTTTTCTACTTATTTAAGGCCAATAACTCTTAGATTTGTCTTTTCAGCCTATTTTCTGCATCCTGTAGGCATGCTTCATTGTTTTTTATTATTTTTTCTTTTGTCTCCTCTGTATATTTTCAAATATCCTGTCTTCAAGGTCACTGTTTCTTCTGCTTGATCCATTCTGCCATTAAATGACTCTGATGCATTCTTTAGTATACCAATTACATTTTTCAGCTCCAGAAAATTTCTGCTTGACTCTTTTTAATTATTTTAATATCTTCATTGAATTTATCTGATAGAATTCTGAATTCCTTCTCTGTGTTGTCTTGAACCTATTTGAGTTTCCTTAACACAGCTACTTTGAGTTCTTTGTCTGAAAGGTCACATATCTCTGTTTCTCCAGGATTGGTCCCTGGTGCCTTATTTAGTTCATATGGTGAGGTCACCTTTCCCCAGATGGTGTTGATGCTAGTTAGATATTCTTCAATGTCTGGACATTGAAGAGTTAGGCATTTATTCTAGTCTTTGCTGTCTGAGCTTATTTGTAGCCATCCTTCTCAGGGAGGCCTTCTGGAAATTTGAAAAGACTAAGGTATTGTGATCTAAACTGTATCTGCTTTAGGGGGCACCCCAAGACCAGTAATGCTGTGATTCCTGATGACTTGTAGAGGTACCACCTTGATGGCCTTGGTCCAGATATGGGAGAATTCTCTAAGTTACCAGGCAGAGATTTGTTCTCTTTCCTTACTTTCTTCCAAACATACAGAGTCTCCCACTCCATTTTGAACCACCTAAACCTGCAGATGGAATGACACAAGCACCTCTGTGGCCACCACTACTATGACTGTGCTGTGCTGGGTCACACCTGAAGCCAGCAAAGTACTGGGTCTCATGCAGGGCCTGCTGTAACCAGTCCCTGGCTATTGTGTATGGTTTCTCAAGGCCCTGGGGCTGAACAATCAGCAGGTGGCAAAGCCAGCCACGTCTGTATCCTTCCTTTCAGGATGGCAAGGTCCCCCAAGCCCTGGGTGGGTCCAGAAGTGCCATCTGGAGTCAGGGAGTAGAGCCAAAAACCTTAGAAATTTATCTGGTATCCAATTACATTGCAGCTGAACTGGCACTAAAAACACAAGACACAGTCCTTACCAGTCTTCCCTGTCCTTTCCAAAGGTACAGGAGCCTCACCCTATAGCCACCACCACCCTAGCCATGATGAGTACTTCCAGACTACCACTGATGTTCCCTTAAGGTCCAAGATCTCTTAAGTCTGCTTCTGGTGGATGCTGCCTAGCCTGGGACTCACCCTTCAGGGCAGTGGGCTCCCTCTGACCCTGGGCAGGTCCAGAAATGCCATCCAACAGTGAAGTCCTGGAATCGGGGACTCTAAGAGTCTGCTTGGTGCTCTAGCAACCATGGCAGTGTTGGTACCAAAGGTGCAAGACAAAGTCCCCTTTACTTTTCTCTCTGCTTTTCTCAACAAGAAGAAGTTTTGTCCCACAGCCACCATAGCTAGTAATATGCTGAGTCTTACTTGCAAGCAAGCCTCAGAGGTTCACCCAAGACCCAAGATGTAGTACCTGGATATCTCTGCTGGTTATCTGGGGCCAAGGGCTCTTCAGTTAGCAGGTGATGAATGCTGGTAGGTCTACATCCTTTTCTTCAAGGCAGCAGGTTCCCTTCTGGCCCAGGGTGTGTCTAGAAATGTCATCTGGGAGCTAGGGCCTGGAACGGGGACCTCATGACTCTGACTGGTGCCCTATCCTGCTGTGGCTGAGCTGGTATCCAAGAGGCAAGACAAAGTCCTCACCATTCTTCCCCCTCTTCTCCCAAGTGGAAGAAGGGGGTCTCTTTTGAAACCACAAGCTGTGCAGCCTGGGTTTAGGGGAGAGGTGATGCCAGCACTCCCTTGGTTACCTAAGCTGATGTCTCAGTATGGAGTTGCCTAAGAGTTGCAGTTCTTATGACCTAGACTGCCTTTCAAATTTACTTGGAGACACAGAACACTATAGCCCTCTGTGGTGAGATTTGCAGGCACTCAAGTTCTGACTGCTGGGATCTGTGATTCCCTCTCTGGCTAGGCCTGGTTTAAATATTCCCTGTGTGACTGGGCGTCCGCTGAGTTAGGTCCGGTTTTCATTTCTGCTCTAGCAGGACAGCACTGAGTTTAATGCCTCACAATTACTGTATTCTCCCTTGCCCAGAGCCCAGAGATGCTCTCCACAACAGGCCATTGCTGGTGGAGGTTGAGAGGGAGGGTGTCAGTGATTCAGGACTGCTTTTTCTATTTCTTCTGTGGCATTTTCCGCGATATAAAGTTAAATCCAGGTACTAAAGGTACTCATCTGATTTTTAGTTCTTATAAAGGTGTTTTTTGCTGTGTAAATAGTTGTTAACTTGGTATCCTTGCAGGAAGGACGATGACCTTGCAGGGGTATGCGGAGCCTTCTGTTCCACCATCTTGCTCAGCCTCCCAATTCAGTTGTTATATATTTCTCAAGGCCCTCTATTGTCTGGGTTTTTTTTTTTCTCTTTAACATCTTTCAAAACTACCTTACCTTTTTTATACAACTTCTTCTAGGTTTTTAAACTCTCCTCCCCTTCTTCCCTTTTCTCTCCCTCTCCCTCTCCATTTCATCCAGGAATTTAATGTTCACATGTATTTCCCTCAAACTTTCTTTATTAATACACTATCATGTCTCTGGCCTGTTCATTTATCCTTTTGTCATGGAAACTTCCCTTCCTGCCCTGACCAAGTTATAGTAGTTCTCATTCCAATATGCTGTCAGAAGATGCTGGACATCATCATTAACATCACCTGTATCTGTCTGCCTGGATCCATTGCTCCTAAGCACACACCATGATTCTGTCAGCAAATGAAAAAATGGTATTTCCTCTGCCTGAAAGTGCATTGCATCATCCTCCATCTACCATTCTCACCTTTATCCAGCTAAATCTTCCTAATCCTTCAATATTTATTTTAGCAAGCATTCTTCTGAAAGGTTTTCAGAAGACTTTCCTTGATTTTCCAGGCTATGCTAAGTGACTCTCCACTATGATCTCATGGTGATGAATGAGCTCTTATAGTGAAAGTCAAATCACACCACTCCTCTGCTCAAGATAATTCAAAGGCCCCCTATTTTACTCAGAGTGAACATCAAAACTTTTATAATGGCCTAATGTGCCCTACAGAATCTGCCCCCTTTTCCTCAGTATCCTCATTTTTTTTACTACTCTCTTCTTTTCTCTAAGCTTAAGCATGCTACCCCATTAGTGCCATGGCAATAGCTGGGATGCTTTCCCTAGATAGCCACATGACTAACTCCCTTGTCTCCTTCAAACCTTTGCACAAATGTCCCTTTATCACTGAGGCCTATTAAGCCACCCTATTTTAAAATGCAATCTGCATCTCTCCTCCCTACCTGCAGATTCCTAATCTTCTTTTCTTTGCTCCATTTTTATAGCACTTATTCCCTTCTATCAAACTACATATTTTTATGACTATTGTTTATTGTCTGTTTCTCCTTATGAGAATGTAAGCTCCACAGGGAAAGATATTTTTATCTGTTTTGTTCACTTGAATCCTCCAGGTGCCTACACTGATGACTGGAACTTAATAGGTGCCCAGTAAATGTGTTTGAAGGAATGAGCCCTGATTATATTGTGCTACAATTTCTTCCTTGTCTGCCTACCCACCACCAAACTGTGTACTTTCTGAAGGCAGGGGATTTTACTATTATGTCTATTTACAATATCTTAGCACATTTCCTCATAATAGTGGGTTCATAATAAATGTTTGCTAAGTGCATGTATTCATCTCTGACCTCCCCAATCCGTAGTTTTGCAGGGTTTGTGATGACACCATGTTAAATCAGAATACAAATGCAAAAATGTTGTTTTCTTAGTAGGGAAGCATCATTATAAACTATCACAGTATCTGGGATCTGCCGAGATGAGAACTCCAATACGGATCAATATAGTGAATATTTCTCCTGCAGAGTTTCTTCAAAGGTTAAAAAATCCCCAGAGTCCATTTGGCCTTTTCCCCTTCCTGTACCTATACGTGAAACATTTATTTTAATAAGCTAGAAACTAAAGGGAAGACTGAGAATTGTAGAGCTTGAAAAATAGTATCTTGCCTTCTGTGACTTTTCTTTTTGTTTCCTTTCTCAGAGCTCTTCCTGCCATGATGCAGTGGGTCCGCACGCAGAAGCCAGGAGAGAGTGGCATCAATATTGTCACTGCCGATTTTGTAGAACTTGGTGACTTTATCAGCACTGTCATAAAGCTCAACTATGTCTTTGATGAAGGAGAAGCCAACACTTGATAGCACTACTTGGAGTTTCCATGAATAAGATGGAGAAAGCTCATTGTATTAGGGCATACTATCTGTAAACACTCTGATCTTCCTATTCCACTGAGTCTCTGAAGGGAATAGGGCTGGTAGTGGGTGGGAAAAGGGGAAAAACTGTTTCTTCAGTGATTACAATCATACTCTTCATTACTATAAATATTTCATTTCCCATTTGATGAGCAAAATCTACTTCTAGTGTTAGGAATAAAAAAAAAAGACCAGTAACTTTGTTTTTCAAAATTAGTCTTTGTAACATAGAATTCATGAGTGTTTACTTGATTAGGTTCTCTATTTCCAGCCTATGACTCCTACGCTGTCTATACCCTGCAACCTTTCTGCTCCCTCTCTTGCTCGCTCTTTTTAATCAGATGCTGTATGGGAATCAAAACAATTGAATGCCCAACATTTTGTGTATTACATTGTTGTCTTAAAACTTACTAGTTTTGTGGGACTTGTTATAATGCTCTATAGTCATCCACAGTTGGGCAATCATAGCTAATTTTTGGTCATAGAAAATCTGCATCAAATCAGTTTCCATGCATCAGTAATATTGAAGGTCATAATCAGTGATTTTTGTTATATGAAAATAATAGTGTTTCACAGTATTTCTATTTAAGGCAGCTATAAATATAGGAGAAAAATGTTTTTGGAGAGCTGTGAATGCCAATTTCAGAGGGAAAAATGGTTGAGGGGTGAAAGAGATGTATGGCATTTTAATTTGGCAATCTCTTAAATAATATTGCCCTGCAAGTACCCAGTAAATGGTAAGGTACAAGTGTGTTAAAATTGAAAACTCTGAAAATAACTCTTTAAAAAGCCCTCTTAATGATGCTCTTGATGAAAGAAAAAGACAGAAGGAAGGAAGGAAGGAAGGAAGGAAGGAAGGAAGGAAGGAAGGAAGGAAAGGAAGAAAGGAAGGGAGGGAGGAAGGGAGGGAAGAAGGGAGGGAAGGACAGAAGGAAGGACGGGAGGAAGGAAGGAAGGGAGGAAGGAAGGAAGGAAGAGAGGGAGGGAGGGAGGAAGAGAGGGAGGGAGGGAGGAAGAGAGGAAGGAAGAAGAAAAAGACTGCAAGCTTTCCTGCCAATTTGGGATTTTCAAATATTTAATTCTAAATTCCAGATTTTAAGGAAGATTTTTCAAGAAACTGCAAGTTTTTGACTTGAAGGAAAGAAAGAGGAAGGCTGGTAGAAGCAGTTAGAGCAATGTGTTTGAAATTATGTCCATGAAATCACAGGGATCTCTGAAATATCTTTAGGAAACTTGAAATTTATGAGGTCTGAATGGACTTGTTTAAAATTGGCTCTGACTCCTCACTTCTGAGTTTCATCCTATCCGAGGGATGAGATTAAGGCAGAGGCAAAAGTTTCACACAAAGTTTCTGCAACCTAACGTTTAATAGTCCGGGTCTACAGGGAAGAACAATGACACAGCTTGAGCGTTACTTCCTCCTTCGTGTCATTGTGATATTTGACAACTCTAAAAAATAAAAAAAAAAAACTTAGAGCACAATAATCCTTGCCTATGTACTTCACAGGAATATTGTGAGGTGTTTATAAAATTATAAAATTTGATGAAATTCTTACAATTATTAATTATTTTATTTTCATGTTTAGAAATAATCACACCCCAATAGTTTCCTAGGATAATACAGTCCATGCAAAGTAGGGTCATAGAGAAATAAAAGCATGCCCTCAGCTTTTAATGAACTTAAATGTAGCACATATGGCTTAATCTCTTAGACTTAGATAAGGGAGTTCAATTCAAAACCATATATGTCAAGACCACAAATAATCAAGAGTTGATTTCAAGATTATAAATACTCATGATCAGAAAATAGTACTTATTAGCAATTAAAGGGAGGAAAAGAAATTGTTTATACTGAAGAGAATGTTTATGAGGAGTGTGTATGTACCTGTGGTATACCAAATAGCATACATGTACACACAAAAATGTGTGTATACATTTGGGTTGTGTGTATACATCTTGCCATATACAATATACAAACATATGCCCATTCCTGTGATAGCATACAAATTCAAACATACAGAAACACACACAGATATGGACACAGTACAATTCTTCTTTTCAAATGAAGACATTGATAATATTAAATAATTTAATTTTAAGACTGAAACCCTTAATATTGTGTGAAAAAGAGTAATAAAACCTTTGAAAGTAGAGTAGATGATCACATCAAAGTATTTTTGTAAAAGAATTCTAGTGTAGGACTTAATTATTTTTAAAATATATTTCTTCTCTTCTTTCCATTTTCCCTTCCCTTGTAGTTTTATTATCTTTCTGTCTTTTACACCTGCTCTTTATGTGAAAATGTATATGAATCCTTTTAAAATGATTAGGATTATTGAAATGTATGTCCCGTAAATTTGGTTTTTGGGCAGACTTTCTCTCTAACTGGCTATTCATTCATCCTTCAGGAGGATCTTAGCCAAGAATATTTGCAATGACACATGAATTTAATTTTATAAATATAATGGAAAACAGATTTTTCATCATATCATGAATAAAATATAGAGGTAACTATGTTGTATTTTCTTGAACCTAGATACTTTCTCATAGTGTTTGCTTAGAATTAACTTTGTCCTATTTGTCAACTGGGTTCTGGAAAAAAACAAACATGATGAAGCTTTTGAATAATTGTGCAGTTTTTTAACTAGGGAAAGCTTTGTACTGCTGCTAATGATATGCACCCAGAAACCTTGTTAGACAAAAGGCAGTTTCAAGCCAATGCTATGGTTTCCATGTGGACATACAGTGCCTATGTAGCAGGCACTTAGAGTAAATGGACTTGCCTTAATTTATAAAGGAGGGAAGAGGTAGAAGGGAACCATGGGTCCTCCAGCTAGAGGGGGAGTTTACTAAAAGGGAGTCCTTGGAAAGGGGAATGGAGAGAAGGTGCCTTTGACTGTCTTCTATCCATTAGTTCTGCCCTGGAGCACACTGGGGAAGCAGGCTGCGGGCCTTCCAAAAGTAAAAAATGGTGATATGCAATCGAAGCTTATCCTTAGCCTATGCACATTTGTCTCAGCTGGGCATTGTCTTTTCAGAGAGCTTGTAGCACAAGGGCTACACATGGGCGCCAAGATGGTGGTAGATACACCTTGGTGCACTTTTTGTTTTACTTGTTTCTTAAGACTATTTCACAAGTCCTGTGAGGCAAAAAAACAAAACAAAACAAAACAACCAAACAAATACAATCTAACTTTTACCCAATCTACAGCAGGAAATCAAAGGAGTGGGTGGAATGAGAGAAAATATGCAAAGAGATCATTTTTAAGTTTGATTTCCTGTCTGTAATTTTCAAGGACTAATATAGCAAATTTTTCTTCTGCCATTATCATTTATGTCTCCCTATTTACCACACAATAATGTAAATGCAGAGAATGAGGAGGCATCTTTTAAAAGCCTTAGGATATTCTATATGATGACCTCAATATTGACTTTCAGCCATACTGGGAAAACTTACTTTTCATGGAGTGCCACCTAACAGTGAATGTATTAGAGTATAAAATGTTTGCCATGTATACACCTGTATGTGCACATACACACATTACACACACACACAGAATGCACATTTCACACACATATACTTATTATTCAAGTTGAAACTGCACTCTAATCAATCTGAGTCTATTGCTGTTTCAACTCTTAAAATCAATATCTCCTACATTAGTAGATATAAACATAATTCAAATATTTAAATATTTAAGAGGAGAAAAGTAACTAGAAAACCAATGAAAAGTGAGGCCATCAGAAATAGAAAATGCCTGGCACGAACAGTCTATCTAAATTCTCAATTTCACTTCAAATTAGAGAATCCATAATGGACTAGAATATAAATTACAAACACATACACACATCTTCACTTAAAGTTGTTTTAAGTTCTTTGAAGTTCTGACATGTTTTTAGCCAGGGTTATTTGTTCAGGTTCTTCCTTGTTAGGATTCCAGACTGGAAAGTTGGAAGTCTCAGGAAATGCATGTTTCCATGAGTTTTTTAGTTTCACAGTTTTACAGATCCAACGACACAATCTTTTAATCTTTGGTCACTCAACCAAACAGGAGTTCCGTAGGCAGAGTGCTCACTTTGAATTGCTAATAGAAAATAATGCACAGTGTCCTCAGGATATGCTAAACAAGGTTTTTAAGAGCATTTTATTTTACAGCACTTTAGTCTTTTCAGCTAGATTTCAGTGACACTATGGTGTAAATGCTATATCTGCCATAACTTATTGGTGGCTCCTGTGTTACATACAGTTTTAAATAATGCTCTAAATTGTTTGTTTTCCCAATGATAATGATAAAGTGTTCTGTAGAATTTGTAAAACATGTCAATTGAATCTGTTGAAAATTGTGTAATTGTTATTTCAATTGTGATACTATTTTGTAGGTAATAGTTTTAAACGTATATTTGTATGAGTCAAAAGTATGTGCTTGTATGTGGTATGTGTGTGTAAGTATATAATATCTTATCAAAAATCAAACTTATCCTAAAGAAAAAGGGCACATTGTGACCAGCCTTAATTTATTAACACTTTTTTGTTGTTTTTGCAATTTGGATTTAAAATTGAAACAGAAATTAAGTTTTTGTTAAAAATGGTGTCTTTTAATTTTGTGAGGAATGGGCTTTAGAACCTATCTGAGTTCCCACAAGCAAACTGTCCACCTTGTGAGGTACCCCATTGCTTTTCGTAATAATCAAACATCAATTCATATATTAACTTCATTTTCATACAGACTAATTTGTTTTCATCAACAATAGAACCAGTACACCTTTAAAGTTGACCTTCCCAACATGGCACCCATTTTTCTTTAATGATAAATTTTCCATGAAAAATTGTTTCTCCAAACCATTACTTTTTAAAATTCAATCTTCCCAAGTAAGATGAACTGCCTTGGTGTTAGGAGAGCTTTTAAAGGCCCATCCATACTAGGTGGTTCCAACATGGTTCTCTTCTCGAGAAAACAAGCATGCAACCCACACACTTTTCTGGTCTGCCCCACGTGTAGAATTAGTCTAGCAATAGAAAACTCATGACTGACAAGGATCTACACATGTGGTCATGCTTGAAGCAAAAATTCTGTGACCTTCTTTGGGCTTGGATCTGATTACAGAATATTAATTAACTTTCTTATTTCCTTTCTTTCTCCATCCTTAGTTATTCCTTTTCAATATTTAGAGTTGCCAGGTAAAATACAGGATATCCAGTGAAATTTAAATTTCAGATAAACAGTATTTCTTTAGCATATTTCTCATATATTTAATCAGACATACTTTCACTTTAAAAAAAGTTTATCTGAAATTCAAATGTAACTGGGTATGTCCTATATATTTTTTCCTAAATCTCACAATTCTATCCACACTGCCTTTCTATCTTTTTCAGCTGGGCTATCTATAAGGGGCGAGATCTACCTCCCTCCATACCCTTGTGTTCAGACACCTTATGAATATCTGCAGTCATAATGTCCTTCAAGAAAGAAAACATTGGTCAGCTCTAGGTCCTGCAAATGCTTTTTGAAGGACGAACTCAAATACAGATGGGATAATCAAGTAAATATCTTCATAGGATCAATGCCACCATGTTCAACACTTCCCTTTGCCAGCCTGTTGTGAGGTCCAAGTTTCCCCATTAATCCCTTATATAGCATTTCCCAGTAACTGGGACAACCAAAAACACACCGACATATTAGAAATGCTCCTGAAAAGTGGCAACACCGCCTAACTCAGTACCAGGACCTCTTTTAAATTCAATTTCTTTTTTCTTTCAGAGAGATAACAAACGAATTCATTATTTCCCCCATTCACATCTTACCACAAATTATTTTTATCAGGTTAAAACTGGTCATCTACGGAATTGTAGAAAGGTGACATAGGAACTGTCTTCACTGCTGGAAGAATAAAAGAGTCTGAGGTATAGACACTGCCCTGGTGACACCTTCTCAGAACATTGTTGGGGGACAGGGGAGGCAGGCGCAAGTAGGGGATAGAATCTGACCCTGACATGCAGCTATCACCTGGCAGAGAGACTCGTCAAAGCAAATTATAACGACCAGTACTATTTTTTTTTGGAATTGAAAACCCAAGAAGCCCTAAAATAAGAACAGTGAGATCAAAGGCTGGTTTCTAAAACAATGCAGAAAATAGAACCATGTTGGAATTCCTAAATTCTAGCTTTCAAATACTACTGTTTCCAACAGTGAATCCTTGACAGAGACTGAATGCAGATGGAATTTTGAAACATTTTCAGTAGCTACCTCCTCTCCTGAAATTCCTATAAGTGGCAGAGGAAAATCCAAATCCTTTAATATAACATGTCCATCTCATGACTCCTGCTTACACACATTTGTGTTGATTTGCTTCATTTCTGGAGGATGGGAATTTGCAGAGCTGGTGACATTTCCTTCATTAGACACCAGAAATTCACCAGAGAGAGACAGATCTGTGCCTTCTCTTTTTAGGATCTGGTTATTGATACTTTAATAAATGTGGTGTAAAGAAAATCCATGGCTACAGTCTGTATAGAAAATGTGAATTTTTTAAATAAGATTGTGTTCTTAATGTAAAAAATAAAAGTTTATTTGTATTCAGTGAAATGCCTAATAAAGTCCTGGTACCAATTATCTTTATTTTTTATTTTAATATTTATCAGTGCTTCATTATAAGCTCAAAAATGGATCTCTTAAATAGGGCATGACTCAGAGCATCAAAAAATGTAATTCTTTTTTAACAATATGAATCATCATATTAGGGTTTCCACCATAAAAATATATATGTATACTATCTACCAATAAAGTCAGTGCTGTGAGTCCTTCAATTATATAAAAGTTAGGTATCTGATGTCCAATACACTTCACTTCTGATATTATGAAGAAGGCCCATATCAATGTAGCAGTATTATAGTAACATAGCATATTAATATAAAACACAATTTCTTTTCTTTCTTTTTTTTTTTTTTTTTTTTTTTGTTAAAAGCTTCGGGTGAAGGAAATCTATCTACTTTTATTGAGCCTGCATGGTACCTAATACATGAGACATTATTTCAGAAGTGGAATTGCCTTTGTATTTCACCAAGTAAACCCTACCTGCTGGGTTTAAATCATGCTTAAAACAAAATTTAAGCATTGTAATATTATTATAAAAATAGTCAAGCAAATAAATATGGTCCAAGATTATCTTTGGGGCTGAGCATGGACATAAATCCTCCCAAAGACTCTACTAAATCCCCCCAAAGATTCATGACACTAGAGGATTTCTATTTATAAAGCTGTAATGATTGCTGCATTCAAGAAGTAGTGTATGTCTGCAAATAATAATCCACATAACTATATCTGTGTGTCTTTAACATAATATTGCTATAGCTTCATCAGAGCTCTTATTCATTTATTTTGTCATTCAGCAAACATTTGCCTACTTTGTGGCAGCTTCCCCGCTAAGCACTATAAAACATTTCTAAAAAGTTTCCTAGGAAAATGGACAAAGTACACCTTTGGTAGTCTCTCACTTGAGCTAACAAGTGGCACTATTTTGTCTCCAAGCAAAGCATTCATTCTCAATGACATTTTCAAAGTAATATCCCCAGATAATAAAATGGTTTGAGCACAGTTATTCCTGAAAGCCTGAGAAGAAAGGGACAACTTCTAAAATAAGTATAATTGGAAATAGGTTGGTCATGACCACAGGCAATGAAGAGTAGACTCTTGTTCTCTCCCTGACACAAACTTTGCCACTACGTACAGGGCACTGTGTGCAAGCTGGTGGCCACTTCCTATCTGTAGCGTTAAAACAGAAAAAGCAGAGCTCTATCCCTTTTCCTTTCTCCCCTCACCTCCAGACTTCAGAAGAAACTGCCTTTGCTCCACAGGAGAGGCTGATAGCACCACTGAGATGTTAACTAGTAGACTTCTGCATCTCAGGTAAGCTGACCCCATAAATAAAAGAGGTATCTCCTCCATATAAAGTAAAAATAATGGTGCTTCCTACATCAAAGGGGTAAAAACATCATCTGGAATTGAAGGAGATAATTCTTTTCAGGTGGAAAAAAATACTGTAGGACAATAAGAGGTTTCATCATTGGCTCTCGACATGTGGTTCAATGTATGTTCTTAGCGATAAGCCATAATAATGGCTGCACTGGAATTAAGTAGCAAGAAGTAAATCTAAATGTGATGGGCATTGATACCATACTCACTCTTCAGTCCTGTGGATAGAACTATTCCTGGAAACATCTGGATCTGTGAAGCAAAGGTGAACCACATTAAACTCTAACAAGTGGGCCTTAGTGCCACAGTGACAGGGAGAGGAAGGTGTTTGAGAACACCAATGCTGGCAGCTCCCGAAGCACCTCTTGGCAGAACCCTTATACTCTATTCGCACTTACTTCTTCACAGGAATATGTAAGCTTGACCTCCTGGGGTTTTACTGAGAAACAAGAGAAAATCTTTTGCCTCAACACAACTACCCAGTTGTTATTAAATTGTGTTCTTTCACTTTAGAAAAAAAAAATGTGCCTGTAGACTGGTTTCTACATTGTATGGGGATAAGGCAGAACATTTTAATTTAGAACCAATAATCCTTTTCTCTTAGGACTATAAGAATATTAGCCTTTGATTTAAGCATTGAAGGTAAAATATTCTTGTATTCCTAGCGCGTAGCAGGTATTAAAACATGTTTGGAAACAATGAAATCAAAGTGCAGCTGATTGTGACCCAATCAAACTGTGGACAGTTGCTTGATAAGGGCCACATACATGCTAAATATTGATAGGTGGTAATGAGGGCTCAAAAAACCATAAGGCAGTATCCCTACCTGTTGTATTCCTTGGAGAAATACTGAGAAAGTCAGGAGAATTTAGGGGAAAATACACTGCATGGTGTTCTCTATAAGAGTAAAAGACCCTGTCTCTTAGGCTCTAAAGTCAACTCTCAATCTTGTTGAAGAATATTCAACCATGGGAATTTGGCTTGTCTATTCTAAAAAGAGTGAAAAAGAGTTGGGAAGGAGGTTACATTTTGAGCTTCAACAAAATGTCCTGTTAAATTTTCCCAAAATCCCTATTAAATTTTTTATTCGCTCATAGATAGATATGGGGTTGCATAAACTGTTAACTAAAATTCCACAGATTCTTGCTCCCACAGAAGACCGCTGCTCACATACCCTTTTGGAAGACTACCTCTTACCCCATGCTTTTCTGAGTGCCCAGAAGATACTAGGTAGTTGCAAAAATAATTTCCGTTTTTGCCATTATTTCCTGTTTGATTCATATTAAACTCCACTACTTCTGGCTACTGCCTGTGCTTCTTTCTCATCTTGATGCCCACTGCAGTCTCTGGTCTCTGCCAGACCCAGTGATCTGCCCACTTAGCACTGCTTATCCACAGCTGGGCATCCTACAAAGGTGGAGTCTTCTGGGACTAAAGGGGTGACTGGCCTGTGGCCAACTAAAGCTAGGTGAGGAAATGCTTCTCCTCCCTTTATGTTATATTCTAACACAGGGGCTCAGATATAGGGCTCTTACATTTTAAAAATTACCCAAGATCAGAGGAGTGGAAGTTTCTTTCTTTCTTTTTTTTTTTTTTTTTTTTTGAGACAAGAGTCTCCATCTGTTCCTTAAGCTGGAGTGCAGTGCAGTGCAGTGGTGCAACCATGGCTTACTGTAGCCTCAAGCTCCTGGGCTCAAGTGATCTTCCCACCTCAGCCAACCTAGTAGCTGGGACCATAGGCATGCGCCACCATTCCCAGCTAATTTTTAAAACTTTTTGGTAGGGACAGGGTCTCACTATGTTGCCCAGGCTGGTCTTGAACTCCTGGTCCCAAGTGATCCTCCTGCCTCACCTTTCCCAAGTGCTGGGATTGCAGGCATATCATTTTTAGATCTGGTTCTCTCTCTCTCCCTCCCTCTTTTCCACTACCTATTCCCCTCCCCCTCTCCCTCTCTCTCATCTATGGCCTGGAGACAGAAATGAATTCCAGTGACAACCACTGTACTATTCTCAAAATTGTCACTCCCCTTTGAGGACCAGAGCTTTCTTCTTGGTCAAATTTATCTTCCTGGCTTCTCATTCTCTCAAGACATTATCCTAGTTCATTTCTTAATTTTTATAAAAATAGGGCTCTGAGAGACCCACCCTCCCAGCTCTGTTATTTAGAATCATTCTAGAACCCCACATGTGTGTGGTCTAAAAGAACCAGCAGCTCCTGCTAGCAGCCATCTCCACACAGACAGGCAAACGATAAAATTGAGTAGGGAGCTTTGTGTTTGGGTTCCAAGTTTTTCCTTAGTAGAATTCTTCCTTCCCCTGTCCACCCCAAACAAAACTTATTCTCTCCCTCACACAAACACACAAAATGATGAGTTTATTTACAATGAAGTATTTAATGTGGCTTAAAATAGCAGTTTTTCAATTTTTTTTTTTTACTATACAAGAGTGTTTACAGAAAAATGAAATCACAAAGCAATATATTACAGGATGGCTGTCATAGGGAAAGGCCAGTGGCTTTGTGTCCCCTTTCCCTAGCTTTCCTGAGAGGCTCTATGGAAACTCCTAGCACTTCTCAAACTTTATTGTGCAAACAACTACATAGTGATCTTCATAAAAGATCAGATTCTGATTCAGCATGTCAGAGACTGGTCCCAGATTCTGCCTTTCTAACAAGCTCCCAATGATATTGATGCTACTGTCATAGGCATCCCACTGTCAGTAGCTAGGCTATGGAGTCCAGCTTCAAAAAACCTGCTTCATAGTCTCAAATGTTCATGAGATTTGCTTTGCAGATGAATAAATGACCAGATCTCTAATTATAAAAACAGTTTGAATGCAACAATTATTGTGGGAGAGAGAGCTATAATAATTAAAAACCCCTTTGTTTCCAGTCCTAGTCAAACCAAAACCACCAGTAACTACTTGAAGTCTAACAAAATCAGGTTTATTTACCCACTGCAAAGTTCATCTCACCAAAGAAAAATATAGGTTGTTACAGAGTTCTGTGTAAGAGTGGAGTTTAGATGAAATTTAAACAAAACAGTATTTTGATAGACTCAAAGCAAAGTAGGGCTTTGTAAAGTCTAGTGGAGTCTAGACTGCAAAGCGGACTCAGAGTCCTGCTTCTTTTCACCCTACAAAGTGATGTAGCTATGGAATGTTGTGTGCAGAAGCTCATTATCTAAAGCTCTGCTCCTGGGCTGTGAATTGAGGCTGCTTCTCTGTGTCAAAGTGACTTAAGTCCCACATGCACAAGTGGAATGTTTTATTTTTACTGATAGAATTTAAAACAGCCATACTCATTCAAGAAGGGGGTTGTATTGACACCTTAGAGCTGCAATGTGTCCTCGTGTGAATGTCTCCTTCCTTGCAGAGTTGGCTTTATCTATATCTTTCTATTATTCCAACCTGATAAATGGCCACGCAGATTATACATTCTCAGTTCCAATCTAATTTTAACCTGATCAGTTTGCAAATGACAGAAACCCAACTAAAATCAATTTAACCAAAAACATGAGGTAGGGAGACACTTTTCAAACTAATTGGAACTGAAAAAGCAGCAGCTTTGGGGATAACTGGATCTGGGGTCTCAAACAGTATCATCCGGGCTTGAGTTTTCTCCATCTGTTTTATTTTCCTCTGTCTGCACTGACTATCCTTAAGGAGGATCTTTCCATACTGAGTCAAGATGACCAAAGATACGTTTTCCTAATAGTTTCAACCTAGAAACATAATGAGTTTCACTGATCTGATGTGGGCCTGAAGGCAATTGCCCAAACAAGCACTGGGTATGAGAATAGAATGGACTGATTGGCTGAGACTTTGCCAGCCCCATCCCTATGAGTGAACTGCAAATGAGGAAGAGGGGGCTTACAAGAAAAACCTAAGTTCTGCTACTGCAAGATGTTAGAAGGTGCTCTAGTCAGGCACAAATAGCAGATGTCATCTACATAAGTTTCCCAATACCTCTGAAACCAGGCCATATAGGTGGGCATTGCATTTATTTACTCTTTAGGGTGGCCTTGATTGTTTGACTTCAGTTCTGAATCCCAGAGGAGATTAAAAAGTAAAAACTAACATTAAATCAAATTTTAACTCTTATTTTTTGATTTTTTTCTTTTGCTTTTTAATTTTAAATTATGTCAAACTTACAGAGAAGTTGCAAAAATATTAGAGAAAACATCCATATATATTTTCCTCAGAGTCACTTTTTAGTTAATATTTTTTCAATGTTAACTTATCATCTGGAAAACAGTGTGCTTTTAAATGATTATTCACATTCCAGAAAGAAATTTTTAATTAAGAGGTCAGAATTGAAAAGTTTAAAAACCTATATCCCCACAGTCATTCATATAATGAAGTAGGTCTTCATTCAAAATTCACATTATACTAAAGCACCACAGAGAATATAAAAAGAAACTCAATGGTTTATATAAAAAGAGGGGAAAAGAAAGTTTCGATCATGTATAATATGTGAGAAGGTATTAGGTGGGCTGTTTAGTCTGAATAAGATGCAGGCTAGAATTCTCACTGTGGAGGAAGTAACAGGCAATTCTTCTGAGACAACTTTCAGAAGAAGGTGCCAATATGGTCAAATTAATGGTTCAACAGTGGGGGAAAATTACAGCCTTGGTAGCACCAAATTATTTCCTCCCCAATGAATACAAGTTGCAGGAGATCCCGTCATCAGTTCAGTTCTTGGGGTCTGTATTAGTCCGTTTTCACACTGCTGATAAAGACATACCTCAGATTGGGTAATCTATACAGAAAAAGAGGTTTAACGGACTCAGTTCCACGTGGCTGGGGAGGCCTCACGATCATGGCGGAAGGTGAAAGGCATGTCTCACCTGGCAGCAGACAAGAGAAGAGAGCTTGTGCAGGGAGACTCCCATTTTTAAAACCATCAGGTCTCATGGGACTTATTCACTATCATGAGAACAGTATGGGAAAGACCTGCCCCCATGATTAAATTACCTCCACCGGGTTCCTCCCACAACACCTGGGAATTGTGGATGTTACAGTGCAAGATGAATTTGTAACTCATTCACAGCCAAACCATGTCAGGGTCACTATTGACCTGATGAGTTACGAGAGAATTGTAACTCATTCACAGCCAAACCATATCAGGGTCACTATTAAAATAGTTGGCAGAACCACATCTACCTGATACCTGAGATAAGGTATGCTGAATTAGGAAAGTGGATGAAATATAGTGTGGGGTGTGCGTGTATGTGTGTGTGTGTGTGTGTGTGTGTGTTAATATTTAGATGCTCCATAGGATTTTCTGCAGGGTTTTCTCTTAAAAGATATTTTTTAAATCTAATTCAGATGCCTCCATCTAATAAGGCCTTCCACAAGGCCACATTCCCAAATTCTGGTCACTATTTCAGCAGTTACAATTTCTTATGGAGTTATAAGAAAAAGACCTTCTTAATCAAAAGCACATAATAAAAATAAGTTTTTAAACTAATACTGAAAATATCAAAATATGATCAGCAGCCCTATGAGCACAAGAATGTTTGTCTTATTTACCTGTGAATCCCCAGTACTTCGTATGGTAATTGCACATTAGTTCCCCAAGGCTTCCATAACAAATTGGATGGTTTAAAGAACAAAAACGTATTCTCTCACTGTCCCGAAGACCAAAAGTCTGAAATCAAAGTGTCAACGGTATTGGTTATTTCTGGAGGCTCAAAGGAAAAAAAAAAACATCCCATGCTTCTCCTCCAGCTTTTGGTGGTTGTTGGCAATTCTCAGCATCCCTTGGCTTGTCAAGGCATTACTCCAATCTCTGCTGCCATCATTACATCATCCCCTTGGTGTTTAACTCTGTGTCCTCTCCTTTTCTTACAAGGGCACCAGTCATTGGATGTAGGGACCACCCTAATGCAGTATGACTTCATCTTAACTAATTACATCTGTAAAAATCCTACAGTCCTCTCTTATTCACCATTTCACTTTCTGAGGTTTCAGTTACCCACAGTCAACTGTGGTCTGGAAATATTACATGGAAAATTCCAGAAATAAATAATTCATATGTTTTGAATTTCCTGCCACTCTGAGTAGCATAAGGAATCTCACTCTGTCCCCATCTGATCGGTCATCAGATCGACTTTCTTGGTATCGCAGTGCTTATGTTCAAGTTATTTCTTGTTTTATTTAAAAATGGCCCCAAAGCACAAGGGTAGGGATGCTGATGATTCATATATGCCAACGAGAAGCCATAAAGTGCTTCCTTTAAGCAAAAAGGTGAAAATTCTTAAGAAAAATAAGTTGTATGATGAGGATGCTAAGATCTATGGCAAGAATGCATCTCCTATCCATGAAATTATAAAGAAGGAAAAATAAATTTGTGTGTAGTATGTACAGTGTTTAGTACTATTCCTGCTTTCAGGCATCCACTGGGCGTCTTGGAATATATCTCCCATGGGTAAGGGGAAACTACCATATTTCCTTACCAGGTCACATTCTGAGATTCAGGGTATGCAAGGATTTGGAGGGATACTGTTCAGACCACTAAAACTCGGTATATAACCTAAAGAAATGCTGAAATATTCACCATGTGTTACAAAATAATATATATCATCCATCTTTCTTTTGATAGATCCTTCTACAATTCAGTAGGTTAGTTGTTCAGTGAACTTAATTTAAATCAAAATAGCATGAAATAGAATTTAAATTATTAGTATATAAAAATTCATTTGAAATATTTTTTCTTACAATGCTGAAAATATAAAAAGAAATACAAGTCCTGGACTTCAGAAACATTCTCACATTTTTAAGTAACTTTAAAAAATAATGGTTTCGTATACTCTGCTCAAATAGTCTATTTTTTCTACAACTTCTCTTCATTGCATTTTTCTGTAGACCTCTTCTCAGGTAGAATGATTACATGATCAATAGTCCTTCTTTAAATAAATTTTACCATTTTTCAAAACATTGCACTTCAAGAGATATAACAGAATGAACCCTGTGTTAACAAATTTAAAAGTGACATTTAAACAGAACATGTTTGCTCTCTCATTGTCTCATATAGCACCAGATAGACTCTGGTGTTTCTGTTAGAAACAAACAGGAGACAGAAACCACACTAAGTTGAACAGATAAAGTTTAATATGTAATTATTAACTGTAACAGAGGATTGAAGAAATGGGATATTGGCTACTGTTGGGAACAGGCCCCCCAAAATCTGGCCTTAAACTGGCCCCAAAACTGGCCATAAACAAAATCTCTGCAGCACTGCGACATGTTCATGATGGCCATGATGCCCACGCTGAAAGGTTGTGGGTTTACTGGAATGACCACAAGGAACACCTGGCCCACCCAGGGCAGAAAATCGCTTAAAGGCGTTCTTAAGCCATAAGCAATAGCATGAGTGATCTGTGCCTTAAGGACATGCTCCTGCTGCAGAAAACTAGCCAAACCCCTCCCTTTATTTCGGCCCATCCCTTTATTTCCCATAAGGAATACTTTTAGTTAATCTATAATCTATGGAAACAATGCTTATTACTGGCTTACTGTTAATAAATACTTGGGTAAATCTGTGTTTGAGGCTCTCAGCTCTGAAAGCTGTGAGAACCCTGATTTCCCACTCCACACCTCTATATTTCTGTGTGTGTGTGTCTTTAATTCCTCTAGCGCTGATGCGTTAGGGTCTCCCTGACCGAGCTGGTCTCAGCAGGCTACCATGAAGTAAGGAGAACTACAAGGAATATAAGAATAGCAGAAATAAGGAGCAATACTCACCCTTAGGGCTTAAGTACAGCATCCAAGTAAGAACTTCCCAAAGAGCTGAGATTCATACTTCACTGGGGAGGGCAAAACAATGGCTCACTGGATGTCAGAAAAGGGGCTGAGATGCTGTGCCATTGGAACCTGATGGCAGTCTGCTCTCTGAAGAAAACCATCCAGAGGGAGAGGTAATGTCTCAGAATTTGCTGCAATGTTGCACAAGAGGGTTCAGGGAAAACTGTGCACAGAGATGTGCCCCTTCATGGGTGCCTTGCTGAAAAAACCATCTAAGGGGCTCCATGGGGCAGCTGTTGGTCAGTGAGTGCTTCTGGGCACCGTGTACTGCAGGAACTGGGCACTGCAGGAGCTGGGCATTGAGAAGCCCAGTACTAGAGAAACCATGCTGCAGGATCCTGGCAGGCGGAACAAACTGGGACCAGGAAGAAAATGACACTTTCTTCCTCTAAACTCCCTCCAAGTCCTCCACTGGTAAAGCCTAACATTGAGCCAGATAACAAAGAAAACCTATTTAAAGTCTATATTATCACAAAGCAGGCACTAAAATATGAATTTGGAGCTGAGGCAATAAACTGATAATTGGCACATCTGGTTAGCCAATTTTCTTACTTTGTAAACTGAGTTCAATCATGTTTTGCTTAATGAGGTATTCTAGACTGCTAGGACACTAACTTTTGTGGAGACAAGAGAGTTTCTCTAAATTATACAAGTGCTAAGGGAACACCAAAATACTGGAGGCTAAATATGTCACATGATACGTTCTATTTGTATAACACTTAAACATAGTGACCTTCAATGCTTAGCCTGTTACAATGCTTTTTATGTTTATTATGAATAAAATTGAAACCATCATTACATAGAATTATTATTTCTATTTTAAAAGTCTTATTAATATTATATCTAAATTATTCTTTCTTACTTCATGCTTTTCGTACCGTTTATTTTTACATTGCTGTTTTCTGACAAACATTAACAGTAGAGGACCTAAACTCCAGGCAGAGTTTATCAAATATCTTTTATGTATTTGTGCTTTCCTTATATTTTCTAATTTATTTATCAAAAATTTACACTTTAAGCTTGAATATTATCATCTCTATGTTACAAATAAGGAAATCAAGACTTAGACAAGTTCAATAACTTGACCAAGTCCATATAAGCTAATAAATCATTGAATCAGGATGTGGGCATGTCTACATCAATGACTCATCAGTACTCTATAATGGCCCCTGAAGAAAATAATGTCAATGATTAGAAGAAAATTATAAAATAGCTGTGCCATTGCTACTATTTGCTTTCCTTCCCTTCCCTTCATTTATAATTGCAGAGGACATCATTACTTCTGGCAGCATTAGAATAGCTAAGGAAGATCAATAATGACTATTTTTAATAACATATATCATAATTTATGATTCTTAAGTAAGCTTATGGGATCTAATTTTACTAATTTTTTTCATTTCACCTTCTTGTTTCCACATTCCCTTTTTCTCAGAAAGTGATGTTAATAAGCCTTCTATCACTGTCTAACTCACAGGGACCCACTGTTAACATCCAAGAGAGGGCAGAACAAAGAATAAGTTTGTTGCCAACCCTTGTGGTTATTTCCACAGAGACTTAATAAACCGCTCAATAAAAGGCAATTTAGAGAAATAAAGAAGCTGTGTAAACAAATGTCTTGTTGATCAGTGAACATTAATGTATCTTCTCATTCAATAATTTGCTTTAGAATCCACCTAAGAAATACTGCACCCTATCTTTTAATGCTTAGGATATTTGATTATTTGACAAAAGAAACACATAATCTATGCATTGATTAACATATTTCATATATCTAATTCAAAGCTTATCACAAAAGCTCACCACCTCAGTTTCAATAATTTCTATAAATAATCCACTAACAAAGTACTTACTGAATGTATTTATTTATGTGATAGGCTGGAGATACAACTATGAATAAGGCACACCAAACTCACAGCTCTCCTGTAGCTTAAAGTTTAGTGAAGGAGACTGGCAATAAACAAAATAAAAAAGTAGATTTATGGCATTTTAGAAAGTGATATGGGAAAAATAAAGCAGTGAAAGGGGATAGGGTACTACAATTTTAAAAGGGAAGGTGAGAAAACATCTCACTGAGAAGATGGCGTTTGAGAAAAGAACACCTTTGTTCAAAGCTAAAGTGAGCCATACCAACACCTGGAGAAGAACACTCCAGCAAGAGTTTATCCAACATCTCTTATATATCTCTGAGATCCCAATGTGTCTTGTTCCTGCTCTGTGTGGGCTCTGATTGATTTCACTTCTTTTATTCTGCCCCAGGGCTTCCCATTGATAGTACTATAGACTCGTGAGCACTTAAACCCACACATGTGCAAGTTGGAAGGGCATGGAAGTGCAAGTTGGAAGTTTATCCACGTGGATAAACTTCAACCAATGCAAGAGAAGATCATCTGGATGAGCTCTTCTTCCTTTGTGTTCCCCAGGAACACTCAAGGTTGCTCAAGAGTGTATGCCAGTGAACTGAGCAGCTAACTGCAGTAACTGGAAGCAGGCTCAATAACGTGTCCTTGCCCTGGTTCTTCCTCCTTCCCTGCATCACTCTTCTTGCCCTTCTCACCTGTGCCCTGGGATTGAACTCCCTGAAAACATCACATAAGCTCTATGCCTCCATTTCTGGGTAGCACATGCTGAGGCACAAATTGGAAAAGAAGTGCAAAATCCTCAGATGGATATGTGTTTGGCATGCTAAAGAACAGCAAGAAGGCCACTGTAGTAAGATCAAACAGAGCAAGGGGGATGATATAATAGAATTTTGTCCAGAGGTAACGGAGGACCCATCATGTAGGGCCTTATAGACCTTAACAGAACTTTGTCTTTGGTTCTATTTGAGATGAGAAGTTGTTGACATCATCTGCATTATGATTTAACAGGATGACTCTGGGCACTGTGTTAACAAGAGACTGAAGGGGACAAGAGTAGAAACGGATAACCAGTTTGGAGTCTACTGTAGCAATTCTGGTAACAGATGATGACGTCGGCCAGTAACAGCAGAAGTGAAAATATGTGGTAGATTATGGGTATATTGTGAGGGTAAATCTATTTGAACTTTTTTATGGTGTGAGAAGGAAAGAAGAAGCATGGACGACTCTAAGAAAACTTGATTTGATATGAGCTAAAAGGGGGAAGAAAAGTAAAAAGCAGGTAAAGTTCAGAGACCCGCTCTAGATGTGATAAATTAAATGTACCCATGAAACTCCAAGGGCAGATGTCAAGAGAGCAGTTGCATGTATGTGTCTGGATTTCACGAGAAAGATCCAGATTGATAATCATTAATGAGTTATTAAGACTTAAAACCAAGAGATTCAATAAGATTACCAAGGAAATGAGTGCAACTAGAGAAAAGAAGAAGATCATTTACTGAGACGAGGAACACTCCAATATTAAAACGAGGGAGGTAGAGTGGAATCAGTAAAGACTAAGGAATGGTCAATAAGGAGGATGAAAACCAGTAGAGAGTGGTGTCTTGAAAGCCCAGTGAAAAAAGCACTTCAAAAAGAAAGGAAATATGTGATTTATCAGGTTGAATGCTGCTGAAAGGACAAATAAAATGAGGATTGAGAATTTGACCTTTGGATTTAGTAACTTGAAATCATTGTTGACAAGAGCATCTTTACTAAAATGATAGAAACAAAGACACAATTTGAGTGGGTTTAAAAGAGAATGAGAAAGGAGGAACTAGAAGTGACTATATGCCATATTTTTTAGGGGTTTTGTGGTAGAGGAGAGCAAAGAAATGGAGTGATAGGCTACAGGGAAAAATAGGGTAAAGAGAGGGTTTATTTGAGATTATTAAAATAATAGCATATAAGTAGATGAATGAAAATAATTCAACTGGAGAAAAAAATTGATGATGCAAGAGAGGAGCATTTCTGGAGTAATATTCCTGAGAATGTGAGAAGGCTGGAATCTGATAAACAATTGAAGAGGCTGTCCTTACTAGGAACACGGACACCTCATCTACAGCAAGAGGAAAGTGAGTATAAGGGTGAGGATGCCAGTTGGTGGATAGATGTGGTGTGGGAACTTGTGGACCTCTTCTGATTGCCACAGTTTGCTCAGTGAAATTGAAAGCAAATTTATCAGCTGAGAGAGGAAGAGTGAATTGTTGTTGAAGGTAAGCAGAGGGCTAAAAGGGTATTAGTCATCTATCATCCTTTTTGTTTTCTAGTTTTCATTAATTCTAAGATACCTACCTCCATCTCATCTACCCCAATTACCAATGCTGAATGGTAACCAGAGTAGGAGAATTCAGGGAGTGGTATCACAATGAATAGAACCTGGTTATGCAAATGACTGCCCAGTCAATTCCACTATGTCCCATGGGGCCCTTGGGATGGGGCTAAAACTAGGCTCTGTTCCTATCACTTAAAAGCTTTGTAGAAGATGGGCACAGTGGCCCATGCCTGTAATACTGAAAGTCTGAGGCAGGCGGGTCACTTGAGCCCAGGAGTTTCAGACCAGCCTGGGCAACATAGCAAGACCCCATCTCAGAAAAAAATCTTTGGGACCAGCTTATCCATCTTTTTGTCCAATCCCAGCAGCTCAATAGACACCAGATCAAGTCTACGGGTGAGGGGTAGGACGGAGCCTCTTTTGTTGCTTGGAATGTCTGCTTCAGAAAAAGCTGAACCAGTTTACTCTGGTAGGCATCCAGGAATTCCGGACACCGTGATGATGGAAGATGCACCCAAAGTCATCTTCCTTCCCTCCAAGCATCTACCAGATAAGCATGAGTTAGAATATCATGCCCTAGGAAATTCAAAGAATTGAAAAAATATTGCTTGCTTTCTTCCCCTTTCCTCTGCCCTCTATTTTTCATTATATTCTTTCCCAGATACATAATCAGACACTCCTTTGCATATGCAAGAAAAAGGCCTAAATTGGGAACTACACTTTACCTTCTGTTGTGAAAAAAGTAAATCATAGTATTTAGAATGCCTTGCCTGTATAAAGTATATAAATTTTATACATGCATTATTTCATTTAATAGTCACAAAAACTTTACCAAAATTGGATACTAAGTAAAGTTCTAGTGTCCAATTTTGGTAAAGTTTTTGTGACTGTTAAATGAAATAATGCATGTATAAAATTTAAATACTTTATACAGGGAAGGCATTCTAAATACTATGATTTAGTATGACTGTTTACTAATTATTTTGTATAATTGTATACTAAGTATCCAATTTTATAAATAAAGAAACTGAGTTTTGGGGATTTTAAATTATCTATTCAAGTTTACATGAGCAAAAGATGGCTTTAACCCAGGATTTGACTACAGATCCCATGATCTTTGTACTAGACTCCATTATAATTGCCCATCTTTCTCTCAGCCATTTATCTCCCTCCCACTATATTAAATCAATAAGATTCTAGATGACCTTAGTTCACCTAAGCTTACAATATTCAACTAGAAATTGATCAACTGTGGCCATATAGCATATTAAAGAAGGATTCTAAAGATTTTAGTCAGTCGAAACAGACTCTTCATCAGTAAAAATAGAGAACTAGTATCTTTTACTAGTTACTAATATGTTTAAAGAAGATTTAAATTTCCCTAAGTTATAGAATTCTGGAGAATCTGTAACCCAATATTCAAGTAGAAAAGTAATTTCTTTAATTTCCAATACCTTAGAAATTAAAGAAGGTTACCAAGGGCCCCACAGACCAGAAAAACCAGGTAAATGAGTTTAGGTAAAGAAAAAATAAAAGTAAAAACTCAAGGGATGGTGTGTGGAATGAGAAACTGACATTTATCAAGCTTTCTGGTTATTTTGAACATGTTATTTATTTCAACCTTGATAACCATGCAATAAAAGGAGCAAGGCCTCCTAAAGGATAACAATGTTCTCAGCATTACAAAATCTCTAAGTAGAATTTAAACCCAGGACTGCCTGATGCCAAAGCTCATGATCTTTGCACTAAATATAGAAGTTATAAGAAAGAAAAAAAGTTATTCTATTTTTTCAAGACTCCTGAAATACTTACCAATAGCAAAATGGTTACAATAAATGTATTTAAGCCAAAAACACAAAGTGGCCTGAAACAGGTCAGACCATATGAAGTCTGTACCACCCTCTTTCTGCAACTGCTCTCAGCCATCTTTATTGATTTGATTTGATTGCTCTGCATTTTCCATCGACAGCTGCTTAGTGGTGGCTTTCAGTGATTAGCTAAAACATGTATCTGCACAATAACATACAAACATAGTTACTGCAGCACCTAAACAAAAGGGCAAGGTACAACTTTTCAATGATATGCCAACCTCAGCAATTAACACAAGTTCAGAATCACAATATCTCTTCCTATTTTGAGAAAACCTTGATAGAACCTACTGTTTTCCTATATATGCTGTTTTCAAGTGTGAAGAGCTTTCACCAAGGCAAGCAAAAGGAAAGCAATTTTACCAAAAAGAATAACCTGTAATATGTTTTACCCGTTATTGATGGCAGCAGTGGCCCATCCGGAGTGGCTGCTGCAAAGATGCCAGCTGCAGCCGGGTAGGTGCAGCTGGGGCTGCACATTCCACGGAGCTAGTGGGAGCCTTGCCCCTTACTGAGTTGGGGGGTGGGAGCCCCATACTCCTGGGAGCAACTGCAGCACCCAGCTGAGGCTCTGTATGGGGGCATTCTTGCCTTCTTGGGGGCTCAGGAAATGCCCCTGTCCCCCACAGGCTCAGAAGTACCTGCTCCCACTCCCTGGCCTCTCCCTCCTCCCAGCACCTGCTCCTGGGTGGAACAAAGTTGTGGCCGAGCCCAGGTGTTGTCACTACCCAACTTGGTGTGTACACACTCCCAGTGGCACTGACAGGCCAGCCCCCTGCCACCTTGGCTCCCTCCAGACTTTGAGTGCTGATGAGCATGGGAGGGAGACTGAGCAGGGGTGAGGGTGGCTCAGCAAGAGCCCACAGGCACCCCTGAGCCATGAACAGCCTGGGCGCTGTGACATTGTGATGATGTTGATGGCAGCAGGAGGCAGACAGGCTTCTCAGCAGAAAGAGGCGGGTCCCAGGTGAAATTCCACTTTCAATGCAGGGATGGCCCAAAGCCTAGAAACCAGGCTGCCAGTTCCAGGTAGAGTCCCCGGTCCAGAGAGCTACCCACTACGGGCCTCCTCTTCACTGAGAACTGGACACTCATCAGGATGACCTGCCTGCAGAAAGGAGCTACCCACTCTGGGTCTCCTGAGAGCTGTTCTGTCATCCAGTGAAGCTCCTCTCCACCTTGCTCACCCTCCAGTTGTCTGTGTACCTCATTTTTCCTAGATGCAGGACAAGACCTCGGGACCTGCCAAATGGTGGGACTGAAAGAGCTCTAACACAAACAGGGCTGAAGCCCGCCCCCCACTCCACCTCACCATGTTGCAGGCAACAAGATGGAAAGTAGAGCTGCAGCCCTCTGGGGAGCCCAGACCTAGGGGCTCCCCAAGCCAGGGCTGTGACACTTTCTTTGACTCTGTGGTTCCTGACATATGCAAGCTTCCAGGATCCACCACATTCCCCTCATCCAGACACACGTGCCCAGAGCAGAAGCCATGTGTGGTACATCTGGTCCAGCCACAGCCTTGCACAGAGCCAACACCTGTGCCAGCACCTGGCTGTGTGCAGTGGCCGGAACCCATGCTCACTCACCCACAGACCTCTTGCCTCTCTGTACCTGGCTGGCCCTTGGCAGGTGTAGGATCCAAGCCAGTAGCACGAGCTGAGTACAGCCTACCAGGCTGAGTGGGTGGAATGAGCCCAGCAGGCACAAGCAATATTCAGGCATAAGGCACTGCCAGCCACAGAGGTTTCTGCCTGGAGAAGCAACTCCCCAAGTATCCTGTGACAGTATCATCAACTTGGCCATTGAGATGTTAATCTTTCGCCCAAGCCTAAATTAAAAATTCAGAGTCTCAACTAATAGCTGAACCCTCACAGAAAAGAGACATCCATTCATTCATTCAGTGAATTAGTATTTTAATTGAACACCACTATTTGTCAGGTACTCTCCTATATTCTATAGATACAGAGGTGAGCAATATGTAAACATACTTGTCCTCTTGGAAGAAACTTGCATGATAGCAGGGAAAGCTAAAAGAAATTATTACACAATTACATAATTACAAACGTGATAAAATATATATGTGAAAGTTATGAGTTGTAGATGAATGCACGTACAAAAGAAGTACCTAACTTAATCTAGGGGTCGTAGTAGGTTTCTAGAAGAAGTGGTGCTTTAATTGAGTTCCAGAGGATGTGTAGGTACTGGCCAGGTGAAGAGGGAGGAAGATTCAGGAAGAGCATGGGGAGCAGCCTAAGTAGAGGCATGAAATGCTTGTATATCAGGAATAGTTTCAGTGAGGCTCATGAAAACAGAGGCTGGAGGAGGCTGAGATGGAACTGAAGAGGTTATGCAAAGTCATGTGGACTATGAGAAGCATTTTGGACTTTATTTTAAAGGCAATCAGATGCTATTAAAGGATTTTAAGTAAGAGAGGGAAGTAATCATATTTGTTTGTTAAAAGATTTCCTAGGATGCTATGTGCAGAATAAATTGGAGGAAGCAAATAAAAGGACTTTGCAAGAATTCAGGAGAGAGACAATGATGGTTTGGATTAGAATAATGACAATGAGGGTGAAGAAAAATGGATGGGTTTGAAAACACAGGATTTAATGCTAGACTGAATATGGGGGGTGGTCACGAAGAAAAAGGATTTAAAGGTATTCTCAAGTTTCTAATTAGAAAAAAATCAGGAAATTGTTATGTTAAATATAAAAATGGAAGACATTCCAGAATGCACACATTTAGAAAGATGGATCATTGGTTCACATTTTGAACATAATGAGTTTTAGATACTTTTGTGATGGGATAGTCTTGAGTAGGCAGCTGCGTGAACTGGCTGAACACACAAATTGAAGAACAACATGAAAATCTCCAGATCTATTTAGAAACAGAGTCTGGATTGAAACAAAGCTATCTCTCAATTATTAAATGTTGAATTAAATAATGACTGCAGGACACAAACATGACCAAAGGAGGTATCATTACACATCTCTATAGTGACAAATATTCTCCTCCACCTGGGCCTCCAGGTTAACTGGCATAACAAACTTTAATCCTCCATCATCTAAGTGCCTTCCTAAGAAATGATAAAGGCTAAAATTTTAAGTTTGAAAGGAAATATTAATAAGTGAAAATATTATAGGTAAAACCGAAACCAGAAGATAATATCAAAAAAGATAGTTCATCAAATGTAAATTCTGAACACTGACCAAGGTAGTATACAGGTAATTAAAAATAATACCTGCAGCACATCATGCTTGTGAGTAATCAAAGGCAATAATGCATAGATGACATACACTTAATTATTGGACAGTACAAGTAAAAAAATCAAGATATGCTCAAATGTATGGTGTAGGTTATTTGTTCAATCAACAAACACTTTGTTGAGGAACCATCATTTGACAGACTCTGTTGTGTGCTGGGGATATAAAGATATACCACTTGATTTTCATTATGGAAAGTCAAGTTTTAGGGAAGAAAACAGATGAACATGAAGCCGTTACAAAGCACGTGTGCTAGAGATAAATATGCATTTTCAAGGGAACATATACATTGAATCAATTAAATTGGTTGGAGGTGATGACATTTAAGTTTGATACTCAATGATTAATGTGTCAAATAGAGAATAGTGGAAGTGTTTTCAAGATACGACACAGCATGGCACAATGATGAAAGAATGAAAGATTGTGGTGGGCTATGTGGCTGATATACAGGTGTATGGTAGGAATTGGTGGAAGGAGAGTCTGGAACGGTGGGTTGGGGTTTTGTGTATCGTGCCATGGGTTTTATTCTGCATGTAATGGGAGAGTACCTAATTCATTTCCAAGAAGGTGGTAAATCATGTTCCAGTATGAGGCCAAGGTTTGGATACTGGTGAAGCAGAGTGGTCATCTGAGCATTCATAAGACTAGTAGAAACCATGTTTAAAAGAGAACACAACTGCCCAACATTAAGATAGCTAAATCTGTCAAAGGTGAGGGGTAAAAGGGAAGAGTATCACAAGGCAAGTGGTTGCAGGAATGATTGGATAACAGAAGCAAGGGGAGAATAAAAATCAACAATTCTAAGGCCTAAAAGACCAAAGATTTGTTTAGTTGACCTCTGGCTAGGATATGGATGAGTTGGCCTGGTTAAAAGACATAAAGGTAGGGGATCTCTCACACAGCGAGACATTGACAGTTGTCAAGCCAGGGGCTAACATAATCAGATTGGTATTTTAGAAAGATTACAGCCAAGCATGGTGGCTCATGCCTGTAATCCCAGGATTTTGGGAGGCCGAGGCAAGTGGATCACTTGAGGTCAGGAGTTCAAGACCAGCCTGGCCAACATGGTGAAACCCCATCTCTACTAAAAATAAAAATATCAGCCAGGTGTGGTGGTACATGCCTGTAATTTCAGCTACTCGGGAGGCTGGCACAGTAGAATCGCTTGAAACCGGGAGGTGGAGGTTGCAGTCGGCCCAGGTTGCGCCACTCCACTCCAGCCTGGGTGACAGAGCGAGACTCCGTCTCAAAAAAAAGAAAAATTGCAACTAAGGTATGTTGAAAGATGGTGTGAACAGGAGTCAGGCAGGCATTCTTTTGGGAAAGTGCAATTAAGAGAGAGCTGATGACAGTTTCAGCTAGATCAATGACCAAGAACTGGAGTAGTCTGATGAGGAAGGGGAAAGATAATATGTCAGAGTGGTCAGGCAAGACTTGTTAGGGTCATTTGCAGAATCAAATTTAGCTTGATAGTGAGGAATGGGGAAGAGACTTCATACTGGAGGAAGGGCAGCAGAACGTTTTACAGAGTAACAGATTTGGCAGACTCGTGAGCCTGACTCTGTCTGGCATTTTTATATTCATATCTGGTTCCTGGTGTAAGCTCCATATCCTGGAAAGATTTTGCAAGAGGACCTCAGCACTACATTGGTCACTATTAAGAGTCTAATGGCTTTTTGCATCAGTCACCTCTAGAAAAGCCAATGGTGGAAGCTAATATAGTAAAAGTTAGTCTGTGGGCTTCAGATTACATAGGATTCTACTGAGAAATTTCCAAGGGTCCTCATAAATCCATTCCTAACATATCCACAGAATATGAATCATTCTCAAACGTGGCTAAACTTCGACACAGAATTATGCACTATGGTGTAGTGAAAAGAGCTTGAACTTTGACCATATATTTGCTAAATGATTGATGAAAATTACCTTGCAATAGGAAAAGATGGCTGTTTGTCAAAAGGAAAAAATGGTATGGCTTAAGTATCTGCAGACTGAGCTGCACTAGCTTCAACCAAGACTTTCTGCAGACTGGTCACTGCTTTTTAATGTTTCCGTTGACGTCAGATAGTGTCTAGTGAAACCAGCTATTTTTATATATCAATTGTAAATGCAGCAGCTATCTCTCCTCTGAATTAGATCACAGAGCAGCAATGAAATGCATGCCTCAGTCATAAGGTAGATGAACAGGCACTTCTAGATTACATTAGAGAGAATATGAGTTCTCCTCACTCTGCCCTAGAGCAATGGTTGCAGTTGTCAATTGTACAAATCATTAGGTGCTTTTTCTTGCAGTGTTTGTAAGAAAGGAATAAAAGGAATATTTTGCTTTGTTGATCCAAGAGTAAGTGCAAGAAATCTGGGCACAGTACACGAAGCAAGCCAAACTTTGAGAGAGCAGCAGAATCGTCACTGCTAGACAAGGACAGAAATGAACATAAAATCATTGATGCCCATTTCCCAATCTTAATGCTGATTCCTTTGATGAAAAGGAAAGTGGATGACCAGATTCAAGGACAGGAGATCATCTGAGCACTCAGAGGCACCTTCTGTGACTTTTGAGGCTGTAGTTGCTGAAGAATTTCTCCAACTGGTTATGTTCTGATGCAAATGCTCCCAAAAATGCCTGCTAATGTTACCAGATAGGAATCCCTAACCAGTAAACCTTATGTATAAGCACACAGCAGCGTAAGAACTATTACACAGAATCTCCATAGTGGCGTTGAACATATTTTCATGTGCCTTCATATTTTGATAAGAAACAAAGCCAACAAATAGTCAACAAATATCACATGATATACGTTTAAGAAAAGTCTCTTAACCATGATGAGAAAGGTCATATAGTGTATTTTTAGATCCACTATATAAAATCCCCCTTCATAAATCCCCCTATATAAAATCAGGTTTTTTGTACGTACAATTTTGTTTTTTGCAGAAGGTAGAAACTCACTTTTTTGGAGAAATTGGGGATGAGAGGAGGAGGAATAAACATTCAAATTCAAAACCATCAAGTTTTTGTGACTCGATGTTGTTTTCCCAGAGTACATACATTTCAATAAGACCCTTTGTTTGCTGGGCTATATGATTGCACTTTATCAATTCTGAACTTTAAATTGCAGACGATAATATCAGCTCCCAAATGTCAGACATCATGATGAATTGGCTTTTCAACTTGTCAAGCCATTCCCTTTTCTTGCTTCCAAAATGTCAAATGCAAAGGTTCCTGATAACAAAGCTGTGCAAAGCATGTTTTTTTGTTGTTGTTGTTGTGGTTTTAGCAATCATAATAATGGAAATTCCTTCAGAGTTTGTTTTATATGTAACAGCTGTGTTTTTATTGATATTCTAATTGTGCAGATTGCGTCACCTTTTAAGTAAATGAATTAAATCGAACCCCCCTCATACAGCACATTTGAAATGATTGATTTTATCACCCCTCTAATGCTAAAATGTATGTTTAAAAAAA
This sequence comes from Homo sapiens, assembly GCF_000001405.40. NCBI lineage: Eukaryota > Metazoa > Chordata > Mammalia > Primates > Hominidae > Homo > Homo sapiens. Next base: position 41,285,022 of record NC_000005.10, on the reverse strand, counting down.
TGTTAAGTGCTTAATTAATTTCTTTTTTTAAATTTGCTTTTTATTCCAGATACAGATATTTTGCCCTTTTGGAAACTGAAGATAAAACAGAAAAAGAAAAGAATTTTAAGATATGTTAATCTAGCAAAACTAACATAAGAATGGCCACCGTGAATTTCATGAAATTTTGCCACAGAGCAATACTAAAAACTGAATGATTATGCCTTTTTCCATATTTTAATTAAAACTGAAATGAAAATACTCACTGTTGGAAAGTAAAGAAATTAAGCCATAGATGGTTTGATGGATTGGTTGATTATTTAGAAACGTATTCATTTAGTCATTCGTCCATCACATATTTACAGAGTATCTACCATATTCTAATCACTAGACTAAGTAGAAAATAGAAGGATAAATAAAGCTCAGTTTCTGGCCTTGAGGAGTTGGAATTTAAGGAGAAAACAGGCTATATCATAACCAGAGATAAAAAGAACTCAATAGGTCAAAGACGTTTACTTCTTCTTTCTAGGTATAACTTTGAAATTAAATTCCTGAAGTCCTGAAAATGAATATTGCATAATAAATCTTGGAAAACCTATCTAAACTATAATGTGACAGAGCTCTAAAGGACAGTCCTCCTTTGCTTAGGTTACCTTGCCATTCAGATGGTACTCCCTTAATAAGTTATACCTCCTCTATTTTAATGTATGTCTAGTAACACCAGGCAGGGCACAATACCCCAATATATTCCATAATACAAATAAATAGGGACATCTAATAGTCACCCTCATTCAAACTATTGTATGTATTGCTCCATTTTCAGCAGATTATTTTTCTGTTTTCTTTTTATCTCTCAAGAAAATGAGTTGGCATTCTGGCCAGTTCTAATGCTCTGGAGCTTCTCTCTTATTCAAAGCATGTAACTCTCAAAAAGCTTTCCTCCATATTGGCAAAGGAAGAGAATAAATATAGTCATATTATACATGCATAAAACATCTTTGGAAGGACACACAAAAAAACTGGTAATATCAGTTGCCTCCAAGATTGGGATTGGGTGGTTTAAGAGGCAGTGATTATAGGAGCACTTTTATTGTATATCCTTGTAAGTCTCGAAAACATTTGAAAATATGCATTGATTACCATTTAAACACACACACACACACACACACACACACACACACTTCAAAATCAGAAACATCTCAGGCCCACTAAACAATAGATTCCCATTTAGTTTCAAGCTCCTTCATAGATCTAGCTCTCCCTTACACCAAAGGTCCTGAAATTCTCAGTTATTTTCTCTCTTTAGTCAAGCCAGTATTCTCTTCCTCATGCTATTTCATTCTACTGCACCATCTTTCTTAACGTGTCAAATGCCTATAATCTCTAGCTTTCCATTTGCCCCACTCCTACCCAACTCCCTCTCTCCTTATGCCCAAGGTAGTTCAAATGCTCTGGGAATCTGCCTTTTGTTAAGCAAATCAGGGAAGCACTATTTTTGAGAACTGCTTGTGATACATAAACAATGACTTCTCCTACCCTGTAATATTGCCCCTGCCCTCCATATAGAAATCAATTGCTTTTATAGAATAAATCGAAATCCAAGTGGATATATGAAAGATGTATGAAAGTTGATCTATCCTTATCTGGCTCTCTCCACACTGACCTGTGATCTCAGGTGAGGCCACATCTGTGAGCCTCTCAGGTGCAAGGATGAGTTTAAAACACATATCTTCAGGGTGAAAGTGGTCAGCCTCTCTCATCTACCCCGAAGATTTCAGTAAGGAAGGATGCTTTTTTCTTGCTAGTTAAGACTTATTGAGGCTACATAATTTATTACCTATCCCAGACAACCAGTGAGTAACCTAAGAAAGTATTTTTTTCCATTTATTACATTAAAAAAAAAGGAGCTACTTTTTCTGTCTTGAGTTCCTTTTATAGAGAATCTGACTACCTTCGCCTAATTGAGACCAGGGACTTGACTATTAGATCTAAAATGACATTTTAGATGAAATATTAGTCATATATATAAGGAAAGAAGTGTCTTTCTTTTAAATGATACTCTATTTTGAGTGAGTGCCAGAGATAGTGAATCTAGAATATGGGGCAAAATCTACTGTAATAATCTTCAGAAAAGAGAAAATATCACTGCTTAATAGGACTTATGACTGTGCCACCCTTATAGATTTATTTCTAAAAGAAAATGAATCCATGTTTTGCTTTCCTTGTAAAGAGCACTGGGAAGTGCCTTTTATCATAGTTTAGTCTGCTGTTAGGAGATTAGAGACAATATAACTGTATCACTAACCTGGGTCTGGCATATTTAAGTTTTAAACCTCTTAACAAGACATACAGTAGGGAGTTTACATATAATGTCTTGAACCAGTATTTTAAATTGTGTATTGTGTATTTTATGTCTTGTTTTCCACATATACTACATGCTCCTTGAGGAAGGGAGCCAAATCTAATCTACAGCATCTGTCTTGGTGTCCAACATCTAACAAATTTTCAAGAAATGGTGGTTAAATAACTTGAGAAACTATAGGGAGGTAACAAAACACAGTCTGGAGGAGAAACATTTGGACCCATTAGAATAAGCCATTTTCAATTAAGGAATAACATTGTACAAGGAAAATCAATTGAGTGCAAAAAATAACTAGACAGTTTGCTTTATTTACAGAAGAAAATATTCAATCTACCTACTTTTAAAAGTGAAATTGGTCATTTATTGAATATGTGTAATAAATTCTAAGGAAAAGGAAAGCACTATAGTTCTTAAATCATGACTTAAAGCAAGGGATCTAAAGAGGCAGAAGAATAATAAATGTAGAAGAGGGAGAAAAAGAAGGCAGGTTAAGAGAGGAAGTTAGTGAAGAGAGTAAGAGATGAGGTTTGCAAGGCAGAAGTGAAGATACAGAGGCGAAGACATTTTCAAGATGTTGGCTGGTTGTAACTTTTTATTGTTCATTTGGGTTGTGAAGCTCAAAATAAATTATCATTAGTCAGATCAGCTTAGTCAGATATTAGACACTTTAAAAGATAGTTATCACCTTTCCCTCTCGCTACATTAGTTAATTGACTATGGTCAGTGCTCACCTGGTTGATTCTTAAATGGCTAGCTGCTGCATTTTCAAAACTGATTGCCGTAACAGAGAACTAGCTAGTTCAGTGTTCCTACAAAATCACCTCAAGAACTGACACATCCTGAGAACCAGCCGACCACGACTCCTGACTTAGGCTCAGTCCCCAAATCCAGATTCTGGAGGTCTCTGTATTCAAATTAAAACTACTCTGCACCAGAAGAATAAACAGACTCAACATTTCTCTCAATGAGAAAAGCAGTATCGATTGAAGATTGTTTAGTAACAATACCTAACACTTATTAAATAACTACCGTGCACTTATTTGCAGGCACTGTGATTTGTCTTTCACATTCATAATCTAATTTCAGCCTCCTAAGGGCTTTCATTTTCACTGCTAAAATCCTAAAAGCAGCCATAGATCAAAGGTAGTTCAATGTAGGAATGACACCAACAAAATCTGGCTGCCTGTGATAACAACAAAGGTTTAATTGACTCACAGTTCAGCATGGCTGGGGAGGACTCATAAAACTTACAATCACGGTGGAAGGGGAAGCGAACACGTCCTTCATCACAGGCGGCAGCAAGAAGTGCCGAACGAGGTGGATGTGGGGAAGCCCCTTATAAAAACATCAGATCTCGTGAGAACTCACGATCAGAAGAACAGCAGCATTGGGGTAACTGCCCTCATGATCCAATTACTTCCCACAGGGTCCCTCTCACGACACGTGGGGATTTTATGGAAACTACAAGATGAGATGTGGATGGGGACACAGCCAAACCATATAAGAAGGGATTAGCAAAAGCAGAAATGAGAATAAAGCTGCCAAGAAAATGTCTCCAATGGCGTGGTGGCTAAAGGACATTTTATCCAAAATATGTCTACTGTTTAAAATTGTCCGTGTACATGTGATGTACTTTTCTACTCTGATATATTTCAGGAAAGTCCTTGACCCACAAATTACCTTGTATGGGAGTTTTCTGGTTTTGTTATAGATTTTCTTTTGATTTGCATTTTTATGTGTATGGAAAATAAGAAAAATATCCAGGTCTTACCTCAGCCTCCACACAGTATGCAAGAAGAACAACATGAGCAAGTTAATCTATAAAAACAGACAACTTGGGCCAGGCGTGGTGGCTCACCCCTGTAATCCTAGCACTTTGGGAGGCCAAGGAGGGCAGATCACCTGAGGTCGGGAGTTCGAGACCAGCCTGACCAACGTGGAGCAACCCTGTCTCTACTAAAAATTAGCCAGGCGTAGTGGCACATGCCTGTAATCCCAGCTACTTGGGAGGCTGAGACAGGAGAATCGCTTGAACCCAGGAGGCGGAGATTGCAGTGAGCTGAGATCACACCATTGCACTCCAGCCTGGGCGACAAGACTGAAACTCTGTCTCAAAAAAAAAAAAAAATACAACAACAAAAAAATCAATTTGTACCAGCAGGTGTTCAGAACCAGAGGTGACCATAAGAACCTGAGTCCCTCTGAAGCTCATGGTAATCTTGGAAAGGGCTCTGGTCTTCCACAGTCCAGACAACGGGGCTCAAATCAATCTTCATTAGACCTAAAGGGTTAGGGGGAACTCCTGACATCTGGATTACCTGTTTGCTTTGGACAAAGCACTTTCTCCACAATTAAATTATTACAGAAACCACGGGTAAAAGTTTTGTGTAGCTATTGCCTGTTAGAAGGCCAAAAGAATATAAGACTATGCATCAATTACATCTCATGGGTAAGAACTGGATTTATGTTTTCCTTATTAGAACTTCATGTTTTAAAAGCTGGTTGGTCCCTAGGGAAGTGAACTAGAGCCAACATGTTAAATATGTAATTATTTCTCTGGAGCTTCAGCATTTACTTCTCCTGAAGAAATGCCCAAGACCTGAGCTAAGTAAAATAGTACAGATGCACCAATATTTTGTGGCCTCAGGACTCTGTTCTCTTGCCACTGGTAACGCATTTCTATAAATACCATATTTGAATTTTCTGTAAAACTATCATTAAAGACATCATCCATTTTGTTATTCCCTGTCTGTGACAGTGACTATCAGTTGCTTATGAAGTATTTTTACTGTTACACATTACTATCCAGAAAAAGACTACTTTTCCCAGCCAAGCCTATACCCTTACATGATGTGGCCACATGACTAAATTCTAACTAATAAAATAGAAGCATAAGTGTTGCATACAACTCCTGGAAAATTTTGTTAAATGGGAAGGGACAAATAACTTTTGGAGTTTCCTTCTTCTTGCTGACCACCTGAAACTCAGATGTGATGGTCAGAGTTCAGCAGCCATCTTGGACTGCTGGATACTGTGAGGATGAAAGCCACAAATCTTGAAGACGATGGATCCGAAAATAGGAGCCTGGGTCTGTGATGACACCACGAAGACTCCTGAGGCACACTGGGTTTCCCTATATCCCATGAAATAAATAGCTGCTACTTTGTTTAAATCATTTTTATTTGGGGTTTTCCTGTTATATGCAGCAAATTTAACATCTCTCTGTCTCATGTAAGCGTATATAAGTTTCTTATAAGATTTAATAGTAGGAAAGAGAACGTTTTCCCCAATAGATTTATTTCATATCTCACTGCCTTTGGTTTTTTGGCCTTGTCTATGATGAAGATCAGAATTAAATATAGTGGTTGGCTGCATTAATGACTCTTGCCCTAGTCTGCTGCTATAGTGATTTTCGTCTCTTACCTCTACTTCCAGCCTGACTCACTTCCACATCTTCTGACAGCTTACTTTCACTTGAGTAATCCAGTTACATATTTTATAAGCTTCCTGAAAAGTGTTTTAAAAAATATCATCACAGGATTTTGTATGATCTACTGGTTAGATGACCTATTGCATTTCAGAAAAAAAAAATTATACAGGAAGAGGGAACAGTGACTTAAATCACTGATATTTAAATTCTAAAACAATTTGATTTCCCTCAGCTGAAAAATATATTCTCTCTGCCTACCAAACAAATCAAAGCCCAACGAGATCTATCCACATTTACAAAAACAATTCAGACTATAAATAAATATAGTTCTTCTGCTATTGCTTCCTTTGTATACACAGAACTTAGGAACCCGAGACTTGGCTATTTACAGGTACTAAATTAATTGGTGTTGAATAATAAATTTCTATCATAACAACTACTAAGGGGCCGAGCTGGATCCAAATCGAGTCTGTGTGCATCCAAGGGCTCTGCTCTCTGTCCTGTACTGACTCATATTCACAGAAAATAATTATTTGTAAGGTAAGGTCTCAAAAAAAGGGGGACAATCTGCTAACAGTCACCGTCTACTTTACTTTTCAAAGATTTTTTTAATAGAAAGGGCAGATAACAGAAAATAAACCTATACACATTCCATAGGTGTGCCCCTGTGTCTGGTCTGAGATTCTGGCATCTTGAAGCCATTGACTTCACAGCCACACCCCTTCTCTCCTCCTTTTCTCCTCTTGCTTCCTCTGAGATGCTGTAGAAACATCTCAGATCCACAGGGACTTGCTACAGGTAAAAATACAAGGGAGAGAAGTGTGGAGTGATTTTCACCACGTTATACAAGTAAATGCAGGAAACAGGAATTTCATTTTCACTGGAATATAGGTATGACTGACCTCTTTTGTGGGTAAAGTTGTGCTCACAGAATATGGTTTTGGTAAACCTGCCATCAATAGGAGGATAACGTTTTATTTCCTTCGGGCAAGCTCCTACTTAAACGTGAAAATTTTCTTAAGCAGATTATTTGGAAAAGATAACTCAATAACAGCAACATTTGGGCCTATTTTTTTCCTAAGAAATATCCTGAAATAACCTTTTAAGAACCGAGACTGAAAGCTCAACTTCCCCCAGACACAAGTTCCTGTTTCCAGAATTGTATTGGTCCTCCTCTGTCCCCTCCTCTGCCAGCAAGTGCATTAGGGTAGTGATGTCATATTTGTATTCATCATTATCCCCACTGTTGCCTCTTCGAGGGCAGGGAGGGTAGCACAGTGAAAGGAATACATATAATGGGATTCAATAAAGGCTGAAATGAGACAAGTTTCTAATCTAAGTTTTTGCCAGTTTCCTGTACTTCACAGTATGAGAAACTTGCTCATACTTACAATCTATTCTTTTACTTGAAGATTTACAACACCCTTCTCTAGTCTCTCCAGGTCACTCATGTGTGTTTAATTATGTTATTCTTTCCTAGCTTGATGTGGTTCTTGGTCTCCTGTGCTGCTTTCCTTCCTTTGAGTGACTGACAAACTAACTCACTCTTTCATTGACAAACTAAAAGCAATTCCAACAGCAATGAAAACAGGTCATGCAAATTAAAATGTCACATAAGATTCAGGAGGCGGGCATGAACGGCCATCTCCCACAAGACCTGGTCTCATCACTGAATGCTCAGGACCTAAAAACTGACTCTACAATGAACTTGACTTCCTGTTCCATGGCAAGTGTAAGGCATGAGTTTTTGTTAATCATTCTTATTAAGAAAGATTAATCTAATCTGTCTAATTGGTTCCTACAAGAATTCAACACAATAAAATATAATAAACAGAAAAAAAAGACACTGGGCACATATTTCTTCAAACTCCAGAGAGTATTTCAAGATTGCAGGTAGAGTATTCTGCATAGCCCGTGGAGCATACTAGGTTCTCAACTTTAGGTGGAGTCACTTTCTATATGATAATGGAATTGTTACATTTAGTCATTACAGTAAATAAAGAAGTATTGATGATAAAAAAAAAAAAAAGCTATTTTATTTAACCAAGCTTGAAAAGTGGTTTTGATAGCATCTTAAAATCAGGTGGGATAAAAAAAAGTTATAATGTGGAAGGGCCAGGCTGAGGAGTAAGTTAAATTCAGTTCTAGATTGAATAAGGCACAGCTAGGTAGATATCTATTTTTAAGAAACTTTATCTGATAACAATTTATCTATATTATACTATTTGGACATTCAAGGTACTGAGGTAGAAACCGTGGAAATTGTGAGGCATAAGATCTAGATTCTACTCTAAAAAATCTTGAGTTATAAGCTACTTTAAAAAAAACAATAAACTAGCAGTATAAGACAAAATATAAAAAGCAAACTTGCGGGAAGAGTCACAGAGCTCTTTACTGGTCAGAAGCAGAAAAGATTTCTTCTCATAGCAAAAACCTACAAATTACCTAGGAAGTTTAAATAATTCTACCTAACTTAAGCTAAAGTTTCTAGGAGTCCATCTATCCTCTGCCTTGTGTTTCAGTTCCTACTTCCATCCTCAAACCCAATCTTACTCCCTTGCCCCTCTTGCTGCACAAACCATATCTCCTCTTCCAATTTTACCATCCAGAAGTTAGTGGATAACAGAGTAAAAAAAAATCCTATCTGAGACTAAATTTGCAGCCTAGTATAGAAGGTGTGTGTCACAGAATCTGAGACAGCACATGGAGATTAGCATATGGGAAGTTCATTAGGGAGTGTTCCCACGACCGATACCTGTGGGAAGGGAGAAGGAAGCACTATCGGACAGAGGGAGAACGTGGGCTGTGGTGTGTTCAAATGGAGACCCCAGCCAACCACGTGGGAAGCTCCACATTTAACGGATAATCTTTAAGAGTTGCCTCAAGCTGGGTCAAGAGGCCCAGGCTGTTACATGCTCAAGGCAACCTAGTCAGTAGAGCAACCTGACCTGAGAAAAGGAAGTAACCTTGGGGGTGGTTAGCTCTCTTCAGCCAAGCAATCATGAAATATAACAGAGAGCACTCCATAACCAGGGGAATAAATTTTTCAATGCTGGAAGGAAGATCGGTGTGGCAATAGCCAGCTTCCACCTCAGTTACACATTTTTTCCATTTAAGTTTTCCAAAGTCAGTTGGCATTTTTAGAGTTGTCCTTTCTCACTGTATGTACATACTCAATATGTCTCCTGATTAATATTATACTAGTCAATTGTAAGTTAAGAAAATTACTGTAACTTTGTAGATGATAAAACCTGAAAGCATCAAATTAGTCATTATGTTCACACATCTTTTTTTAAACAAAATAGCTCTCTCTTCCCTCTTGCCCAGCTGTTCTCAAGTAATTTGCGGTTCACAAAAGGTTAATGGAGATAAAAGAAAAAAACAATGCATAGATGTCTCTCTGATTTCCTTTACTGTGTTCCTCTGGGAAGTGTTATAGAAATCGCTCCTTAGCTTTGCCTGGGTTTGTTGAGGGAGTTGATAGTAATGGAAACAAAAAAGTGTGTGCAAACAAAAAGCAATCCTATTCTTCTCGTCAAAGAAAGTGATTGGAGGTGCTACGTGAAGATGCCATCAGAAGTTGGACTTCTGGAAAACGGTTTCACAGATCACTTAACTGGACCACATAAGCAACAATTTGTTTCACAGAACTTGCAGAAATATGATAGTAGCTGGCTGAGTTTCTCACTTAATAACTTTATTCATTCACCAGCAAACTTCTGCATACCCAGTAAGAATCTTGGAGATAAAGCAGTAAACATAACTGATTCAACTCCTGCTTTCTTGGAGAGTGCAGAAGAGTGAGGGTAAATAAACATTTTAAACAAGAAAACACAATAAATTGCAAAGTGTCACAGAAGAATAAGCAGGGCTTCTAATATGAACTAAGGAATCCTTACAGGTTTCTAATATGAATCAGTATGAACTAAGGAATTCTTGTAGGTTTCCAAAAGGAAGTGATGTTTAAGTTAAAACCCCAAAAATGAATAGTATTTAGACTTTCAAATGGGTCAGGGAAACAGATCTAAGTAAAGGGGACAACATGAGCAGAGGTCCAGAGAAAAAAATGTTATGCTTGAGAAAACAGTATGTTAAAGAAAAATAGTAAGAGGGGAGGAATTGAAGGTCAAGAAAGGGGATAGAAGGACCAAATCATGGAGGACACTATAAATCATATTCGAGAGCTTGGACTTTATTGTGATGGCACAGAAAACTCATTGAAAGAGTTAAAGCAGAGAAATAAATAATTTAATTTTATAAAAATGACTTTGGTGGCAATATAAAGAGTAGATTGAGGGGGAGCAAGACTTTGGGCAGTAACCAGGAAAAGAGGGAAGGGATGATGGACTTTACTAGGATAGCAGAAATGGACATGGAGTAATGGTTATATTTAAGAGATATTTAGCAACTAGAATCATCAGACCTTAATGACTAATTCAATGATGAAGGGAAAGGTAGGAGGAGTCAGGGAGCACTCCTGGGTCTCTGATTTGGGCAGTTTGAAACAGATCGTTGCCATTTACTGTGTCCAAAAAGGCTGGAAGGAGAAAAGAATCAGGATGCTGAAGAGTTCACTTTTGCACATTTGAGGTTGACATACCTTTGAGCCACTGGCGGATAAAAATTCAGTAGCAACTGGACTTTGCTTTGGGGGCTCCTGGGGCTACAGATGCACATTAAAGTCAGGTGAAAGAACGAGATTGCCCAGGGAAAGTTTGAAGACCAAAAGGATTGGAGATTTAGGACAGAGCCATGAGGAAAATCCATGTTTCAGGGTTAGGTAGTGAAAAAAAGTCACAGATGCATCTGAGAAAGAGCATAAAAGAGGGAGAAAGAAAACAAGGTGAAGTTGTCTAGCAGAGATTGTTCACTGAGCACCAACGTGCTTACTTTTCTTTCTAGGCTGTATTTCCCAGCCTCCCAGGCAGTTAGGTATTGCTATACGATTGAATCCTAACTAATGGAATGAGAGCAATAGTGATAAACGCCACTCTCAAAGCTGATACGTAAGATCTTCCCATAACAATTTCTCTCTTCTCCATCTAGTCAGTTCATGTCAGCCTCCAAAAGAAGCCAGAAAACTTCCCCATCCCCTGGGGAAAAACACTATTGGACTTAACATGAGTGAGAAATTAACTTTAATTATGTTAAGCCACCAAGTGCAGCCACCTTCACGTACACAATGTTAAATCACAGAAACCAACAGAAGAGACTGTTTCGAAAAGGAGTATTCAGCAATGTCAAAAGTCTGCTTAGAAGTCAAACAACTACTGAAAAGGGTCTCTTACACTTAGCATGGTCCTGCATGTATCAATATTTAATTTGGAGGTTTCCTCTTCTGCAACTAAAGATTTTAGGATAAACCTAAACATTTCTACAATCTTGATGGTAGTGATTGTTTTAAGGCTCTTTCTGCACTCATAAATTAATTTGACTATCCTGACAAACTTTGGGTATAGGCTGTTTACAATATCATTTTTCAGTCAAACAAGACCTCTGAGATTGGTTGCACAACTGGATTTTGATTTGTTGACTTGGTCCTCAGTCTTCAAATGACTAAGTAGATTATTTGATTCTCTTAATTTGTATTAATAAATGGAGATGGGATAATGGTCAGCCATTTGAAAAATAAATATAACTGGATGTTTCCTTTACTCTTTTCACAAAAATAACTTACAAGGGAATCAAAACTTTAAATGTAACAATATAAGAGTATTATTTATAATCTTGGAAAAGATAAGACCTTTTAAGGCTAAACATAAAACTCAATAAACTGCAAATTAAAAGAAAAAAAAAAAAAGAAACAAAGCCTGTCTAATCAGAAAAAAACTTGGGATCTATAGTAATTAATCAATCAATGGCTTTTTTTGCCTGGCTGCAACAACTATACCTATTGTAAATTCTCTGGATTTTCTAAATCAGTGATTTAAACCCAAATTTTACACACACAAAATTTTAGTGTGTGTAAAAGCCATAAGAACCTTGTAAAAAATGTTGAGGTAGGCCGAGCCTAGTGGCTCACGCCTGTAATCCCAGGCGTGAGGATTACTTTGGGAGGCCGAGGCAGGCAAATCACAAGGTCAGGAGATCAAGACCATCCTGGCTAACACGGTGAAACCCCAGCTCTACTAAAAATACAAAAAATTAGCCGGGCATGGTAGCATGTGCCTGTAGTCCCAGCTACTTGGGAGGCTGAGGCAAGAGAATTGCTTGAACTTGGGAGGTGGAAGGCAGAAGTTGCAGTGAGCTGAGATCACGCTATTGCATTCCAGCCTGGGTGACAGAGTGAGACTCCGTTTAAAACAACAACAACAAAAAAAAAAAAACAGTTCAGATCTAGACCCCCACATCCAAATATTGTAGTTTAGTAAATAGGACTGTGGTTTAAGAATTTATGTTTTTTAACAAGCACTTCAGGTGATTCTGATAGACATAATTCTTAGCCTACATTTTGCTAAACACTAATCTGTAACTACTGGGATGCCTTAAAGTCCAAATTTGTTCTCAAAAGAAGAGTGTAGCTAACCCTCAGGTTCTTGGCAGTATAACTAACACTCAGGTACTTGGCACCAAATGGAAAATTTAAAAATAAATCAAAAAAGCATTTTGTTACAAAGAATGGAAGGGGGAATTGTAAAATACAATGTCATACTTTTCTTTCTTTATCAATTTACATGCATTATTTTCCTATTTTTATGCATTCTCATTTCATTATGAAATGTCAAATAAAATGGTAATTCAATGATGGAATTTTCTCTTTCCAGAGTCCCAGAATACAATCAGAGTGATATGGTAAACTCTTGTCATTCTTTGTTGCATTATGAACTCATTATGGAAACAAGAATCGTTTTCAATAATCTTCAGATTCACAGAAAGGCAGCTGAGGATAATATGACCTACCACATTCTGCTTGCTGGTGTCTGAAGCTTGTACCATAGACAGCTCACACACAATGCTTATTTACCATTGAAATTTTATTTACTCACATTAAATCAATTTCTAAAAGAATTTCTTTATAAGCAGCAATTTCTCATGTAAAGAAGTAATCAAGTGAGCCTTTTAGAAGCTTATATACCAGAGATTTATAGGGTCTCCATATTCCATGTCTGGCCTGACTTTGTACTTAGCCAATCTCAGTAGGTAATCTAACTTAGGAGTTAAAAAGGAAGGAAGAAAGGGAGGGAGGAAAGGGAGATGCAGTTAATAAACTCTAAGTTACCATAATAACCAGTTTTAGAGATATGAATTTGTGCAATCACTGTAGTTCATCACACATAGCATTACTTCATATGGAATATCTACTGACAACTTGATGAAAAGTTTGGAAAGAGGAATATGTGCCTCACTGAGTTAAAAACGAAATGGCTTGTGCATTTAAACACATGTGGCAAAGCTTAAAAACCAGTTTTCATCAAATGAGGTTGTATGCTACCTTCTACATAGCCTCATTCTAATGAAACCTTATTTCCCAGCAAACTCACCATTTAAGAGAGCCCTCCCATGGGCATAACTTAAAGAATAGGACCTCCTCCTCCTACCCATCCAGATTCACATTCTTTTAAAACATTCATCCTTTTGCTGTTCATTTATTCTCCCTTGCCTTATTTTGTCCATTTGTAAAAAAGAAGACAGTAATGAACCAACCTCATTAAATTGTTCTGAGGATTAAATAGGTTAATGTATATAAAATATTTTGAAAAACATCTGGCATTTAGTAAGGGTTAAGCAAATGTTTAAGAAAAATTCTCGGCACAGGTGTTTCTGCCATATCACTATATATACGTGCATTCTCACATTTTTCAAAATCATGCATTAAACATAATAGGGTTCATGGAGAAAAACAGTGTGAGAAACAGATCCCTCAAAACCTACAGCACTTTTTGGCCAGGGCACTAACAAAAGCAGTAACAATCCTAAAGCGAACACTAGCAGAGTTAAATCTCCACTTGCCTTCGCCCTAGAACCTGAATCAGTTTACCCTCCGGTGTCTAAAGCTCTCTTCTTGGAAATGGAGGGCTTTAAAAACAGTTGCTTTAATACAAGCCAGTTACATCCAAAATAAAAATATGATTCAGGAATGTATTTTGTTGTTGTTGTCATTTTGTTTTAACACAGGGAAATGTCTTTCCAGGTTCTAATCTTCACTTACGCTACCCTCAGATAGTTTAGCACAGTGGACAGCATAGCAGTTCTTAAGGCCATTAACCAGCTGCTATCTTGGACTAAACAGAAGACATTTTGAGATTTTTCAACTTTTTTTTTTTTAAGATCTGCAAATGTCATTACAGTTTTATTTTATTTAACTGTGAGGAAACTTACCCTTGATCATGTCAAATGATGGACATACTGGGAAAAATCATGTTTGGTTCAATTTGTCTGCCCTGTTGTGCTACATAATTCCCCTGATTACCAATGCATGTGAGTTAACTTTCATTTTAAAATACTTGTTGTAGCAAAGCAGACTGTAGATGTAATTTTTAAAATCCAGAGGATTTCAGAATTGTGGCTTGATAAACAGTATCTTACAGGTTCAATTCCCTCCAAATGGTCTTTTTCAAAAGTGAGTAACTTTTGACTAGCCCAGTTATTAAAGGCTAACAAACCCTGATGAGTTAGAAGTTTGGAATACTGTGTACACTGGTGCACCCTGGTGGTAAGCAAAGGGCAGTCAGACTTCAGGTACTCGGCTAATATATCAACTAGGGAAAGCAGCTCTGTGGTTTCAAGTGCCATTATATCTCAGCCAGTAATAAACATATAAAACTCAACTCTGATCTTCCTCAGAGGACTTTCTTTTGTTGTTGTTGTTTTCCTTCCTTTGGTCATTGCTCATTGCTTGATTTTTTTCCCCCTTTTCTAATTTCTTCTTCTAAACGGTATTGGAAAAGAAGTAAAGATTTCTACTGTTGCTCTAAAGTCAAGAACTGTTTTTCTCAAAGATTTTAGGCCTTGGATCCTTTGAAGGGTGGACGTGATATGACAACAGGCAGTGGATCTCAAGCAGCTTTTGGACCCCCTTAAAGATACCTGCTGCTCCCATGGATTACTTGTTACACCCTTTCTTCCTGCTCTTCTGTATCACCAGAAAAAAAGAGAATCCAAGGACAGCTGTGGATAAGGCATCAACAGCTATCCCATCAACAAGGAAATTCTTGTTATATTTTAGGCATTTGTTCTACTAGATACACCACCATAGCCTACATTAAGCACCCTCCAGAACCATAGTCTGAAGATCCCAAGGGTAAGAAAATCACAATGCAAAACCTAGCTTACTTCACTCCAGCTTTTCACAGCCTCATGCTACACTATTTTCTTTAAAAAAGTGAAGTTTTCTGAGGTCCTGTGTCCAGTATTTCAATGTATGAACACTACTTAGACTAAAGTGAGGACTTGCTGAGTTTTATTGGATTGTTTTTGTTTTTTGTTTTTAAATTAGAGATGAAATCTCACTATGTTGCCCAGGCTGGTCTTGAACTCCTGGCCTCAAGTAAGCCATTACACCCAGCCCTTGCTGAGTTTTAAGTAGATTAAGTCAATGGAACATTACCAGCGTTAGCTGTGATCATTGATAAAAGAGAAAGCAACACATCTCAGAAGAATGGAGAGCTCAAATCATTCCTCAAAATACGAGGACTTGAGTGGAAGAAAGGGAAAGCCAGCCCATCATAACATAATTAGAGAGAGGTGTCCCATTTGAATGTGCTTTGAATTTCTTCATCCTTGCAGCCATTCCCCATCACCTTAGTCAATAGGAAATCATCAGTATACATTATACTTTATTTGCCTTATTTCATAGACACTCCATGTAGACTCAGACTCCTAATGATAGTGTCTAGATTCTGACATCAGGTTACCTGAGAAGCACTCTTTCTGAAGTCAGAAGTAACTGTCAGAGCCAATGGATGAAACCAAGTCCCCATCTGGCTGATGTCTCTGCTACCTTTGGTCTGACTGTATAATCTCACACCCTTCTCCCAGATATGATCTTCTTCTCATGGATCTATTAATGGCTCTGTCTCACTCTAATGTTTACTGTGATCACATGGTCCTTCATTTCTGCCTTTCTCAGCATGTCAGTTCCATTTTCCTATCCACAGACTCAGCAAGTCTATAGTGCTTCTGCTGCCCACTTGCTTGTGGTCCTGGCTTGCCATGACACCAGAACTGACGTCATGCCTACATAACCATTTAATTAAGCATACTATATGACCAGGTACAGTCATTGACCTTATCTAGTAAGACAAATGCCCAAGCAGGAGAAACTGCTTGGTCACATTCAAGCCAAAAGATGAACTAGCTGCAGGCCAGGTCTAATCAGTTGGAGGTGGTGGTGGGCATGCTACCCACTTAGTAGGCCCTGTAGGGAGCACTGGGTAAACATTAATTGACTGTCAGCTCATGGCATGCATTCTTCACTCTTTGCCCTCAGCCCACAACTGTTGTAGCCCATTATTTATCTCTTATTATTCCCCTGCCCTCCTGTCAATTCTTTGCTATATTAACAATGGAAGTTTTGCCATTTTTGCCTTACTTTCTCATGCTTTTACAGATGTCATTCTCTCTGCCTGAAATGTCTCTATTGTTTTTTGTCTGCAAAATTTATCTTGCAAGACCCAACTTTACCTTCTGTGGGATAACTTCCCCTACTGTTGTAGGCACTAAGTTCTCATTCACCTTTGCACTTACTTCAATTTTATACTTATTGTACCCTGTGGACACTGTGCATTAATATATTTTTCTCCTGTAATAGAATTCACATTCTTTGATGTACATGACTATCTCTTAGTAATCATACCCTTTTTTTCAGTGCCTAGGACTGTATCAGGAATGCAGGCATTCAATAAAGATTTCCTGAAAGAATCCATACATAAGTGAGTTAGGAGTCTAAAATGAAAATGGAAATATTAAATAAAGGATAAGGAAAAGGGGAAGAAAGGGACTGAAACAGCTTACATACAACAGTCATTCTTTCAGGATTCTTTTGGCCAAATAAATGCCTGTACTAAGACAAATTTTTACTGCTTCAATTGGCTTCTCTGTAAAAGGTAGGGCACATTTATGGGGAAAGAAATTGATACTGTAGCTTATGCACCATAAATCACATTACAATTAACTTCCTTTCTATAAAATAAAGAAGCTAGCTATAGCTTTTCTTAATGCTGATATCCTGGACATATTCTTAACATAGCAAAGCTTGAAATTAGCATTATTAAATCTTTCTAACTTGTATTTATTTGGGATAAGAGTAGGGGGGTCAGCAAAATTTTACTTACAGAAAATTAGAATTATTTTCTAATTTCCTAATATAGAAAAATAGAAAAGTAAAATTATATACTTGTTCAATAAAGAAGTGTTCCAGTTATTTATTGTTTCATAATAAACTACCCCCAAACTAAGTAATCTAGAACAATAATCTTTTATTATATCTCAATATTTTATCTGACTTTAATTCAAGCGGGACTCAGCTGTATAATTCTTCTGCTCCTTGAGGCATTGACTGTGGTCACTTTGCGATATTTAGCTAGATGAGCTGTTCTGGAGGGTTTGAGGCAGCTTTCTTCGCATTCCAAGAGCCAGGGTGGGGGTGGCTGGAAGTTTGGGCTAAGATGGGCCTCTCTCTCTCTCCATGTAGTCTAAGTACCTCTTCAGCACTGAAGGTGAACTTTATGTATGGTGGCTCTGGCCTCCAAGAGACCAAGGTGAAAGCTGTTATACTCCCAAAGGTCAGGACCAGACCTGATATAGTGTCAGTACTCTAATGGTTAAATCAGTGGCAGGGTGGGATTCAAGGATGTGGCGGAATAAGCTTCATCTCTTGGTAAGGGAATAGCACATAATACAGGCACAGGAGAAAGAAAGGCAGCCATCTTGGGATGGCTACCACAGAGATATAACTTTATTACTTTTAAGAAGATAAGAGTAATTTGATTCATGTTTCAATCAATCAATCAATAGTTACTAAATGTTTTTTGTGCGCTTTACTCTCTGCTCAGTTCTATTGGTCCTGCCTTGAAGTCCTCAGAAGACCTGTTTTTATAAGTAAATGTTATTACCGATGATACATTTTAGAAAACATCACAATTTAGCCTTAAGAAGAAATCAGCTGTCTCTGCATTGGGTATCAGAAGAGGGAGACGTTTTATTCTAGCTATGTGTGAAACTTTGAGTAGTTTAGCAGATATTTTCAAGTTTCTGTTTATCTGCAAAATTTACTCAACTAATTTTTATTTAGTAAACACTCTATATCTTTACTGGTATAAGCACTGATGATACAAAGAAACATAGACTATTTATGTCCTCAAAAGCTTTCAAGGAAGGGACACATTCACAAATAATCATGATATACAGTGATGTGTGGAACACTGAAGGTTTCTTTCATATCTAAAGTGATGTGACTCTATGAGTTTTAATTAGCTCATAAATAATTCGTATTTAAATGAGTGTCTTTGAAGAACTTATTAATATTTTCTTAAGAATTTAAAATATGCATCTGTACAATTTGTTTATATATTACTTTGACCACGTTTTAATCTGTTCTTAAAGAGTCATAAAACTCTGGAACTGAAAGTGACTAGGAAGATAAGATATTCAACCCTTTTTTTTATGGACAAGGAATCTGGGACAAAAAGAGGCTAAGGGACTTGTTTACTTCACAGGGCAGGCCAGGCCAGCATGTTCTGCATCTCACAGATCTGCCTGCCTATGAAGACATTTTGGTACAGCATCTCTTTGCCCGCTGAGGTGCTAAAACCCAGAGCCTTGTAAGTATTATTGTACTTGGTTTATCTTCTCCAAAATTCCTGTGCTATTTTAATGAAGAGAACATCTTAATCTCTCTCCTTCACAAATTTTGAAAATTAGGCTGTGACATGTTGACATATACTTCTTTGGCCATGGAGAAAAGTCCCTAACTATATACACGGTAAGCATACCACCACAAATTCTAATTCTATTTGTTCTGTAATTCCTAACTGGAGATTCGCATAGAAAACACAATTGTTCACAAACATAAAAATGTCTTCATTACTCAAACCACAGTATTATCTTTATTTTTTAATGCCCATGACCAACAGGACATGTACTAGAGACATGGTTTCTATGAACCTCTCTTTTCTTTCTCTGAATTTTCAGGGAGAAATACAGATTTCCAAAATATTGGTACTGGGAGGAATCCTTAAATGCCTCTAAATTAATCTCCATGTTTTGCAGATATGGAAGCTGAAGCCAGATGATAGTTTTTTTTTTTTTTTTCTAAGGCTCCATAGATAATGACCAGAGCTTAAATCAGAGTTCAGCTTTTTGGTTCCCAGGTAGTGCCCATGTCTGAATGAAAGAGCTTTGCTAGAGCATCCTAAGAAAACTGCATTCTCATTTTGGATGTATGCAAAAATGAGATTAAAGTCATTCTCTTCCAAAGGGAAGGAATGCTAGTGTTTGCCATATATCAGGGAACAGCTTCCAATCCCTCTGTGCCTCTTATTTATAAGGACGTTTTATTCTCGAGTGATTCCTTGGTTTACAAAGGTATGCTCTGGATAATAGGTAAACATTCCACTTGTCTTAAAAAAGTAAGACAAAGGGAGTGAGATTTCCATTTTTGCTTCAATAATTTGTTGCTGATATCAAAATTGTTTGCTCTAAAAATTCCTTGAGCCATTGTTTTCTGCCCACAGATGATTTCCTCATATTTTTCCAAATTAAGGAATTGTTGATATTACATTTTAATAATAAATATTTGTGCAAACCAGATCTTCCTTTAACTTCAGTCAAGACTAGTGTGGACATGCTGTAAACCAAAGCAAAAACTAGTGGGAGACAGCCACTCATTGCAGCAGTTGTGACTACATTTGCACTCAGTGGTTGCATGTGTGGTCTTTTTGTTATTTCTCTTTATTTAGGTATAAGAGACCATTACATCTTCCTAAGTCTCCTTCTCTTGTTCATTCTTCTTCCTAAACATTTAACTCTTATCTTACCGTGATCTTTCTGACATTTTCTTTCTTGCAAGTATCAGTACAAATCTATTAAAAGACAGAACAACATTTAGGCACCATAAATGTTTACAGGATAAAAACAAATCATCTAAGAGAAGAAGTAAATATTTCACTTTTATTCTCTATGTATTGATTGATATAGACATAGCTTGACTCTGTGTATTTTGAGTTAGATAGAAAACATTTTGTTATTTAAAACATAGGATCCCAGTGAGTAGAGCTGATCTTTTGACCTAATCATGAAGAAAACATCTACACGTTTTAAAAAATATCCTGATTCTGACACTTAGACACAAATGCTCTTGGATGAAACCTGGCCATTGGGGCACAAACCCCTGAAGCTCTCACTCACTCTTGTCGGTGAGATTTGCCAAGATTTCCCTCTGTTACTAATGTAGCCTAAAGTCATATCTTTAAGTCAGCTTTTAAAAAATTAAGCAAAAGGCTAGCCTAAAGAACATAGGCAAACAGAGGTCAGACTTATCCTTTCGGCAGGCTGAGAAATCTCCATTTGGTTGTGGAAGCAGGCTTAATGGAAAGATAGCCATTAATAAATAAACCCGACATTGCAGTTTGGCCAGAGGAAGCAATATAGGCACCAGCACACTAGCCAACTTTTAGACCTTACTAGGACAGAATTACACATGTTCTAATGACTTGTTTTGGTTGAACCTATGATAGGCACTTCCTGAGAAAGAATTTCAGAGTCTGTGCCCCTGAACCATCAATTTCATCCTGCTTTTTGGCTTTATCTAGGAGCCTGAAGTTTACTGTAACATCTTGGTTGCATCCTACTCTTCCACAGTAACATGAGGAAAGAAAGAACTATCCCAATCTCTAGGTTTTAGGAGATAAATAACATAGAACAGTCTCTTGGCTCTTTCTTTAAATAACTTTTCTTCCTGGCTCCAACTCCAATCCCATCCCCTCAATGCCTGCCCAGGGAAGTCAGGACCACGTCACTCTGGGTCCTGTCTTCTGTCCACTACCCTCTTCAAGGTATACATGGATACTATGAAAAGCTTTGAATGCTGTTCTTTTTCTATTATCTCATCCGTAGCACAGC
Organism: Homo sapiens; assembly: GCF_000001405.40. Lineage (NCBI taxonomy): Eukaryota > Metazoa > Chordata > Mammalia > Primates > Hominidae > Homo > Homo sapiens. The sequence goes on along the minus strand of NC_000005.10, from coordinate 41,264,191 downwards.
TGTGATATCTCATTGGACTCTGGCCTAATGGTTTTTATGGAGTCAGATAACTATTCACGGGACTTATCTTCATTGAACACATGCTGGGGAGAAAAATAATAGCAGGATACAGGAAACATTATCTGCTTCAGATTCAAAAATTGGCTTCCAACTATTTGATTCTGGTTCATGTTATGAAAGAGGAATAAATAGTTTGCTTTCTGTTGCTATTAATGCTTTTGCTGAACCCTATCCCATAACTTAACAATCATACATCAGAAAAAGCAGGTATTTCATGCTACTTATGGGTGATGGGAACCATCTATTAATATACTGCATCCGTTGGTCCTTATTGAGACCAATGGCACCTATTTCTGCCATAATATTGAGGGAAGAGAGTACAGTCTATATTTGAGTTAAGTGTTCTGGTTCCAGTGACCTCTATGAAAACATAAGGATGTTACCCAGACGGAGAGACACACACACCAACCTATTGATGCTCCCAAAGAGTACTTTAACAGGTTTTGTTAATATTGGGTAGCCTGAATCTAAAGCCATAAAGAGAAGCAAGATTGTCTGACAGAGGAGGAAACCAGGAAAGATTTCTAAGCAGGTCAGATCTTGTATGTTGTAAAAATAAGGACACTATACACTCAGCAGCTGTCATACATACTCTGAGTACTAAGGCGATGTTTACAGAGAAACAACTGAGAGGTCTAGGAGGAGGGGAACTCTAGGCAAAGTTGAGAGTGATGGTGGTGAGGAGAGATAAGGTAAGACGGGACCAAAAGCAAATCTTGGCTGAAGCATAACCTTGTCTGACCTTGAATTTTGAGGAAATCAAATGACCTTAGGAAGGAGTAGACATTGTTCAAATAAATTACGTGAAATTTGTATTTACAGTTTTTTAAAAAGTCAAATAATCTTAAAAACAGCAAATATCTTTCACCCAATCTACCTTAAGTTTTGATTCATCCTTCTCACATGGAACAGTGAACTATCTATCAGCCTATAAACTACCTGCACGTGGTCACTTGTTCTATTGGTCACTGCAAAAACTGTAAATGTTGGGGAACAAATTCCATGAGATGGCCATGGCTTATTTCCAAGTTTGGTCACTTTACACCCTTGTAAATGACATCATGTTTCAATTCAATCCCAAAAACAAAGACAAAAAATTACCCAGTCATATACTTATGTTATAATAGCTTTCTTCCTTAGGTCGTAGTGAAGAAAAGATGAAAACACTTCAGCCAAAATAAAAAAATAAAACTAGTTATTTTACCACCTGATCTATGAGTAAAGAATCAAGTACGTTGAAAATCCCTCCGTTTGAAGGAATGCTTTTCAGATAGTGGGTAAAACTAATTTGTTTTGCAGCCTTCACCTTGTACTGGATATTCAAACATATTACCTAGTTAATTAAATCTCTTCATAATATGATAATGCTTGTTTGCACACTGACTCCAAACAGCAGTCACGTATGAAGTTTGTCATAACCAAATGGATTACAGAACACAGAAAAGCAAAATTTCTAATAATCTCAATTTTTCTAAATCAAAGAATGCCTCTCCATGTTTTCTAAGAATGGAAACAAAAGAAAAGGTTGAATTTCACCCCAAAACTGGGAAGTCAGTTACACAAGCCCTATCCATACAGATATACACAGTCTTAAAAATGAGACTTTTAAGATATCTTTTGAGTTATCCCAGAAGACACAAACTTCCTGCTCACTATGCACACCTAGAGGACCTCAAAGAGGAAGAAATAGCGAAATAAAAAGTCCTTTCTATGGAGGTAGGAAGGAGGAAGCAGCATTTACAATAAAAAGGCACAATGGTTTCAGGTGTTAAATTCCTCCTTGATCCTCATACTACAATACAAATCTGAGCTTTTGCTCCATTTTAAATTACTTCAAGCAGTGCCTACCATCCTGGAGTGTGACTGTAGCCTTTACCAATTGTTTGCTATAATTTTATCTGTCTTTATTTTATCTTTTTATTTTCCCTCTCCTCCCTGCCCACCTTAATTCTCAATTCCAGTTTTGTAGAACATACTTTAGGAAAAGTGGATTTTGAGAGTAAAGAAGAAAGGAAAGAAAGAAGGAAAGAAGGGAAAGAGACAGAAAAAGAAAGAAAAAGAAGAAAGAAGAAAAAAGAAAAAAGAGAAAGAATTTTCTTGCTCACTTATATATATACAGGATATTTTGTTTTGCCAGCAGTTTATCCTCCAAAGGAGTGTGTCTTGCTTATTATATAATTCAGTATATTTTATTCAACAGAATGTTTTTTATTCATTTTCTATGTAATCTAAAAACCTGTCAAAAACATAGAATTTGAAAGTATTTCGAATGCAGAAAAAAATCACCGCATTCTGATGTAGTGACATTGCTATTTAAAAACGAAAATCAATCTCATTAAAAATGAAGTGAAAGATAATAATTTTGGATTGATAAGTGACAATTAAATAAGTTTTAAACTACTGTTTTTATTATTTGAAAATTTTAATTGTAAGATTTGTTTTTAAATATTTGAGATGCAACTCCAATCTTTCTGAATTTGCGATTTTTAAAAATTGGAATAGTTTTTGCAATGTTTAATTTGTGTAAAAAAGCACTAAAAGATAAAAATAAGCAGGAGATGGGGGTAGGAAGATAAAACAGAACAACACAGTTGTGTCTGGATTTGCATTGAGTCTCTGTTGCAATTTCTTTTAAAAAGGAAACTAAAATGTAGAGATTCTCAATCCGGTTTAGCATACATAGGAGTTTCTCCCTAAAATATACCCGTCTCTCTTAATTTTGTATGTCTTCAACATAACATTCATTAAATTTTATTCTGAAACTGAGTCTTAAAAACTGAAATACTTTTAAAGAGAGATGTTTCTAGCTTAAATATTTCATCATATAGTAAGATTCCTGCTGAGAGCTCATAATAAGAAATATGAAACCAGTTACTCTGGACTTGGATTTTGATGTGCTGAAGTATCTGCTGGTATTTCTTCAAGTCATAGATGCATAGTAAGTTTTCTACTTTTTTCTTCTTTTTTTTTAATTGGTGGGCATGCATATGAGGTTGGTGCTTCTTGAAATGGCTGGTTAAAAGATTTCCAGATGAAAGTTTACAAAGGCAGTAGTTCAGTTTTATAGAATATGGTTTTGGGTACATTTGCGATGGTGCTTTTTATAATATGTGATTGCTGTGTGACAATGTCTTTGTGAAGTCAATGGAGATTTCACATTTGGAAAACAAACCTTTGTGTAGTATCTTGTCATTACTAATTGAAGTGTAATTTTGTCAAATCTAACTTGTTCATGTTTTCATTTTCATTCATTCTGTTTCTCCTTACCCACAGTATCCATCTATAGGACTGGTGTGTTTAAGACTAGAGAAGTTGCAGGGGTTTTTTTGGTTTGTTTTTGTTTTGTTTTTTTTTTTGAGATGGAGTTTCACTCTTGTTGCCCAGGCTGGAGTGCAATGGCGCCATCTTGGCTTACTACAACCTCCACCTCCCAGGTTCAAGTGATTCTCCTGCCTCAGCCTCCTCAGTAGCTGGAATTTACAGGCATGAGCCACCATGCCCACCTAATTTTTTTTTGTATTTTTAGTAGAGATGGGGTTTCTCCGTGTTGGTCAGGCTGGTCTCGAACTCCCAACCTCAGGTGATACGACCGCCTCGGCCTCCCAAAGTGCTGGGATTACAAGCATGAGCCACTGCGCCAGCAGTTGCAGCATTTTTATTTGTTTGTTTGTTTTGGGGGGGGGTTTATTTGTTTGTTTTTACTGAACAATTCTGGATTTACTGAAGAGAAGGGATCTGAAAGCACTAATTACAAGTTTTGATATAACGTGTTTGAAAGTCTGTGCCTCCAATATTTGTAGTATGTCCTTTTTCTGAAGAAAGTTATGTAACTAAGTCACAAAGCTGGCGTGTGTGTGTGTGTGGTGTGTTTGTGTGTGTGTTCAAGTTACCACTTCATTTGCCTAGGCAAATGAAAATTTAAAAAATAATCAACTTGTGTTTTGTACCTTATAATAAGCTTATAGTGGACGAAAAGCAAAATATTCATCTGAATTACTTTTGAGGAAAAAAATTAAACTATAGGAAGCTTTGGCTGCAACTCATGAATAACCTAGAAATCATTATCCATAACTGGATAATAAGTAGATAAATTGAATAAAACAATTCTTTCTCCTCAGAGGTGTTTAGATTTCCAGCTGAGAGTGGTTTGTTCTCTACAGGACATTTGGAAATGTGTGGGGACAGCCCAGGCTTTTAGTGGGTTCAGGCCAGACATGCCAAATAATCCTCAATTTCTGTGAGACATTCTGGTTTAAGGAAGAACTGACGCATCATAATGCCAACAGCACCCCTATTGAAAGCTGAAAGCTGACGGTGTCCCTATTCTTAATAGGTACGACATTTGGGAGATATTAGGAAAAAATAATGGATAATTTTATTCTTTTTAAGTGCAGCCTCAGGCCAATAAAATGAACTAATTAGGAAACAGAAACCTCTTCCTAAAATTAGAGTTAAGGCCCACTTATAAGCAATTGGTAATTTAAATTCTCAATATTTATGCCAAGGGGTTTATTGATTTTTTTAAGGTGGTAATGTGCTGAAAACAGTTTAAGTCTTGTTGTAGGAAAATAGTGCTATTATCTCAGAAAACAGAGATTTTTTTTTTTTTTTTTTGGTAATTTCAGGGGCTGAAAATTGGGACAACTATGCAGTTTTTAATGGCATTGGACTGACCTGAAAAATAGAATTTAAAATTGAAATTAACATTTGTCAAGAGCCTGGACATCATTGCTTATATTAACAATGGAATAAAATACAAGAGATTCTAGAAACCCATATACATTCACCAAGGAATGCAAAGTAAAATAAGCCACGTATTTAGTTCACACTTTGCCAGCTATTTTTACTCTTTGTTTCCCCATTAAGAAGAACTAAGGTTAGATTTATATCTTTTTCATAATTTCATCAAACATTTGATTTAATCATTTTGAATTTGAATAAGTAAATGTTTTCAAGTACATTAGAGCAAGATCCCCTAAAGGCAACACCAATTTATTACATTCTCTTTTTTAAAGCTTTTAAAATGAAACTTCTCATCTGTGACAGTGACCCAGACTCCAGTTCATTATTAGTGAACTTAAAACCCATAAACATGTTAGTTGATCTCACTGTATATGTGATATGGTTTGGTTCTGTGTCCCCACCCAAATCTCACCTTGAATTGTAATCCTCATAATCCCCACATGTCAAGGGTGGGACCAGATGAAGGTAATTGGATCATGGGGTGGGTCCCCAATGCTGTTCTCATGACAATAAGTGAATCTCATGAGATCTGATGCTTCTATAAGTGTCTGGCATTTCCCCTGCTTGCACTCATTCTCTCTCCTGCCACTCTGTGAAGAGTTGCTTTCCGCCATGATTGTTAATTTTCCTAAGGTCTCCCCAGCTATGTGATACTGTGATTCAATTAAACCTCTTTTCTTTATAAATTACCCAGTCTCAGGTATTTCTTCATAGCAGCATGAGAATGGGCTAATACAGTACGTATAGATGTGGTTACTTTCATTCAACAGGTCTTTCCCTCTAAGACCTGTTCAATATAAGTAAATTCTTTGAAGCTTTCAAAAATATTTTTTGGACTCAAACAGCATCAAAACACTTAAATGACTGGGTTCCAAGATCTGACATTTAGAAAAGGGCATGTCTGCCTTCCAGTTAGAAACTTTTTCTGTTAACATATAACCTTCCTATTTTCATTTAAATGTGGTTGTCTCATATTTCAGCTAATAAAATCATTAAACCAAATCATGAAATTACTACAGTGTAGATACTTCAGCCAAAAATAAAAACAAAAAACAATTGAATAAGTGTCAGAATCCTTCTTCACTTCATATAGAATAAAGAAGTTTATGAAATTTGACTTCACAAGTCACCTTTGAATTTTCAGATCTGTACAGCAATGCAATAATAATGACTTTCAAATGTGTTTTATGTTTCCTTTCCTCATAATACATTAACAAGAGCTTTAAGTCAACATTTAGATAATACCAAGACTATGTTATTATAGAATAATAAGAAAAATTAAAGCAATTTAATTTTTGCTTGTGAAGACCATGCCTGGTGGGTTTTTTCTTTGTTGTTGTTTTTAAGTCATAAAAAGTAAAGTTTTATGATTGGGTAGAAAAAAATGAGTTAATTATGTAAAAAGATTTTTTTCTATGTGAAATTTTAAATTTGATTTAAAAAATTTATGCTGATGGTTGTTAAGCTTATTTCTTTCTTTTAAGTAAATAATATCAAATACATACATGTAGGTGGGAACAATCCAGAAAAGCAAGAAAATTTGATAATTAGCCAAAAAAATAAAAAGGGAATATGTCGGTGGAATCTTCCTAATTCAGCATGAGGGGGCTGGGAGGTAGTATATATGTCAGCCTTAGATGGGAGAATAGACTGTTAACAACAGGGAGGGCAGAGTATGTGCCTACAAAAGCAGGTAGGTGAGTAGATGTGATATGGTTGTTTGTGGCTTTCTATTCCGATGGCTTCTACTTTCATAGTGGTAACCCTTCCTTAAAGCTAAAGAAGCCTGAAGCCTACTCCCAAACACTTTATTCATCAAGTGCAATAACCATTCAACCCAGCAGTCCTATTGCTGGGTATGTATCCCCAAAAAATAAGTCATTCTACCAGAAAGATACATGTATTCATATGTTCATCACAGCACTATTCACAATAGCAAGACATGGGATCTATCTAGATGCCCATTAACAGTGTACTGGATAAAGAAAATGTGGTATACATATACCACGGAAAGGTATGCAGCCATGAAAAAATGAAATAATGTCCTTGGCAGCAACATGAATGTAGCTGGAGGTCATTATCCTAAGTGAATTAATGCAGGAACAGAAAACCAAATACTACATGTTTTGATTTATAAGTGGGAGCTAAACGTTGCTTACACGTGGACACAAAGATGGGAACAATAGACACCAGGGCCTACTTGAGCAAGGAGGGTGGGAGGAGTGTAAAGGTCAAAAAACTACCTATGCTTACTACCTGGGTGACAAAATCATCTGTACACCGAACCCCCGTGAAATGCAATTTACCGTTGTAACAAACCTGAACATGTAATCACTGAACCTAAAATAAAAGTTGAAAAATAATAAATAAATAAATAAAACTTGGAAGTACTCTCTGTAGTATTTTTAGTGTAAACAAAGATGAAAGCCTCATCCAAACTGCAGAAAGCCTACCTCATTCAGAAAACAAAACACACCTCATTGGACTTGGGGATGGAAAGTGGGTATGGGAACCTCCCACTGATATTGCACCATGAGGCAATTGTTCCTTTACCCATTTGTAAAATGTGTTCCCTTTTATCAAGGAGCTGGCTGGCCTTCAATCTGTCTAATAAGAGACTCAATCTGCTCGTAAGGTACAGATATTCCAGAAAAAAAGAAGGTTGGCTTGGAATACGGTGCAGTTGGCAACATTATTGAGGTCATTAGAGGCAGGATATCGTAACATAAAACCAGGCAAGCTTTATGCCAGAGAACTTATATCCAACATTGAGAAACCCCTGTGTGATACAAAGATTAGCTGTCATCAAACCACAAAATTCTCTCAGCAGTGGGGCCCTCTGATTTCAGTAACTGAAAAGGTGACGTTAAGGGAAGCTTAGCAGTCTGGGTGGTGCAGTCCAGCCTGAGGCCTGTAGAATCTAAGACTCTTTTTTTTTTTTTTTTACTTTTTTTTTTTTAATTATACTTTAAGTTTTAGGGTATATGTGCACATTGTGCACGTTAGTTATATATGTATACATGTGCCATGCTGGTGTGCTGCACCCACTAACTCGTCATCTAGCATTAGGTATATCTCCCAATGCTATCCTATACCCAAATGACTATAAATCATGCTGCTATAAAGACACATGCACACGTATGTTTATTGCGGCATTATTCACAATAGCAAAGACTTGGAACCAACCCAAATGTCCAACAATGATAGACTGGATTAAGAAAATGTGGCACATATACACCATGGAATACTATGCAGCCATAAAAAATGATGAGTTCATGTCCTTTGTAGGGACATGGATGAAACTGGAAACCATCATTCTCAGTAAACTATCGCAAGAATCTAAGACTCTTAACCCCAAATTACATCTAACATGACATTTGCTCTCACTGCACAGCAACCTCATGATACTAACTTGTCAAAAGTTGGGAATGTAACCCCATACTTCCTTTCTGTTAGCACATCTCCACTCACAGATGCTTAGACATCTTTTCACAATGATTTTGCCTTACCTGGGAACTATTCCCTCTGTAGAGGCTGAACTATAAAAATAAGCTCTTTACAGTAATATAATCTCCTTATTGGACCACAGGTCAACTCCTGACCAAGCTGGCCACTCATATTCCCTTCTCTGGGAATTAAGAATTGGAACTGCCAATTTGTTTTTACTTTTGACAGACCTATAGCACGTAAATTCAGTTGTGAAACATTGTCTTCCCTTCATAGACCACAAAAATCAAAAGCCAATCAGGGCAGGTATAAGAATGCATATTGTAGGCAGAGAGAAGTGGAGATATGTTCAGGCTTCACAGTTTCCTATTTCCTGATTAGAGTCCCTTCCCAAGGCTTGGCTTCATGACTGTCATTGATTCCATAAGACACACTTGTACTACTATATATATTTCCTATAAGTAAGCCCTTGTCTCCGTTACTTGCAGCCCAAAGAGTCCAATTTCCCTTCTACCAAGAATATGAAAGAATGAAAGTGGATCTTGTGTAACCATGTTAAGACTCTTATCTTTTTTTTTTTTTTAACGGAATCTCACTCTGTCTCCCAGGCTGGAGTGCAGTGGGGCGATCTCGGCTCACTGCGGCCGCCGCCTCCCAGGTTTAAGCAATTCCCATGCCTCAGTCTCCCGAGTAGCTGGGATTACAGGCACCCACCACCATGCCCGCCTAATTTTTGTATTTTTAGTAGAGACAGGGTTTCACCATGTTGGTCAGGCTGGTCTTGAACTCCTGCCTCAAGTGATCTGCCCACCTTGGCCTCCCAAAGTGCTGGAATTACAGAGATGAGCCACCATGCCTGGCCAAGACTCTTATCCTTTTTTAAAGTTAATTTCTAGTTGGCCCCTCAAAGCATTTGTTCTCTGGGAAGTTGATGTGGATGACCAGGAATCAGACATGAGCACCTATGCATTATACTCTGGGTCTTCACCAATTTCTTGCAAAATTTAAAGTGACACAATCCCTCTATACCTGTCTACTCATTTGCAAAATTATCTAGGAGACTAAAACGCTTTCACTGAGATCCATAGTAGCAGAAGTCACATAAACTCTTGCAGGACTAGTCACTGTGTGCTTCCTGTAAATCTTGCTTTCTGGATTGCAACTGTTCTTCAGTTAAAATTTTATAAAGATAAAATGTTGTCAATTTGATTAAAGTCTATTCCAACACTGTATTATGATTTCCTTTCTATAGGGATCACTTAACATTTACATTGAGCTGAAATACACAGTGGTAATCTCTGATCTATCAGATAATAATTAGAATAATTGTGAAGGTTCTGTAAAGGGAGTTATCAAGGTTCTCTTCACTCTCCACTTGGTAGCTATATAATGAGGCTGGTGATATAATCTATAAGTAATATTTTAATTAAACCTAAGAAATGGAGGCTATACATGTAGGTACTTCTGTAGAAACTCTATTTTACTAGCTAAGGAGAAGACAAAAATTATAAAACTATTCTTTCTCTTTCTTTTTTTGAGATGGAGTCTTGCTCTGTTGCCCAGGCTGGAGTACAGTGGTGCAGTCTCGGCTCACTGCAAGCTCCACCTCCTGGGTTCACGCCATTCTCCTGCCTCAGCCTCCCAAGTAGTTGGGACTACAGGCGCCCATCACCACACCCGGCTAATTTAATTTTTTGTATTTTTAGTAGAGATGGGGTTTCACCGTGTTAGCCAGGATGGTCTCGATCTCTTGACCTAGTGATCCACCCACCTCGGCCTCCCAAAGTGCTGGGATTATAGGTGTGAGCCACCATGCCTGGCCAAAACTATTCTTTCTTTTCTATGTAATAATTTTTTCCTATATATATTGCAGTCAGGAACGTACTTTTATACATAAGTTATTCCTAGAAACATGTACTATTAATAAATAAGGCCAACTGTGTGAAATTTGCCCATATTTGCAACTTTTAAGGTTGGGATCTATACTTAGAGAACTTGGAATGTTATAAAATCCCAAATTACACATTGCCTTTTGGGCATAATTATCAAAATATTTTTTCACTGTTGCATACAATGTATTTTTTACAACTCAAAAACACCTTTAGGAAGCACTATCAATTTAATTACAGCTTTGGAGAAATTACAATAAAAATACCATATTTTTAAAAAACACTTTCTTTATTGTTGATGTTGATATAAACAATAGCACATATTATCCGTACAATTACATTCCACTCTGGATCAAGAAAGCGTAACAAGGACAATCCAAAATAACCTAAAAACAAGCTAAATAAAACAATGGTTTTTCAGCCATTGGACCCTACACTCTATAGAGCAGTGATTCCTGGGAGAGAGAAAACAAATTAGGTGGGTCCTACAATTGCCCTAGTTTACAGCCTTGATAAAAGTTTTTAGGCCTCAAGAAAAGGAGGAAAATCCCAAGTGGAGCCTGGGAGTCTCCCAGAGTTAAGAAAACAGACTTGGGACTGTAAGGATGTACAGCCAACTAGAGTTCACAGGGCAGGGTAACAAAAAGGAGAGAGCTACACAGAGAGAGATTTATGAGATAAAAATTTGGTGAGGGCCCTCCTCCAGCCTTTGGGTGAGTATCAGTCAGCTCACAGGTATGAGGAAACCACCTGAGGCCCAGCAAAGAACCACCCAAGAGGTTGGATTACAGGTGAAAACCACAGAGCTCAAACAAGGTTGGAGATGTTTATATTCCTACCAGCCAGAAAGGAAAAATCCCATGCATAACATAAATGAAGAAAAGTATACCAAGGGACTTCATAATCAAATGCTTAAAACAATTACATGTCATTCTTAACATATAATCAGATTTCAATTCAAGCCCATGCCTTCTTCCCCTCTTCAAAAATATTTGAAGAAGTTTATTCTGAGCCAAATATGACTCAAATATGACAGACCATGGCCTGGAACACAACCTCAAGAAGTCCTTAGAACATGTGCCCAAGGTGGTTGAGTTACAGCTTGGTTTTACACATTTTAAGGAGACAAAAGTTACAGGCAAAGACATAAATCAATAAATGTGAGGTATATATTGGTTCAGCCCACTCACATGCCAACGGTGGAGTCAAAGATTTTCTGATTGGCAATTGGTTGAAAAAGTTAAGATAAGGGGAGCTGTGGAAGCCAAGGTTCTTGTTATGTAGATGAAGCCTCCAGGTAGCAAGCTTCAGAAAGAATAGATGGTAAATGTCTCTTATCAGAACTTAAAAGGTATCAAACTCTTAAATTTCCCCTGAATCAGGAAAAGACCTGGAAAGGGAAGGAGACTCTCTACAGAAGGTAAAATTCTCCCAAAAGAGATGGCTTTGCAGGGCCATTTCAAAATACATCAAAGAATTACATTTTGAGGTAAAATATTTTTCTTTTCTTCAGGACCTGCTATCTGTCATTAGATGCTATCTATATCAGAATCAGGTTGGAGTTGGGTATCTCACTGCTACAAAGAGTCTGTCTTGTAGGTCTTATGGTCTCTATTTTAATGTTAGTGCTGGTCAGTTTTGCCTCAACTCCAAAGGGAGGGGTATAATGAGGCATAACTGACCTCCCCTCCCAACAAGGCCTGAACTAATTTTTCTTTGAGATCCTCTTGGCCAAGGAGGGGGGCCATCCATGCAGACTGGTGGAAGGCTAAGAATTTAATTTTTGGCTTACATCTTGTTTCCAGAATCTCTACCAGCCAAATGAGGTTAACATATTTCTTTGAATACACAATGCTCATGCTTTCCAATGCTTTAGGAATGTCTATTTATATTAGTTAAAATAGGGCCAAGTTTGAAAGTGAATCACAGAATATTTGCAAACCACCTTTAAATGGTCTTAGGTATCTGAATTTGCATATTACCTTAACAAATCTGTGTACACACATGTGGCCCAAGCATCTGGAAAAGATAGCCACGCTATAAAATCTTTTGCCATAAGGTTTACTTAGGATATGGATTTAGCTTCTTGCCTCTCTCCTTGAGTTTCATGCATTTACAGCCCCTTTATTTCCCAACCATATCTTTTCCCTTAGCAGAGACTTTACTTGCTTTTTGCTTCATGTTTCTAACCACAGATAAAATTTGCATTTCCCATATACCCAGCCTTGATGCAGAGACTCCAGCACAGTAAAATCCCTGAACTACCTAGTATCCCAGAATGAAAGGAAGGCACACGCAGCCTAGTCTGTCCTACATTGCAGCTTCAAGAAGAGCATTTGCAAAAATATATTTTGTATTTGCCTAGCGTCTGTCATTGTTTTAGCTCTCTAGCATCAGAACCCTTTTCTTAACTTGGGAGAAACTTCTTAGTGTAAGCATAAAGCTGAAAATTCGAAGACCTAGGTCCTTGACCTAAGATTCAGCTGTTCCAAACTTTTCTTCTAGGGCAAGGGACACAAAGAGGAGGATATCAGGAAGAATTCCCTTTGGTCATGACTACAGGGTTGGTGGCAACAAGATCAAGTTTTCAAGGACAATATGCCTGCCACACTAATAACAGCAATAGCATTCAATGTCTAGTGCCAGTGGTGCCAGTGATCCAACCTATTGCATCTGGTACTTGGTAGAAAATATATATATATATATGGTTCTGGGATGATTTGGGGTACAATTTCAGGCTGCCCCTATCCAGATTTTTCAGCCTGCTTGTTGTTTATTTGGACTACTCAACCTTTTCTTAAATAAGTTCCTTTTGGCCTGAATCAGCTGTTGTCAATTTATTTAAGAACTTGCATGTAAACCTGATTCAATGCATAATAACTAAAATACTTATGCCAGAGGCAGGAGAATAATATGTAAGATGGACCTAGAGTTTCAATTCAAAACTCAGAGATTCTAAATTTTATTATAGTTCTCCGCACTCAAGATGGGTGATTTGTGGCCAGTAATAAATCATCTCTGAGCTTCAAGGTCTTCAGATATAAAGTAGAGAAAATAATCTGATCAAACGATTGACAAAAAAAGTAATGTGTCAAATTATTTTCTTTATACCAAATTAAGATATTGAAAGGCTTTAAACATAGAATCTTTTCACATTACACTAAAATTATTTCTGGGAAGGTGACATCTCTTTCCTACTAAATAATAAACCACTATATTAGTCAGCTTCTGAGGTAGCAAGAAACAACTACACAATCTCAGTGGCTTACAACAGCAAATATTTGTTCCTTGCTCACAAGTCTGAAGGTTTACTGTGGCTTACCTGGGCTCACCTGGGGTCATCTGGGCTCAAGCTTGGCTATACTCTATGTGATCTCATTCTAGGTCCCAGCTAGAGGACCAGTGGCTCTTGGGGGCCACTTTATATAGTGTGTATAGTGGATAATAGGAATGCAAGAAGCCAAATCAAACTCTGCCAGGACATTTAAATCCTGCTCAGATATGATGTACTTCAGGTCAGTTCACATTCCATTGACTAGGCCCAACATGAATGGGACAGAGAAGATAGAGACAATAACTTTCATTTTTTTCATCCCAGGGTCTAAAATATAACTGGGTACAAATTAAGTTTAAAGGACATTTGTGGAGTGGAATCATTAATTCTAGGACCACAGGTAGACAACAGCTCTAAAAACGTGCTTAGAAATCATCTAACTCATGCCGGTAATTTTAAAGGATGGAAAGCTGAGACCCACAAGGTTATGTGACATATGCAAATTCCGCAGAGTTTGGTGCCACTATTGGGTAACATAACTTCAAGTTTCTCCTCAAGCCTAGGGTGAGAGTGGAGGTGGAATTTTCCATTCTGGAATATATAGTCTAGTCTGTTAAATAGGGTGTGACGCTGCAAAGCCGGAGCCACATATTAAATTCCCCCGATACCATTAACTATGGATAATTTGTCCCTAGTTAAAAGCTGTTGACCACAAGGTGGGAAGGAATTGACTCTGTGCATGCAGCTGAAAAAGTCCAAATCTAAACCCACCCAAAGAATTTGGAGCATATAATTATCTCCATTTAAGAGGGTAGTACATTATTTATGAAAAGCTGTCCATCCATGTTTTCCTTTCTTCTTTCTTTTTCTTTTTTTAAACATGACTCTGAAACACATTTTTGTCAGTTTTCTTATGAGTACTCCTGTAAGTTAGTCATTCTGTCCATAGTATGGATTAGATCTGAAATGAGCCTATTTGCTCTGAGAACTCAAAGTTAATGAGGAATAATCAATATCCATGGCTTTATTCAGTTCTGACTCCTGGCTTTCAGATAAAATACACTTTTTACCCACATGTAGAATTTCAGCTCATCAGCAAGGGAGAGCTCAAATAAAGCCGAAGGTATGATAGATTGAGCTGTGAAAACAATTTAGCCAATATTCAAAACACATCTGGCTAATCCCTAACATTAATTTCTCTTATGCTTTGCTGAAGGTTATAGCAGAAAGATTATGGATGAAAGAAAATCTCCTCTGTGGCTCTCAAAATTAGAGCTTTAAAATTAAAGTTGATTTACTACATCAAAGTAAAGTAGAGGTTGGATATCTATAGGAGCAAATACAAATATAACAGTTCTACTATCATTTTCAGTATTTACAAGCATTTAAATTGTTATTATTTTAACTATTGGGAAAAAAAGAAATACTCAGGTATTATTGTTATGTTTTTAAAAACTTGAACTGACTTTTTTTTAATGTAATTTCAACTTGTATTTTAGATTCAGGGAAAGCATGTGCAGTTTTGTTACCTGGGTAAGGGGTACCATTGATCCCCTCACCCAAGTACTGAGCATGGTACCAATAGTTAGTTTTTCAACCCTTGTCCTGTTACTTCTGTCTCCCTTCTAGTAGTCCCCAGTGTCTATTGTTTCCATCTTTATGTACATAAGTACCCAATGATTAGCTACTACTTAGAAGTGAGAATATACAGTATTCAGTTTTCTATTTCTGCATTAAACTTCTTAGAATAATGACCTCTAGCTGTATCTATGTTGCTGAAAAGAACATGATTTTGTTCTTTTTTATGACTATATAGTATTCCACAGTGTATATATACCAATCCACCATTGATGACCACCTAGATTCATTCCATATCTTTGCTATTGTGAACAGCACTGCAACAAACATGTGAGTACATGTGTCTTTTTAGTAGAATGATTTATCTTCTTTGGCTATATACCCAGTAATGGGATTGCTGGGTAATGGTAGTTCTGTTTTGAGTTCTTTGAGAAATCTCCAAACTGCTTTCCACTGTGGCTGAACTACTTACATTCCCACCAGCAGCGTATAAGCATCCATTTTCCCCACGGCTTATCCAGCATCTGTTGGTTTTTGACTTTTTAATAGTAGCCATTTTGACTGGTGTGAGATGGTATCTCATTGTGGTTTTGATTTGCATTTGTCTGATCATTAGTGATGTGGAATGTTTTTTCATAAGTTTGTTGGCCACTTGCATGTCTTCTTTTCAGAAATGTCTGTTCATGTTTTTGCCCATTTCTTAATGAGGTTGTTTGTTCTTTGCTCCTTCAATTGTTTAAGTTCCTAATGGATTCTGGATATTACACCTTTGTCAGATGCATAGCTTGCAAATATTTACTCCCATTCTGTAGATTATCTGGTTACTCTGTTGATAGCTTCTTTTGCTGTGCAGAAGCTCTTTAGTTTAATTAAGTCCCACTTGTCAATTTTTGTTTCTGTTGCAATTGCTTTTGAGGGCTTAATCATAAATTCTTTCCCAAGGCTGAGGTCCAGAATGGTATTTCCTAGGTTTTCTTCTAGGATTCTCATAGTTTTGAGTTGTTACATTTAAAATTTTAAGCTAACTTGAGTTAATTTTTGTATATGGTGAAAGATACAGGTCCAGCTTCATTATTCTGCATGTGCTAGCCAGCTATCTCAGCATCATTTATTGAATAGGGAGTCCTTCCCTCATTGCTTATTTTTGTCAACATTGTTGAAGATTAAATGGCTATAGGCATACAAGCTGGGTTCTCTGTTCTGTTCCATTGGTCTATGTGTCTGTTTTGTACCAGTATCATGCTTTTCTGGTTACTATAGGTTTATAGTATAATCTGAAGTTGGGTAATATAATACCTCCAGCTTTGTTTTTTTTGCTTATTCTGGCTCTTTTTTGGTTTGAATATATGAGGATAAAATATTTGTACATTTGTTTGTGTCTTTGATTTCTTTCAGCAGTATTTTGTTTTCACTTGTACAAGTTTTCCTTGTAGAGATCTTTCACTTTCTTGGTTAGATATATTGCTTTTTTTTTTTTTTTTCTGAGATGGAGTCTCACTCTGTCACCCAGGCTGGAGTGCAGTGGCGCGATCTCGGCTCACTGCAGGCTCCACCTCCCGGGTTCATGCCATTCTCCTGCCTCAGCCTCCTGAGTAGCTGGGACTACAGGCGCCCGCCACAATGCCCAGCTAATTTTTTTCTATTTTTATTAGAGATGGGGTTTCACCATGTCAGCCAGGATGGCCTTGATCTCCTGACCTCATGATCCACCCAAATTGGTTAGGTATATTTCTAAATATTTTATTTTATTTTTACTTTTCTGTGGCTATTGTAAATTAGATAGCATTCTTGATTTGGTCCTCAGCTTGAACATTATTAATGTATAGTAATGTTATTTATTTTTGTACATTAGTTTTGTACCCTAAAATTTTACTGACGTCATTCCAGGAGACTTTTGGAGGAGGCATTAGGGTTTTCTAGATATAGGATCATATTGTCAATTAGGAGAGATAGTTTGACTTCTTCTTTTCCTATTTGGATGCCTTTTATTTATTTTTTTTCCTTTGCCTGATTGTTCTGGCTAGGACTTCCTTGAATTGGCTTATTTAGAGAGGTAGAATCAGCATAAACATAGCATAATCTAGGCCTAATACTGTGCCCAGTCAGCCTAGTACTTTATATGGCATGTAGGCACAAGGAAAGACAGGTTTTCTCACATTTGATCTAAGTAATGATCAGAGTATAATATCTAACCAAAATTTTTATTATTAATACTTAACTGATATCTGTCATTATTGCACAGATTTAACTTTCTGAATCTGATTTTATAACCATATAAATTTATTATGTTACTTCTAGAGGTAAATATTTTACTGAATTACTCCCCAGAAGGTAAAGATGTATTGCTCTTATTTATCCCAAATTTTCCTTTTCTAGCTCAAACATACAGTCATCATTTTAGTCCTCATCAAGTAAGTTTGTTTGTCTTGCCCTCTTCTCAATCAAGTAGGAATTGCATTTAGCTGCTGGGAGTAGACATCCAACAACAACAGTATAAACACATAAGAATGTCTTTTTCTCACAAAGAAACAGCCTAGAGTTAGACTGCCCTGGACTGGTTTATGGGCCCACAGCATCTCCAGGCTTTTTCAAAAACTCCTAGTTAGATGCACCCTGGCCCAATGAGTCACCTATGACTGTGCTGTCACGCTGATGTAACTAATATTGCTTTAAGTGGTATGACTAATTTTTTTTGCACCTGAAGATTACTTTGGACACTCTCTGCCTGCACATATGGCAGAGAAGCTTTTATCAGAACAGCACTCCCACTAAGAATAATTAGAATAGTTGGATGCAATTTCAAAAACATCTGTGTGAAGGCATCAGTGAGGATGTAAAAGAACAAGATCCTAGAGAGAAGCAAAGTACAGAAATGAGCCTAGCATTTGGCCAGCTTTTAACCTGGAGGCATCTGTTGATTTACAAGCAATGGCCTAGAAACAGAGATCTAACAGCAAAGAAGCCAAGAGGCATGGAATCCAAGAGAAACGTAGCACCAAGATACTAAGAGAGTAGCAGACTTTTAGACTGGGACTAAAATTTGGAGTTCATGGCTTGCCGAAAAGGAGGCCCTGGTAAACATCATAGGAGTCAAGTTTAAGTCTTAACTTTGACAAGTTAAGAATTGTCAAAGACTAATTCTTCAACTCATCTCTACCTTCGAGGGTATTAAGATGATCTACCTCTACTCTAAATGCCCTCCTAAAGGGAAGGAAACCTTCTTCAGAGGGATAATTTCCTATTCATTTTAGGAGGCCAGAATAATTGTGACATCCAAACTAAAATGGCATTACTTTTAAAAAAGGAAAATCATAGGTCAACATCTCTCATGAATAAATATCAAAGCTCCTAAACAAAATATCATCAAGCAAGGATTTTCAGTAGTTTAAAAAGATAATACATGACAACTAACCTGGGTTTACTCCAGGTTTCCAAGTTTTTAATTTCAAGATTTAAAAAAAAATCAATCAATGTAATTTCCTATATTAATACAATAAAGAGACAATAATACGATTATCTCAACTGATGAAGGAAAAGCATTTGATAGAACTCAATAACTGATTGTGATTTTTTTTGAAAGCCACTTTGCAAATTAAGGTACAGAAATTGAAATGTTAACTAAAAACTTACCCACAGGAAAAAAATATCAAGGTCCAGATGGCTTTACTAGTGAATCTTGTTAAATTTTTTTTTTTCTTTTTGCCCAGGCTGGAGTGCAATGGTGCTATCTCAGTTCACTGCAATCTCCACCCATGAGTTCAAGCGATTCTCCTGCCTCAGCCTCCGAAGTAGCTGGGATTACAGGTGTCTGCCACCACGCCCAGCTAATTTTTCATAGAGATGGGGTTTCACCATGTTAGTCAGGCTAGTCACTAACTCCTGACCTCAGGTGATCTGCCCATCTCGGCCTCCCAAAGTGCTGGGATTACAGGCGTGAGCCACCACACATGGCTGTTAAATTTTTAAGGAAGAAAAAAATGCCAATGTTACATGAACTCTTTCAGAAAAGTAGGGAAGGTGGCAAAACTTCACAACTTATTTTATGTGATCAGCATTACTGTGATACCAACATGAGACAAGATACTGCAATAAAAGAAAATCACAGACCACTAATGAAAATAGATACAAAAATAATTATAAAAAATGTTAACAAATAGAATTCAGCAAAACACAAAAAGGAAAATAAACCATGACCAAGTGCAATAAATCCTAGGAATGTGAGGTTAGTTTAACATTAAAAAATCAATCAACATGATTCACCATTTTAACTGAAAAAATGAGGACCATACAATCATTTCATTAGATGCAGAGAAAGCATGCAGAAAAATTCATTGCTAATTCATAACTCATTCATGATTTAAAACTCTCAGAAAATTAAGAAGATAAGGTAATATCCTGATCCTTTCTACATTCACTCATTGAATTTTGTGATATTAACTAAAGTTTATTATGTAGAAGAGAATCACATTTAAAGGAAAAAAAAAATGTGTTTGACTTTTAATACCTTGGCTTTGAAGTGCTCTTCCCCTGGGGACATCTAAGAACAATTTCCAAGGGGGACAGTGGTTGACAGTTCTGGAGGGTCATAGACACAAGGCATAGATTAGAATTATAAATTTGGGAGCCACGTCTGTGCAGGTAGTTATTGAAGCAATAGTTGCAGATTAGGTTGCATAGAAGCTACATAGCAAGGTATTTATTAGTATGGGCTTTGAAATCTCACTGCTTGAGTTAGACCCAGTCTTTACCATTTGTGAAGTATGATCCTGGGCATGAAATTCAACTTATCACTTTTTCTCTGTATGCCTACCATTATCATACACCTACCAACCATAAAGATGTTATAAGAATTAACAGAATTTTATGTGTAAAATATTTAGAGCATGTCCTGGAACTACTAAACACCATAAAAATTTTAGCTTTTGCTGCTGTTATTGTTGTCTCAAAAGAAAGAAAACGTAATAAAAAGAAGAGAGGAACTTATAATAAGTTATTTGGTTTAG
The DNA here is from genome assembly GCF_000001405.40 of Homo sapiens. Taxonomy (NCBI): domain Eukaryota; kingdom Metazoa; phylum Chordata; class Mammalia; order Primates; family Hominidae; genus Homo; species Homo sapiens. Next base: position 41,244,197 of record NC_000005.10, on the reverse strand, counting down.
AATGTTCATATTTACAACGTTGCTTTTGCAACTTTATTATAAAACTTTATTTTTCACACATTAAGTTCAAAAGTATCTTTTTCTATAGTTGTGACTCCCTTTTAATATTAGATTATGTTTTCTCAAAAGCAGGTCCTGAGTCAAAGAGATAAATGTAGTTTACATGGATGGTGATCCAAGAATTAATGGTATAGAATGGAAGGTGATAAGACTGGGAAAGAAATGAAGACAATATTGTGTGTTATGACCTTGGTTTTTAGTGTAGGCAAATGTGACTTAATTCCACATTTAGAAGACAATGTAGAACACATCTCAGAGTTACTCCAACTGAGGAAAGAGAAAGTGAGAATATTTTTCTACCACCTCCCCAGCTGTCCAAGTTTGAGTGCTACTTAGCATCATTAACTCTCTGTTATTTCTGGATTGCCTTTTACATATGCTAAGAGTTTCCCCAAGGCTGTTAAAAAGCCTTCAGGCAGAGAGTAGCAGAGATTTCATTAAGTAGGCTTTGGTGTGTAGAAGTGAGAGCTAAGGAGATATGACAGACCACCTACAGCTATTGCTATATCCACACTCTGCGAAGGATATACTAAGTAATAACAGTCATGTCTAGCTTAGTAACTAGTCTCATTGTTCCCAAAGAAACTTTATAAATCAAAAAGAACTTTAAAAAAAATGTGTAAAGCAGCTAGATTCAAGAAATTCTGCTCAAAAAGCCTAATGGATTATTATGAAGCACTACACAAGTTTAAAGAGCCTAGAATAAAAATTTTTTAACATAACAAATCACTAAGTAAACAATTATTTGAAATGCCTGTAATGGCACAAAATAATAGAAAATGTGCTCACAAATCATGAGATATGAGTGTCAACATAAAAATCACACAATAAAAATGTTTAATAGATAATTTATAATGGTATAAATGTGTGGAGGTAAAGTGATGTTATGATTTATGAATACAATGTGGAATAATTAAATCAACCTAGTTAATCAATCTAGTTGACATGTCATCATCTCAAATAGTTAACTTTTTTTGTGATGAGAACATTTGAAACTTAGTCACTTAGCAATTTTGAAATGTACAATATCCTATTATTCACTATATTCACCAAGCTGTACAATAGAACTCAAAAGAAAAGAAAAGTTCTCCCATCTGAGATGTTGTATACTTTATCCATTATCTTCCCATTCCTCCTCCCATCCCCAGCCTCTGCAACCACCATTCTACTCTCTGCGTCTATGAGTTCCATTGTTTTAGGTTCCACATGTAAGTTAAACCACACAGTATTTTTTTTTTTTTTTACTGTACTTGGCTTATTTCATTTAGCATAATGTTTTTCAATTCCATTTATGTTGTAAATGATAGAATTTCCTTCTTTTTTAAGGATCAATAGTATTCCATTGAGTGTACATACTTTTTTTAATCCATTCATCTGTTGACGTACCATTCTGGAGGTGACAGGAAAGCCTAAATGTGGGATTTCTAAGGTTATTGCAAACATGAGAGAATTGAAAGAAAAATTTTGGCTAGAAATTTATTTTGAAATGAAACATAATTTATATAAAGATGTTTGAAAACAATTTCTTAATTAAGAAAACATTCTCCATATAATGTGTGCTAACTACAGAGAAATCAAAACTCAGATGTATTCTAAAATGTAACTTTTGCTAGAACTCAGATGTACCCTGTTTATTCTGTTTTCATACTGCTATAAAGAACTGCCCAAGACTGGGTAATTTATAAAGGAAAGAGGTTTAATTGACTCACAGTTCCACATTGCTGGGGAGGCCTCAGGAAACTTACAATCATGGCAGAAGGCAAAGGAGAGGCAGGCACCTTCTTCACAGGACAGCAGGATGGAGTGAGTACAAGCAGGAAAAATGCCAGACGCTTATAAGATGATCAGATCTCGTGAGACTCACTCACTATCATGAGAACACGATGGGGGAAACCGCCCCCATGAACCAATTACCTCTACCCTTGGTCCCACCCTTGACACATGGGGATTATGGTGATTACAATTCAAGATGAGATTTTGGGTGGGAGGACACAGCCAAACCATATCATAGTCCAAAAATGTAACTTTATTTTCTCCAAGTTTTTTTTTCCTTTCTGCTCCTATGCCAATTAATGAGGAAAAAAGTCTTAAACTTTTCAATTAATATTATTCAAGGTAACTATATAATGAGCTCAAACTTAAGCTCCCTCTTAGGACTATTTTTGTCTTGCTATAGGTTTTTTTATTTTACCTTCTCCTTTTCAAGATTCATCCAAATACTCATGGAAGAGGAATGATGGGGACACTGGTCCACCAGCTGTCTTTTCACACTGTGCTGGCTGCTATTGTGAATGTTCTGTCCTACCTAAGTACTAAGCATCCTCAAACAATATCCATATTGAACCAGTCTTGCTATCTGGTCTTTTGAAGCTTTATATGTAGTAGCATCCACTTTGAAACCCACATTTCCTATCATACCATCTAGTTAATGTCTCTTCTGTTCCATGAATTTTCTCACAATTTTTTGTCACCCCATATAGCACACTGAGCTTGTGGAAACCACAAGTAGGCTTTATGAAATTTGAAATATTACCCCATATCCTTTCACTTCCTCCAACATTGCTGCTTTCTTGTTCTCCAACCATGCTGCTTGTGGTCCATTCTGAATTCATGGTTTCTCTGCATGACCCGTAAAGTCTTTAGTCTATGTCCAGGGAATCACAGTTCAATGTACAATATTTTTTGATTCCTCCAAATTTATTTGGACATGTTTTACTATCTCCCAGGGGCTCAACCCTGGTAAAGAGAATGAAGCCAAGATCCAGTGGTGTGCTAGCGCCAGCTTATATAAGCTCATAAAATTTTATTGTTAGAATCTTCCCACCCACTACCACTGCTGTTATCACTGCCAGAGAGCTGTAGCATGAGCTCCACAGAGCCTGAGAGCCACCTACCTAGACTGGCTGCCACTGGCAGAACCCCACCCCGCCTCCAGCAGCAAGGTTGCCACACACTTGCATACATGCTGAGGATAGCCTGCTGCTGCTGGGGCATGCCAACCAGGGCCTGGGAATTGCCCCACTTTGCCCACCACAGCCTATTCCTATGCATGCCACTGGGGGCCTCAGGACAGGCACACCTGGCCTGGCACCACCACCACTCCTGCGAGCATGCTGCCCAAAGATCTGGGAAGTTGTCTTGCCCTGTAAGTCACCCCAGGTGCACACACATAGCATCAGGGGCTCTAATAACAGCCCAATAATGCCGGTCATCCGAGCACGCAATTTGGAGACCTAAGGACTTCCCTACTGTGCCCACTACACCTTATACCCATGCACACTATGGAGGGGAGACCTAAAGAGAAGCCCACCTCACCTGGTATTCCCCATCTAGCCACTAAGGGACCTGGGGTATCACCCCACCCCATCGGTCACTCTGGGCACATGTGTGCACCACCAGAGGCCCCAACCACAAGCCCAGAAAACCTGCAGCTGGCACTCAAGCATGCTGCCTGAAAGCCTGAGGATTGCCTCACCCTGTCCACCACTGCTGGTATCTGTGCAGTCCTCCCAGGGGCCTGAAGATGGGTCAGCCCAGCCTGCTGCCACCACCAACATCAGCATCCACATGTGCCACCTGAGGGTATGGGGAATGGCCCACCTGGCCCATCACAGCCACCATTAATACCAGAGAATGCTGCCTGAAAGCCCAAGAGTTATCCCGCCACCCTACTGCCATGGCCCATACTATGCATGCTGCTCAGCGGCCCAAGGACTCACCCATCTGCTTGATCCACAGCTGCTCCTACTGGCACCCAAGAAAGCCACCTGGAGGCTCAAGAATTGGCCTGCCTAAACCTGCTACCACCAGTGGCTGTGTACACTGCTCAGGGGTCCAAGAACAGGCATTCTTGGCCCACCAATAGCACCTATGGGGCAACAAAACTGGACTGGTGTCCCTGTTTCCAGCAAAACCTCACCAGAGCTTCCACTAACAATGCAGCCTGACCAATGAAGATCCATGGCATAGAAAACTTGTTTAACAAAATAATAGCTAAAAACCTTTTCAAGCCTAGCAAGAGATTTAGAAATCCAGATACAGGAAGCTCAAAGATCCTCCCTAACACATTATAGTCAAACTGTCAAAAGTCAAAGACAAAAAATGAATTCTAAAAACATCAAGAGAAAAGTGTCTAGTCACATATAAGAGAACCCCCACAGACTAACAGCAGATTTCTCAACAGAAACCCTACAGGCCAGGAGAGAATGGGATGATATATACAAAGTGATGAAAGGAAAATTGCCAGACAAGGACACTATATCCAGCAAAGTTACCTTTCATAAATGAAAGAGAAATAAAGCCTTTCCTAGACAAGCAAAAACTGAGGGAATTTATCACCACTAAACCAGACCTGAAAGATATGCTTCAGGGAGTCCAACACCCAGAAGTGAAAGGAAGATATCTGCTATTATCAAAACACAGAACAATAAAACTTACTGATATGTGGGATCTAAAAATCATTAAACTTATAGAGAGACATAAAATAATGATAGGTACTAGAGGCTCAGAAAGGTGTGGAGGTGTTTTGAGGGGTGGGGGATGGGGAAAATGGGTATAAACATACAGTTAGAGTAAGTTCTAATGTTTGATAGTATAGTAGGGTGACTATATACTATATATAGTGTATAGTAGGGTGACTATAGTTAACAACAATGTATTGTGTATTTCAGAATAGCTAGAGGAGATGACTTGAAACATTCCCAACACATAGAAATGATAAATGCTCAGCCAGGCACAGTGACTCACCCCTGTAACCCCAGCACTTTGGGAGGCCGAGGCAGGTGGATCACTTGAGGTCAGGAGTTCGAGACCAGGATGGCCAACATGGCAAAATCCCATCTCTACTAAAACTACAAAAATTAGCTGGGCGTGGTGGCACGGGCCTGTAACCCCAGCTCATGGGGAGGCTGAGACAGAAGAATCACTTGAACCTGGGAGGTGGAGGTGCAGTGAACCAAGAACATGCCATTTGCACTCCAGCCTGGGCGACAGAGCAAGAATCCGTCTCAAAAAAAAAAAAAAAAAAGAAAGAAAAGAAAAGAAATTATAAATGTGCCAGATGATGAATACCCAAAATACCCTGACTTGATAATTATGCATTCTATGCATGTAACAAAATGTTACATTTACCCCATAAGTATGTACAAACATTATGTATCAACAAAAATTCAAAGAAGTTGACTTTTAGATTTTTAGGAATGTTATTAGCCTGCTGTTAAACACGTAAGTTATTTTAAATTAAATTTTATGAACCCAATTTAAATTAATTATATTAAAAACAAAAGTAATAAAAACTCTAATTCACCATATTCTAATAATTTTAATACATTTTTACCAATTTTTACTAACAAAATAGGTTTTACTAATATCTATGCCCTTCAGGTTATTTGTGTATATTTTATCTTTCTAATTCTACTTTCAATGACATCAGGCTGGTAACTTGAAATTATTCATGATGTCAGATATTACACCATAAAAATTATCAAATGCTGCAAGTGTTAATCATTTGTCAGCACAACACTGGTCATGTCTCACCTCTTCTCCATCACTTCCTGAACCCTTTGTCTCTTCTCTTCCTCTTTTCTCCAGTGGTCTAAGGGTTTTATTACTTTCGCTTCTGGTGTGAATAGACTTGCCCCATATTCTCCTCTTCGCCTGGGTTAAAAGAAGGCAATAATGCCATTTATTATTTATTAATAAAGAATGAGATATGTGGCATTATTTCTGAAGGCTCTGTTCTGTTCCATTGATCTATATCTCTGTTTTGGTACCAGTACCATGCTGTTTTGGTTACTGTAGCCTTGTAGTATAGTTTGAAGTCAGGTAGTGTGATGCCTCCAGCTTTGTTCTTTTGGCTTAGGATTGACTTGGCGATGCGGGCTCTTTTTTGGTTCCATATGAACTTTAAAGTAGTTTTTTCGAATTCTGTGAAGAAAGTCATTGGTAGCTTGATGGGGATGGCATTGAATCTGTAAATTACCTTGGGCAGTATGGCCATTTTCACGATATTGATTCTTCCTACCCATGAGCATGGAATGTTCTTCCATTTGTTTGTGTCCTCTTTTATTTCCTTGAGCAGTGGTTTGTAGTTCTCCTTGAAGAGGTCCTTCACATCCCTTGTAAGTTGGATTCCTAGGTATTTTATTCTCTTTGAAGCAATTGTGAATGGGAGTTCACTCATGATTTGGCTCTCTGTTTGTCTGTTGTTGGTGTATAAGAATGCTTGTGATTTTTGTACATTGATTTTGTATCCTGAGACTTTGCTGAAGTTGCTTATCAGCTTAAGGAGACTTTGGGCTGAGACAATGGGGTTTTCTAGATAAACAATCATGTCGTCTGCAAACAGGGACAATTTGACTTCCTCTTTTCCTAATTGAATACCCTTTATTTCCTTCTCCTGCCTGATTGCCCTGGCCAGAACTTCCAACACTATGTTTAATAGGAGCGGTGAGAGAGGGCATCCCTGTCTTGTGCCAGTTTTCAAAGGGAATGCTTCCAGTTTTTGCCCATTCAGTATGATATTGGCTGTGGGTTTGTCATAGATAGCTCTTATTATTTTGAAATACGTCCCATCAATACCTAATTTATTGAGAGTTTTTAGCCTGAAGGGTTGTTGAATTTTGTCAAAGGCTTTTTCTGCATCTATTGAGATAATCATGTGGTTTTTGTCTTTGGCTCTGTTTATATGCTGGATTACATTTATTGATTTGCGTATATTGAACCAGCCTTGCATCCCAGGGATGAAGCCCACTTGATCATGGTGGATAAGCTTTTTGATGTGCTGCTGGATTCGGTTTGCCAGTATTTTATTGAGGATTTTTGCATCAATGTTCATCAAGGATATTGGTCTAAAATTCTCTTTTTTGGTTGTGTCTCTGCCCGGCTTTGGTATCAGAATGATGCTGGCCTCATAAAATGAGTTAGGGAGGATTCCCTCTTTTTCTATTGATTAGAAAAGTTTCAGAAGGAATGGTACCAGTTCCTCCTTGTACCTCTGGTAGAATTCGGCTGTGAATCCATCTGGTCATGGACTCTTTTTGGTTGGTAAACTATTGATTATTGCCACAATTTCAGAGCCTGTTATTGGTCTATTCAGATATTCAACTTCTTCCTGGTTTAGTCTTGGGAGAGTGTATGTGTCGAGGAATGTATCCACTTCTTCTAGATTTTCTAGTTTATTTGCATAGAGGTGTTTGTAGTATTCTCTGATGGTAGTTTGTATTTCTGTGGGATTGGTGGTGATATCCCCTTTATCATTTTTTATTGTGTCTATTTGATTCTTCTCTCTTTTTTTCTTTATTAGTCTTGCTAGCGGTCTATCAATTTTGTTGATCCTTTCAAAAAACCAGCTCCTGGATTCATTGATTTTTTGAAGGATTTTTTGTGTCTCTATTTCCTTCAGTTCTGCTCTGATTTTAGTTATTTCTTGCCTTCTGCTAGCTTTTGAATGTGTTTGCTCTTGCTTTTCTAGTTCTTTTAATTGAGATGTTAGGGTGTCAATTTTGGATCTTTCCTGCTTTCTCTTGTAGGCACTTAGTGCTATAAATTTCCCTCTACACACTGCTTTGAATGCGTCCCAGAGATTCTGGTATGTGGTGTCTTTGTTCTCGTTGGTTTCAAAGAACATCTTTATTTCTGCCTTCATTTCGTTATGTACCCAGTAGTCATTCAGGAGCAGGTTGTTCAGTTTCCATGTAGTTGAGCGGCTTTGAGTGAGATTCTTAATCCTGAGAAATAATGCCGCATATCTACAACTATCTGATCTTTGACAAACCTGAGAAAAACAAGCAATGGGGAAAGGATTCCCTATTTAATAAATGGTGCTGGGAAAACTGGCTAGCCATATGTAGAAAGCTGAAACTGGATCCCTTCCTTACACCTTATACAAAAATCAATTCAAGATGGATTAAAGATTTAAACGTTAGACCTAAAACCATAAAAACCCTAGAAGAAAACCTAGGCATTACCATTCAGGACATAGGCGTGGGCAAGGACTTCATGTCCAAATCACCAAAAGCAATGGCAACAAAAGCCAAAATTGACAAATGGGATCTAATTAAACTAAAGAGCTTCTGCACAGCAAAAGAAACTACCATCAGAGTGAACAGGCAACCTACAACATGGGAGAAAATTTTCGCAACCTACTCATCTGACAAAGGGCTAATATCCAGAATCTACAATGAACTCAAACAAATTTACAAGAAAAAAACAAACAACCCCATCAAAAAGTGGGCGAAGGACATGAACAGACACTTCTCAAAAGAAGACATTTATGCAGCCAAAAAACACATGAAAAAATGCTCATCATCACTGGCCATCAGAGAAATGCAAATCAAAACCACTATGAGATATCATCTCACACCAGTTAGAATGGCAATCATTAAAAAGTCAGGAAACAACAGGTGCTGGAGAGGATGTGGAGAAATAGGAACACTTTTACACTGTTGGTGGGACTGTCAACTAGTTCAACCATTGTGGAAGTCAGTGTGGCGATTCCTCAGGGATCTAGAACTAGAAATACCATTTGACCCAGCCATCCCATTACTGAGTATATACCCAAAGGACTATAAATCATGCTGCTATAAAGACACATGCACACGTATGTTTATTGCAGCATTATTCACAATAGCAAAGACTTGGAACCAACCCAAATGTCCAACAATGATAGACTGGATTAAGAAAATGTGGCACATATACACCATGGAATACTATGCAGCCATAAAAATTGATGAGTTCATGTCCTTTGTAGGGACATGGATGAAATTGGAAACCATCATTCTCAGTAAACTATCGCAAGAACAAAAAACCAAACACCGCATATTCTCACGCATAGGTGGGAATTGAACAATGAGATCACATGGACACAGGAAGGGGAATATCACACTCTGGGGACTGTGGTGGGGTCGGGGGAGGGGGGAGGGATAGCATTGGGAGATATACCTAATGCTAGATGACACGTTAGTGGGTGCAGCGCACCAGCATGGCACATGTATGCATATGTAACTAACCTGCACAATGTGCACATGTACCCTAAAACTTAAAGTATAATAAAAAAAAAAACATTAAAAAAAAAAAAAAAGAATGAGAATGTAGGACTTGGACTTTCAAAAATATTATCCTCATTTTTGGCTGCTAACTTGCTTTCCAAATCTCATCTTCACAGTGAATAGAAGGACAAATCTCAGCCAAGATTCCAAATCATCTCAAACTACAAATTAATAAAGTCTCATTAGTAAGGAATTATTATAGCAACAGGCAACAATAAATTATCTACCTTGTATTCTGAGTAATTCACATTTACAAATGTGCCTTCATATTTTATCACCTTGGCATTATTGGCTCCTCATAACTTTCTTAGTTTCTCATGATTATAAAGCTGATTTAACAAGTTACTAGTGAACATGACTAATTGTATTCCCTTGTAGTCACCACAGTACAGCAATCTCAAGGCAGAGGGTTTTCTGCTCTTCTGTTTTCCCAAACTGTGCAGAGGAACTAGGCAATTGGTTCATTAGTCATTAGTAATCATTTATAAAATTGGAGAAACTACAGAGCAATGATATTTCCACTTTTGTCCAGCTTCTACACTCAGTGCTAATTCAATCACTTTCTAGATTAAATCTCTGTTTTCTTACTCTATTGATTAAATGGCTACTTTGCCAGATAGGATTTACAAGACCAAGCATGTGGGAAATATATTTATTGCCAAATTATCTGGCAAAATGATTTCCATTCCCTAAGTTATGCAACATCTTCCAAGCAAAAAAAAAAAACAAAAAACAAAAAACAAAAAAAAAAACGAAAGGGTAGAATAACAAAGTATCCCACACTGGAATATTCTAGGATTTTCCCATGAACATTATTGGAAAGTGGAATTTCTATCATTGTTACGAGGAATTTACTTCACCTGGAAGTTATTGATATTGATACATTGCAATTACATAGTGTTTTCTACTTTTCTCCTTCAAAAGTAGTAATGTGAGATCCACCTGGAAAGAATGACCCCTGTGGGAAAGAATTCTGTAGGTAATATTATATAATTTGTTTTGTAAATTCTGGCTTACCAAAACCTTGACTATGGTTAAGCAAAGTTCACTCATCTATGTATCATATATAGCAATACTTTGAAGGTTTTTATTTTAATATTAGAGATTTACTATGGAAACAGAAATATTTGTGGAAATCATTTAAGCGATATTTGATACTATTAATGCTGTCATATATTTATTATGACCAAAAGAAAATAATAAAAACTTTTATAAAAGAACTAAATAAACTGTAAATATAGAGATAGATGGAGTTCTCATATAACCTGCCAATAACTTAACGTGGCTAGAGCAAATGATCAGGTCTCATTTGGATTTTGCTGTTTGTCTCAGTGTTCTTCTTTCAAATCTTCTAAGATTAGATAGGTCTTTTTTATTCTCAGCTCTTATTAATAACTACAATTATTTTTTTGTTCATGCACTAAATTGGAGCAACTCAGTGCTTATTACAAATCTACAAATGTGTCTGCCTCCTTCCAAAGTGCTCTACAAAAATCTTATTGCCTACTTTGCTGTAATGAGAATAGCTGCATCTCGTTTTAGCTTTATTTTGTTTTGTTACACAATTGCTCCTGACAGTCTTCCCTTTGCCATCTTGTAAATATTCTATATGTGAAGAGCTTCTCCATCTATAGTGAAAAAGAATTATGCCTTCCTTAGAGTTCTAAAGTGAACATAGATTTTACATCATATAGCCCATTTACACTTTTTGTAGAATATCCATCAAGAAACAATGGTAACAATAGTTTAAGACATTATTGTTTATCCATTTCATATCCCATATCTTTTGTGCCACAAGATCCATGAAGATCAGTGGTCTCATTTACTTTTGATAATGACCAGAATGAGTAGTTAGAGCAGTTATCATTTCCCTATTTTACAGATAAGAAAACTGACTGCTAAAAATGTTAATTAAAATTTCCAAGATCAAATAATTGGTGACTGAGCTGATATTAGAAACAAAACTTTATATGAATAAATGTTTATAATATGTTGTCAAATTAATTTTTAAATACAGAAAATACAGTAATACACATGAAAATTATATACATAATAGAATATTAATTGAAAATATATGCATACAAAGCAGAAATAATGCTAGTGCAGCAGATTCTATAAATATAAAATATCTGCTGTATTTAAGGCTGTAATAGATACTGGGTTTACAGAAAGAGTAGACATGGTCCTTGTCACAGTAAAACTAATAATGTAATGAGAGATATAAATGCTAATAAAATAAACACAAAAAGAAACATGACAACACAATATGAGAAAAAAGAACAAAAAATAAGGTGCTATGAATAGCATCTAATTAATATGAGAGTTGATTTGACTCTGAGGAAGTTAATTGAGACTGAAAACAGAAAAATAATCAGGAATTAATCAAGAGAGGGTAATGAAGCAAAAAAGATCATGAATGACTTAAAATTTTTTTTACTTTTCTGTATTTCCAAATGCCTAAGAAAACACACATAACTTTACTAATCAGAAACAATGCATACCTGCTTTTTAAAAAACAACCTCGTATGACTTCTGATTCTGACTGACAGGATACTTATTAGTACTAACAAGCTTCCTAGCAAAAGCAACCATAAAAGCTAAAATTAAAAAGAGAATATCCAAGGCAAAATATACTTTACTGATCAAGAAACCAGAGAAAGAAAAATCCATGTGGTTAAGACAAATTCTCTGCCACTTTTCTTTTAAGGGATTTACTAACTGATAATTGAAGTAGGCCAAAAGATTTAGCACAGAGCAGCAGATCAGAGCTTTCCACTATCTCAGAGTAGTGTAGTAGGAAACAGAAGTGAGTAAGGGCTACTAAGACGGCCACAACTCAAGGGATACGCAGAGGGGGAAACATACAAAGAAGTAAACTCAGTATTTGTTTCAGCTTTTTATGTTCAAATATTTCCTCATTCCTGAAGGGTTAAGAAACAAAGCAGAAAGCAATATATAACAAAGCTAAGAAGAATTTTTGAAAATCTCATAGTTACAGGGATACAACAAAGACAGCTATGAATTAGGAGTCCTAACAAGAACAACAAACTTTTGAGATTCTTAAAAGGTAAAACCTGAAGAAGACAGAAAAAACAGATATAGTCATCTCCACAGACACTAAACTTCAGCACAAATTATCCCAATCACTGAGTAAAGCAGTATTATTTGTCACTACTCTAACTGTGCCAGAAAAAAAAAACTGTATTAAAGAAAGTATATTAAAGAAATTCTTATATTAAAGAAAATTATTAATTAGGAACATGTGATTTTTTCACACACAGTGTCTATCATTTTTAAAAAATTACCAGGCAAGACAGGACACAGAACCAAATGTCAAACAAGAGGGGAATAACATGTTAGAAACAGAATCATAGGCACACCACTTACTTTAAAATAAGTCTAATTAGTACTTTAAAAAAATAAATGTCAAAATGGAGAATTTTACCAGAGGATCAGAATTTATTTTTAAAAAGATAAAACAAACCCCAAAATGAAAACTATAACCTATTAAAAACAAACTAGATGGTTGTAACAGCATATTAGCTTAGATATTACATGTATTATGATTACACGATAATGGAAGAAGCAAAAGTGTAGTTTTTGTATGTGAACAAAGTTAAGCTGTCATCAGTTAAAAATGGACTGGTTTTAACTGTAAGATGAATTCTGTAACTTTAACTGTAACTGTTAAGATGAATTCTGTGAGCTTCATGGTAACCATAAAGCAAAGCCATATAGTATGTACATTAAAAAGAAATGAAACATGTCACCATAAAAAATCATAAATATCTCAAAGTAAGACAGTAAGAGAAAGAATGAAACAAAAAACCCTACAAAATAAGAAGCAATTTTAAAAATGAAACAAGTAAATCCTTATCTTTCAATAATTAAACACAAATGGATTAAATTCTCCAATTAAAAGAGTAGCTAAGTGGATAAAAAATAAATGTATTTTAAGAAAACAAGATCCAACTGTAGGCTGTCTACAAGAGAGTCACTTTAGCTTTAAAGATGCACATAGATTGAAAGTGAAAGAATAGAAAAAGATACTCCATGCAAATAGTAAACAAAAGAGAGCAGGAATGGCTATACTTAGATGAGACTAAATAGAATTTATTGTATGATAAAGTGGTTAATCCATCAAAAAGATATAACAATAGAAACTATATATGGAAAGAATATTAGGGGAACCAGCCCCCAATATTTCAATGTAGGTTCTTTTCTATTTTCTCTAAGTGTCAGCCAGTCTGAGAAATAAAGAGAAAGCATACAAAGAGAGGAATTTTACAGCTGGGCCTCCAGGGTGACATCACATATTGGTAGGACTGTGATGACGACCCCAAGCTGCAAAACCAGCACGTTTTTATTAGGGATTTTAAAAGGGGAGGGGGTGTACGAACAGAGAGTAGGTCACAAGGATCATATGCTTCAAAGGGCAATAAAGATCACAAAGGCAAAGGCAAAATTAGAATTACTGATGAGGGTCTATGTCCTGCTGTGCACACATTGTCTTGATAAACATCTTAACAAGAAACAGAGTTCAAGAGCAGAGAACCAGTCTGACTAGAATTTACCAGGCTGGAATTCCCAATCCTAGTAAGCCTGAGGGTGCTACAGGAGACCAGGGCTTTTTCAGTCCTTATCTCAACCACTTAAGACAGACACTCCCAGAGTGGCCAATTATAGACCTCCCCCCAGGAATGCAATCCTTCCCCAGGGTATTAATTATTAATATTCCTTGCTGGGAAAAGAATTCACTGATATCTCTCCTACTTGCACGTCTGTTTATAGGCTCTCTGCAAGAAGAAAAATATGGCTCTATTCTGCCCAACCCCCCAGTCAGTCAGACCTTATGGTTATCTTCCCTGTTATGCTGTTCTTTTCAAGGTGCACTGATTTCATATTGTTCAAACATATATGTTTTACAATCAATTTTTACAATAGTGGTCCTGAGATGACGTACATTCTCAGCTTACAAAGATAACGTGATTATGAGATTAAAGTAAAGACAGACATAAGAAATTATAAGAGTATTATTAGGGAAGTGATAAATGTCCATGAAATCTTCACAATTTATGTTCAGCGATTGCGGTAAAGACAGACATAAGAAATTAGAAAAGTATTAATTTTGGGAACTGATGAAAGTCCATGAAACCTTCACAATTTATATTCTTCTGCCTCGGCTCCAGCTGGTCCCTCTGTTTGGGGTCCCTGACTTCCCACAACAAAAGAACATTGAGCACCAAAATATATCAAGCAAATATTAACAGAACTGAAAGAATAAACTGCAATAAAACAATAGTATTGAACTTTAATACCCCACTGTTAACAGTAACTACATTATACAGATAGAAAATCAATAAGGAAGCCGAAGATTTGAATAACACTACAGATTAAATGGACCTTAAAGGCATATACAAAACATTCCATCCAACAGCAACAAAATACACAGTCTTCTAAAGCACACACTGAACGTTACTGAGAATAGATCACATGTTAGGCCACAAAAAAAAGTCTTACCACATCAAAAAAGACTGAAATCAAATTGCACCATCTTTTCTGATCACAATAATATGAAACTAGAAATCAATAACAGGAGGAAAATTTGAAAATTTATAAATATGTGTAAATTAAACACAGTTCTGAACAACTGACAGGTCAAAGAAGAAATCAAAAAGAAAAGCTAAAAATATATTGACACAATGAGAGTGGTAACATAACTTACTGAAACTTATGGATGCAGCAAAAAAAAAAAAAGTTCTGAATGAAGTTTATAGAGATAAACACCTACATTAAAACAAAAAGAAGGATCACACATAAACAAACTCCACCTCAAGAAACAAGAAAAAGAAAAACTAAACTCAAACTTAGCAGAAGAAAGAAAATAACAAATATCAGAGGAGAAATAAATGAAATAGAAAATAGAAAAAAAATTAACATGATCAATAAAATTAAGAGTTGATTTTCTTTTTCTTTTTGATGGAGTCGTGCTCTGTCGCCCAAGCTGGAGTGCAGTGGCACTATCTTGGCTCACTGCAACCTCCGTCTCCCGGGTTCAAGTGATTCTTCTGCCTCAGCCTCCCAAATAAATAGCTAGGAATTCTCCCTGACTCATTCTACAATGTAAGCATTAGCCTAAGTGCAAAATCAGACAAAGACACAACAAGAAAAGAAAACTACAGGTCAATATTCCTGTGGAACATAGGTGCAAAAGCCTTCCATAAAATACCTGCAAACTGAATTCAACAGTATGTTTAAACAATCATTCACCATGATCAAGTGGGAATTATCCATGGGATGCAAGGATGATTTACCATATGGAAGTTAATAAATGTACAATAAATGTACATTAACATAAGGAAAAACAAAAACCATATTATCATCTCAATAGATGCAGAAAAAACATTTGTCAAAATTTAACATCTTTTCATGATAAAAAAGTGTCAATGAATTAGGCATATAAAGAATGTACCTCAACACAGTAAAGACCATATGTGACAAACCCACAGCTAAAATCATACTCAACAGTGAAAGATTGAAAGCTTTTTCTCAACAATTAGGAATAAGACAGAAATGCCCACTTTCTTCTTCTATTCAGTGTAGTACTGGAAGTCTTAGCCAGAGCAATTAAGCAAGAGAAAGAAATAAGATATCCAAATGGGAAAGGAAGGTAAACTGTCTCTGCTTGCAGATAACACAATCTTATATGTAGAAAACCCTAAAGACTGCACTTAAAATATTATTAGAACCAATAAACAAATTTGGTAAAGTGGCAGGATATGAAATCAACATTTAAAATATCATAGTATTTCCATACACCAATGACAAATATCCAAAAAAGAAATCAAGAAAATAATCCCATTTACAAAAGCTACCACAAAAATAAAGGAATGAAGTTAAACAAGGAGGTAAAAGAGCTGTATACTGAAAACTATATATTAATGCTGAAAAAAATGGAAGCAGACACAAGTAAATGGAAAGATATCCCATGTTATAAATTGGAAGAATTAATATTGTTAAAATGTCCATACTACCAAAATCGATCTACAGATTCAATGCAATCTGTATTAAAATCATAATGGCATTCTTCACAGAAAACAGAAAAACAAATCCTAAAACTTGTAAGGAACCAAAAATGCCTCAAATAGCAAAGTAATCTTTAGCCAAAAGAGCAAAGCTGGAGGCATCACACTACCTGACCTCAAAATACACTACAAAGTAATAGTATTTCAAACAGAATGGCACAAGCATAAAAACAAACCCATAGACCAATAGGACAAAATAGAGAACCTAGAAATAAATCCACATATTTGAGGTCAATTGATTTTCACAAAGATGCCAAGATCACACAATGGGGAAGGACAGTCTCTTAAATAAGTAGTGTTGGAAAAGATGGATATCCACATAAAAAGAAATAAATTAGACCCTTATCTCACATTGTATACAAAAATCAACTGAAAAGTTATCAAAGACACATAAGATTTGAAACTATTGGAAGAAAACTCTGAAACTATAAAACTACCGGAAGAAATCATGGGGTAAGTTCCATGACACTGGTCTGGGCAATGATTTTTTTGGATGTGACCCCAAAAGCACAGGCAACAAAAGCAAAGATAGGTAAATGAGATTACATCCAACTATAAATCTCCTGCACAGTCAAGATAACAATCAATAGAGTGAACAGACAACCTACGGAATAGGAGAAAGTATTTTCACACCATACGTCTGATGAAGAGTTTATATGCAAAATGTATTAAAAACCTCAAACAATCCAATAGCTAGAAAAAAAAACAATTAAAAAATGGGCAAAAGATCTGAACAGACATTTCTCAAAAGAAGACATACAAATGACCAACAGGAATTTGAAAAACTGCCCAACATCACTAATCATTAGGGAAATACAAATTAAAATCATCATGAGGTATCACCACACACCTGTTAAATTGACTATTACCAAAAAGATAAAAGATGACAAGTTTTGATGAGAATGTGGAGGAAAGAAAACTCTTACACACTGTTGGTAGGAATATTAATTTGTACAGACATTATAGAAAACAGTATGGAGGTTCTTCAAAGGATTAAAAATAGAAATCCATATGATCCAGCATTCTCTTTATTGAGTATACATCCAAAGGAAATAAAATTAGTATGTCAAAGAGATATCTGTACTCTTATGTTCACTGTGGCATTATTTACAATAACCAAGATATGGAATCAACCTAAGTGTCCATCGACAGATGAATGGATAAAGAAAATGTGGTGTATATACAAAAATGAATACTATTTAGCCTTAAAACATGAGGAAATCCCATCTTTTGAGGCAACATGGATGAACCTGGAGGACACTACACTAAATAAAATAAGACATGCAAAGAAAGACAAACATTGTGTGATCTCACTTATGTGGGGAATCTAAAAAAGTAGAACCCGCAGAAGCAGCAACTAGAATGGTGGTTAGCAGGGGCCGCAGGAGGGAGGTGATAGGAATGGGGGAGATGTTGTTCATGAGACATAAAATTTCAGTTAGACAGGAGGAACAAGTTCAGGAGATCTACTGTATAGCATGGAGACTATAGTTAATCACAATGTACTCTACAGTTGAAAACTGCTATTTCTCCACACCTTCTCCAGCACCTGTTGTTTCCTGACTTTTTAATGATCGCCATTCTAACTGGTGTGAGATGGTATCTCATTGTGGTTTTGATTTGCATTTCTCTGATGGCCAGTGATGATGAGCATTTTTCCATGTGTCTTCTGGCTGCATAAATGTCTTCTTTTGAGAAGTGTCTGTTCATATCCTTCGCCCACTTTTTAATGGGGTTGTTTGTTTTTGTCTTGTAAATTTGTTTGAGTTCATTGTAGATTCTGGTTATTAGCCCTTTGTCAGATGAGTAGATTGCAAAAATTTCCTCCCATTCTGTAGGTTGCCTGTTGACTCTGATGATGGTTTCTTTTGCTGTGCAGAAGCTCTTTAGTTTAATTAGATCCCATTTGTCAATTTTGGCTTTTGTTGCCATTGCTTTTGGTGTTTTAGACATGAAGTCCTTGTCCATGCCTATGTCCTGAATGGTATCACCTAGGTTTTCTTCTAGGGTTTTTATGGTTTTAGGTCTAACATTTAAGTATTTAATCCATCTTGAATTAATTTTTGTATAAGGTGTAAGGAAGGGATCCACTTTCAGCTTTCTACATATGGCTAGTCAGTTTTCCCAGCACCATTTATTAAATAGGGAATCCTTTCCCCATTGCTTGTTTTTGTCAGGTTTGTCAAAGATCAGATAGTTGTAGATATGTGGCATTATTTCTGAGGGCTCTGTTCTGTTCCATTGGTCTATATCTCTGTTTTGGTACCAGTACCATGCTGTTTTGGGAGAGGATGTGGAGAAACAGGAACACTTTTACACTGTTGGTGGGACTGTAAACTAGCTCAACCATTGTGGAAGTCAGTGTGGTGATTCCTCAGGGATCTAGAACTAGAAATACAATTTGACCCAGCCATCCCATTACTGGGTATATACCCAAAGGATTATAAATCATGCTGCTATAAAGACACATGCATTCGTATGTTTATTGCGGCACTATTCACAATAGCAAAGACTTGGAACCAACCCAAATGTCCAACAATGATAGACTGGATTAAGAAAATGTGGCACATATACACCATGGAATACTATGCAGCCGTAAAAAATGATGAGTTCATTTCCTTTGTAGGGATATGGATAAAGCTGGAAACCACCATTCTCAGCAAACTATCGCAAGGACAAAAAAAAACAAACACTGCATGTTCTCACTCATAGGTGGGAAGTGAACAATGAGAACACATGGACACAGGAAGGGGAACGTCACACACTGGGGCCTGTTGTGGGGTTGGGGGAGAGGGGAGGGATAGCATTAGGAGATATATCTAATGTTAAATGATGAGTTAATGGGTGCGGCACACCAACATGGCACATGTATACATATGTAACAAACCTGCACGTTGTGCACATGTACCCTAAAACTTAAAGTATAATTTAAAAAATGGCTAAAGGATTTGAATAGACATTTCTCAAAGGAAGACATACAAATGGCCAGTAAGCACATGAAACAAAATGCTCAACATGATTAGCCATCAAGGATACGCAAATTTCCTGTAAATGTAAATTCCCAGGGAAATGTGAAGAAAAAAAAGAAAATAACAAGTGTTGGCAAGGATGCAAAGAAATTGGAACCCTAATACCTTGCTGGTAGAAATGCAAAATGGTGCAATCGCTACAGAAAATAATTTGACAGTTCCTTAAAATGTTAAAGATAGAGCTACCATATGACCCAGCAACTCCACTCCTAGATATATATTCAGTAGAATTGAAAACATATATTCACACAAAACATGTACACAAATGTTCCCAGCAGCATTATTCATAATAGCCAAACAGAGGAAATAACACAAATGACCATCAACTGATAAATAGATAAACAAAATGTAGTATACCCATGCAACAGAGTGTTATTCAGCAATAAAAAAAAAAGGAACATACTAATACATGGTCAACATGGATGAACCTTGAAAACGCACTTAGTCAAAGAATCAGTCTCAAAAGACGACGTATTATATTATTTCAATTATATGAAATGTGAAGAATAAGGAAAACTATAGACACAGAAAGTAGATTGGTAGTGCCTAAGACTGGGGAGGAGGGATAGGGAAAAATAGGGAGTGGCTGCTAATGGGTTCAGGGTTTCTTTTGAGTGATAAAAATGTTCTAAAATTAAATTGTGGTGCTGGCTGCACATCTCTGTGAATATATTGAAGACTATTAAATTGTACACATTAAATGGGTGCATTGCATGGCAAGTGAATTACATCTCAATAAAGCTATTTTAAGAGAAAAAAAGAAAACTGCTGACAGCACATTTAGTATTCTCACCGCAAAAAACAAAATGGTAAGTATGTGAGGTAATAGATATGTTAATTAGTTTGATTCAGCCATTGCACAATGTATACATATATCAAAACATCATGTCGTGCACTTTAAATATAGACAAACATGTACAATTTTTGTCAATTAAAGAAAATTATAGTAGATTTGTTGACATTATTTCCAGATGTGATACTGTCAAACCCAAAGTAAAGAATATTCTAAACATAATTTGCTTTTATTGTTCAAAATTGTCAATATCTAGAATGACAATGAAAATTTAGGCACTGCTCTCTATATTAAAGAGATAGATATGATAACTAAATAGAACATGATCTTGGGCTGGATCCTGTACTGGAGAAGGAAAATAAAGAATATTATTGAAACATTGTTGAAATATTAACAAAATAAACCTTATATTAAATAAAAGTACGGTTTCTGTTGCCAGCTTTTCTAAATTTGATTACTATACTTGGTTTAAAAGTAGATTGCATAAATAAACTGTGAATTTCCTTCAATGACATGTATTTTTGCTATCTTTCATACATCTAAGCCTAACAGAACAGTTCTTATTAAAATAAACTGCTTCTCACCCACCTCCAACTTAACCAGTTAGAAAAGATTAAGCCAATACAATCGCACAAAAGACCAATTAAACATATTACCTGATGACAAGAAAAGGTATTTCAATTTATCCTTTACTGTGGAGTAGGGCTATGAAGGTACCATGTCCAAGCCAGCTTGAGAGTTTTGCTTGGTACCCTGGGACCTGAGATTGCCCAGACACCCAGCCTATTGTGTAATTGTTGTTCCTCATTGGTTTTCTCTTAAATTACTCCAGAGAGAAGAGCAGAAAAAGCATTTTTATTCAAGTACAGATTTATTCAACCATCTAGTCCTTGGAGAATAACGAAATCATCACAGTTTTTTTTCTCTAATTATCTGGTGCTTTCTTTGTTTCCTGCCTCCCCTGACATATATCGCCCCAGTGCCCAGTGTGGTAACAATACCTGTTAATCTCTAAATGTTAGTTATAGGAGAAACCATAGAAACCAAGCTTTTGTTTATTACAGTGGTATCTGAAGTAAGTTCAGCTCCAGGCTGAGTACAAATTTATCCCTCACAATAACATAAATTACATAATTTAGATCTGTGATCAAAACAAATTGGAAGGTTTTATTTACAATAGAAATTCCAGAGAATTTAAGCATATTTAAGTTTAAAATGGAAGAGGGGATAGGGAAAGTTTCTGGTTAAATGAACACAGTTAGGATATTAAATTTATTCCCATTTAAAAGGCTAAATGAATTTCTATTGAACGTTGTAATTAGCCATGTGGGCTTATTTCATTACTCTTTCAATACAAGAGAAAAGAAATAAAATGCTATAAACCCGAAGGACAAGGAAAATAGAGGAGATCCCACTAAACATAATATTTTAACAAAATTTGGAAAACAGAAAGTAGTAAAATACTACCTGACTCGTAAGAGCAGGGGAAGCTATATGCACAAAGGTATCAGAAATAGTAAATATATAGAGATTCATATAAATAAACTATTTTTTCTTTTAATTTCTTTGAAATAATGCAATTGTTTAAATTAACTCTTCAAACTTTTTTCCATTATTTCCCCCCAAGGAAACTTGTTAGAAACTTTACATTGTAATTGTTCATTCCTTCCTTGACATTTTTATACCCAAGATATGTTGTGCTCTTGTTTATATGTTATAGATACATCTGTGCTTTATACATTAAAATAAAAAATATAAAACTTTTCTGTTTAATGCAAACTTCAGAATGACTAAATTTTACAAGTTAAATGTAATATTTAAAAAATTAAAAAGCTATTAGCATATAACAACTTTGTAACTGCATGATTATTGCAAATTTCAATATAATTTATTTACTTATATAATTATGAAAGTTAGCAACATATATAAATACACAGTAATAGTTTTCAAAACTATTAACTTTGAGCAAAAGTAAAATAATTACAAAATTACTTTTCTTTTTTTTGTTTTTTTTTTTTGAGATGGAGTCTCTCTCTGTCGCCCAGGCAACAGAGCAATGGCATGATCTCGGCTCACTGTGACCTCTGCCTCCCGGGTTCAAGCAATTCTTCTGCCTCAGCCTCCCAAGTAACTGAGATTACAGGTGCCCGCCACCATGCCCAGCTAATTTTTGTATTTTTTAGTAGAGATAGGGTTTCACCATGTTGGTCAGGCTGGTCTCAAACTCCTGACCTGAGGTGATCCACCTGCCTTGGCCTCCCAAAGTGCTGGGATTACAGGTGTGAGCCACCACGCTGGCCAGTGAACTTAACTTTTAACTTCTGCTCAATATAAGAAAATAACTTTTAACTTAACTAGCTGCCAGATATTCATTTATATATTGTTGATACTTTTTTGTTTTCCTCACCTGTATAATGATGGATTGAATAACTTTTATAGACTTGAATAACTTTTTTGAATAACTATTGAATAATTATTCCAAATAACTATTAAAACACTGCTTTTATTTAATTCTCAAAGCCCTAGTCACACACCAAAACAATGAGGATCAAACATAAACAACATCCATAAGGTAGCCAATGGCAGCCAATAAACTTGAGTAGGCTAGGCCATTTCTAGCAATCTATTAAGGAAAGAAAGCCATCTACTTGCTGTAGCACTGATCTTATATACATTTTATGTATATTCCCTGAGCCCAATGTCAGTGCTGCTCATGGGATACCCATGAAAACGACACAGGAGAAATTAAATTCTAAAGAATGTGATTGCATCAGATAGGGTTGAGCTTTACAGGGCTATACACCATTGTAATAACTGAGAATATTTCACCAACCCCACGAACATCAATTTTCATCCTTTTGGAGGGAAATATCATCCCTGTTGAGAATGTATAGCTTAAAGCAAAAATCATGACAGTGTATTGTAGAGTTTTCATGAAAACTATAGCATAAAGGCCTGGGCTCAGGATAAATGTAATTACATGGTAGCAAGTACTATGAAATATGGAGATGAAAACCAACAACAGCAAAAAAATAAAACAGCTCTAATTTTAAAGTGACTGGTACTAGAAAGAAAACTGCAGGGCTGGGACAGGGTGGAGTAGTGGCTTTGGTTTGCTGCTTTAAGTCTTGTGTTTCTATTTTTTTTTTTAGCTACATAAATATATTAGTTTTAAAAGATAACATTTTAATGAAATATTAAAATTAAACTGCCAAGAATGTATGTTAGATGCTTGCTCTTTTTTTAAAAAATCTGTTTATACATTGGGCACACATGGACATAAAGATGAGAGCAATAGACATTGGGGCCTATTGGGTCAGGGGAGAAGGAGTAGGGAAAAGGCTGGAAAACTACCCATTGAGTATTATGATCACTACCTAAATAATGAAATCATTTGTACCCCAAACCTCAATATTACACAATATACATGTGTACCTCCTGTATCTAAAATAAAAGTTGAAATCATTTTTTAAAAAATTAGCGATCCAAAGAATGTATATAAATGACCAACAGGCACATGAAAAGAGGCCCAACATCATTAATCACTAGAGAAATGTAAATCAAAACCAAAATGAGATATGACTGCACCTCACTCATATGGTTATAGTAAAAAAGATAGGCAGTTAAAATAATTAATAAAAAATAAATCTGATTTATATAAACGCCTTCTTTCTGATTACACACAAAACGTTAGTAAGTCTGTTGAAGGAAAGTAAGCAAAACAGGATGGTTTGAGGGAGCTAGGGAATACTGGAAGATTAAAATAAAGAACAAGGTAAAACAAGTTCCACCAGAGAGCAGAAGACCTCAAATTCCTCTTCTACCATTTATTTGTTGCATTAATTTGACTAATTGCTTAAGTATCCAGAGCCTTAGATTCTCCTTTTTAAATAATACACTATCTGCATAAAAATGAGGGCTGTCCAGGGAAGGTTGGTAAGACAAAGTAGCTTTTTATCATAAAAAGAATAAACACAGCTAAATGGCCAGCCTCATTTTTGCAAGTGTTTGAAAAACATGGCAAGAAATCAGGAAACCATTTGTCTTTGTATTACACACTACCCCAGGTCAGTAGATGTTGACATTTTGTTACTGTGAGACTATTTCTTGTCATCATTAATAAAAAATACAACTATTCATCAGAGTTTGATTATTTTAAAAAATGACCACCTCAAACACTTTTCAATTTGTTCCTGTTCTTTCATTTCCCTCTTTACTTTGGCCACACTCCTGATAATATGTAGAAAGATGATTGGAAACTGCTGTCTTCCCATGCAGGATTCAATACACAGAGCATGTGATGTTAATGGGATTGTCAGGCGTTCAAGCATTTGACTGAGACAACCTTTCTCCTGGAAGAACTTTTAAAAATTGATATTTATTTGTGTGATTCATGTCTCAAAGAGTGGCCTGTTCTATCTCTCACTGCCTTTTTCTCCCTTAGATGTTAAAACTTGGAGTTGCTTACATGACAACACAGCATGTCTTTCTTTGCCTTGTAACTACGAACTTAGCTAAGATTTCAATAACCTCTGACCTGGAATTATTTCTTCCTTCTTTTCTTCATGCTTTAGGTATTGCCCTGTGCCCAGAGGATTATATCACTGCTATCATTAGTTTTTCAGTAGTTTCCCACAACCTCAGAACTCAGAATAACAATTTTCCCTCAAAGCACTTTGTCAGAGTTATTTCAAGGACTTCACATGTCCCTTCATTGCTTGCATTGCCTCATTTATTAGCTACTTACACCCCAGAGAACAAAGGGCGCTCAATACAGCCCTCCCAAAGCTCTCTCAACAGCTTTATCTGACCACAGAATGGCCTTTCTTTCTCAGTCTCCCCACTTCCATCCTACAGACAAATCTAGATGACCCTACCTAAAAGAAGAGGTCCAGATTTGGAAGCATGATTTCCAGCTTCCTTTTTCTATACCACCCTAGGAGGTAAAGAATCTTAGTAAATATTCAACTAATTTATTAATTTCTACATTTGCTGGAGATTGTGTGACATAATTGTGCATCAGGCTCAGGGCTGGCATCAGGCTCAGGGCTGGCATCAGCCAGCACACATGGCTTGAATAAACTGGACAGCATCCATTCTGATTAAGCAGTGCCACTTGTGAAATTGTTGGAGTATCTTTTTTGAAATTGTTTGCAATTGTTTGAAAATCATAAAATACATCCTAGTTAGGATAACTTCCTTGCAAGTAACAAAAATGTATTCAAAGTATAGTTTACTAGAAGGAAAAGGTGGGCCTTATGAAACACAAGAGAAGGAAGTGCAGCTGAGTTTCACAGGGACAGTATTTATATTCTCTAAGGCCACATGTTCTCACATGTACATTTTTTCCAGTCCTTACCTCATTCTTTTTTCTCTCTACAGAGGCATTCTCTTCTTCTCCCTGCATGCGGCTTAAGCAAGCTTCACACTGTGTTTAAATAGTATTTCTAAGTCCCACTCCCCAACCCTGGCACATGAAATCCGAATGACCCATACCCAATCCTGGCCTATCACTTTGTCCAAGGGGCAGAATCATGAGATCTGAAACCAGCTCAGTGGGTCCTACAGGATTAAATTTTGTGAGATCGGGCTGGACAGATTTTCTTCAAGAAAGCATAGACCCAGGAAAAAAAGAGGCAGAAAGAATGACCTGCATTTTAAGAAGACACAATAGTTGGATAAACATTAAAGAAATATTTCTTAAAAACCATATAATTCATTTATTTATTTTGTTTTCTCTCTCCTGTCTTTATGGAGATTGTAAATTTTACAAAGGCAGGATTTTTTTTTCTGTTTTGTTTACTGTTCAAGTGCCTAGAACAGTTCCTTGCAGTAAATTTTTGCAAAATTCGTGAATAAAAACCTTTGGATAATGACAACAGTGGTAATTACAGTGAATATGATGAAAAGATAAGAGAATACGTGACTGCATAAACAAGGGAAGTTACGATTTCTGTGAATAGACGGATTTCTTATAATTTTTAGTACTTCTTGACGTTCTTTTTCTTTCCTATCCAACTACTATTACTATGAGGTGAAGTTCTTGAAAGAACTAACCGAAAGTATTCATCTTTGTATCTTAAGTCCCAGCATAATGCCTGGTATATAATCAGTAAATATTTGTGAATTGAGTGAAATGGATGAATCAAGATACTGTTCCTCCTATGGCACTTTGAAGAGTGCTTTGCAAACCATAAAATGCTACCAAAACATTAGATTGTGATTTTCATTGTAGTAGTGCTTTAGAAAAAATACCTTAGTAATGTATTCAAGATGTTTGGGACAACAGGAGGACAAGAAACAAACTAGAAAGCTGACCCAAGAGTCTAGGTACAATTCATCTGACTTCAATAGGCTTTTTTTTTCTGCCTTTTCCCACAAAGCTCTAAATTGGAATCCAACCTAAGTTTCTGTATAATCCTAGAAGGGGCAAAACTTGGCAGAAGTTTGGCTTTATTGTCTCAAACTAGATTTCTATTACTATGTTAGACCAGTTTTAGATTTGGAGACTAAATTGTAGCTCATTTTCTTTCCATTCCAAAGAATCACCAAAGAGTTTATTCCATTTAATATCATCATTATGCATTGTTCAACAACTCAACAAACACATAAATAAAAGCAATTCTTGGAGCATTTTGCTATATGAAAGATTGTTACCTCTTATTGCCAAACACATGAGAATCTACATAGTGGAATTTAGCTAAGGGCACATTTGTAGAGGCGTATTCAGCAATTTTCTCACAAACTCTTTGTGTGTAGACAACTCAATTCAATCAACATTGATTTAACTTTTATGTTTATCAAATATAAAGATAAATATTATTCAGGCTCAGTATAAAGGAACTTTGAATCTATTAAGTGGACTAAGAGTGGGCAATAATAAAGCACACAATGATCATAATATCCGGCAATAGTAAGTGAGTTCCATATGAAAGGTAAAAAGAGATTCATATGTTTAAAGGGTGGAGGAATCATGTAGCATCTGATCTAAAGTGTGAAAATGATTGTGAAATGTAGAAAAAATTTAAGAAGGAAATACATTTGGAATGGCCCCCAAAGAAGAGGTACACAATACACTACATTTGTGATTGGGGAAGAAAAAGTTTCAAGGGAAAAAATATAATGGCAAGAGAAACCATAGGCCATTTTGAGGATCAGCAAGTTATCCAATTTGGCTAGATGGTGGACTATGCAAAATGAAGGAGAGAAAATGAGTCTAAAGGGTAATATGGAATAAAATTGCTCAAGGTTTCCAATATTAGGGACTGGGACTCTGTAGCTAATTTCGTGGTTTCCTTAAAAGAATAACACTGAGATTTTGAATAGGGTTGTGCTACTGAGAGGTGAACTCTAGAGTATCCTTGCAGAGTAGATTAGAAGAAATTACAGGAGGAGTTCTAAAGCTCAGAGACCAGCTAAGCCACTGATGCAATCTTCAAGGTATGGTTTCATAATGGCTGGAAGTGGAACTGTAGCCATAGACATGATGGCAAGGTGGAAAAATGAGGAATGCATAGAAGAGATACTTCAAAGATAAAAGCTAAATAAAAGATAAAATTGCCTCATGTATTTAGCATCTAAAAGGATAGGAGGAGTCAGGGAGTGAGGATGTGATCTCTGTGATATGATGTTTCTATTATCTGTCTGAACATTAGAATACTAAGACAGGTGGACTAGGAAGCAATCAATACAAAGGTGATCAATAACCCCATGGAAGTAGATGAAATCTCAAATGAAAGAAAAGGGGTGAGGATAAAATCCTAGATGGGTGTAGGAAGAGAATCATAGAGGAAGGCAGAAGAGGAATTTCCTAAGTGTTCAGAGAAACACATGTATTATATTTTGTCCAGGAAGCCAATAGTGGATTTAGAAGAGGTCATTCAGTTTGGCAATTAGGAGGTTAATGGTGGTCATTGAGAGAATAGTTGGTGTAGGCTGGTTGTATTTATCACATAGATTTCAAAGAGTGAAGTGAATGAGGAGTAGATGGCAAAACATCAAATGCAGTCAATTTAGACTATCTTTCTAATAATTTTAGTAGGAAAGAGAAGACACAAAGAGTGTGGAAGCCTGAGGTCCAAAATACCTTCTGTTTCCTCCATATTTGAGAGTTTTGATCTATGATCCCCCAATTGAAATAGTTCAATCTGCCATTTCACTTTATCTACTCACATATTGACTGACAAAGCACACTCTGAAGAGTTTTTGAAATAGATGGGGTCATTAGCCTTGGCTCTAATAAGAAATTATAGTACTTTTGCTATAATGATAAGTTGGCATGTGAATACTTAGCATGTGAAAAAGCCTTCAGATAGCAGCTTCCATTGTTCATTATTTTATATTTGTGGTTATTTTCTTGGCAGAAAATACCATTTGGCTATGAATCTATTATCATTAAAAGAGGAATAATGGTTTTTAACAGAATACATATTCTCCTTCTGGTAAAATGATAATTGCTCCATCTTAACTCTCCATGTCCTGGCCCTCATTTTCTCCTGCACCCTTCTGTTTTTTTACAATTATATGCTTTCTACTGGTCAGTCAATAGCAACTATCTACCTTATGAAAATAGGAGATTTTGTGTGAGAAGGTCTTCTGTGTTACCAGCCAAAACTTCAGAAGGCCTGCAGTTGCTGAAGCAACTCAGCCAGTGCCAGTAAACTTCATAGCAGACTTTGTTTTTCAGCAGCACACATCTAAATATTGTTTAGAGAACACCTATATTCTTTGCATGCACAGAGTCAGACCTGAGCACAACTGCACACAAGTATTCAATTCCTAGCTCTGAAACAATCACCTACTCATCAGTCCCAATTAGCCTACTTCTACTTCCCAAAGCCACTGGACACTTTGTTGTATGTATCAGACCAGAAATATTTCTCTCTGGGTTGCAACTTTTCCTATAAGGGCCAGACGGTAAATATTTTAGGCTTTTCAGGCTGGAGAGCCTCTGTTGCCAGCTTCTTAACTCTACCATTGTAGCACAAAAGCAACCATAAACAATGGCCAATTGTGTGACTTTATTCCTATAAAACGTTATTTACAAAAACGGGCATCAGGCTAGTTTACCAATCCCTGCTCTAGAAAAAGGACTCATGAGTGAGATATGTCATTTAACCTTCCAAAAGAACCCAAGATGGAGAACCCAAATACATTGTTGAAAAGATTCTAGATTCTTAGTTGGTGCTGGGTCAATTCTAGTGTTTGGATCACAGACATTCGCATTCCATCTCAAGGATTTCCCCTTACCATCCTTAACTCTCTCCACCTGTGTTTTTCCAGTGCCACAGCATACAATCTTACTTCTCTGTCCTCTTCATAGCCCACATTACAAATAAAGTCCTCTTTAAGCTCATCCTACTGGCACCTAACTTTGCATCTCTCTGTATTATGACTTCCAGTATTTGCCTTTAGCTCCAAACACCTTGAACTCAGGACAAATGAATTTTATTTTAGGACCTCAAAGACCAATTAAAGAAAGAAATATGCAAATTAAATGACATATATTCTTGTCCAATCACCAAATATTTCTTTTCCTGTTTATCTTCTCAGGTAATCAAGGGTGAAGCTGCTATCCCAGCCCCAAACTAGCTTCAACACTGGTCTGCAGCACACCACTCTACTTTCTCTTTAGGCCCAAATTTCAATCTTTAAAATCTCAATGTAGTATAAGAGAGAGAAAAAAGACTGGAAATCAGATCATCTGTATTCCAGTTCTGACTTACTCTGGCCTTGGGAAAGTTACTACCATGTATATTAAACTATGTGACCTTTGAGTGGTGGGTTCCCAGCTGTGTTTCAAGTAATCTTTAGACTTGCTGAGATCATCATTTCCCACCATGTGATAAAAATCTAAGCTGTCTAAGGAATATTTGTTTTAGTTGTTTTCTACTGCTTTGAAAAAAGTTTGAAAAACACTTGTTTTACAAATGAGGGACCAGTGTTCCAATGAGGTATAGTGATTTATTGAAGCTCACATAGCTGGTAGCTGCTTAGTGCAGAAACAAGACTAGAATATGTATCCACATTCTCAGTCCCTATAGTTTTTTTTCTTTTCTATTGCACTATTTTGTTCTGCTTCACCTTAGGATGAAATCCATTTTACTTCAATCTAAAGTTAAATTGCAACCATTTCAGAGAAGCGTAATCATCATTACATATAAAGAGCCCATTTGATCATTGCTATTTTAATTCTTTCCAAATTAAATTTTCTGTTTGGTTTTGCTGGCATATAGAAACACTTTTTACTATAATAAACTTGTGTTGATAAATCATACTAAATTCATTTATTAATTCTAATGTTTGTAGATTCTTTTGAATTTTCTACATACACAATCACATTGTCTCCAAAAACATTTCTTAAATAGTTACCAATAACTATTCTATAATCAAAAACTAAGAATCTATACATTCCTAAGGGGGGCAGCAATTTTAAGCAATTAATCTAAAGGATTCTTTAAAATGGAAAGAGAGATTTCTATGCAGTAGCAATAGCTACTACAATAGCCCTTGAATTGAAAACTCACTGAAAATTCAGGACTCTGTGTAACATCCAACACCCAGAGTTTCAGGGTTACTACTGATTGGTGTAATCATTTGCAAAGTTCAAGTTCCAGAGAACATTTATTTTGACAACCCTCTAGGTGTTGCTAGGCTTCTGGGATATGACAGCATTGCCTTGTGTTAGCTAGCAATAAGAAAAGAAGCTTTGTTTGGATTAACATATATACCCTCTTCATTCTGCATACCTATTTTTTCCCCAATAATTTGCAGCTTAGGTCCGAGGACACCACAAACTCTGCTTAAAGGTGAGTAATATGATGATTTCATTTTCAATCTTAATATTTCAAAATTGTTAATCATGTTTCCAACAAAATTACAATTTCATGCATAAAAATATGTAACTCAGACTATAACCATTTCTTTGTCTTTCTTTTTTATAATTGCTTTGTTTAAATCTGAAAAGAACCAGAGGTCATGTTTTTTAAACAAATGTCATTCCAGAGGACATTTGAGATCAAGTTTCTCTATGAGTTAAATTAGTTAAAAGTAAAGCAAACATACTCTTTAGCCAAGGTCAGTCATGCACCTGGACTACCCAGCTTACCTTGGCGATAGTAAAGGTAGAAAGATAGAAAGGCTCATTTCTTGAGCCTCTGGGCATGCACAGAAAAAAATAATAAGAAATAAGAAATTCAGTAAGTTTACATGGAGATGTAAAGGAAGAACCTATAGCTGGGGATAAACTAGAGCATCCTCAGAAATCTGTTGGGTAAGATATGCTGAACTGCCTTGCAGACAAATGGTTCATGTGAGTAAAATACATTAGAAAGTGACAGGTTAGAATAAGATGGGCTTCATTTTAATTGAAATTCTCTAAATGCTCATAAAGCTATCATCAATGGTTCAATGGGATCACTGATTTTTGGAAAACTCAAGAGGGGATGGCAACTATGAGAAAACTGAAGAATTTCTGCTTTTCTACGATGGCACTGAAGTGGAAGACTTTTTTCCTATCTTCCTCTATTGACCGAACATTCTTTTATTCTATGTTTGTATGAAAATTGTACAGTAATGGGTAAAATGCCTGTGTGTAATTTTAGATACCTCCAGAATGCCTAGAGATGTGGAAATTAATAAATAAGAAACCATATAATACAATATGCTAGGCCATCATAACAAAAAAATTCAGAGAAGTAATTATTTTTATTTGATTAAAAATTGTTGCTGGGCTTGGTGGCTCACGCTTGTAATCCCAGCACTTTGGGAGGCCGAGGCAGGTGAATCACAAGGTCAGGAGTTCAAGACGAGCCTGACCAAAATGGTGAAACCCCGAGTTCACTAAAAATACAAAAATTAGCTGGGTGTGGTGGCAGGGGCCTGTAATCCCAGCTACTCGGGAGGCTGAGGCAGAGAATTGCTTGAACCCAGGAGGCTGAGTTTATAGTGAGCTGAGATCCTGCCACTGCAGTCCAGCCTGGGTGAAAGAATGAAACTCTGTCTCAAAAAAATAAATAAATAAAAATAAAATTGTTTTAACATAAAACAATTTGTATTCCTAATAATAGAATATTAAAAAAGAAAAGCTACCAATTAGCTCTTTCATTAGTACCTCATCAAATAAGTTTTAATGTTACCATCTTAATTTATATCAGGCTCCATATTGCCTCAGAACAGTTATAGCTTAAAGAGCGATCAGAATATTTTATAAGGGTTCTGTTTTTGCAGTTTTTGATGATAATTGGAATAAAACTCACCCATACCTTTCAAGCTTTTGGAAGTTAAAAGACAGTGTCTGCTGAGAACTGAGAATTAGTAATCTCTTGCAATTTAACTTCTCCAAATTATTTACATGAAAATTTCACCAGAAGCTTTAAGAATTTGTTTTCTCTACAATTGAGGAAATATTCTGGAAGATATCTGTCTTGTCCAACATCTAATAAGAAAAAAAAACAACAACAAAGTATCTATTTAGTTTTTCTTGCTGAAAAGGTCCCTGTATGAGAAAATTCCAATTTTGGCAGTGGGGGGCAAGGGTGAAGGGTATAGGGGAGTGGCTTCTCTAGTCTATCTAGTGGTTGAAAGGAAAGCTTCACATTATTTGGGAGCCTCAGCTCCCAAATGTTTGGGACTCACATTATATGTCTGATCACGACTTAAATTCTATCTGGCTACTATTGTCCCAATACCCTGTGGTTCTGTGTTGCTGAGGAAAACCAGGAAAGGCGAGTTACTTACCGACGAACTAGAATCAGCTTGCAAGTGGAGTGGGAAAAAAAGCCCCTCATTTTTTTTTATTATACTTTAAGTTCTAGGGTACATGTGCACAACGTGAAGGTTTGTTACATATGTATACATATGCCATGTTGGTGTACTGCACCCATTAACTCGTCATTTAGCATTAGGTATATGTCCTAATGCTATGCCTCTCCCCTACCCCCACCCCACTACAGGCCCCGGTGTATGATGTTCACCACCCTGTGTCCAAGTGTTCTCATTGTTCAATTCCCACCTATAAGTGAGAACATTCAGTGTTTGGTTTTCTGTCCTTGTGATAGTTTGCTCAAAATGATGGTTTCCAACTTCATCCATGTCCCTACAAAGGATATGAACTCATCATTTTTTATGGCTACATAGTATTCCATGGTGTATATGTGCCACATTTTCTTAATCCAGTCTATCATTGATGGACATTTGGGTTGGTTCCAAGTTTTTGCTATTGTGAATAGTGCCACAATAAACATATGTATGTATGTGTCTTTATAGCAGCATGATTTATAATCCTTTGGGTAGATACCCAGTAACAGGATGGCTGGGTCAAATGGTATTTCTAGTTCTAGATCCTGGAGGAATCACCACACTGCCTTCCACAATGGTTGAACTAGTTTACAGTCCCACCAACAGTGTAAAATGTTCCTATTTCTCCACATCCTCTCCAGCACCTGTTGTTTCCTCACTTTTTAATGATCGCCATTCTAACTGGTGTGAGATGGTATCTCACTGTGGTTTTGATCTGCATTTCTCTGATGGCCAGCGATGATGAGCATTTTTTTCATATCTCTGTTGGCTGCATAAATGTCTTCTTTTGAGAAGACATTTCTCAAATGTCAAGGGTCTGTTCATATCCTTTGCCCACTTTTTGATGGGGTTGTTTGATTTTTTCTTGTAAATTTGTTTGAGTTCTTTGTAGATTCTGGATATTAGCCCTTTGTCGGATGGGTAGATTGCAAAAATTTTCTCCCATTCTGTAGGTTGCCTGTTCACTCTGATGGTAGTTTCTTTGGCTGAGCAGAAGCTCTTTAGTTTAATTAGATCCCATTTGTCAATTTTGGCTTTTGTTGCCATTGCTTTTGGTGTTTTAGTCATGAAGTCCTTGCCCATGCCTATGTCCTGAATGGTATTGCCTAGGTTTTCTTCTAGGGTTTTTATGGTTTTAGGTCTAGCATTTAAGTCTTTAATCCATCTTGAATTAATTTTTGTATAAGGTGCAAGGAAGGGATCCAGTTTCAGCTTTCTACATATGGCTAGCCAGTTTTCCCAACACCATTTATTAAATAAAGAATCCTTTCCCCATTGCTTGTTTTTGTCAGATTTGTCAAAGATCAGATGGCTGTAGACGTGTGGTATTATTTCTGAGGGCTCTGTTCTGTTCCATTGGTCTATATCTCTGTTTTGGTACCAGTACCATGCTGTTTTGGTTACTGTAGCCTTGTAATATAGTTTGAAGTCAGGTAGCAAGATGCCTCCAGCTTTGTTCTTTTGGCTTAGGATTGTCTTGGCAATGCAGGCTCTTTTTTGGTACCATATGAACCTTAAAGTAGTTTTTACCAATTCTGTGAAGAAAGTCATTTGTAGCTTGATGGGGATGGCATTGAATCTATAAATTACCTTGAGCAGTATGGCCATTTTCACGATATTGATTCTTCCTACACATGAGCATGGAATGTTCTTCCATTTGTTTGTGTCCTCTTTTATTTCATTGAGCAGTGGTTTGTAGTTCTCCTTGAAGAGGTCCTTCACATCCCTTGTAAGTTGGATTCCTAGGTATTTCATTCTCTTTGAAGCAATTGTGAATGGGAGTTTACCATGATTTGGCTCTCTGTCTATTATGGGTATATAGGAATGTCTGTGATTTTTGCACATTGATTTTGTATCCTGAGACTTTGCTGAAGTTGCTTATCAGCTTAAGGAGATTTTGGACTGAGATGATGAGATTTTCTAAATATACAATCATGTCATCTGCAAACAGGGACAATTTCATTCCCTCTTTTCCTAATTGAATACCCTTTATTTCTTTCTCCTGCCTGATTGCCCTGGCCAGAACTTCCAACACTATGTTGAATAGGGGTGGTGAAAGAGGGAATCCTTGTCTTGTGCCAGTTTTCAAAGGGAATGCTTCCAGTTTTTACTCATTCGGTATGATACTGGCTGTGGGTTTGTCATAAATAGCTCTTATTATTTTGAGATACATCCCATCAATACCTAGTTTATTGAGAGTTTTTAGCATGAAGTGCTGTTGAATTTTGTCGAAGGCCTTTTCTGCATCTATTGAGATAATCATGTGGTTTTTGTCGTTGGTTCTGTTTTTATGATGGATTACATTTATTGATTTGGGTAAGTTAAACAGACTTGCATCCCAGGGGTGAAGCCAACCTGATTGTGGTGGATAAGCTTTTTGATGTGCTGCTGGATTCAGTTTGCCAGTATTTTATTGAGGATTTTTGCATCGATGTTCATCAGGGATATTGGTCTAAAATTCTCTTTTTTCGTTGTGTCTCTGCCAGGCTTTGGTATCAGGATGATGCTGGCCTCATAAAATGAGTTAGGGAGGATTCCCTCTTTTTCTATTGATTGGAATAGTTTCAGAAGGAATGGTACCAGCTCCTCCT
Source organism: Homo sapiens (assembly GCF_000001405.40). NCBI lineage: Eukaryota > Metazoa > Chordata > Mammalia > Primates > Hominidae > Homo > Homo sapiens. The sequence continues at coordinate 41,208,794 of NC_000005.10, read as the reverse complement.
TGTACCTCTGGTAGAATTCGGCTGTGAATCCATCTGGTCCTGGACTTTTTTTGGTTGGTAAGCTATTAATTATTGCCTCAATTTCAGAGCCTGTTATTGGTTTATTCAGGGATTCAACTTCTTCCTGGTTTTGTCTTGAGAGGTTGTATGTGTTCAGGAATTTATCCATTTCTTCTAGATTTTCTAGTTTATTTGTGTAGAGGTGTTTATAGTATTTTCTGATGGTAGTTTGTATTTCTGTGGGATCGGTGGTGATATCCCCTTTATCATTTTTTATTGTGTCTATTTCATTCTTCTCTCTTTTCTTCTTTATTAGTCTTGCTGGTGGTCTATCAGTTTTGTCAATCTTTTCAAAAAACCAGCTCCTGGATTCATTTATTTTTTGAAGGGTTTTTTGTGTTTCTATGTCCTTCAGTTCTGCTCTGATCTTAGTTATTTCTTGCCTTCTGCTAGCTTTTGAATGTGTTTGCTCTTGCTTCTCTAGGTCTTTTAATTGTGATGTTAGGGTGTCAATTTTGGATCTTTCCTGCTTTCTCTTGTGGGCATTTAGTGCTATAAATTTCCCTCTACACACTGCTTTAAATGTGTCCCAGAGATTCTGGTATGTTATGTCTTTGTTCTCATTGGTTTCAAAGAACATCTTTATTTCTGGCTTCATTTCGTTATGTACCCAGTAGTCATTCAAGAGCAGGTTGTTCAGTTTCCATGTAGTTGAGCGTTTTGAGTTTCTTAACCCTGAGTTCTAGTTTGATTGCACTGTGATGTGAGAGACAGTTTGTTGTAATTTCTGTTCTACATTTGCGGAGGAGTGCTTTACTTCCAACTCTGTGGTCAATTTTGGAATAAGTGCTAAGTGGTGCTGAGAAGAATATATATTCTGTTGATTTGGGGTGGAGAGTTCTGGAGATGTCTATTAGGTCCGCTTGGTGCAGAGCTGAGTTCAATTCCTGGATATCCTTGTTAACTTTCTGTCTTGTTGATCTGTCTCATGTTGACAGTGGGGTTTTAAAATCTCCCATTATTATTGTGTGGGAGTCTAAGTCTCTTTGTAGATCTCTAAGGACTGGCTTTATGAATCTGAGTGCTCCTATATTGGGTGCGTATATATTTAGGATAGTTAGCTCTTCTTTTTGAATTCATCCCTTTACCATTATGTAATGGCCTTCTTTGTCTCTTTTGATCTTTGTTGGTTTAAAGTCTGTTTTATCAGAGACTAGGATCGCAACACCTGCCTTTTTTTGTTTTCCATTTGCTTGGTAGATCTTCCTCTATCCCTTTATTTTGAGCCTATGTGTGTCTCTGCACATGAGATGGGTCTCCTGAATACAGCACGCTGATGGGTCTTGACTCTTTATCCAATTTGCCAGTCTATGTCTTTTAATTGGGGCATTTAGCCCATTTACATTTAAGGTTAATATTGTTATGTGTGAATTTGAACCCGTCATTATGATGTTAGCTGGTTATTTTTCCCATTAGTTAATGCAGTTTCTTCCTAGCATTGATGGTCTTTACAATTTGGCATGTTTTTGCAGTGGCTGGTACCAGTTTTTCCTTTCTATGTTTAGTGCTTCCTTCAGGAGCTCTTGTAAGGCAGGCCTGGTGGTGACAAAAATCTCTGAGCATTTCCTTGTCTGTAAAGTATTTTATTTCTCCTTCACTTATGAAGCTTAGTTTGGCTGGATACGAAATTCTGGGTTGAAAATTCTTTTCTTTAAGAATGTTGTATATTGGCCCCTACTCTCTTCTGGCTTGTAGAGTTTCTGCTGAGAGAACTGCTTTTAGTCTGATGGGCTTCCCTTTGTGGGTAACCCGACCTTTCTCTCTGGCTGCCCTTAACATTTTTTCCTTCATTTCAACTTTGGTGTATCTGACAATTATGTGTCTTAGAGTTGCTCTTCTCAAGGAGCATCTTTGTGGCATTCTCTGCATTTCCTGAATTTGAATGTTGGCCTGCCTTTCTAGGTTGGGGAAGTTCTCCTGGATAATATCCTGCAGAGTGTTTTCCAACTCGGTTCCACTCGCCCTGTCACTTTCAGGTACACCAATCAGACGTAGATTTGGTCTTTTCACATAGTCCCATATTTCTTGGAGGCTTCGTTCATTTCTTTTTACTCTTTTTTCTCTAAACTTCTCTTCTCACTTCATTTCATTCATTTGATCTTCAATCACTGAAACCCTTTCTTCCATGTGATTGAATTGGCTACTGAAGCTTGTGCATGCGTCATGTAGTTCTTGTGCCATGGTTTTCAGCTCCATCAGGTCATTTAAGGTCTTCTCTATGCTGTTTATTCTAGTTAGCCATTTGTCTAATCTTTTTTCAAGGTTTTTAGCCTCTTTGCAATGGGTTCAAACATCCTCCTTTAGCTCAGAGAAGTCTGTTATTACCAATCGTCTGAAGCCTTCTTCTCTCAGCTGGTCAAAGTCATTCTCCGTTCAGCTTTGTTCCTTTACATGCAAGGAGCTGCGTTCCTTTGGAGGAGAAGAGGTGCTCTGATTTTTAGAATTTTCAGCTTTTCTGCTCTGGTTTCTCCCCATCTTTGTGGTTTTATCTACCTTTGGTCTTTGATGATGGTGACGTACAGATGGGGTTTTGGTGTGGATGTCCTTTATGTTTGTTAGTTTTCCTTCTAACAGTCAGGACCCTCAGGTGTAGGTCTGTTGGAGTTTGCTGGAGGTCCACTCCTGACCCTGTTTGCCTGTGTATTACCAGCGGAGGCTGTAGAACAGCCCACACTGCAGAACGGCAAATGTTGCTGCCTGATCCTTCCTCTGGAAGCTTCGTCTCAGAGGGGCACCCAGCTGTATGAGGTGTCAGTCGGCCCGTACTGGGAGGTGTTTCCCAGTTAGGCTACTCGGGGGTCAGGGACCCACTTGAGGAGGCAGTCTGTCCATTCTCAGATCTCAAACTCCGTGCTGGGAGACCACTACTCTCTTCAAGGCTGTCAGACAGGGACGTTGAAGTCTGTAGAAGTTTCTGCTGCCTTTTGTTCAGCTATGCCTGCCCCCAGAGGTGGAGTCTACAGAGGCAGGCAGGCCTCCTTGAGCTGTGGTGGGCTCCACCAGGTTCGAGATTCCCAGCTGCTTTGTTTACCTACTCAAGCCTCAGCAAAGGCGGGCACCCCTCCGCCAGCCTCCCTGTGCCTTGCAGTTTGATCTCAGACTGCTGTGCTAGCTGTGAGAGAGGCTCTGCGGGTGTGGGACTCTCCGAGCCAGGTGCGGGATATAATCTCCTGGTGTGCCATTTGCTAAGACCATTGGAAATGTGCCTCATTAGGGTGGGAGTGTCCCGATTTTCCAGGTACTGTCTGTAATGGCTTCCCTTGGCTAGGAAAGGGAATTCCCCGACCCCTTGCACATCCCAGGTGAGGCGATGTCCCGCCCTTCTTCAGCTCACACTCCATGGACTGCGCCCACTGTCCGACAAGCCCCAGTGAGATGAACCCAGTACCTCAGTTGGAAATGCAGAAATCACCCATCTTCTGTGTCTCTCACACTAGGAGCTGTAGACTGGAACTTTTCCTATTCAGCCATCTTGAATAATGCCCAAAAGCCCCTCATTTTTATGACTGAAATAATCTAGGACTCTAGCAGCATATCTATGAGTTGGAGTAAAAAGCTTGGGTAAAAAGCATAGGTAGTATTTTCAATTTCTTTCTACCCTCCCAGACAGTGATAAAGGCTTCTATTTCTTTGTGTCTCATTCAATGCCTAGCAGCATACAATGAATACCCAAATGTGTGTTCATTCCATTTTAAATTGAAAGACATATTCAGCCATACGTCAATGGATTTGGTTACTTTTATTCTGGCATTTTTCTTTGAGCTTGTAGAAGAGTTTAAAAAGCTTACTGATAATCCCAGCACTTTGGGAGGCCGAGGTGGGCTGATCACGAGGTCAGGAGATCGAGACCACCCTGGCTAACGCAGTGAAACCCCGTCTCTACTAAAAATTCAAAAAATTAGCTGGATGTGGTGGTGAGCACCTGTAGTCCCACCTCCTCAGGAGGCTGAGGCAGGAGAATGGCATGAACCCGGGAGGCAGAGCTTGCAGTGAGCCGAGATCACACCACTGCACTCTAGCCTGGGTGACAGAGTGAGACTCCATCTCAAAAAAAAAAAAAAAAAGAAAAAAAAAAGCTTACTGATTTATTAACAAGAAATACCCTAGTTTCTGAACATACTGAAAAAACAATTTTTATATCTGATCTCAAGCTCTTGACTTAAACCAAGATTTATCAAATGATGAACCCCATTTATTTTTACTGAGGTATCCTTTCATGAAAACTAAGAAACGTAAACTAATCACGTAGAAATATAATCAGAAACTCATCCTCTGGGACATGAGAGAGCCATATTTTAGCAGGGCAATTTGGAAATATCTATTAAAAATGTGTGACCAACAGCTACTATTAAATTTGTAACATTCTTAAAAGTTATTACTAATTTGAAAAGCTAGTATTTATTAAGTGATGATTCTATGCCAATAATTGTTCTAAGCAGTTTACATGAACCTTCTTACTGAATCCTAACAAAAGCTTTATGAGGTAGGTATTACTCTTATTTTATAGATAGTGAAACTGAGACAGAAAAATTAGGCGAATGGCATTTAACTTTTTAAAGTAAAAGTTACTACTATATTAATTACAGCAGAATTATTGATATGTATGCATATATTAATAATGTTGCATGTTTCATTAGGGATATAACGATTAAACTGGCAATAACGGGGTGGGTATGGTTTTGCAAATAACTCATGGATCTTCAAGACCATAAGTGGGAACCACTGGTCAAAGATTTTTCCGCTCAACCTGTTGTGGCCTGAGTGGTGGAGCTCCAGGCATCTTGATACTGCAGTAACACAGTACTTAGGATTGTTAGAAACTCAGTGAAGGGCTTCACCTCATTCAAGAACCAGGGTTTGTGAGCTCCTACTTGACCTGCAGCCTCAACACTATTGCACTGCCTTGAGCCTCATTTTATCTCCATAAAATGAAGGAGTTTGACCTGGAGGTTTCAAAGATCCTTACTAGCTCTTATTTCTCTGACTTTATATGGAGTCAGTGAACGTTCTCTTTAGCAGGTTTCCAGCATGTCAGGAAATGAAAAAGAGCTTCCAGAAGAATGATCCAAACTTCTTTCCCAGTCCCAGAAAAGTAGGAACAGCTGAAATGTACTTGAGGCTATTGCTCACACAAAAGGAGCAGGTGTTTTGAGAAGGGTAAGACTGTATAAATCTAAAATACTTTTTGGAATGAAATGGATTACAAATACATGCTACATACTTTGTCTTGTAGCCTATCACTAACCGTTTGAAGAAACTTACTAGTACTGGAGGTTGTGCCTATGGTAATCTCCACCCTAAAAATCTTTAAAAATAGGATTTGTACTCACGAGCATGTGAATTTGTAGGTGTTGACTTGCCTTAAGGAAGGCAGAAAAATGCAAATATTTTCTAAAATCACATTTGAATCTCTGACTCAGGATGACTTGTGAAGGTTTACCTCAAAAAAGCATTTGATATGTGTTATGTATTCTTTCATTTTAGGGCCTGGAGGCTCTCAAGGCATGGCCAGACGCTCTGTCTTGTACTTCATCCTGCTGAATGCTCTGATCAACAAGGGCCAAGCCTGCTTCTGTGATCACTATGCATGGACTCAGTGGACCAGCTGCTCAAAAACTTGCAATTCTGGAACCCAGAGCAGACACAGGTGGGTGTGAGCTTTGTGGCTTTTCTTTGTGTCCTGGAAGGACTCAAGGATGAAGTCAGCAACATCAGGAGTGCAACACTAAGCAATGGGAACATATATATATCAAAGTAAGAACTTACAAATTTGGATGAAATTTGAAGTCTCTCTCTTATGAGGTTGAAAGGAAGTCTACTTTTGTTCTTTCTACAAGAACGAGGGGTTTCAAAGAAATTTAATTAAGAATCTGTGCAACACTTTCAGTTGAATATTTAACTTGCTTAGAATCACTACCCAAGCTTTTTTCAATCAGCATACAACTTTGCTTGCCTATAGTTAGTGAGTTAATTATAGAGAATTTTCTACTCATTAAATCGAGTCTAACAGGACCTCAATTGAGCAGAACTGCTAGCTATTAGCTTGATTGTTGGCATATACAAAATGGCAACAAAACTGTTCTTTCTTGATAACATTTAATAATTCAGTCTTTTCACCAATTCAGACTTCTTGTCCCCCACAGTTTCTTTAACTCTGTTAAATGTTTCTGTACCATGGAAATGCTCACATGTTAGGGGAGAAAAGCATATATTTAATGTGTTTTAACCATTAGAGAATTTTTTAGGATCCTTATTTTAGAAAACTATGTTTACATATGTAGTGTGAATCTCATTAAAATTACCAATTTACTTCCCCAATAAACCATCTACTATATATGTGAAAACAGATTTGTTTACAATATTCCTCTATTCAAGAGTCCTTCAGTAGCTCCCTGCTGCCTAAAAAGAACAGCAAATATTCCTGGCCAGTCACACAAGCTCCTCCCTGGAGAGCTACCTGGACATGCTCTCATCTGCCTCAAATCTTTGCACATGTCGCTTCCTCCAAATTCCCTTCCCTCTGTTACCTGGAGAATTCACGTGAATTATTCAGGATGTTTCTCTCATGCCACTTTCTCTTTGAATCTTTAGCCTCACAGCCCCCTATGTTGTCCTCCTCCAAGCAGTTTGCAGGATCTTTCTCTCCTTTCATCTTTCCTTGCCTTCCAGTCCATTAGAGGAGCTCCAGCATGGCTGGCTTCATGGTGTAACATGTGCAGCCACACAGGCCCCACACTTAGAAGGGCTTCATGCTTGGCTTAATGATCTGCCTTTGCTGTCTTGAAGTTCTTAGTTTTGAGCAAGAGGTTTCCCATTTTCATTTTATGCTGAGCCTCACAAAGTATGTCCTGAGTTCTATTAAGTGGTGAGAACTGCATATATGCCAACCTGCCTAATTTTTCCATGAAAATTTTCTTTCTTTTCTATTTATTGTAGTTAATGCTCAATGATACTTTGATTATGGAGCAGGATATATGGTGAATACACTCATTCTAAGCAACTTCTTCTTCATGGTTACAGACAAATAGTAGTAGATAAGTACTACCAGGAAAACTTTTGTGAACAGATTTGCAGCAAGCAGGAGACTAGAGAATGTAACTGGCAAAGATGCCCCATCAACTGCCTCCTGGGAGATTTTGGACCATGGTCAGACTGTGACCCTTGTATTGAAAAACAGGTAGGCAACCATGGGCATTTCCAGGAAATATGAATCACAATAGAGGGCTCTGATTCCCTGACAGGCTTAACAGCATAGTAATGCTGAATTACTTCAATTTCTGAAAATCAACTGTCTCAGCTTCCATTGAGGGAAAATTCCATTTAGCACTTTTGTGGGGGGAAGAGGGGGTTTATTTTATGTATTTTACTGTCTTAAGAACACAAAAAGGAAATTTTGCTCCCAGTATTGATATTGTACTTACCCAGTTCTGAATTCCACTGCCTGTGCCTTCTGAGAATTCTGAAAGCAAAAGTGTATACAGATTGAGTAATCCTTATCCAAAATGTTGGTATCAGAAGTGTTTTGGATTTTGGATGTTTTGTGGATTCTGAAATATTTGCATATACATAACGTAGTAGCTTGGGGATGGGACACAGTCTAAACATGAAATTCATTTATGTTTCAGATATACCTTATACATATAGCCTGAAGATAATTTATACAATATTTTAAATAATTTTGTTCATGAGACAAATTTATGATAAGTATTTACATATACAATACTCCACTGTGGCATCATGTTGGTACTCAAAAATTTTTAGATATTGGAGCATTTTGGATTTTAGGTTTTCAAACTAGGTATGCTCAACTCGTACTAAAAAAAAAAAAAAAAAAAAAAAAAAACAACAACAACAACAACAACAAAAACAGGGTTTCAGTCCAAGATTTTAAACCAGACAGAAATGAGGGAAATGAATCAAAACTTTCACTCCTTGCCCTTCCTCTACATTCCCTCTCCTCACAGCAGTCCCTCAATTTGTTTATTGTTCCCCATTGAAATATTTACCCACCACAAACTCATTCCTGTAAGGGCATCGGCCAATGTGAACCACAGTTAGGGCCGTGTTGAGCATTTACACAGCAGGGAAGAAAAAGAAACTCATTTGTGGAACAGCTACTTTCTGAGGGGAACTGTTCTAGGTCCCTTTCATGTGTCATCTTATTCAAACTTCACATCATATTGTGTTTCTCTACCCATTTTACAGATGAGAAAGTTATTGCTCATTTGGGGTTAAGTAATTTGCCCAAGAATACACCCATTAATTAATAAATTGAATTTTCTGACTTCAAAGTCAGTACTTTTTAGTCCTATCATATTTCTATTCTCCCTTGACTCACCATTTTACTACTCGCCATTTAAAATCTTTTTAAAGTGTAGACTACATTCGCATTGGTTTTCACAGGGACTCTCTTATGCAAAAGAACCTCAAAATTATTTCACATTTATCCCTTCACACTATCTTTAAGATACAGAAAGGCTACTGTTATGGCCTGGAGGAATTTACTGTACTCAAGAGACTCTCAGCAAACATTTATATATTTTATTTTGAAAACGTATAAACCATATGGTTTCAGAGTTATAAGAAGCCTTAGAAACCTTTTTAACCCACTTCCTCATTTTACTGGTTGGGAAACAGAGATCCACAGAGGTGATTATTTCCCTAAGGGAGCATAATAATGGAATTGGAAGAATCATTAGTAAAAATATAAGAAATATTACCATAGGAAAAATCACTGTTGTGATTGAGGAGCCCAGTTTTCTTAGGTACATTTTGACCTTGACCCTGCCTCAGAGTTATATCTTTCTCTTCTTTCCTTTCAGTCTAAAGTTAGATCTGTCTTGCGTCCCAGTCAGTTTGGGGGACAGCCATGCACTGCGCCTCTGGTAGCCTTTCAACCATGCATTCCATCTAAGCTCTGCAAAATTGAAGAGGCTGACTGCAAGAATAAATTTCGCTGTGACAGTGGTAATGTATTTTTGTGAAATGTTCAGTCCCCACTAAAAATAGCTTGACTAAATCAAAGTTACTCCAATTGACTAACAGTAGAATCCATCACAGAGAAATCCCACCACATTTTAAGCAGAGTGGAATGGGAATGTTATGCTGCCAATTCCCAAGATATTCCACTGTAAAATTATGGCTTTTCAGTTATACCATTTTGACCACTTACCTGATCTGCACAAATCTATAATCAGGATAATTTTAAAAGAAATGACATATTTTAAAAGATTTTTAATATAATTTATTATGACAAGAATATTAAGATATCATGTTGGAAGATGACTAGAGATGATGTAGAAAACTTTCTTGACTGGCTCTAAAATTAATTCCAAAAGAGTAAGTCAAAAGCACATACACAAATGAGCATGGCTATATTTCAATAAAATTTTCTTTACAAAAACAGTTGGCCATAGTTCAGGTCAGTTTTAGCCTACAGGCCATAGTTCATTGACCTCCTATCTAAACAGTCAACTTAAAGTTACAATAAAATTAAATTTCAGATGAATGAAATCTCTATCATTTCTGTGTACTCTGAGATATCCTGAAAAGTAAAGTATTTATAACTAGATAGCAAATTTCCAATTCCACAGAAAATTGACCCAAGACCTTGGAACCCAAGTTTTCCCCTCTTACTCCCTGCATCCTGCCCTCAGCTTTGCCAGCTTTTTCTGAATGTCAGACAGGAATGCTGGGGTCAGGGTTTTCCCCTATCCACCTCCACCCCAAACCTGGAATTTGAGAGCAGGATGTGGGTAGGGAGATATATTTTGTGTCTATATGAATAAGGTCATGTCACAAATTGACAAAAAAGGGAATCAGAGCAAAATCCGAATGAGAATGGCTGAGGGTAATACAGACCTGATCATTATATCCAGAGTATCAAAATCAAGCTCTAGAACTGAAGTATAACTATTTGAAGCTTGAAAGATGGTTTTTACTACATATAAGCAAAAAAGACTCTTATTCAGTAGATGATAAATCTATGAAAAATTACAAAGGATCTGCATTCAGGCCAAAAATACTTAAAGTTTGAGAAGCCTTGAGATGCATCCATTGGTCACCAATTTATAATGAACAATTTTAGAAAGGTTAGCAGTGTAAGCACAGCTGATCGCCAGTTCATCAACAGTTATGTCCATAACCACTGATTTTCAAATAACTGTATTATGAAGATGTGTCTGTAATGGTTGTTAAGCGGCTGCTACTCCGTACTCCCTGAGTAACCCATGCCCTGCTTCCCAGAGCCCAAAATCCCTAGATCTTTTCATGATCCAGGAACTGATTGGTAAATCCTTGTCACAGATATAGTTGGCATCCATTCGGACTGGGTGATGTCATAGCCTTTTGGTTGTTAAATATTCCATTGAAGATGGTATACTGTTTTGCTCTCCTAAAAGCATCTACTAATGCCACTGTCAATGGGAGTAAGAGGTTTATGAATGATTGTTTTTCTGACTCAAGATGATACTTGGCTCTCAATTAACAAAGAACTATCTCTCCTGAAAAGATTGACCATCTTGCCTTTCCTCCATTATGACTGATGTTCAGAGTCTCCCAAGAGTCCCCAAGACTAAATGGATTATTTTGATGTATACGTGGATTTTTAAGAGTTACCCATTATGTTAATTCCCATGCAATATACCAACTCTTCTTTCAGAGTCCTAATTTTAAGCATAAAAGACTAGAGAATTTGCAGCTGGTTTTAAAAAATAATACTATTGCAGTGACACAAATCGCTTCCAATGGATAGGAAAAACGTGCAATTTCTAAATGATTGCATGGTTCCAAGTGTAAATGTATACATGCATGTGCTGGCTAAGCATGCTGACTTCTGCAAATCCTGCAATATTCAAACTGTCCTTTAATTTCTCATTCCTTCTTTGGTATAGAATATATTTATGGCTTACAATATCTCTCCCCTTATGCTTTCTATTCCATAGAGTTTTTATGACCTGGAACCATTCTCACCCATGTCACATCAGGCCTATTCCTAAACATCCCTCAAGAGGTATCCTCTTCCCTTCATCCCTACCCTTGCTAATGGACTCTCTAAGATATCCCTATAAGTACTAAATGGATAGAATTTCTTGTATTCTCACAAATCTGGTACTCTGCTCACAAAGCTAAGCTAATGAGAACTATACTCTACATGTGTATCCCTCCTTCTGTCTAACAAAGTGAGATTTTAGTGTAACCATATCAAAAATAAACCTTTGCTTAAATTTGTAAGTGCTAGGTTCAAAACTTTTTAAAAAATGTAATATGTATAGATTCATATTTTAATAAATAGCCTCTCTATTTCAAACTAAAATGCCCATTCTGTTCTGTCCTGAAAACAACACAAAACAAAAAAACTAGAAATGCACTGTTTAAAAATAGAGCATCTTTCAGGTTAAGTCATGGGATGAACAGACATTCAATTCAATCTGCATTTCCAGTCCTGTGTGATTATAGTGCTCGTAGCTATAATTCTTTATAATAATAGTCCTGACATAATGCAAGATGGAAAATGTAATTATTTTAATTACACTCTACCTTCTAAGTGAAGATTATTAACCAAAAAAGTTGAAACCAAGTACTTTCTTGGGAACCCACTATTAATTAAAAAAATTAATTCAACAGAATGCCCAATTTTCCCAAGAATTTTAGTCAAAACAGTCATGCATAATTGTAGTGAGATGCTAATCACATCTTAAAATAATCAACCAGATAATCTCAAGTAAAACCTTTAATCATTGTCAGTTGGACCTGTACATACTGGTACAGATGCCAACATCATTGACTACAGGCAAGAAGGTAAAAGGCAGGAGAGGAGATATCTGTCATTGCACATAAGTATTTCAATTTCTATAATATATAGTTATATACTGATTCCAAGGATCCTTATGAAATTCAGTAAGTCAGAAATGGAAGGTAATTATTTGGGTACATGGAATTTGTACCATTTTCTAAATTTGCTCACTCTACTTGCTACTGTAGTATCTAGACACTTAACTTGTCCAAAAAATAGATATAGCAAATTATATGCAGGAAAACAATTATATACAGTAATTATATATAGTAAAATAGATAGTAGATATATTTAATATATTTAATAAAATCTGTACTAATTATATATAGTAAAATATGCAATTCTAAGTGTGCAATTTTGCTTTCACAAATTATGCAATCATGTAAACAATCCTATGTCAAGATATAGAAAATACAGATTTCTATATCGAGATATAGAAAATTCCCATAAACCCAAAAAGCTCCCTCCTTCTCCTTTCTAGTTAATTCCCCCTCCTTCTCCCTGGACATCATATAAAGGAATCACATGACATGACTCATGTGTCTGGCTTTTTTCACCCAACATAAAATTTGAGAGATCCAACCATGTTATTGTGTGTGACTGTGCATCTGTGTGTGTGTCTATAAAGTTACAGGTTTTTAAATAAAAACAGTGACCTTGAGTCTCCCATCCTAGATCAAAACAAAATTCTGAACCTCTTGTTAATTTTCTCCTACTGAACATGATCTCTATAGCGGCTCACTGTAATGGGAATTATATTCTAGGATTATTTCTCTTTTTAAAGACAATCAGCAACTAAATAATTCTGTGGTGACCCTTATAATCTTACAAGTGGAAATTTATCAGTTTATCGCTCCATTTTTATGTGCTCCCTAAAACTCTATCAAAAACAGTGAAGACTTGCCTTCAACTTTACCTTGAAATTTAAAGCATTTGAGTTTCAAATTAATAAATACTTTCTAAAATGATAATTTGTTGCATTGATTTTGTTTGCTTTTCTTGACTAGGCCGCTGCATTGCCAGAAAGTTAGAATGCAATGGAGAAAATGACTGTGGAGACAATTCAGATGAAAGGGACTGTGGGAGGACAAAGGCAGTATGCACACGGAAGTATAATCCCATCCCTAGTGTACAGTTGATGGGCAATGGGTATGTAACATCTTTTTATCATCTTGGGGAGAACAGGTATCAGAACAAATGAGTCAGAGGGAGCAATGAGATACATCATTGTCCATCTTCCTCATTAACTTCTTACTACTCCTACCAGCCCTATCTCTGATACTTAGCTACCATGTTCAGGAGGTATGTGGCCATGATCCTCACTCCTGAGAAGTAAAAGTTAGCATTTCCAAATATAGTTTGTGCCAGGCAATGCTATGGGCCCTTCATAAACATGGCTTGTTTTATTTCTCATACATCTCTCAGAAAGTTTTGGAATGGATTAGAGCAGACTGGTCTAAGCCCATCAAGCTGGGAGGTGCCAGGGTGGGGTCCTGGAGGTAGGCCTTGAATGGGTGAGTAACCACTCAGAAATGTCAGGAGCAAATGGAGAAAGAGGGTGTGATAAAAGTATGCCTATGGGTGGGTTGAAAGCCAAAACACTAGAGAAACAAAACCAGTCTTCCAGCATGAAAAGCAAACCCAGAGTCAAATAATGAGCGATAAAGCCAAAAGGAAAGAAGTTAAGCAAATATAGAAAAAAAGAGAGGGCTAAGCAACAAGGGTGTGAAAACGTAAGAGAGTAAGAGGTGAAGTGAATATAGCTAGGTATTCTCTCCCATAGGCTGTGTGACGTGTGGGTAGGTCAGCAGAGCCTAATGGCAGAAGCCAGACCTATATTACCATCCAGTCTCAGCTTACAAACTGAGAAACGAGTCCCAGAAAGCTTACATAACCTGACCAAGTCTACCAACTAGCAAATGGTGGAACCAGGATTCAAATCCAGACTTCAAAACCCAGGCTTTTTCCATGATTTCATGCTGATTCAGGACTACATCTACCTTACAAATGAGACACCCTGGAAGAAACCTCAGGAGATCACATAGCTCTTTCTTCTAGTGTTCCTACTACAGGAATACCCAATCATGAGCACACTGGGGGTTTTACCAGGGGTTCTAAATTCATTAGACTGAACCTGTGTTTTAGATGATGTTAGGAAATATAAGAGAAGGCTATGAAAACAGAAAAACTGAGCCTTAATTTGAAACATAAGAAAAAATCAGTAAAGATAATCTCCTATACTCTCCCCTTTACATAATAAAGAAACCCCTCTTAAATTTTTGGCCAGAAGGCAGATAGTTTGCTATCAATTTCTATTGCTTCATATTGGACTTTAGAAAATTAGAATCTTCACTTAATGCTGCCAGAGTTGCATAATATGAAAACTCGAGGCACCAAAGACAAACAGCCACAATTGCAAATACAACCTTATTTGATTTAGAATAAAACCCAGAAAATATTGAACCAAACCCGAGGACACCAGTAAAATGGAAAAACCATTAGTCTGAAAGTAAGAGGAGCTGAGTTCTAAATAACTCAGCTGGTTCTAATGTAGAACTAGAACCAGTTCTACATTATCTCACTACACCACAGCCGAGTTATTTAACAACTCTGGGCCTCGGTTTCCTCATCTATATGTTGGATGACTATAAACTGATGTGATGTTCTGTCCTAAGAATTTCTAATTAGTGCTGATTTCGATGAAAGTGCTTCAACAACATATTCTTATCCATGTGCAGAAATGGTTTCCTTCTCTTGGTTTGCCTACAAGAAAACGTCAGCCAAAAACTCCCACTGATAATCACATTTTCTAATGTTCTGATTGATGAAGGGTGACATTACAAAATCACCTTTTGTTCAGTTGATCTAGACTCTAGAGTTACAGATGGGGAGGACCACATGCTATGTGTACTTTGGCTGAAGGACGACGTGGCCCTCTGCCAACCAGAGCTGTTGTCCCAGTGATTCTGAGAAATGAGCAAAGCCTGCCGGCTCGGGACAACCAGTCCTCTCCTTGCCTCCCCAGAGACTGAGAGTTTTGAGAATTGCTTACTGTAATCTTGTTCTAATCTGCTGGCCTTAGAATCTCTGCCTCTCCAATCCTGCTATCCAACATATTTCTAACCACAAAAAAAAAAAAAAAAAATAGCTTCCTGAGTGGCTGACCTTCTTAACTGATATTTCTCCAAGAAAAATTTTAACAAGAGATATAAAAATTTCTACATTGCCAACATCAGTCACTAGGTTCTAAATATGAAGCAAGAATCAGGCAATAATAGCATGCTATTTGTTTTTACCCAGGCTTAGTGTGTGTATAGATACACACACAGTTGAAAGGACACATTCATCTATGTGGCAAAATAGTGAGATCTGTGAGTAGGGATCACACACATATATATGTGAAAATACATGCATACACACAAATATATATTTTTGATTTATATATTTCTAGTTATATTCAAAAAGTTACAAAGTATGACACATAAATCAGATTAGATCAAAGCACTTTAGAAACAATGCTGTATGTGAAACACTAAATTATTTTAAGTCAGTATCAACATCTGAGAGGAGGAAGGAAAGAATAAGACTGAAAATTTCTTCATAGCTGGCTTAACTCCTAAAAGATTTCTCAGGCATGGTCTGCTGGAAATACCTCCATAAAATCCTATCTTCAGGTTCTCCACAAATAGCTGTCACCTTCATAGATTCCTCATGACCTGAGAGCCATTTTTCTCAAGCCCTTTTTTGCTTGTGACAAACATAAGTACATAGTGTAAAGCAGTATAAGGTCAATGGTTTTTTAGTCCTCGCTGTTATGCTTTCAGCTATTTGAATATAATATGCATCTTAGACAACCCACAGAATTCACTCATTTTAAAAAACAGCCTTATTGAGATGTAATTTGCATGCCATACAATTCATCCATTGAAAGTGTCTAATTCAACCATCTTCAGCGTATTCAAAGACTTATATAACCATCACCATGATATAATTTTAGAATGTTTTCAACATACCCAAAGTAAAACCTTTGTACATATTAGATATCAAGCTTCATTTCTTTCCCCCTTCTACCTGACTCCTAACCCTAGGAAACCACTAATTCACTTTCTGTTCATGTAAATTTGTGTATTCTAGACATTTCATAAAAATGAAATTCTACAATATGCAGCCTGTGTCTGCCTTTTTGCACTTAGCATAATGTTTTTAAGATTCATCCCAATACTCACAATTGGTACTACAGAAATACAAATGATCATTAAAGACTATTATAAACAGCAATATGCCAACAAATTTGAAAATCTAAAAGAAATGGATAAATTCCTGGATACAAAAAAAAACTTACCAAGATTGAATCAAGAAGAAATAGAAAACAGACCAATTGTGAGTAATGAGATTAAATCAATAACAAAAAGTCTCCCAAAAAAGAAAAGCCCAGGACTGGATGGCTTCACTGCTGAATTCTACCAAACTTTGTAAGAACTAATACCAATTATTATCAAGCTATCCCAAAAAATCGAAAGGGAACTTTTCCAAACTCATTCTACAAGACTAGTATAACACTGATACCAAAACCAGATAAAGATGCAACAACAACAACAACAAATCTACTACAGGTCAATATCCCTGATGCAAAAATCCTCAGCAAAATACTAGCAAACAGAACCCCAGAGTACATCCCAGATATCTACTATAATTAAGTAGTATTTAATCCAGAGATGCAAGGATGGTTCAAAATATGCAAATCAATAATGTCATCACATCAACAGAGAGAACAAAACATATGATCACCTCAATAGTTGTGGAAAAAGTATTTGATAAAATTCAACATCCTTTCATGATAAAAACTCTCAAAAATTAGAAATAGAAGAAACTTAACACAATAAAGGCTGTATATGGCAAACCCACAGCTAGCATCATACTGGGTAGAGAAAAGTTGAAAACTTTTCCTCCAAGGACTGGAATAAGACAAGGATACCTGCTCTTACCACTGTTATTCAGCATAGTCCTGTAAGTCCTTGCTGGAGCAATTAGGCAAGGAAAAGAAATAAATGGATCCAAACTGGAAAGGAGTAAGTCAAATTGTCACTGTTTGTAGATGACATTATCTTTTATAGCGAGAACACTAAAGACTCCACCAAAAAAAAAAAGGCCCTAGAAATGATAAATGAATTCAGTAAAGTTGCAGGATACACAATCAATATACAAAAATCTGTAGCATTTCTATATATTATCACGAGCTAGAGGGAAAAGAAATCAAGAGAGCTAACTATAAGAGCTACAAAAAAATACCTAGGAATAAATTTAACCAAGGAGATGAAAGATCTCTGCAAGGAAAACTATAAAACACTGATGAAAGAACTTGAAGAGGACACAAAAGAAATGGGAAGGCATCCTGTTTTTATGGATTGGAATATTACTATTGTTAAAGTGACTCAACTGCCCGAAGCAATCTACAAATTCAAGGTAATCCCTATTAAAACACGAATGACTTGCTTTACAGCAATAGAAACAAAGCTCTAAAATTCATATGGAACCACAAAAAACCTTAATAGCCAAAGCAATCTTGAGCAAAAAGAACAGGCCTGGAGTGCTGGCTCATGCCTGTGCCAGCACTTTGGGAGGCCGAGGCGGGTGGATCATGAGTTCAGGAGTTCAAGACAAGTCTGGCCAACATAGTGAAACCCCATCTCTACTAAAAATACAAAAATTAGCCAGGCGTGGTGGTGGGCATCTGTAGTCCCAGCTACTTGGGAGGCTGAGGCAAGAGAATCGCTTGAACCCGGGAGGTGGAGGTTGCAGTGAGCAGAGGTCGTGCCACTGCACTCCAGCCTGGGCAACACACAGAGACTCTGCAAAAAAAAAAAAAAAAAAAAGCCAAAGGCATCACACTACTACATTTCAAAATATACATGTTACATGTGTTACATGTTACAAAGCTATGGTAACCCAAGCAGCACACTATTGGCATAAAAATAGATGCATAGACCAATGGAACCGAATACAGAACCCAGAAATAAAACCATGTATTTACAACCAACTGATTTTTGACAAAGGTGCCAAGATCATGCACTGGGGAAACAAGAGTCTCTTTAATTAATGGTGCTGGAAAAACTGGATATCCATATGCAGAAGAATGAAACTGGACCCCCACCACTCATGCTATACAAAAATCAACTCCAAATAGCTTAAAGACTTACATGTAAAATTCCAGAACTATTAAACTATTAGAGAAAAATGTAGGGGAAAACCCTTAGAACATTGATGTGAGAAAACATTTTATGAAAAAGACTTCAAAAGCAGAAGCAACAAAAGCAAATGGGATTATATCAAACTAAAAAGCTTTTTGTACAGTGCAGAAAACAGTAACAGAGTGAAAAGACAACATAAACATACACAGTGGAAAAAAGTATGTGCCAGCTATTCATCTGACAGGGAGTTAATATCCAGGATATATAAGGAACTCAACTCACCTCAAAAATAAATAAATAATCCAATTTAACGGATTAAGTTCACCAGTGAACTTAATAAGACATTTACCAAAAGGAGCCCAACAAATATATTTTAAAATGTTCAACATCACTAATCATCGGGAAAATGAAAATCAAACTACAATGAGGTATCATCTCACTACAGTTGAAATGACTATTATCAAAAAGACAAAAAAATAGCAAATGCTGGAAAGGATGTGGAGAAAAGGAAGCTCATACACTGTTGGTGAGAATGTAAACTAATGTAGCTCTTATGGAGACCAGTATGGAGATTCCTCAAAAAAACTACAAACAGCACTGCCATATGATCCAGCAATCCCACTACTGAGCATACATCCAAAGCAAAGGAAATCGGTATACTGAACAGATATCTGCATCCCTAAGTTTATTTGCAGCACTGTTCACAATAACCAACATATGGAATCAGTCTAAGTGTCCATCAACAGATGAATGGATAAAGAAAACATGTTACATATACAAAATGGAGTACTATTCAGCCATAAAATAGAATGAAACCTTGTCACTGGAGAAACATGGATGATCCTGGAGGATATTAAGTGAAATAAGCCAGAAACAAAAACATAAATACTACATGTTCTCACTCACATGCAGAAGCTTAAAAAGTTGATCTCATACAAGTAGATTAGAATAAGGGTTACAAGAGACTGGAAAGAGTAGGGGAAGGGGAGGATAGGAAGAGATTGGTTAAAGGTTACAAAATTACAGCTAGATAAGAGGAATAAGTTCTAGTGTTCTATAGCATTGCAGGTGACTATAGTTAACAATAATTTAGTACATATTTTCAAATACCGAGAAGAGAAAATTTTGAATATTCCCAACATGTTTGAGGTGATGAATATGCTAATTACCCTGATTTTATTACTATACATTGTATGTATCTAAACATCACTACGTACCCCATAAATATGTACAATTATGTGACAATTTTTAAAAATGTAATATTAAAAATCACCCATATAAAGCATATGTTAATACTTCATTCCATTGTATGAGAGAATAACAACCCATTGTATCATTCTATCACATTGTGTTGATTCATTCATCAGCTAATGAACATTTGGTTTGTTCCTACTTTGACTAGTATGAGTAATGCTGCTATGAACATTCATGTACAAGTTTTTGCATTGATATATATTTTCAATTCTCTTTCATATATACTTAGGAATGGAATTGCAGGGTCTTATGGTAATTATACATTTAATTTTTGAAGAACTCCCAACTATTTTCCAAAACAGCTGCACCATTTTTCATTTCCCCCAGTTACATATGATTGAAAATCAACTTCTCCACACCTTCATCAAAACTGTTTCTGTTCATCTTTTGGTTAAAGCTATTCTAATGGCTATGAACTGGTATCTCATCGCAGGTTTGATTTGTATTTCCTAATGACTAATAACTTTGAGCATTTTTTCACATGCTTATTAGTCATTTTCATATTTTTTCAAAGAACTATATATTTAGATACTCAAATTATTTGCTCATGGTTTAATTGAGTAATTTGGTTTTTTTATTTAGTTCCAAGCATTTTTTGTATATTCTGGGTGTAAGTTCCTCATTAGATATGTGACTTGGAAATATTTTCTCCCATTATATGAGTTGTATTTTCACTTTTTTGTTGGTGTCCTTTAAAGCACTAAAGTTTTTAATTCTGGTGGAGTTCAATATATTTATTTCTTCTTTTGTTGAATGTGCTTTTAATGTCATATCTAAGAAGGCTTTGTCTTACTGGAGTTCACAAATATTTAGTCCTATATTGTCTTCTAAAAGTTCTATAGTTTCAGCTCTTAAATTTAGGTTCTATTATCTATTTTGATTAATTTTTTTGCATTATGTGAGAAAGGGGCCCAATTTCATTCATTTGCAATATAACCATTAGGTCATTACAGCACCATTCATTTAGGACTATTTTCCCCATTGAACTGTCTTGGCACCCTTGTTGAAAATCAATTGACCATAGATGTATGGGTTTATTTCTAGATGCATTTCTGTTCCATTGATCTATATGTCTGTCTATCCTCATGCCAGTACTACTACACTGTCTTGATGACCCTAATTTTGAAGTAAATTGTGTATCAGGAAGGTAATTCCTTGAACTTTGTCCTTCTTTCTCACGATTCTCTTGGCTGTTCTGGGTCTTTTGAATTTTAGAATTGTCTTGTGAATTTTTACCAAAAAAAGGCAGCTGAGATTTTGATAATGATTGTCTTGAATCTATAAATCAATTTGGGAAGTACTGCTATCTCAACAACACAAATTCTGCCAATCCACTAATATGGAATGTCTTTCTATTCATTGAGATTTCACTTAATATCTTTCAACATTGTTTATACTTTTCAGTATATGAGTCTTAGACTTCTTTTGTTAAATAAATACCTGAGGATTTTATTCTTTGAGAGGCTATTATAAATGGAATTGTTTCTGTAATTTTATTTTTGGATTGTTCATTGCTATTTGTAGGGAAATACATTTGATTTTTGTTTGTTGATTTTGTTTCTGCAAGCAATTACTTTTGAACTTAGTATGCAACCTTTTAATAAAATTAAAATATACTTTCCCTGGTGGAAAAAATGGGAGAGATAGTATGTATTGTTTCCTTTCATAGGGCAGGCCAGGCCTGTGCTAGTCACTATTAATTTCCACAACTACTATAAAAAAGCAATTAGCTCCATTTTCAAGTGAAGAAACCATTTCAGAAACTTAAAAGCTGTGTGTGTGTGTGTGTGTGTGTGTGTATGTGTGTGTCTGTGTACTTTTACATTAACACAATTTTATTGGTAGAGAATTTACAAGTATTTATATTAGCCTTACTTTCTTTTCAGTATTCTAACATCACTTTACAACTTTCAAACTATCCTTGCTCCTCTTTGATAGAAAAATATTGTGCCCCTTGGTTAGAAGCGCCTGAGTAATTGGTCGAATTTTCTGCTTTAAATCCAAATGTCTAATAGATCGCAAAAGCCTCCCATAGTGAACTGCTTCTTGATTCCCTCACAAATGAATGAGTCTATTTGTCTTTTTTTCAGATCTTTGTGATAGTTACAAAACTTAATATTTCAGCTCTGGTAAAGGTGGTGCCTTTCAGGTACATTTTGTCTTGTGAGTTAATGCCATAGAAGTACAAGGGAAACAGACATGTAAGTGGTCAATGACATTCTTGAGGATGTTTAGAGTTCCCTTGAGCCCCCACAACTATCAGAAGGGATGGGTGTACTGAAGGGTCATGAGAAGGGAAGGGCATTGGTGCTATTCCTTCTGCTACATGGAATTTTCCAGTGATATTCTGTAGAACTACACTACATGTTCTATGAAAGACAAGGTTATTTGGTCAAATGTACTTGGAGACTGACAATTTATATTTTTAAGGCTGTGACATGACCTGTAGAAAACGATTTTTATAATCTATGTAATACAGCATTACCAAACTGTTTGACAAAAAAACTACTTTTTTCACAGAATACATATTAATATCTCTTAGAATTTGGAAAAGCATTAGCATCTTGGAGAAGTTTTTTTATCTATAACAAAATAACCTCTTAAATAGTTGATTTATGCTAAGCTAATTAATCTCTATGTGCCTCAATGTCCTCATTTGTAAAACAGGTATAATAATTATATCTACATCATATGGTTGTAATAAATATAAGTTATTATTAGTAAAGTACTTAACCAAGTTAATATTTGTAAAGCACTTACTATTGCTTGGCTTATAGTAAATAGTATATAAGCATTTGTTAAATAAAATATATTTTAAATATTATAGTCAGTTATTAGTAAAACTATAATATTATTACAATTCCATTAAAATATTGCTGTTACTATTTTATTATGAGCTCTCTATTAGAATTCCACTCAGAAAGAAGTAGACCTGGGATAGCATTTATTATATAATAACTTATTTCATAATCTGCTTCCAAACTTTGCACTGGCTTTGTAAGTCATAAAAAATTATAAATCCAGATTTTGTTGTATGTTGAAAGCCAAGAACAATTAAGTAAGTGGAATAGGAGAACCTAATAGAGCCAGAGAAGCTGAGTTTGGGCTTTCCAGCTTCCTTGCATGCCTCACCATGGACTAGGAAAAAAAAGCGGAGGTGTGGGGGATTCCTTCAAGTCATTTGTCTTGAGGCAAAAAGGTTTAGAAGAGGAATTCCTTTCATATAACTAAGGTAAATTTTAAAGATTGTTCTACATCTGTTGAATTCCTGAAAATTACTTTGTTTCTAGGTTTCATTTTCTGGCAGGAGAGCCCAGAGGAGAAGTCCTTGATAACTCTTTCACTGGAGGAATATGTAAAACTGTCAAAAGCAGTAGGACAAGTAATCCATACCGTGTTCCGGCCAATCTGGAAAATGTCGGCTTTGAGGTATGACAGCCTAGCATGGTGGCAACTCCAACACCGTCAGTGATTATAAGCTAAATTTCTCATGCAAAATTAGTGATGAATGAAGGGACAGAATAAAAAGGTGGTGAACCATTTTAATCACGTGTTATGTGTTTGTATTTTATCCATGCACACACAATGAGGCCAGTGTTATCAATTTACAGATGAAAAAACTAAGGTAACTAATTTTCCAGAAGTCAAACAGCTAGCAAGAAGTGAATTCAAGATTCAGGGCCAGGTTTTCCTGATTCGAGTCCATGCTTTCTCCATTGAATATTCAGCTCTAAAATAGCTCCACACAGATAAACAGTTTGATTTCTTCAGAATTTTCTCCTAACCTAGGTAGTGCTCTTAGATAACCACAAAAAATAGACTTTTTTTTTAAAGTGCCAGGCTCATAAGAAAAATCATGATGAGTCAGTCTAATGAGATAGTTCTGCTTACTTTTCTTCCTATTTTATTAGTTGGTTTGGTTTATTTGTTTCTTTTAGTAAATTATAATGAGCAGCATACTACCTACTCTCAGAATCTAACTCATGCTTTACACGTAAGTGCTCCATACTCGTTGCACTAAAGTGAGTAATCTGCTTCTTTTAAATTGTGATAAGAACAGAAAATACACGTTTTAATGGTGACGTTCATGCATAGAAATTTGACAAGCTAGAGAGAATTTCAGAGTTGTAATTATTTCTGAGAACCACTTTATGGGTAATATGAGTTCAGCAAAAACTCATTTAATCCTTCCTTTAAAAAGACCTTTATATACATATAAATACAGGCATTTTCCAATTCAATTCACTCAATTTAAAACCATCTAATATATACTGATAGGTGGGGAATGTCTTTGGGAACTAACCGTCAAATTTGAATACCTCTGGGAAGACTGATAATACTGCTCTTAAGATATATTGTATTTGAACAGGCTTTGTAGACAGAGCTAAAACCTAAACATTTATATGTAATATTGTTCTGATGGAAGTTGCTTTCCAGTTCCAAAACAACCAATCCACAAGTTTACTTTCAAAATATGGTCATTTCACAAAAGGATATTGCCTGTATTTTCAGCAAACATCTATTTCATGTAGTTTTACAAGTAACAAAATAAAGGAAGTATATGAGGCTGGAGCAAATTGAGGCTTAGATAACACTTCATACTCATATGATACCTTAGAGTCTTCAAAGTACTTTCATATATTGCTTTACTTGATTCCCATAACAACCTCCCCAGAAAGGTAGAAAATTGTTTACATCCACATTACTAACAGAAAATTTAGGCTTAGCCGGGTGTGGTGGCTCACATCTGTAATCCCAGCACTTTGAGAGGCCAAGGGGGTGCAGATCACTTGGGTGTCAGGAGTTCAAGACCAGTCTGGGCAACATGATGAAACCCTGTCTCTACTAAAAATACAAAACTTAGCTGGGCGTAGTGGTGCACACCTGTAGTTCCAGCTACTCAGGAGTCTGAGGCATGAGAATTGCTTGAACCCAGGAGGTAGAGGCTGCAGTGAGCCGAGATCACGCCACTGCACTCCAGCCTGGGCGACAGAGTGAGACTCTCTCAAAAAAAAAGAAAAGAAAAGAAAAGAAAATTTAGGCTTATTGGAGTTAAACAACTCTCTCAGAGTTATACAGCAAATAAATGGCACAGAAAAATAAGGATTCCTGGCTTCTGGCTCTTATAGTCGGAGGCGGCCTATGTTAGATGAGACATTTGTAGTATATCAAGAAAGACATTAAAACTCCACACAGTGGGTTAAAAGTCTGAGCACCTTCATAAACTATCAGTTAAAATGTATCCCCCTTGAAGTTAGACAATGATGTGCTGGACCCAGCTCTTTGAGTTCACAAGAGTCAACTGTTAACTTTTCAGGAATTTTGGAATCCAATTGTGAAACATAGATTTTTTTTTTTCTTTTTCAACTTTCATTTTAGATTCAGGGAATACATATGCGAGTTTGTCACCTGGCTTTATTGTGTGATGCTGAGGTTGGGGGTACAAATGATCCCTTTACCCAGGTACTGAGCAGAGTACCCAACAGTTTTTCGACTCTTGCCCCTCCCTCCCTTCCCCCCCTAGTAGACCCCAGTGTCTGTTGTTGCCATCTTTATGTCCATGAGTGCCCGATGTTTAGCTCTCACTTATAAGTGAAAACATGTAGTATTTGTTTTTCTGTTCCTGTGTTAATTTGCTTAGGATAATGGTCTCCAGCTGTATCCATGTTGCTGCAAAGGACATGATTTCATTCTTTTTATGGCTGCTAGTATTCCATGGCACATATGTACCACATTATCTTTATCCAATCCACTGCTGATTGGCACCTAGGTTAATTCTATGCCTTTGCTATTGTGAATAGTACTGCGATAAACATGCAAGTGCATGTGTCTTTTTGGTAGAACAATTTGTTTTCTTTTGGATATGTACCCAGGAATGAGATTGCTGGGTCAAATGGTGGTTCTGTTTTAAGTTCTTTGAGAAATATCCAAACTGCTTTCCACAGTGGCTGAACTAATTTACATTCTCACCAACAGTGTATTAGCATTCCTTTTCTCCACAGCCTTGCCAACATCTGTTGTTTTTTTGACTTTTTAATACTAGTCATCCTGACTTGTGTGAGATGGCATCTCACTGTGGCTTTGATTTGCATTTCTCTGATGATTATTGATGATGAGCATTTTTTCATATATTTGTTGGTCAAAACACAGCCATTATTAAATATCAAATATATTATCTCACAGGTAAACACATTAAAAACAAAGGTTATAATTGCTCAAAATTGATCACTTTTCAATTATTTGGCTACATTTTACCATTATCCATGCTATTGGGGTTATTTACATCTATTGGATCTGTATTATGAAAATACTTTGTAATTTGCCACTGTGCATCTCTTCCCAATATGAATTCAGGGCATCACATAGGTAGCTTGAAATCAGCCATGGTAGGAATATATGCACAATGGAAAAGAAAAATGCTATAGCAAATCAGGGCTTTCTTCCCCTTCCCAGAGAGCTAGTTGTTAAACATTTACTAACAGATCACTGGGTTAACCCACAAAGCTTGATAACACAAGCCTGGATAACAAGTTACATGAGGAAATACAGCCTGAAAATTCTTTTACAGCAGATTAAACTCATTTCCTTATCAATGTAGCTCTAAGACTTGTCCAACCTTATGAAGCTACCTGAGCTAATCTTTAACTCTGCCATAGTGGTATGGCTGAAGTCATAGTGATATGGCTGAAGAAGGTCATAGTGGTATTTCTTCAAACAAAAATTTGGGAATGACTAGAGTCAAGGTCACAAGCTATTGGTTTTCTTTTAACTGATCTCTGTATAACTTCATTCTTTAGGCATGCTTTTAGCAGGCAGCTATGCAAACCTAAGCTATACCTTATTGAAAACAATAGAGGAGGAGAAATTCAGCAGGCATCTCACTTCCCTTCTTTTGTAGTATTGTAGCTTATGAAGATAGATGAAATAATTGGCTGGCTGGTATACAAAGATTAAAGAGACTCATGAAAGGAAGAGAAGGCAACTGGGCAGGGAGTTAGAAGACCTTAGAATAACTACAGGACAGATGATGGAATACAGACACCAGACTCAGCATTTTAATCAAGACAAGTTAGGTTACACTGCAATATCAATACTAAGATGTCAGTGTCTTAAAACAGTGCCACTCATACTGTACGTTCTACTGATAATAGTCACTTAGAAAGCAAGGGACTTAAGGGATCCTGCTTTGACACATCCTGACTGGTGTGATGATGAATTGCAAAAAAAAAAAAAGGGGCGGGGGGAAGTGACATATTGCCCATCAACTCTTAAAGTGACAGATACCATTTATATTTACATTTTATTGGCCAAAAAGAGTAGGGAAATGCATGCTTTTTATGTGCCCAGAAAGAGACTAGAGTAGTTGTAAACAGCGTAATGACTAACACAAAGGTCAATCAAGAGTTGATCAGCACTGGGAGCTTTGGTAGCAGGCAATGGGAACCCAACCTCAGAAACTGTGATCCCGAAGTCAGACTCGTCTCTTGAAAAAGTATAAAACAAGGTGGGACTTGGTTATAAAGAACAAGCCCAGTTGTCAGAACTGAAAAGTATCTTAGTTAGACTGCACACTGCATCAAAATCACAGACATGCTAAAAATAACCTTCATTGTTTATCACCCTGTTAAGTCTCAGCTTAGGTGGCATTTCCTTGAGGGAGGGTTTCCTGATATTGCCTCTCAGGGTCTTATATTTCCTGTGGGATTCCACTGGTCACACAGTACTTACCTCATTAAGTGTTGGTGATTATCTTTCTCTCTAACTAAACTATTAACCCCTCAGTGCAGGAAATAACACTATTCTTTGTTCTCTAGCAAAATGTGTCCTCAATAAATACTGGCTGAGTGCATAAATAAATAAATCATCATTTCATTAGATATCCACAAGTCGCTCCAGTATTTCCTAAATTATATTTTATTTTACATGGATTTTTCTCCAGGTACAAACTGCAGAAGATGACTTGAAAACAGATTTCTACAAGGATTTAACTTCTCTTGGACACAATGAAAATCAACAAGGCTCATTCTCAAGTCAGGGGGGGAGCTCTTTCAGTGTACCAATTTTTTATTCCTCAAAGAGAAGTGAAAATATCAACCATAATTCTGCCTTCAAACAAGCCATTCAAGCCTCTCACAAAAAGGTATCAAAAATGGTTTCCAACCTTTTATTCTTTCTTGAAAATTAACAGTAATTCCAGTAATCATGCAATAAGAAGGGGAGAGTTTTGATATTGTACCAGTATGACTTCTAATACAGATTTAAGTAATTTTTCCATTTTTTGTTATATCTCACTTCAAAAGTTATAGAAATATTATGTATATTAATGGTTCCATTTTGCATGCATTTGACTGTTATTGTTATGTTTTTTATCTTCACTTTTTTTTCATATTGTTGTAGGTGTGCTTCTTATAAACTCCATACAACAGAACTTTGACCTTTCATGTAATATGACAATCTGTATTTTATATTTTTGTTATATGTTATATACATATTTGTATAGATGTATATATTTGTACACATATACAAATACATATATAAAATATAACAAAATGTGTATTTTGCTACATTTATGTAAACACACGCACATTTACCTATCTCCATTTTTTTCCTCTTATATTCCTTTTCTTGAGATCCCTGTTCTCATTCAGTTGCCTTTTTTTTTTTTTAATTCCTCATATAGGACACATGCAAGGTATATTCTCTAAATCTTTTGTATCTAACATTGCCTGCCTTTTCCCTGAGCAATAAATATAAAGAATATCCTGACTGTATCATAATCTTCTTCTCTTGATAGTAGATGTTATTCAATTGTCTTCTAATTTCCATTGCTGTATAAGAACAATCATATTCAGAGCAAATTTTTTCATTTTCTTTTCCCTGCTTGAAAAGTTACAATTCTTTTTTGCACTTGGAACTTAGGGTATGTCTAAGTATTGGACTTTTCCTGTTAATCTTGCCAGGGACTTAGAGAACCCTTTTAATATACAAAGCTACAGCTTCATGTGTTCCTTTTTCTCCTATTATTTTCATTTTAAATCTCTTAGATATGTCTCACAGTGTTTAAATGATTTAGAAGACACATTTCTATCTGAAATTTTTAGACATTTACAAAGATATTTTAAAATACTGTCTATTGCTCACTACAACCACCACTCTAAGTAGCATTTGCTCTTTCCCAAGAGATGAATGAGGAGAATGAGCCCTGAATCATGGAACTAGAGAGGGAGGAAATAGAGGTACCAATGTCAGAGTTAATGAGATCAGCAACTGGAGGCCACCATATTACGGTTGCTCCTACTTTTATCGTATTGCTCTTCTACTTTTATTTAGTCAACCATTTATGCACTTATACAAATATAAGACCTAAAGCACTGTGTGGATAGTTTTCCCAAGTATTTCATTTATCCTCAAAACAATTCTAAGAGATTATCAGAGTCAATATTTAAACATCATTTTGCAGATGAATAGATTGAAATTCATATACGCATTTTTAATTCAACGAACATTTATCAAATACCTACCATGAGTCAGGCACTAACTAAAGTCCAAGAAGCTAAGTGACTTCCAGTGATCTTACAGTAAATAAATGCTAGAGTTGGGAACTGAAATCTGTTTGTCTTATTTTTGCTTACTTTTCTTATTCATTGTATTACACTTCAAGATATTTGACTCTTTATTCATTCATTTATTTATTCATAATTTTAGCAAAATACAGAAAGAACACAGTTCTGGTGACACAGACATGTAAAAATGACAATGAAATAGATTCATTTTATGTATAAATTATATATAACTATATATAATTTATATATATAATATAACATATATTTTATATATATATAACTTAGTTTAGAATGGGCTGTGGGTCCTATAGAGCCCTCCAAACTTAACAAATTATCTTTGTAAGACAAGATAGTATCAGAATTTCTTGTAAGTAAAAATACACATCTCTAGCACTTTCCCTTAATCTACTAATTCAGAATACCTGGGATTGGGCATGGGAATATGGCCTTTTTTATTTTTAGCTCCCTAGCTCAGTATAATATAGCATGCAGGATTGGAAATAACTGCTTATAAACATAGTCAATGATGAAGGGAGATAGATAGACATGTTTGTATGAGACATAGGTACAGTCCTATGTCTTGCTTCACGTATGTGATTTATATGTATTTCAAACATGCTAGAGAACGTTTGTAAAACCCTTATATGTAGATAAACAGCTATTGTTTGATCTCCTAATAGTCTGTCCCAAAGTTAAAAAATTTAGAGCTATTCACAATATCAGGTTGGAACATATTAAACTACTGTTATTCAACCATTTTTGATTTACAAAATTGTTAGCCTCACCAGGGACGGTGGCTCATGCCTGTAATCCTAGCACTTTGGAAGGCCAAGGTGGGCAGATTGCCTGAGCTCAGGAGTTCAAGACCAGCCTGGGAAACACAGTGAAACTTCATCTCTACTAAAATACAAAAAATTAGCCGGGCGTGGCAGTGTGCGCCTGTGATCCCAGCTACTCAGGAGGCTGAGACAGGAGAATCACTTGAACCCGGGAGGCGGAGGTTGCAGTGAGCGGAGATCGCACCACTGTACTCCAGCCTGGGTGACAGAGCAACAACAACAACAAAAAATTGTTAGCTTCATATAGTTCAATCCAACATCATTACTGTCATCTTTGATTAGTTCTGAACAGAATTAAGGAATTTCAGTCTAAGGAAATGAGGCTGGGCGCGGTGGCTCATGCCTATAATCCCAGAACTTTGGAGGACTGAGGTAGGCAGATCACCTGAGGTCAGGAGTTTGAGGCCAGCCTGACCAACATGGTGAAACCCTGTATCTACTAAAAATACAAAAATTTGCCAGACGTGGTGGCGGGGGCTTGTGGTCCCAGCTACTCGGGAGGCTGAGGCAGGAGAATCACTTGAACCCAGGAGGCAAAGG
This sequence comes from Homo sapiens, assembly GCF_000001405.40. Taxonomy (NCBI): domain Eukaryota; kingdom Metazoa; phylum Chordata; class Mammalia; order Primates; family Hominidae; genus Homo; species Homo sapiens. The sequence goes on along the minus strand of NC_000005.10, from coordinate 41,178,556 downwards.
TTGCAATGAGCCAAGATGGCACCACTGCACTCCAGCCTGGGTGACAGAGCTAGCTCTGTCTCCATCTCACAAAAAAAAAAAAAAAAAAAAGAAAAAGAAAAAGAAAAAAGAAAATACTACTGAAGCCTCTCTTAGTCTTCAAGTAGAGAAAACAAGATACCACAAAATTGAAAATCAATCCAAGTCTTTCAGTAGAGCATAAAGCTTTAGTTGTTTCGTCATTCACAGATCAAACTAGACATTTGTTGGACAAACAGTCTGTTTCCAAGCAAAATACCAGATAACTCAGTCAGGTTCAGTATTTTCTTGATATACTTTACAAAATGGAAACCACAATAATATTATTAAAATAAAGCAGGACCTCACACATTGTTGAAATAGATTATATGTGGTTTAATAACCTATAGTAATGTATTTTTTTAATCTAAAATAGCCAGTTTCAGGTATCATGAACCAGCAAGTAGAACACCATGGAGGTTATTGTGCTAAGTTGAGCTACCAAAGTTTAACTTGTATTTTCCACGACTGAGACCTTAAAGAAACCTGGAAATATTGAACCTTCCAGAAAGGGCAGTTCAGATACTCAGGGAGTGAGTGTGCTTCTTATTAAAAGCACAAGGGCTCTCCAACTTTTGAAAACTATGGTTCTCTGACAAAATTCAAGTATTAAACTTAAAAATAGAATTAATGAGCACTTACTAAAATGGAAGTTCCACAAAGGCACGAACTTTGTCTGCCTTCTTCACTTCTGTATCTACAGCATCTCAGATAGGTAGGCAATGAATGTATAGAAGGCCAGAAGGTAGAATAAAGGAAGAGAGGGACAGGGAAAAGGAAAGACAGAAGGGAGATTAATGCTGATTCTTTTTCAATCCTTGGGATTATTTTTTTTCTTTTGTGTCAGCAGTCATCTTTTGCCATACTTATAGCAAAGAGGAATACGGTTAATAATTAACAGTTATAATACAGTTATTTTGCTAAAACATGGTCCTTACTCTGTTACTATTACTACAATTTGTTAAAATTGAGAGATCAGATAAAGTATATAAATTTTTTTTAAAACAATGTACATAAATACACTTATAAACCTCAGTGGCTATGTAGAAAGATAATCTGAGGAAATGAGATTTTAAGCATAATATTGACCAGCTAATTCTCAATTAACCTGACATAAAAAGAAATGATAAATAAATAAGTTTGTAAACAAAAAAACTCATATATTTCTGCATATGGGTGGAGGAGAGAGAATATAAATAATTTTACTTAATTTCACCCACTAAGTAATTTAGAATCAGCATTTTGGAGTTGAAAGGAGATGTGAAGTGTTACCAGGTGCAAGCCCTCATCTTATCATTTGACAACTGAAGTCTAGAGAATCGAAACGCTTTTTCCAGAATGACAAAGCTGTAACTTGAATCTCACTTGCATAACCTCCATCTCAGTTGCATAACTTCCAGTTCAAAATGCACACAATTCTTTTTCAATTATTCACATTAGCAAATATTCTAAATAAAAACTCAGTAGAAATGCAGCCATGATTGGCAATCAGGAGAGAAAGATGACTTTTTTGATCACTGATTTCTTCTTTCTTAGAGAACACGTGCCCCCATTACACAGTTTACATTATTGAGATAATCTTACCTGTTTTGCACATTGGACATTGGTATTGGAAAGCAAAATGAAAATTATAATTTTGTACGTGAGAACATGCAATAGAGAGTGAGAATTATTGTAATTCTGTGGTGGGAATGAAACTAATGATAAATCAATGACATTTAAATGCTAGGTACTTCAAACTTTCATTACCTTTAATCATCTTTTTACTTCTTTCTTCCATTTAGGATTCTAGTTTTATTAGGATCCATAAAGTGATGAAAGTCTTAAACTTCACAACGAAAGCTAAAGATCTGCACCTTTCTGATGTCTTTTTGAAAGCACTTAACCATCTGCCTCTAGAATACAACTCTGCTTTGTACAGCCGAATATTCGATGACTTTGGGACTCATTACTTCACCTCTGGCTCCCTGGGAGGCGTGTATGACCTTCTCTATCAGTTTAGCAGTGAGGAACTAAAGAACTCAGGTAACTTTCTTCAGTCCTCACTCTTTTTAACTGGTATGATAGCATGCAATACATTTTTCTCTTACTCTATCATTTTAATTATTCTGCTTTGACTTTATTTAGATCCTGCTTTATTTCCAAAATGATATGAAGAATGATAAAAAATACACATTCAAATAAATAAAACAAAAATAGAAAACTAAGACCAAAAAATAAAGAAAAATAAGTATGCTTAACCACTGTGATTTTAGGCATCATATTTGTCTCTAAATTTCCTAACATCTGGGAACATCATAAGCTTACACAGTAGTGGTTACCCAAAGAGGAAGATGCATGCCAATATCTCAAGGGAAACCAACTTTGTACTGGCACTAAATTCTAAAAGATAATTTATGAATAACATTTTTATAGGATATAATTTCATAAAGCAATACCTTATAACGAATTAAATAGCAATTTTTTCCTGTAATAATTTTAACTACAAGCCAAGATGAAACATATGATGAAAGAAAAGTTAAAAACTTGACAAGCGACTAAGCTAGAGTGGGCCAGATGAGCACTTACTGGTGATGAAACCTGAAACTAAATGCAAAAGATTTGCGTTATTGTAGGCTTTCCACACTGCCTGCATGCTTTATGTTTCCTTTCAGTTATCCTTTCCACTGGAGTAACTCTTGCATGTGAATTTGATGTCTTCTGCTACTGCAAATAGTATCAACACTAATGCTGAGCAGAAGTAATTAGGGGAAATCTCTGCTCTTGACTTGGTTTTGTCTCACCCTCAGAAGAAATTATTCTGGTCACTTCTGCTATAGCCCAGAAAATAATTTCCCACTTGATGAGTATAATCCTCATGCATTCAGAGCAGAGCCCCTAAATGCTTAGGGATCAGGTCAGTTGAGAACTGGGTGAATCTTTAATCAACTATTAGTTAAAGCCCCATCACCAAAATGAAGAGTGATGAGCTATACTTTCCTACGGAAACCTTCTCACATTCCATCTCTTTCTCTGTAGAGGTAGAGACTGACAGTTACATATAATGAAGGAAAGAAAAGGAGTTTGGGATGTGATAGGAAATTCCAAATAAATACCCATGCATATCCATATATACATGCATGCACACAGTACATACATACACACACATACACTGTATGCATGTATTGACAGTGTGTCCATATATGCATATATATGTGTGTATATATATTCAGTAAGATGTATTCTGGATGTGAGGATGATCTAGCTGTGACATCTGTCACTTCTTTGATCGCCAGGGTTGATTTGGCTGATCTGGCTGGCTGGATGGGTGTCCCCTTCCTCCCTCACCACTTTATGTGTGTCCCTCCAAAGCTGCATGCTCAGTCAAAGAGGATGACCACCTCCAACAGAGGAGGACTGGTCTTAGGTCAAGGGTATATGAGTAGCTGCACTCCCCTGCTAGAACCTCCAAACAAGCTCTCAGTAAGATGTATTCGATATTCTTGTATTCAATAAGTTTATATGGAATAATTTATCTGTAAAATTTTAATTGTTGTTAAAATGAAGCACACCCAGACAGAAATGACTTCTCAAGAAAATGAAATTCTCCAGTTCATGTGCTTACCTGGCTTTCCCAACTCTCTAGATAAATATGTATTCTGGCCTCTTCCCTTTTCTCTCCTCCTATTCTCTCTCCCTTTACCTCATCATAACATGAAACTAAAGTATAGATTTAATTTTTGCTATGCCTTATTCAATAAGAATTATATCCCCTGTTGTTAATTTTTGAAAAATGACTTGAATATTTCATAGTACTTTCTTTCCCTCAAGAAAAAGAAAACAAAATTAAATTGCCTTTTATTTGCATGCATTGATTTATTTCTCTATTGTTCAATGTCCCATAGTCAAGTTAAAACCTTGAATAAAAGTTGGCATTGCTTCAGTGTGCAAGGTGAAAAGAGTTTCATAAACACAGTGAAAACATCAAACAATAAAAATATCCTAATATGCAAGAGGATAATTTTAAACTCCTTTTATTGGGAAGTCATCTTCTACACTGAATTGGAGGTTAAAAATTATTCACCACACTACTTACTAATGTGAAATTTTCAACTAACACTCCTGTCTTTTACGCATCAGGGTAGCTAAAGACATTACTGAAATACTCATTCCTGTGCTCCACAGCAGAGGAACACTGAGGTTTAAGAGATGAGGTACTGCAGTATCAAGTAGCTTGTTAGTTCATACAGATAGAGGTCCAGCAGCAAAAAGCTGGACATACTGCAGGGAAGAAAAGGATTGCACAGAAATTCATTGATAAAGTCCAGATATTTTAATCACTGCATGACCAATGTCATAAAAAATATTCATCATTCAAATCTTTGAAGATTCATCTATAGCCCTCAAAAATGAAATTAAGTTTATAGTTAATTCATTATGTTATAGTTAATTAACTGGACACATACAATTTAATTATTACTTATAAATAATAAGAGCCTAAAGAATGGTTAAGAAAAGGAGTCATGCACTATAAATGCATTACATTCGTAGTATGGCCTAAATATTTGACTAACCCACTTATAAAAACAATCCTACTAGAAGAAAAATGAATTATATTTATTCAACCAGACTGAAACAACCATCTTTTTGTTAGGGTTGAATATGCAAACTAAGCATGAGGGCTTCAAACCAAGAATTTTTTACTCCCAAATAACAATGCATCTCTTCAAAACTGTCACAAAAAATGAGGTAGACAGGCCCAGTTCACATCTACCCAGCCTCATTTCTCAGCGATCTATGCCTTCAGATTTCCATTTCAATATCACACCTAATCAGAACCTCAAGCTCTAAAAACACCCATCCCTGCTATTATGACCTGCAACCCCAAATACTAGTATTTGATAACCTACTTTGCTTTTAGGTGCTTAAGAGCTTATATTAACAGCTCTACCTCTCATGTGCTCGTATTCTGCAAGGCAAATTTTAACTAAACATCAAAAGAGCTGGATTTTAGTTTTGATGTTTCCAGCAGTGAGTCAGGTGCCTGGGGAAGCTGTTAAGAAAAAGAAAATGTTGATTTCCCTCAATTACCCCAGATAGTACTAACTCAGCCTACAAAAATACTACATCTGTTTCCCTGCACTCTTCCACTAACACACAGATTCTGAGGCCATTGAGAATGATCACAGGACTGTGGTGGGAGTGGTTCAGATGCCCAAATCTTCAACAAATGATGCTAGAGAGTTTGATAAAGGAGAATAATGAGGACTAAAGGTATTAAAACCGGATGGCTGAGCCTCAGAGCATCAAGGTTTTCGCAGGTTATAAGACCATGGGGAGTCATCCAATGAAAGCAGCAGTGAGAAACTAGGAAGATATCATTCCCAATTCCCATACATGAATGGGGTGAGAATGTGGCCTTTTGAACTTCTGCTGGAGATGACAGTGGAAACAGTATCAAGTACAGGCTTGAATTAACATGAAGAGATAGAATAGCCAAGGAGGAGTCTGAAAATAATTCATAGGTCAGGAAGTCAGAATTTCTGAGATTACAATAAAAAGGATTTGGAGGTAGGGGCTGAGTGAGCAGGTGAATTAAGGAGAAGAAGCCCAGAGAGGTATGAGAATGAGTGTTCACGGAAGAAGCATGGCCAAGAAGATTTGCATTTTAGGTGACAAACAGGGAAGCAATTGAAGTGGACTCAGGTCTCACAGAATCAGCAGTGGCCCGGAAAGTAGGTCTTGGAGTAGAGAACAGATCAGAGCACGTCATAATCTTTTGATTTGCAGGGCTACACAGTGCAGCGGCCAATAGAAAGGGAGAGCTTAAAGCTCCATTGTGTTAAGTGGCAACAAGTGGCAGGCAACAAGGACAGGACATCACCATCCCCATGGGAAGGGCCAAAATGGCTCATATGTGCTTCTGAGGGTCAGTGCTGAAAGGGGAGATGATGGGCACTCACGGGACTCCTGTTCAGGATCATCTCTGGGCCCATGCAGGATTGAATCTATAGGTAAAACTAACTTGAGCTGTCACTTAAGATTATGGGGACTGGGGAAGAGAGGGGCTAATATAAAGTATCTGTAGATCCGAAGTGACCAGAGCACCATGTTCCTCTTTGAATTGTCAATGGTGCATTCTCAGTGGTTTCTGTTTGTACTTCATCTCCTAGGTTTAACCGAGGAAGAAGCCAAACACTGTGTCAGGATTGAAACAAAGAAACGCGTTTTATTTGCTAAGAAAACAAAAGTGGAACATAGGTGCACCACCAACAAGCTGTCAGAGAAACATGAAGGTAACAGTACTCTCTCTTAGCAGCTTATCCAGTGTGCCCTGAGCCTGGCTGTCATTTACAGACCATATTGGATGTGACTGTGCTATTTTTAGCTTTTCATTTATTTCATTTCTCTTCCTCAGAACCCTGTGTGTTGGAATAGGGGATACAAATAAAATAGCATTAGCATTACCTAAAAAAGGAAATTGTTAAGGTTTTCTTTATCTCATACTTAGGCTGTTTAATGAATAATTTATTGATTTTGCTCATGGACAGAACTCAATATTAGGCATTGTGAAGTGCATATGGCTGTGAACCAGGACCTTACAAAGTAAAGAAACATATAAACATCCATTAAAAATACAGACTGACAAGGGTCTAAGAGAGGTATAGTTTCTAAAAGGCTATAAAGGACTATGGGCAGAAGAAAATCCTGGGATTGAAATACATCAGATTTTGTGAAAAGAATTATTTTGGGGCCATGCATTAAAAATGGCTGAAGACTTTGGCAAATGGAAAGAGTGAGAAAGAAAATCCAGGCAAAAAAATACTGAAAAAAGAAGATACAAGTTATGTTTTGCAGAATGATCTTACTCCTTCCCAATTTTAGCCACTGCTTTCACTCTTCTATCCCAATCCCCAATCCCAATAGGCTTTCACTTTTCTATCCCAATCCCCAACCCAGACATCCCTTCTGAACTCCAGACATCTACTGTCCACTAAACATCTCTACCGGAAAGTCTATAGGCTACAATGCTTCACATATTCTCTCCCTGCTGCTGTTGGTTCTCACTCATATCTAATAGCATAGCCTTTACATTATAGCCCAGTAGGACTGTTGTGAAGACTAAGTGACATGGTGTTTATAAGGAGCCTTGCAGAGTGACCAGCAGTGGTTGGCTCCTTTCACCTTTCCTCTCCTTCAGCAGTCCCAGCCTTGATGATGGCATCACCGTCAACTAAATCAGCCAAACCAGAAACCTGGCTGCTGTCCTTGATTCTACCCTCTTTCTATATCTAATAAGTAACCATGCACAATTCATTCTACCTCCTGAATGTCTCTGCAAGTTGTCTTCCTCTTTTTATTTCCATGGATATAAAACCTTCAATGGAAGGCAAACTTTCCATTCAGTATTTCCAACCTGGATTATCTTAGAAGCCCCCTAAGTGGTCTTCCTGCTTGTAGTCTGTTTTATTCCAGTCTACTCTACACATTTTATTGAGAGGAATCTTCTCTATGGAAAATCTTATTCATGAAACCTTCATACTTAGAACATGTCAGGTTTCACATGGCCTTAAGCATAAGTTCCTGTCCTTCTCTGCACAGCTAAACTTTATACAGCCTCCTAAACAAGTCATGCTCTCTCCTATGCCTTGCCATTATAAATAACTCCTTCCTCTCTGTAAAATTCTGTTTCCTTATTTTGCTTGACTACTTAGAATAAAGGGAAGCAGAATCACAGACATTCCCAAATTTGAAGCTTACCTTCTCATGGAGAAGACAGACAAGAAACAAATAAAATATAATATTTACTATAATAATAAACAGATAATTTTAAATATGATATCAGAACAGGTAGATGGTCTACATACACATGACTGTGTTATGCATAAGCAAAATGAGAAGAACTGGCTTGACAACTGCACACTCCTTATAGCAAAGAAGAAAAAGAGGGCACAAAGGCATATAGCATGCAAAGCAAATAATCTGGTAATATTAACCAAAATATGAATACAGATTCTATATCAGTTTATCATGTAGTAAAATAATTTAATAAGAATATGAGTTCAATAAATCAAGAACTCAGAGATAGACAGATTAAATACAAGAATTAATTAAAACAGATTTCAAAGCTAAGGTACAAAAACAAACATTGAGAAACATAATCATTATAATTATAAATAAATTATACAATGCAAGGACAAAATATAATTCTTTAAAAATAAAATTAATAAAATTAATCACATACAAGAAAGATATCAAGTAATCTCAACATGGAAAAACATTTAGATATTATTAAAGAAAATTTGATGGAAATGGAATGACAAATGTAATTTAATATGTGAAAATTAGTATCCGTGAAAAAGAGATCTCAGTAAATGAAATAGAAAAACTGTATTTTTAAAAAATGTTATATAAGAATATGTCTCTGAAATAAAGGAAGAATTTTTTCTTGATTATATACAGGGAAATATTGTTCAAATATGCAACTTCAAGACAAATTCTAGAAATACAGTATTAAGTCCTACTGGAAAAAAACTACTCAACTATAAAATCTATGCAACAAAGACATGAATGAAAAACCAATTGGAATAATTCAGATGTTCAAAGCTAGGATATTTTAATGGAACTTAACATAGCTTTCTGATATGGTTTGGATTTGTATCCCTTCCCATATCTCATTTAGAATTGTAATCCCCAATGTTGGAGGAGGGGTCTGGTGGGAGGTGACTGGATCATTGGGGCAGAATTCCTCCCTGCTGTTCTCGTGATAGTGAGTTCTTATGAGATCTGGTTGTTTAAAAGTATGCAGCACTTTCCCCTTCACCCTCCTCCTACCACTCCAGTCATGTAGGACGTGACTCCTTCCTCTTCACCTTCTGCCATGATTGCAAGTTTCCCGAGGCCTCCCCTGCCAGGCTTCCTGTACAGCCTGTGGAACGGTGACCCAATTAAACCTCTTTTCTTTATAAATTACCCAGTCTCAGGTAGTTCTTTATTGCAATGAAAGAATGAACTGATATACTCTCAAATTCCTATTTCTTCTAAGTGGTAAAAAGTATAAAATTGCCAGTGTAATGTAACCCAGCCGTTCTGGGTTTCAGTTTTCAATTTTCAGTCAAACTCAGGATTCCCTCACCTTTCTCCTTTGCTGCTTGTCAGGGATAATTTAAGAGTGCGTGTGTGTGTGTGCCTGTGTGTGTGTGCGTATGTGTGTATGTACACATGCACATGCATATGCATATGCATATGTGTTGGGGAAGGGTGGCCAGATAGTATCCTAGAGTCACAGGGAGAATGAGACCTTTGTTAGCATGTTTCTCTTTGCCTTGGCTAGCCTCATCTGATAGGTCATTTGCCTCCTCTGGTTCTCACAATCATGCACTGGCACCTATTGCCAATGTTGATGGTCCTGCCTTGGCTTTTGGTTACTAGATCCATATCCTTTGAATCTTCCTCACAAAAAGGCCAGGCCATCTTTTGTCTACCACTCTTTCTCAAGACTTTCTCACCTTCTTCAGGCTTTAGGGAACCCTTGCCTGTTTTCTGTACATCACAGTGAAATGTGAGGGCCTTGAGACTACTAAGGAACTACTTGCTTGGGTGCCATGTTGGATACAAAAGATTCTCTACAAGGCTTGCCATTCCCTTCCTACTACTTGAGAAGATTAAATGTACATGAGAGGACTTCAAAAAGTTCACAGGGAACTGGAAGTAAAAGATAAAAATAGAAAATATAAACTTTATTTATCAACATAAGTTTCATCAAGTTGACACATTTGTTAGCAATGATGCCAGCCATTTAGTCCATCCGTAAGGAACTGAGGGTCCTAGGACTTTAACTGTGTCAATGCAATCTTCTTCACATTAATAACTGAAAAAAAGGGTGCCCTTTAAAGACATTTTTAAGATTAGAAAACAAAAGAAGTCAGAAGGAGTCAAAGAAAGACTGTAAGGTGAATATCTAATAATTTCTCATCTAAAAAATTGCCCTTGTTTGATTAGAGGAATGAGTAGGAGCATCGTCACAGTAGAGAAGGTGTCCCTGGTAAAGCTTTCCTGGGCATTTTTCTGCTAAAAGTTTGGCTGTCTCAAAACACTCTCATAATATGTTATTATTCTTTGACCCTCCAGCAAATCAACAAGCAAAATGCCTCGAGCATCCCACAAAACCATTTCCAAGACCTTTGCTCTTGACTAGGCCATTTTTGCTTTGGCTGGCCCACTTCCACCTCTTGGTAGCCATTACTTTGATAGTGCTTTGTCTTCAGGACCATACTAGTAAATCCATTTTTCATCTCCTGTGTACATTTCTTTTTTAAAAGTGCTTCAGGATCTGATCCTACATGTTTAAAATTTTTATTGAAAGCTCTGCTCTTGTCTGCAGCTGATCTGGACACAGTAGTTTTGGCAGCTATTGAGTGGAAAGTTTGCTCATCTTTAATTTTTCAGTTATGATTGTGTAAACTGAACTAATTAAGATTTCTACAGTGTTGGCTCTTGTTCCCACTGTTAATCATCAGTCTTCTTCAATTAGGGCAGGAATAAGGTAAATTTTTTCCTCACAAATTCATGTAGATGGTCTACTGCTAGGAGTTTTCTCTTCAACATTATTTCTTCCCTTCCTACAATGAGTTATGAATCTGTAAACTGCTGATTGCCTTGAAGTATTGTCCCCATAAACTTTTCCTAAGGCATCAGTGATTTCACCATTCTTCCTCCCAAGCTTCACCATAAATTTGATGTTTGGTCTTACTTCTATTTTAGCAAATTTCAAGTTGCTCTGATAGGGACTCTTTTCAAACTGATGTCTTATCCCTCTTTGTGCCTCAAGCTTGATCCTATTCAGCTATGTTATGATAAGTTAGTATGAGTTTATTTTTGTGCAAAAAAATTTGAAAGCTATGCATTTTTTTCATAATACACATTTTCCATTAACTTATTGCAGAGCCTCTTATGAGCTTCTATCAAACTTCTACTTGTCAAACTATTATTTCCAAGATTTTCCCCAAAGTGGTGGAATCTTAGGCCTGCACTAAGGAATCCATCAAGTCTATATTTTAGTTACCACATGTCCAATATTCCCCCATTCTCCCAGCTGCTCAAAATCTTTCCTACTTTTGAGAAGGAAAATGGCTGTTGTATACATTTTTTATCATTCTGTGGTTGATGTTGTAAATTCTGTGATTCTGAATCCTAAAATGTGTGGCTCTTGATATTTTAGTTCAAGCATTAAGGACTCAAGAATTCTTTTTCTCTCTCAAGAGCCTGGCCCTTGACATTAAAAACCCTAGCCTTCAAATCTATGATTTTTGCTAGATTTATAAAAGTATACTTGAGATCTCGAAAGACAAAATTTTGCTCTTTTTCTCTCTTGACTCTCTCCAGCCTGAGGCTGTATATATAGAAAGCCCATGATTCAGCTTCAATTATGAGAGAAATAATAGAGATAAAGAAAATATAAAAACACATAAAAAAATTAATATTAAAACATTAATCCAACAGATAAATATAGAGCCCAGGAGTAAAGAAACAGTGAGCAAAGATGAAGCAATGAGAACTGGATTCATTTACTGTATAAAACTAAGACTAAACAACAAGGGGAATAATTATTGTGCTTTTCTGCATTGCTTAAGTGTTAAATATGCTAAAGATGTAATAGCTATTTTGAAGTAACAAAATCTTGAAATTGTAATTTCAAAATTGAAAAATTTCAAAATTGAAATTTTTAGCAGACAGTCCAAGAAGTCTTACCTGATTACCATCTCTATTGTTGTTCATAATTAAGGTTAGGTGCCCTCCTAGACGTACTCACTGCAACCTGCATTCACAACATCATAGCACTCATCACACTGTATTATGTTTACTTTCTATTTCCTCCACAGTATGCAAATTCAGGACAGTGACATGGTCTTTATGTCCTCAGTACTTCATACCATGTTTAGCACATTATAAATGTTTAATAGATGTGCTCATTGAACACATGAATGCTTGAAAGAATAAATGAATGGGTAATTAACATTTATTGAACTCTTGCTATGCTCCAGGCACTGTCCTAAGTGTTCTGTGTGTGTTAACTTCTAATTCTCACAACAACCCCATGAGACTGGTACAATTATTACCCCCATTTTATAGATGAGGACACAGAGGCATAGAGAGGAAAAGAATGAATGTGTAAATGAATAAATGAGTATTTCTATTTAGCTTGAGCATAAATTTGTGAAATAAAGCTGACAAGGTAGGTTTAGTCCATACAAAACAGGGCTTGTATGCCTTACTAAAAAAATTAGACTTAATCCTATTAAATATTGTCACTATCCCACATATCATCTACAGAATGTTAATAGGTGCTGCATGTGAAAAGGGAGTTCCATCTTTAAATTGAAAAACTTTGAGTGTAACAGTGTTTAAGAGAAATTCTCAGCTTTTAAAATTATAAAGAACATTGTAGTTTTTTAAGAAGCTGATATACTATGCAGTTTTCCCCTAAAATACCTTGCCAAGAAATTCACAGACTTACTATTGAGCAGAACACTTTACTGGATTGATTCAGTGGGAAAGCAGTAAAAATTACCAAGTAGGAAAGTAAAATGTTATTTATAGAAATTATTTCATGCTGTGATGTATTAAGTTCATTGCATATCGCCTAAATTTTCAGGCTAGATTATATTCAAGTGTTGGCTCCACTGTTGATTGGCTATGTAATCAACATCAAGAGTTTAATCTTTCTTCTTGTAAGTAAAATAAAAATAATAATAGTATTTACTTATGCTTATTGTGAGAATTAAATAAACAATCCATATAAATTGATGAGGACAAAGCCTAGGCTATACTAAATATTCAATACATGTCTGCTATAATTATTTTGTAGTTGCACAAGTGACATGTAGTAAAGACATATAATATAGGAAAATTGTAGTTGAAATTGTAAAATAAGCAAAAATATAGAATAAGCCCTTCACAAAAGAACATATTTTAAAAAGCAATAAACATGAAAATATGATAAAGATAACTGGGAATCAAAAGGATAAAATTAAAACCATAAAATACCACCTCATGCAAATGATGAAAAAATTTAAATTAACAAGTATTGGCAGTAGAACTTCACAACCTGCCATACATTGCTGGTAGGAGTATAAATTGGTAATACCATTTTGGAAACTATTTGGCAATATCTACTAAAGTGAAACATAAATGCACGCACACATATTTATGACTTAGAAACTCTACTAATAGATATGCGCCAACAAAAATATGCACACACATGGATCAAAAATAAGAAAAGCCACATTGTTCATTTATTGGATACAACTCAAATGTCTATCAAGAGTAAAATGAGCAAATTATGATATGAATTAACTACTACTACAAACAAGATAGATGAATGCCACAAACATAAAACTGAGCAAAAGAAACCAGGCACAAAAGAGTACATGTTTTAAAACCTTACATATAAAGTTAAAAATATGCAAAGCTAATCTATAGCAATAATAATACAATTGGCGTTTGCATTTGGGGATGGAATAATGACTGGATAAAAGCATGAAGGAGGCTTTCCGGTGTTGCTAGAGTTCTATTTCCAGGCGTGGGCAGTGATTATATGGGTGTGCTCACTTTTTACAAATTAATTGAGCTGTATGCTTAATGATTTATGTACATTTCTGTGTCAATATTATACTTCAGTATAAAAATTTACTTAAAATATAAGAAAATACTAGACTGGAATCAGGGCAACTTAGGAAACTGAGTTAATGTAGAGGAATTGACATGAGAAAATATCACATATGGACCCCAGTTTTCAGCCTGTAGGAACAAGAGGACATTGCAAAGTTAGAGACCGTTGCAATAGGCTCCAAGCTGGCTTTTCAATTACCCATTGCTACCCAGATGACACAATACTGCTAATATTCCTGAATCATTTTAAATCCCCACCTCAAAACCTTTCATTGTTTCTAGGGAATGCAATTGTTTCTAAACCTGAAGAATGAAGTCTAATTTCCTTGGCTTTACATCCAGACTCTCTCATTTCTGCTGTTCTTCCCCCTCCCTGGACCTTCCATTTCAACTCAAACTCATGCCTATATGTGCTGTCTCCAGAGCATGGCACAACGGCCCTGACTCCAGGTCCTTGCCCATGGTGTGCCCATGCTTAGAAGGCCATTGTCTCCCTAATATTAGGGCCATGATCTCCCTAATAGGTCTCACCTTTCCTTCCAGGAACATGTCAGTCTTCCTTCAGAGCGCCATCCTCCTTAATTGCCAAAGATGACAGAATTATTTCATTTTCCTAACTCAGTAATTGTTCATTGTTTTTACCATTGAGTAATACTAAGCAAAAACTATTTTATTGGTCTTTTTAATTTCCTTTCTTTTCTTCCATTTTCCCTCCCTCTCTCCCTCCCTCCCCCCTTTCTACCTTCCTTCCTTTCTTCTTTTCCATCCTTGTTTATTTCTCCATAGTCTTGCTAGCATATTTATATACCTATTCCATATACTCATTGAGAGTCTGAGTTCTTAACACGATATTTTATATTTATCTGGGCCTGACATATAGAAGATTCTCAACAAATTATTGATGACAATTTGCCTAAAGTCAAAGTCACAGACACATTGAAGAGCAAAACACACACAAGAACATAGATTTGCCTATTTCTAACCCTGAGCTATTTCAGTTAAATCATTGGACTTCAGACTTCTCAAATCTGTAATTATATCATTTTTAAAATTTTTTGAGGATATATCACTAATTTATACATTTTTACTAAAGAATTGTAGAAATGTATTATTCAAAAATGTGCATTAAAATATGCAAATGTAAAAAATGGAAATTGTTTTTTAAATAGCATATATGAAACAAACAGAACTTTTATCTTCCTCATAGTAGTGGCTGCACACACTTAAAAACAAAGTTCAGGCTGGGCGCAGTGGCTCACACCTGTAATCCCAGCACTTTGGGAGGCCAAGGCAGGCAGATCACAAGATTAGGAGACCAAGACCATCCTGGCCAACGTGGTGAAACCCTGTCTCTACTAAAAATATGAAAATTAGCTAGGCCTGGTGACGCATGCCTGTAATCCCATCTACTTGGGAGGCTGAGGCAGGAGAATCACTTGAACCCAGGAGGCAGAGGCTGCAGTGAGCTAAGATCGCACCAATGCATTCCAGCCTGGGCGGCAGAGCGAGACCTCTATCTCAAAAAAAAAAAAAAAAAAAGTTCATTGATAAATACATATATTACAAAAGTTTCTTGAAATTTTTGACATGCTTTTGGTCAGCTTTGGTGTTCATCTTACGATGTGGCTTCTGAGAAGATTGTATAAGTAGAAATATTCATTCTGTCTTTTACTAGTTTTTTTTTTTCTTTTGTTTGCATTATTGGCATTATCTTCAATCTGCATTTTCTTTCTGGAATCTTTTTAAGGCACTTGCTCACTTGTGAGAGTAAGCTAATGGAACAGTAAACAGACTTACTCTTTCTTCAGGATCCCATGCCCCTCACAGATAACCCTTACCAGTGTCAATCCATTTATGAAATACATGGTATCAATCTAAATATGAAATAACATGACGAAGCCACTGTCAGTCTGTACATGATATATTGGCAAACTCTAATTTGGCTTCTACTTTTCCATGAAAAATAAATACAAAAACCTCTAAAATTTTCCTTGTATACCTTTGTTTTGTTACGCCTTATACCTGTGTTGTGTTATGCACTTGACTCTAAAAGCAGCCATACTACTTTCTTCATAGGAAGACAGTTGCATCCATTTCCTAATCATTCTAGACTATCTTACTATAGAATTGCTAAATAGTGGGATCATAGCTAATTCTTACTGATAGACACCAAATTAATGCCACTAACTATCGCTCATATCACTAGCCTTCTTTTTATTTGCTACTATTTCTTATGGCAATTCCTTATTACTCAGTCTCTATCCCTGTTAGTTAGAGTTACCATTTGGTTAGTGGAAATTGTTATGGCAATTTGTATAAAAGAGTTGTGCTATATACTTTAACAGTAAATGTCATTGTGTCTAAAGAAACATTGTGCCAACTCTTAACCTGATGGGGGTTTTTTTCTGTGTTAGTTGTGCTTTCACCTCTGTCTTTAAATATAAAATCATTCCACCATTTTTTCCCTGTAATTGGAAGTTTCACCATGACAGTCAATTGACTGGCTATCAGAAGCCATGTGACTTATCTTATTCTGGGCACCCAAAACATATGCTAACATAAATCAGAAGCAGGGCGGTTGACATTAAAGAGTAAGGGGCAGAGTAGTCAAGGACTGGGCTATATTTGCATCCTAGTCCTGTCTCTTAGTAACCATGTGTTCCAGGACAAATTACTTTCGGCTTCAATGTTTATAATAATACCTACTTCTCAGGGTTGTCATGAGAATTATATAAGATGTGTGTAAAGTGCCTGGCATCTACCAGATGCTTAATAAATGGTAGCTGTTAGTACTGTTATTATTATTTCTATTATTAAACTCCCTACAGGGAGGAGGAGTGTTCTCTTGCTTTTTCACTTAGCTTTCTTAATGGAGCTACATACTGTACCATCTACTTCTCCCTTCTGTACAAATAGGTTTTTGTTTGTTTGTTTTAGAATAGGAATTTGCACTAAAATTAAATGGGCATTTTTATTGAAACACCTTGCAGGTTCATTTATACAGGGAGCAGAGAAATCCATATCCCTGATTCGAGGTGGAAGGAGTGAATATGGAGCAGCTTTGGCATGGGAGAAAGGGAGCTCTGGTCTGGAGGAGAAGACATTTTCTGAGTGGTTAGAATCAGTGAAGGAAAATCCTGCTGTGATTGACTTTGAGGTAAGAGTAAAAATTATTCCAGGTAAGAGATCTAAAGTAGTTCTCTAGCAGCCCAAATTGCACATCACACAATTTATTTTCCATTTTCTTCTCAGACAATGAAAGAAATGCCTTTCTTTAGTATTCATGCACAATGTACCTTTTTTTAAATGTTAAATTGCATGTCTAATGCGTTTGCTATTCAAACAAGCATTCAACAGTACAGTATTTAGAATTCCTAGCATGCATGAAACACCAGGAAATGGAACTTAGTGAATAAAAATGCTCAAACTTTCCTTGAGTAGTACTTTTTATTTTTTCATGTATACAATAAATCTGGTTTCTGTGTTCTTCTTGCAACTCCTTATTTGATGAACACTCCTAAGTCTTCATTTGTAGCTCTGTGAGATAAATGAGATTTTAGATCCATTTCTATTACTATTGATTGAATTTACCAGTTTTGTATTTGTTGTAATTACATTAAAAGGTGATATTTATTATTTATGGAATACTTTACCCACGTATCAGCCATATGCCATTTAGAACCTGTTTTCCCCCAAACATATCCATATTTTTAAAAGGCCTCCAAAGAAGCTGTTATGTTCATTTCATTTAAATGAAGATAAAAGGTTTCAATCATTATGAAAATAGAATCATTTGCCTGCAGCGTGAAGATGTGTTGAGCTCTACATGTTATGGGAGAAAAATGAGACCCAGCTGCCCCTCCGGGTACTTGCAAGTCATATTGCACTAGAAGGTCATTTCTTTGAGGTTTTATGATGTTAATAAAATGAGCACTGATTTATCATTAGCCTATTATTTGTTACTGTAATTCTTCCATTCATCCTACTGGCAAGTTTATTTCTTCATTTTCTCCCACTCCACATTTTCTCATCTAACTCCAACAAAAGCCAAAACTGTCCTGGAAAAAAAGAACATGGAAAGCTTCTCTTATCCTCTCTAAATTTTTTGCTGCTTGAATCAAATTTAATGAGGTTTCAGTAGAGCAGGAAAGAGTTGCCTAACTCTTGGTCACCTATCTCAGTGCTTTGATGCATGCATAGAATACTTAATAAATAACATGATATATAACCAAGTAAGCAACACCTCCCATGCTTCCTTCACAGTAAAATTGTAGGGAAGGTAAGTGCCATATACATCACACCTGTCCACAGGTAGAAGGCTTTTGCCTACTGGTTCAACAGGTGCAATACTATATTCTGCAATAATCCCTTTGAAGTGTAAAATTTTCAGGCTTTCCCTCTCATTTCAGAGAACTGGGCAGTAATGGCAACCTATTACCAAAGGGGATGTGACTGGACCTCCTCTCTCCCATTTTCTCCTAGCTTGCCCCCATCGTGGACTTGGTAAGAAACATCCCCTGTGCAGTGACAAAACGGAACAACCTCAGGAAAGCTTTGCAAGAGTATGCAGCCAAGTTCGATCCTTGCCAGTGTGCTCCATGCCCTAATAATGGCCGACCCACCCTCTCAGGGACTGAATGTCTGTGTGTGTGTCAGAGTGGCACCTATGGTGAGAACTGTGAGAAACAGTCTCCAGATTATAAATCCAGTAAGTATCAGGAATCTATTGTGAGGTAGATAAGTTTTCCCCTCCAAAGAGTATTCTAAGTTGGTCAATTAAAAAGAAACAAAACTTCTATTAGCAACCTCCACCTTGTACAGGCTCAGAGGGAAGATAAACCTGCAAAAAGTGTGAGTCTCAGCTGTAACCTACCAACTATGTGAGCTTGGGAAAGTTACCCAGCTTCCCTATGCCTCAATCTGTTCATCCATAAAATGAGGATAACACCAGTATCTATCTAAGGAATATGAATATATTATATGCGTATTTATATATCAAGAATACATATACAATGCTCATAACATAAAAAATCAAACATAACATCAAATAAAATATATGATTCTGATATTATAAGCCTCTTATGTATTGTAATATAGAAGGATGGCTTTGTAATAAAAAATAAATTAAGCCACAACCAAAGTTTTCATACAGGACTAAGTATGTTCATAGTTACCTCAAATCCTCCTTAGAAACAGGGTAAGGCATGGGAGTAAGAATGTATACTACTTCCTTTAAAAGTGTAATTTAATATGCATTCTGTTAAGAAGATGTTTATATTTATACACATATGAGTGCACATTTTTAAAAGGCCTCCAAAGCCAAGAATACAGAGGTTTCTTAACAGTTGAAAATAATTCATAATGATTGCCATTTGTTGCCATTTTATTTAGGCTTATGGGAACAAAGTCTAAAAGGAAATCAGGCAATGTGTCAGGCCCCTTGCACAGGTAATTTCTTTTAATCCTTAGAAGAACCCTATCATATCCCACAAAGGAAGTTACTGAGCTAAAAAGTGAGGAAACCAGGTTGGCCTCACTTCCAAACCCAAATTCAGCTGCACCATGATCCATGGGAGTGAGTCTTCCTTTGTTCCAGATGCAGTAGACGGACAGTGGGGTTGTTGGTCTTCCTGGAGTACCTGTGATGCTACTTATAAGAGATCGAGAACCCGAGAATGCAATAATCCTGCCCCCCAACGAGGAGGGAAACGCTGTGAGGGGGAGAAGCGACAAGAGGAAGACTGCACATTTTCAATCATGGAAAACAAGTAAGGCCGGGTAAGGGAAAAGAATGGGTCATTTTGCCCTAACTCTCAATAACATTGAGAGTTCAAATGGTTATTAGTCTACTGCTAAGTAAAGAAATAATTAGAACTTTACCTATGCCAACACAGAATATTAATGAGCCACTGGGTCTACTGCCGTGCCTTTTTCTGTGTGTAATGTTTTCTATTTAATACATATATGTATGCAATGTGTACACATGTATACACATAAGCATATACACACATGTAAATGTGTGTACATACATACATATACACACATATTTATGTTTCCCTTTTAGTGGACAACCATGTATCAATGATGACGAAGAAATGAAAGAGGTCGATCTTCCTGAGATAGAAGCAGATTCCGGGTGTCCTCAGCCAGTTCCTCCAGAAAATGGATTTATCCGGGTCAGCATCCTAAACCTCACTTTTGGTTTGTAGTTTTAAAAACCTCGAAAAGTATAGCTTGTCTTTTAATTAGAGTTACTGTTTTCCTATTCGAATAATCTCCTATTGACTTTAAAAGTACAAAATAATATTTAGAAACACTTTGCCACTCTTCCATCTTGAATTTCCTAGAGATGTCTTCATAGCCAGTTGTTAGACTAAAGTATAGCAGATTGCTTGGGTTTCTTGGAAAGGTAATAGAACTTCAGTATAATATAGGATTGTATGACTTGTGAGAATTTGCAAGTAAGATCTGGCTATTTCAGAGTCTGAGCAAACTGATACCCTTACCTAAGGAATGTTTAGAGAAACACACTAGACTGGCTATAATCATGGAGGTGTTAATTCTGTATTGTTTTTATTAGGTTAGAAACCTGTAGAACTCTTAATCAGTCAAAACCATTTTCACATACCTTTAAGTTTCAACTTTTTTTTTTACCAAGCCACAACATGTTTCTATGATTTTTTTAAAAGCTGAATACATTTTGTCAGACAGATCTATGCCCTTTGACATAAATTTTACAGGTGATACATGATATCTAAAAGTGATCACAGAAGTCATGCTTCCTATTTCATTTTACCTTTCTTAAACTTAGTAATATCTTTACATTAATCTTTTCCCAACTGTATCACACTTATGATAAAAGATCAATAACACTCAATTCTCTAAGTCCAGCAAATAGTTTTATTCATGGAGTGTAGTCTGGGCTAATGTATCTTCCATATTCACTTATCTTCTGCCCATGCATAAGGACCATACCTTAAAGTTTATGGGGAGGAAATATTTCAGAGGAAGGTAATTTTAATTAGTCTTTACTCTAGAAAATAGGTTCTCAAACTCAACAATGCGCCAAAGGACCTGGTAAAACACAGATCATTGGGTCTCACTCCTCGAGTTTCTGATCCAGAAGGTTTTGGGAAGGGCACAGAAATATCCATTGCTAATACATTCCTAGGTAATATGGATGCTGCTGGTTTAGGAGCCACACTTTGGGAACAAATTCTCTTGAACAAGAGCCATCAATCTATGGCCCAAAGGCCAAATTTGACCTGCCACTTAAAAAAAAATAAAGTCTTATTTTTATTGGAACACAGCCACATTCATATGTTTACATATCGTCTATGGCTACTTTCATACAATAATGGCAGAAGTGAGTAATTTCAACAGATGCCATATGGCCTACAGATGACTATCCAGGCCACTTATAGAAAAGCTTACTGGCCCCTGCCCTAGAACATTATCCTTAAAATCACATATTGGCAGATCCAGATACCAAAATAACTTTTAATCTATTTGTTCTGGCTGCATACAAAGACCGTTAAAATTATTGACATTCTCATTTTTAAAACACACGAAGGCTTTCAACAGTGATGCATTATTCTTCTAACTCATTTCGTAAGGTTAGATTATATATTCCCATTTTCATGGATAAATTCATTTCTTATTTTATTTTGCTCTTTACTAAAGGCCTGGTCTCTGTCTGGCAATAGTTTTTACTCAAATGTAATAAAATTTTATTTTTTCCTAATAAGCATCTTCTGGAATTTCTAGTGGCAAAATGCCCCTTGTATAGATTCAAATAGAGGCAGATATGCCTAATTCCAGGCTAGAGCAATGATGTTATTGCACACAAGTATATTTATTTAATGAGTAACAGACAAGTCCAACCTCTGTAAGTGACAGGGACTTTTGGCAAGGTTTTTTGTTTAGTCAGTCTACTAGATGTACTTCCCTAAGTTTGATTATTGCAACATACACTTATATGTTACAGATTCATAAGAAACAAGAAATAGAAACAAAAGTTTAAGGCAAAAATTTATTTCAGAAGAAATGCAAGAAAAAATGTGCAGCCTTTGAAGAAAACATCCAAATCATTAGTCCATTTCCCTTGGAAACAAAGCCATATCAGTAATAACCAACAGTAGGATGGTAGTTTTGTATCCAGAAAATTAAGAATCTTCTAGGAGACAAGTTTAACCATATGGCCAAGTAACAACATAAGCTGACAATTAAGCTTTCACCGCTCTCAAAGTTCCCAACTTCAATTCTCAGAAGAACAACTGCTTAGTCAATTCTTGGTACTCTTGCCCCTCTCAGTAAAGGAAAATTGTATTGCATTACTAGCTCCTTAAGAAGGATAATGTTTTGTATTCTTTCAGCAAAGAATTAAGGCCTGTGTAAAGATTTATGAGACAGAGATCTGGTTGTGGAGTTGCCACTAAAGGATCAGGGGTGGGGCTGATAAACGTGATAAACACTATAAAAATAGAGCTTTGCATGAGTTTCCCTCAGAACTGAAAGGACGTTGTACCTCAAGATACTAGGGAAATCAAAGATTTTTGCAAAGGATGTTCTATTTGAGCTGGGTCTTGAGAGAAGGGAAGAGAGAAGGTGTTGAGGATACAAGAAACAACCAAGTGGAGACATGGAGGCATGAAAAAGAAGTTTATGTTCGAAGAATGGCAGGGTTTTGTTTTGCTAGAGCATAGGTTTTATGGGAGGAAATGGCAGGAGGTGAGGGTGGTAAAGTAAGTTAAAATAAATATTCCAAACTAAGAAGTCTAAGACCCACTTTACCTTGAAAATTGTAGTGAATCACCCCCACCCCCCAGCAACATGAAGGTAGTTGTACAATCCATTAATTGGGAAAATATATAATGACCAATGGGTTACTAGGAATTGAGTAACATTTTTAAATGATCTGCACTCAGTCATAATAGCAACTGCATATGTTTGCTTTATATGTAAGATATATTATTTATTCAGTTTATAGTCACTACATGGTGAGTATATGGTTTTTCTATTCTAGCAATAGTAGGACATCCCATATATAGTTTTTTGGTTTCTTCTATTTTTTTTTTGTTTTGGGTTTTTGTTTGTTTGTTTGTTTTTTGGTTTTTGTTTTGAGACAGGATTTCACTCTGTTGCCCACGCTGAAGTACAATGGAACAATCATGGCTCACCACAGCCTCAACCTTCTGGGCTCAAGCAATCCTCCCACTTCAGCCTCCCAAGTAGCTGGGACCACAGGCCATGCCACCACTTCTCGCTACTTTTCTGTATTTTTGTGGAGACAGAAAATACTGTCTGGCTACTTTTTTGTATTTTTGTATTTTGTGGGTTTTGCCATATTGCCCCAGCTGGTCTCGAACTCCTGAACTCAAGTGATCCATGTGCCTCAGCCTCTCAAAGTGTTGGGATTATAGTCACAAGCCACCATTCCCAGCAGGGGAGCAAGTTTTCAAGTTAAAAAAACAAACAAACAAAACCCTAACCAATTTAGGGAGATGGATTAGAAGAGTGACCAGTTATAAAGTTGCCCTAGTAAGAAAGAATAAATATCATGAAGAAAAACAATGATGGCAACAGGAAGCAGAGAACTTTAACAGGTTTTTAGAAGTAGAAATTGAGAGGACTTGGTGACTGAGTAGATCCAGAAGTGAAGGATAGAAAGGATCAGTGTGAGACTAAAGAGTTTAGAGAGTGTTATTCATAGCATTAATAATTTCTGGTTTCTGCTTTAATTAAGAATGAAAAGCAACTATACTTGGTTGGAGAAGATGTTGAAATTTCATGCCTTACTGGCTTTGAAACTGTTGGATACCAGTACTTCAGATGCTTACCAGACGGGACCTGGAGACAAGGGGATGTGGAATGCCAACGTGAGAACTGGGCAAACAATTTTGCTTGACTACTTTACAGAATGAATGTGCCCAATATAAAAACAGTAAAATCACATCCTTAGATCAATACATTTTACTAGTTTTTAGTAACTCTGGTGAAAGATTTTGTGAAGCAGAAAATAAATAGAAGGGCTCATTTGCTAAAACTGGATTTCCAGATTATCTCCATATTTCAGTGTTCCTGCTCCTACCTATTACTGTCACACACATAGGACTGTGAAGTATGCACTTCAAAAGAAATCCAGGAAGTCTGCAAGCTGTATCTAACCACAGACATCTGCTTTGCCCAATGTTCAAATTGACGCAAAATGCTGAGTCTCAAGAAGATGATATTTACACTCTTTATGTAACAGAAATGGGAATTTGTGTAAGATGGGATTTTGTGTAAGACGTAGTTTTCGCCAAGACACTACTCCTTGGTTCATGTTCACATTCTTTACTGAGAAAGAGTGAATGAGCTTTAGGCTCTGCACATATCTGTGCTAGAGTAAAGTGAAAAACAAGATTCAAATAAGGCTTGAATGAGAGTCCAAAGACTTATTGTGGGAGACCATGAAGCAGAGTTGAGACCAGTGTCAATTAGAATGCCCATCACTCTGCATCAGTCATAGCGTGGTAACTTGCATTTGGAGAAATCCACTAGGGATAAGAGAAAAGAAAGTGTTTCTTGAAAGGAAAAGGTCCCAATGATTTCATAAAAGTTGGATGTGTCTGGAGCCAGTTCTTTAGCAAGGGAATCTCAGATAATGAAACTAAAGGGAATTTTTCAATGAAGGGTCTGAGGGAAAGCCCAGGATTCTTATCCCCCAGGTTTTCTGATCAAAAGGAGGCACCAAAGCTGAACAGATGCAGTAAATCTCATCAAAATCACCTCTTTGGTTGCACAAAATTTGCCTAAATTTTTTGTTTATTCTGCTCCACTAAACACATATGAAATGTTGCTCTCTTGCAGGGACGGAGTGCATCAAGCCAGTTGTGCAGGAAGTCCTGACAATTACACCATTTCAGAGATTGTATAGAATTGGTGAATCCATTGAGCTAACTTGCCCCAAAGGCTTTGTTGTTGCTGGGCCATCAAGGTACACATGCCAGGGGAATTCCTGGACACCACCCATTTCAAACTCTCTCACCTGTGAAAAAGGTGAGTAGCAGCTCAGTGTTCTGGGGTCTGATAAGGTGGTGCACCCTGAGATTGGTAGTATAGCCTCTATAGCCATTATATTTCTTAAGCACTGAGAGGCTAAAAAAGATGCAAGTTTAGACAGTGTGGGTCAAACCGGAACTATGCAATAGCTCTGCTAATTCCCTAAGCTCATTGCCATCCTGCGTCCTTTATTCTCTTCTGGGCTTTTATAACGTGTGAAAGAAAGGGAGAAAGTTAACCTTTTGAATAACCTTAAATAAAATTATCAGTAAAGCGATCTCATGGAAATTAGTGAGAACTTCAGGTTTAAGTATTGTGTCTTGGTTTCACTAGACTCCTGATCATAATAATAAATTACAAGGAATGTAAGTGTCAGTGGAATGAATGTATGTGGAAGCCATAGACTTCAGAAAGTTAGGATCTTTAAGACACTGTAGGCAGTATCCTCATAAGGGCATATGCATGCATGTGCACACACGTGCCCTTAGATTAGAAATTAAAATTATAATCCAAACTGAGAAATAGGAAATGTTCCACAGCTAGATAAAGGAAATACATAGCCTATTTCATATACTTTCTCTCCAATAATATTGACAGAAAGACCAATAAGGGGAGTCACAGAAAGAGAAAGACAATCATAAATAAAACCCGACACTGTGAGGTAAAGACACTTTCAGGCAGGGAAACATTATTAATTCTTTCAATGTGAAAAAGTTCTGCTTCATGAAGATGTGAGATGCTACACCGTTACTTTTTTCCTTCCTCCCAGACCTGGACACCTCCCTTAGCCCTTCAGAGGATCCTCTTGCCCTGAGCACTTTACAGACTGTGGAGTATTTGTTGCTCCTGTGCTGGGAGGTGTGGGCAGCTGAGTCCCAGCACTGCTTCAACCTGAGGCTGATTGGAAGAGCAGATTCCTTGCATAAGATCATTGACAATTTCAAACCTGTAGTGATAGAGCAAGGCTGTGTGCCACTTGAAAGCTGAATTGATTCTTTTTGGAAACAATGTATACCTTGCTGCTCCTCCCAGGCCTAATTACAAAGGGCAAAGAGGCACAGGTAAACAATATCACCACATTGTAAACCATAGTAGCTAAAGCCTTACCGGAAGGATAGGTCTCCAAGTTCAGGAGAGTTCCGGGCCAAGTTTCACCAGATAAAATGGTGGTAATAGAAGGAAAGGAAAACAACTGTGAATAAGAAACCTAGGAATTTTTTACATCTTTATTTTTGCTTCTTACGTGAGCCACCTTTCCTTATCAAACCTTCTACTTGATAAGCTAAGAGGAGGAAGAGTGAGCTGAGCCTCCAGTCCTGCCTTGACAATTAACTTGCTCACGAGGTCATTTTGGTTCTTGGGATGCCTGAATAGTCAGATCCAGATCAAGAAAATGTGTTTCATTCAATAGACTGAGGAGTTCGGCTTCAGGTCCAGGTTCTCTAGGTGGGCCTCAACATGAGCAAAGAAACCAAGGTTCCCTCTTTCATAAATACACCCCCAGTGTCACTCCCTCTATTTTCATCCCCCTCCCTCACCGACATGCTATTCAGTTCCTCATCTTGGTTCAAGTGTAATTTCCTTATGAATCCTTCCCTAATCTTCCCAGTTGGAGTCTTTATGGTATGTGGTCTCCTGAAACCATGTTCCCTTTCTTCAGAATACTTGTCTCAGCCCTTTATTATAAATCCGTTATTATAATTACTTGATTAACATCTGTTTTCTCTTTCTTTTTTCCTCTCCTTTCCTCTCCTCTCCTCCACCTTCTTCCTTCCATCCTTCCTTTCTTTTTTTTTTCCCACCATAATGTCCTAGTGCCTAGAATGCCATGCAGGGATTAATAGCTACATTTAGGAGCTGCATTTCTCCACTGATTCTTGTAAGAAAATCTGAATTTCAAGCCATTCACATCCATATTGCTAAATCTAATGGACTTTTTTTTTTTTTCCTTATCTTCTGTGGCCTTTCGGCAGCCTTCAGCAATGTTGACCTTCTGCACATATGTTCTTTCCTTGGCTTCATATTCTTGTTTAGCTCCGACATTTCTGGCTGTTGCCCTCTATTTTTGGTAGGCTCCTGCCAGTGCTTGGACATTAATCACTGGAGTTTCCCAAGTTTTGGATCTGTCCCCTCGCCTCACACTGCACTCTCCTACTGAAGAATCTCATCCACATGCATAGCTTCAGTGATTCCCCCATAGACAAATAACAGATTTAAATCTTTAGCACAGACTTCGCCACTGAGATTTAGACATGAATATCTAAATTCCTATATATCTACGTTGTTTGGATGTCTTAAAGATACCATAAATTCAACATCTACAGTAGGGAACTCTTAATTCATCACCCTTCCTTCCTAAAACTAAGCATTTTCTAATATTTTCTATTTCAGGTAAGGCACTAATGTATATTCTTTTATGCAAATCAGAAACCGAAGAATCATATAATTGACAGCTCTCATAACTTACATAATAGGTAATATCACTTGTTTTACCTGCTAGCTGTGTCTCAAGTTTATCCACTTTTCTCCATTTCCACCTCTGGAACCTTGGTCCAAATTATCATCCTCTTTCACCTGAACTACCACAATAACCTCATAGATTAGCTCCCTGGAGCCCTATTGACCACCATGCCTCTTCAAATCCATTCTCTGCACAGAAGCCATAATTAATTTCTTTTTTTCAAAATCGAGGGCTGATTTTGTTACACCACTCCCTGCTTAAAACCTATCAGAGACTGTCTACTATTTATAAAATGAAGACAAAACCCTTCAAAGACCCTATTAGCCTCCCACACAGCCTACCAGACACCTACCTCTCTGGCCACATCTTGTTCCATCCTCTTGTTTTTCAGCACTTCAACCACACTGGGTTCTTTCAGTTCCAGGAAACTCACATGCTGCCTGCCTTTTTTTTTTTTTTTTAGACAGAGTCTTACTCTGTTGCCCAGGCTGGGTGCAGTGGCACAATCTCGGCTCACTGCAACCTCTGCCTCCCGGGTTCAAGTGACTCTTTTGCCTCAGCCTCCTGAGTAGCTGGGACTACAGGTGCATGCCACCATGCCCTGCTAATTTTGGTATTTTTAGTACAGATGGGGTTTCGCCATATTGACCAGGCTGTTCTCGAACTCCTGACCTTGTGATCTGCCTGCCTCAGCCTCCCAAAATGCTGGGATTACAAGCGTGAGCCACTATGCCCGACCACTGCCTCCCATTTGAACTTTTCCATACCTTATGTTTCCTCTGTATTGAACAGCCTCACCTTTCTTCATTTTACTTTTTCTAATCTTTCTAGCTACATCAATTTTTTATTATATGCTTCTCTTTGATAGCCCTAAGAAAGGCAACAATTCTATATTTATATTAGTGTGCTCATTTGATTAATGTCTGTCTGCACCCACAAGACTATAAGCTTGGTGAGCACAGGATCTGGGTCAGTTTATGCTCAATCTACTCTCTCCAGAACCTTACAGAGTGATGAGAATATCATGTATACTCAATAAATATTTGAAAAACAAATGAACAAAAATTTCAACAGTTCCATTTTCTTTAGT
Source organism: Homo sapiens (assembly GCF_000001405.40). Classification (NCBI taxonomy): domain Eukaryota; kingdom Metazoa; phylum Chordata; class Mammalia; order Primates; family Hominidae; genus Homo; species Homo sapiens. Next base: position 41,150,255 of record NC_000005.10, on the reverse strand, counting down.
TATCTGAACATAATCGCAATTTTAGGTTGGAAAATGACACCTCATGTGCACTGGAAAGGACCTTTCAGGTGGAATATTTAATGACAATGTATTTAGAGAAGCCAAAATGAATGATCTAACTCCAAGAGATAAATATGAATCCTTTACCACTGCCTCTTCTCTGAATTCAAGCTTATCACTTAGAATCCATGCTGTGCACTGTTCTTTTCTCCTTTTTTCTTTTGTTTCAGATACTCTAACAAAATTAAAAGGCCATTGTCAGCTGGGACAGAAACAATCAGGATCTGAATGCATTTGTATGTCTCCAGAAGAAGACTGTAGGTAAGAGATACCCTACAGACTGTGTCTGGAAATTGGGAAAACCAGTCTAGTGTAACCAATTTGATGGAAGAGCTGAGCTTTTTGAAGCACAGACATGAAATAAATGAATTTTCCACATAACTGATATTCCTGTGCTCTGCTGAATTCCTCCTTCCCCATTGGGTAGCAAGTTTCTTAATTATCTCTCAGCCCAGTTCCCTGTTTAAAATGAGATTGTTCATTATAACAGTCTCATTTTGGTTTTAAAGACTTAACTTCTGCACATGTAAAAACTTTAAACTCAGTTATATCAACACTTTCCTGTTCCTCTCACTCAAGCCCAGGGCTTGGAGTGGGGTGGGGAAAACAGGCAAAAGAAAACTGGTTGGTGAGTGAACACACTACATTGGCTACGTGCCCCCTGTTTTTTTCTGATCTTCATATAGAAATGCTTGCTTTCCTCTCTTGGGCAGCCATCATTCAGAAGATCTCTGTGTGTTTGACACAGACTCCAACGATTACTTTACTTCACCCGCTTGTAAGTTTTTGGCTGAGAAATGTTTAAATAATCAGCAACTCCATTTTCTACATATTGGTTCCTGCCAAGACGGCCGCCAGTTAGAATGGGGTCTTGAAAGGACAAGACTTTCATCCAACAGCACAAAGAAAGAATCCTGTGGCTATGACACCTGCTATGACTGGGAAAAATGTTCAGGTAAGTTCCAATGGTGACCATACTAAATGCTCTCACTTAACCTTCATCTCAGCTAGTACATCATCTTTCTTAAAAATAACCTATCCTTAATCAAAAATAATTCCTTTTCATTGTAAAAAAAATTCATAAAATGATTTAAACAGAAAGGAAAATTATAATCACCCACAAGTAGAAATAACTACTGTAGTAATGTGGGTGTATATCTTGCCAATCTTTTCTCTATGCATATGTAATCAGTACCACCCTTAGGCCCCAGTGGGAAGAGCACTTGTCCCGATCTCGTGTTTCAGGCATCCTTCCGAGTCCCAGCTTTGGAGGGCCTTCACCAGAATTGTCTAAGTTTCCTTCTAGTGTTTGGGACTGTCTGAGGCCAATAGTGCTGTCCAGGTAGGACTGGATTTTGCATTGCCAAAGCATCTTCCTGAAATTTCTTTCAGTCTTCTTTCAGTGCCTTAGTCTAGCCAAGGCTGACAATACTATTCAGGCAGGACACCCTGAGCCCAGACAGCATCCCACATGAACCCAGGCACTGTTATACTTTCCAGCTCTCTACTGCTTCTCCTCCCCACCATGCGTGGGGTCAGCCAGATGCCCCAAAGAGCTCTGGGGCTCATGCCTGTGGAGTCATCTCTGGCCCAGACTAGACCCTCATTCTCAGAAAACAGCTTGGTGAACAAATTGCTGCTGCTAGCCAGCAGGGCATTCTTGCTCAAGATTGCTTGAAATTAGAAAGCCAGTATGATGCTGACACTCTAATTTGGGGTGACTCTAATAGTTTATAGATAAGCACCCCATAAAAAAATTGGCCCCTGGGTCTTGAACATTTCAGGAGTGGCCCCGTATATACTACAAATTTTTAAAATATAAAATCGGAGCATACTCTACATGTTATTCTATATATTGCTGTTTTTTCACTTACTATGTCATGGAACTGTTTCCATGTCAACATATATTATTCGGCCACATAATTCTCAATGTCTGCAAAAGTCTATACGGGTATTCTATGATTTATTTAACCAATCTCTGGTTAGGCATTTAAATTTTTTCTCCTGTATTTTGCTATCATAAATAGTGCCATCATACCTAAATCTATCACAAATAAATCTGTGAGCTAAGATTACATCCTTCAGATATAGCTTAGAAAGGGACATTTCTAGGTAAATATTATTTTTAAATTTTTTTTATTGATACAATATGTTGGCTGCCTATCCAGAAATGTTTTTGCCATATTATATTTCCTAGAACATATAGTAAAGACTGCTTTCCCACACTCTCACCAAACCTTGGAGTTATCACTCCTTTGTATCTCTGCCAATTTAATACTTAAGGAGTAGCATTCTATTTCCATTTTCCCTAAGTTTACTGGCCATAGACATTACAGTTGTGAATTATTTCGAGGCAGGGACTTCACAGCAGTACATTTGCTCCAAGATGAAGTTTGACCCTGAAATAGCCCAACTAAGCTTTATTTCTTTTTCAAAAGACGGATTGGAGATTACAACAGAACCCAAACAGTTAGAGATATTTCCTTTGTGGAACATTTTCCAAAAAAATTATCTTAAATTGGAGCATAAAGTATGCAAAGGAATCTTTGCTGAAACCACCTTACTTTTGCAAAAAGAAAGACAAAAACCATATTGTTCCTCTTGACTCTTTTTTGACTTTGTGGCCCAGTGTTCTTCAGCTCAGTCCTGGAAAGGGGAGAGGTCTTATTACTCAAAACCAGTTCTTTTCCGATCCACTTAAGGTTGATTATCAAGCTTCAGCTCCCTTGACAGGCCACAAGATTGAAACATGACAGAGGGTGGACATAGCTGGCATCTGATGGTGACAACTCAGGATGCCAGTATCTGGGGTTTTCAACCTTCATGCCATGTCTAAACAAAGCAATTCCATATAAGTTACAGAAAACTAGGGCCTGATATGCACGTTGCTTAATTCTAATCACTATTAAATAACTTTTTAGACAAAAACTCTACTATTCATTTTTTTGATGCTTGATCAACACCATTACTCAACTGACGTCTCTTGCAAACAATAATCTGTGATAGAAAAGAGCTGAAAGTATTATACAACATCATTTTTATTTTAAATATCAACTTTTTATCTGAGAAATGTAGTATAAGAACATTATTGTCAAAAATACATAGAGAAAATAAAATTTGGTCAGCAGGGAAGTTAAGAACTGTTCCCTGACTGTACTGTAATAGATAGGTCAGGCATTTGGGGCTGTATTTAGTGTTACCTTCCATTCTTCCTTATTTATCATAGAGAAGCAGTCTTCAGAGAACTCTTCTATTGGAAATAATTTTTTTTTTTGCTATCTTCCCTTTTTTTGCTATCTTCCCACAAATTTTTTTTCAAATCTGCCTGAGTGAAAAATAACAGTTTACAATTTTATCGAAATACCTGTCTTTACTATTACCGCTTTGCTGTACACATATCTAAATCCTCACATACTTGAGGTGTTTAACTTTGTTTTAAAAAAAAAAGTACTAAAAACTGTGAAATTAACAGAATGCTTTGGGTAGTCAAACTAATACATGAACACTTCTTAATAGAAGATATATTTAGGCAATTTAAAATATTTTTTGGTTCTGCACACAATCAGGAAACTCAAAGCATTTTTTTCCTCTAAAGATATGATCTTTCTCTGCTAGCTTTCTTTAATTGGTGAGCAAAAGTAAATGTCACAGAGGGTTCTGTTTGGATTAGCACTATAGAAAAGTATCAATATACAAATGATAGCATTTATGAAGACAGAGAAAGCTAAAAATGTACTTTATACCCAGGCCACTCATGGGAAGTTGGAATATTAGTAATTTTCAGTTCAATTGAATGTCACTTTGATTAAACTGTGTTCTTGATTACATTGTGCTCTTAGCTACTCTTTTCCTTCTCTATCTAAAATGGAATTTTAAAAAACTTTAAAATAGAACTTCAAAGTAATATGAAGGTCACCTTTCAAAAGTTACAACATGAATGAAATCCCCCAGAAGCCTATTTTATAGATATTAAGTATTTTATCTGAATTTCAGAAATATCTACCACCAACCGACAGGAACGGGAAATTTTTTCAGCCAACATCCATTTAGCAGCCATGATGATGGTTTTAAGATGAGGCACCCTTTTTACCCGTCAAATTTTTGGAGGAGTAACATTAGACAATAATTACATGAATCACTTTAGTGCAAGTCAGGATGTGATAAGAGCATTAAGAGAGAGAAATATCTTCTGGTCTGGAAGGGTTTCTTAAGTATAGAAGCGTGAGAACTGAGTGTTGAAGGATGAATTAGTAGAGGTGGTGGGAAGGGTCTTTTGGTGCTGGTAGTTCTGAAAATAATTAAGCAAAGAACATTTAAGCTATATCCATACTAAAAGGGTAGTGACCATGGCCCTTCCAAAAACCTAAGGAACTGATGTCCTAACCAGAGGTGGAATAGTCCCCTGTCTTTCACCAAACTCCATCCCTTCCATCAATGGACAAGAACATTCTTTCCAACAATGAACAAGAATCTTCTCTAGCTGGTTGATGGAGAGCATAGTACGGAAATGCATGCTTTTCCATAAAATGTTTCCTACCAAGGGCAAGATGCCCAGGCATGTGGTGCATATGAGTATCTCCTACTTCCTTTCCCTATTTTTCCCCATCAGTTGAGACACATGGGAAAGAATCGATGTCTGCCTAAAATAAGCTATTCATTCATGACCTCATTGCTAATACTCACGCTGACTCAGGTATTTTGGCAACATGAATTATTCCAGATCCATTAAATAAATTTCTTTTTTGTACACTTATACCTGCATGCACAATTCAGAATTTCAAGTCGGTTGATCCAGAAGAATTAATTGAGCGCCTTGTTAAGAGTTGATAGGACAGATGAGCCACACTGCTCTCCAAAAAAGCACTTATCATTGTCTTGGGGAAAAGACATATGAAAATCTAACTAATAAGAATGTATACAAAAATGTCAGTTTTTGTAAAATGACAAGTTTACACCACTAAAATTTAGCTAAATAAAAGATCTGCTTTAGTTCAACCATTGTGGAAAGCAGTGTGGCGATTCCTCAAAGAACTTAAAACAGAATTCCTTGAAGGACTTAAAACATAATTACCATTTGACCCAGCATTCCCATTACTGGGTATATACCCAAAGGGGTATAAATCATTCTATCATAGAGATACATACACAGGTATTTTATTGTAGCACCATTTACATTAGCAAAGGCATAGACTCAACCTAAATACCCATCAACAATAAACTGCATAAAGAAAATGTGGTACAAATATACCATGGAATGCTATGCAGCCATAAAAAACAATGAGATCATGTCTTTTGCAGCAACATGGATGGAGCTGGAAGCCATTATCCTAAGCAAACTAATACAAGAACAGAAAACCAAATACCACGTGTTCTTACTTGTAAGCAGGAGCTAAACAATGAGAACATACGGACACAAAGAAATAACAGACACCAGGGCCGACTTGAGGGTGGATAGTGGGAGTAGGGAGAGGATTAAAAAACTACCCATCATGCACTATGCTTATTACCTGGGTGATGAAATAATCTGTACACCAAACCCTTATGGATTCAATTTACCTATATAACAAACTTAACACATGTATCCCTGAAACTAAAATAAAAGTTAAGAAAAAGAAAAAAGAGAAAATCTGGTCAGACATTGTGGTCCACGCCTGTAATCCCAGCACTTTGGGACACCAAGGCAGGAGGATCAGTTGAGCTCAGGAGTTTGAGACTAGCCTGGGCAACATAATGAGACCCTATCTCTACAAAGAGTAATAGATTAGGTGAGCATGGTTGGGTGCACCTGTAGTCCCAGCTACTTGGGTGGCTAAGGTGGGAGGATCTCTTGAACCTAGGAGTTCGAGGGTGCAGTGAGCCATGATTGTGCCATTGCACCCCAGCCTGGGAGACACAGTAAGACCCTGTCTCAAAAAAAAAGAAAAGAAACGATCAAAAGATCAGAATATGGTTATGTTGCTATGAAATGCTTCATTGAGGAGGCAAGACTTGTAGAAACTGGACGTATGGGGAGAAGTAGGAAAGAGCACATCAGTCTGGCAAAAGAGGCAGATGACATAGGAGAAAGAACAAAAACTGGAGCACTTTTGGGGTCTTGTTGGGGAAACAGACAGTTAAACTACTTGAAATGGAGAAAGTAAAAAAGATAATGTTGAAAATGGAAGTTGAGGCCAAACAGTGGAAGACTTTGACCTTTGACTAAAACATACATGTAGAATATATGAGCCTATAAACCTTTGTTCAAAATTAATTTGATATACTCAACTTTGGTAACTTTATCTCTAAATGATTGTTTTAAACCTATTTCATGAACATAAGACTTAAATGAATTATGAAGTGCTTTGGTGATTCCAAAAGCAGGCCTCATAGGAGAATCACTCAATTTAACTGCCTACTAAAAATACAGATCCCCAGGCATAACCCAATAATATTCTAGAAAGAAAGAAACAAATGTGATATGGAGTTATGTTAAAGAGCTCAGGCCTGTGAGTCATGTATTATTTAAATCCTGCTTCTACCATTTACTAATTGTGTGGCAATGCGCAAAGGGCTTACATTCTTTGAGCTCAGTTTCCTCTTCTGTAGAATTAGTATGATAGCCTATTCATATGTTTGCTGTAAGGGTTCAAAAAAATAAAGCATGTAAAGTGCTTGGCATATTGTGTGGCTTCACAGTACATGCTCTACAAATGATAACGATGAATGTAGTTAGGCAATGCCAATGTTAAAAATAAAAATAAAATAAAACAGAAAGGACAGGCTGAAGACATTGGAGAAATGGATTGATAGGACTAGTGCCTGATTGAATGTAGGCAGTGAGTAAAAGGGAGGTGCCAGAGATAGTGCAAATCCTCATTGGATGTGGACAGTGAGACGGGGGAAGTGCCAGAAATAGGCCAACTCTTTAAGCTTACTGGCTTACTAGTGCCCTCTAGTCTCTTATATACAGATCTCTCTATTCAGTCACAGTTGGGTCTTTGGGGTCATTGCCTTTGGTGGGTTGTTTTGTTGTTTTTGTTTTGTTTTGTTTTTAATTTTTATTTTTTGGCTTTCTCATTCATTAGAGAAAGCTTTAGACCAAACTTAATTTAACACCATCAAGGAGCTCGCCACCCTGGGGATGATTTAGATAAAGCCAAACCCTAATGTACTGTGGTAAGTCACACTGTCTCTCTCTCTCTCATTACAGCCTCCACTTCCAAATGTGTCTGCCTATTGCCCCCACAGTGCTTCAAGGGTGGAAACCAACTCTACTGTGTCAAAATGGGATCATCAACAAGTGAGAAAACATTGAACATCTGTGAAGTGGGAACTATAAGATGTGCAAACAGGAAGATGGAAATACTGCATCCTGGAAAGTGTTTGGCCTAGCACAATTACTGCTAGGCCCAGCACAATGAACAGATTTACCATCCCGAAGAACCAACTCCTACAAATGAGAATTCTTGCACAAACAGCAGACTGGCATGCTCAAAGTTACTGACAAAAATTATTTTCTGTTAGTTTGAGATCATTATTCTCCCCTGACTCTCCTGTTTGGGCATGTCTTATTCAGTTCCAGCTCATGACGCCCTGTAGCATACCCCTAGGTACCAACTTCCACAGCAGTCTCGTAAATTCTCCTGTTCACATTGTACAAAAATAATGTGACTTCTGAGGCCCTTATGTAGCCTGTGACATTAAGCATTCTCGCAATTAGAAATAAGAATAAAACCCATAATTTTCTTCAATGAGTTAATAAACAGAAATCTCCAGAACCTCTGAAACACATTCTTGAAGCCCAGCTTTCATATCTTCATTCAACAAATAATTTCTGAGTGTGTATACAGGATGTCAAGTACTGACCAAAGTCCTGAGAACTCGGCAGATAATAAAACAGACAAAAGCCTTTGCCTTCATGAAGCATACATTCATTCAGGGGTAGACACACAAAAAATGAAATAAACAGGTAAAATATGTAGCATGTTTGATGGTGATAATTGTTTTGGAGAAAATACAACACGGAAGGGTGAGTCCCATCCTTAATTATCATCTTATGCAAGGAAATATTCCATAACAATAAACATCGCTGTAAGGATGATTGAGCTCCAGTGGAAATTATCTTGTTTAAAGTTGTTAAGAATAAACTTCTGGAGTTCTATTCTCTCAGAAAGTAGAAAAGAGATTCCCTTTGCCTCAACTAAAGTGCACCTTAAAGTTTTAGGCTGAAGTGTGTGATGGATAGAAAATTGTCAGAGAATTTTGAAGGAATAATTTTTTAAGGTAAGTCATATCTTTTCATTAGGCCATACAAAGCAGAAACCAGTTTATTAGCGAGGCTAGGGTGTCAATTTTAATTGGAGAAGAGAGGCATCTTTGGAGCAGCAGTTCTCAAATATTAGGGTGCATTAGAATCACCTAGAGGGTGTGTGTGTTCAGATAGATGCCTGGAACCACCCCAGTTTCTAACTCAGTAGTTCTGGGGTGGGGCCTGAGAATGTGTGTTTCTAACAGCATTCCAGGTGGTACTGCTTATGAGCATCAGGACATCACATTTTGAGCATACCGAATTTAGAGATGGAGTCATCACACAGCTAACTCTGATTAAGTAATTGATCTCAAAACCATAGCCAACCTCCAAGCAGGTGAGTGGAAGCAGATTCCCTTCCAGCAAAACTCACTGGGATCCCCACCTCTTGGAAGGAGTCTATGAGCCACAGCTACCTGCCAACCCCATCCCCAGACCTTATACATGCAGCTCCTCCTCCATCTCATTGATCATAGGATGTCCGCAAAATCTAACATATATTATAATATTAAAGGAGAAGAATGGGGAATGAAAACACCTATAAACAAAAAAACATTTTCCTGGTGTAACAGAGGTTGACCATGACCTTTTCTTTTCCCAGGAGTCAGTAACCCATCTATTTCCCAGTCATACCACCCCACTCTCTTCTCACTCTAAGTGGTACAGGCCACTCCTGTAAGCATCATAAGCCTTCAGCACACCCGAGACATCAGCTGAGAGCAAAGAAGTATTAAATACTCCCACATCCTAAGGAGAGTCACTAACAATTAAATCAATAAACTTTCCCTAGGATTGAATTGGCTCTGTTTGACCCAACTCTCATGCCAGCTCTACAACTTTCCAGGCTATAAAATGGGACTAGATGAGTAGGGAAAGGAGTCATGGGAATCTGCAGCCACAGGAATGCGGCATTCATAGTGGAAGTCCCGTTCTTCTCCTAAGTCCATTCTCTCCCTTTGGTGAGGAGGAGGAGGAGGATGCTGAAAATGTCCACTGAAGCCAGGCAACCAAAGTCCCAAGACAATTAATTGTAGGGTGTGATGAAACCACGTTTGCTAAAATTGTAACAGTGAGAAAATTATGTCTGTGAGAGAGATCTGATCTAACCAACCCCCATCTTGCCTTTAGCCTTCAAACTACTCTTAATTATTCCTGGGCTTGGGCCAAGCTAACTTTGGGAGACATTTAATTTATAGTGTAAATGATAATAGCCCCTCCCCCAAACTCAGTGGCCTTTGTAAAGCTAATGAGAGACCACCACACTAGGAGGATGAGAGGAACCTGGATTCTGCTAAGGTGTGGACATACATGATTAGCCACACATTATTCCAGATGCACAAGATGTACAACTTCCGCCAATTACTCCTGCAAATAACATCACTATTGTAGAACCTAAGATTGGTCTTTTGAGATGTCTTTTCTGGTTTTTTGCATCTGATGACCAATGGTTCCACCTGGAACCACCAACTGCTCCTGTGGCCCCATCCAAAAGTGACTCAGTGAACAAGGGGACCATTTCCCACACTCCTGTAATTGTACTCCCAACAAATCAGCAGCAAGTACCCATTGCCTAGCCATCCTCCCTCTTCCCCCAAACTATCTTTGAAAAATCCTGGCCTTTGAAGTTTTAGAGAGACTGATTTGAGTAATAATAAAACTCAGGTCTTTCATTCAGCTGGCTCTGTGTGAATTAAGCTTCTTCTCTATTGCAATCCCCTGTCTTGATAAATCAGCTGTCTCTGGGCAGTGGACAAAATGAACTGATTGGGCAGTTATAGTGGGGTTACCTACAGTATGGATATATGGTGCTGCCCTAGCTTGCTAGAGGCTGTAGAATCTTACAGCTGCCACTTAGCACCTGGAAGGTGCTAATCCACACTGGGGTGGTTCTCCCTTACGTGAGCTAAGACCACTTCCTGCCTAGCAAGTGCTGAAGGCAGGATGCTTACAAGAGTGGCTTGCCCCTCTCTCATAGTTGCAGTCTGACTAGGGAGAAGATGGATACAGCCCTTTTCTCCATCTGCATCCCATGGCACAGGGAAGTAATGAAAACTTGGTGGCTCCTGTGGAGCACAGAGAAGAGGAAAGGCCAGCACTGGCACTGGAGGGAAGAAGGAGATGAAATGAAAATCAGATATGAGATTGGAGACTTAAACTGGACCAACTTTCAAAAAACAGAAAGTGACCAGAAATCTGTCTGATCTGTGCCAGAGCTAAGAAGAATGGAATCTGGCAGACCCTAGTGAAAGCTAGAGTTGCCATACATAACAAAGTCATACAAACAGAAACATTTTGTCTCACAATTCTGGTGGCTAGAAATCTGAAACCAAGATGTTGGCAGGGCCATGTTTCCTCTGAAACCTGTAGAAGATAATCCTTCATTGTCTCTTCCAGCTTCTGGTGTTTGCCAGCAATTTTTGGCATTCCTTGGCTTATGGATGCATCACTGCAGTTTCTGCCTTCATCACCACGTGGCTGTCTTTGTCTTCCTTCTGTCAATATCTGCCCAAATTTCCATTGTCTTATAAAGATGCTAATCTTGTTAAACTAGGCCCACCCTAAATGAGGCAGAAGAGTAGGGTCTGGAGGTAAGGAACATAAGGCCAATTCATGATTTACGCTGACTTCCTAAAACTAAACCAAATGGAAACACTTCAGCTAAGACAGGAAATAGCCTCTCCATTTACCTAGTGTGTACACGGAGTAAATGACTTTGTAACTTTACTTCATCCTTTTTATTTCCATAGGGCATACACCAAGTAACCAATGGAAACCTCTAGAGGGTACTTAAACCCCAGAAAATTCTGTAATGGGGCTCTTGATTAGTTGGTCTTTTTACCACTTCAGCTACCTTTGTTTCAAAGAATTTTTTGAGTGCACTAATCCATTAAAGTTTGCATTAGGCTGATTTGCATACCATTTGCCAGCTGAATTTTTACACTCTGATGTTAATATTAAGATAGCAATTTAGTACAATAAGTGTTAAGAGCTAGTGACAAAATTATCAACATGAAGTGAAGAACAAAACTGAAACATATTAAATATCTGGTATTTGGACCTCCCATCTCCAATTCTGTACTAGAAGATTAAATAAATTCCAGATCAAAGGTAAAATCTTTATCTCTTTGGCTATTAGAGATGAATACTAAGTCTTCGTGTTTGCAGCTTAAGTAACTGGAAATCAATTCAGCTCTTTTTTAAATATGGATTTGAATTGTTGATGGTTCTGCAATATATTGACAAAATAAGTGAGACCCCAGCTTAAGAACTTTATGAATAGGCATGTTATGTATTTCTGATGTCCTGGAAGCAAAGACACAAAAACAATTCTAAGACTATGATTTTAAAATTCCAGTCCTCTCTTTATCTGCTAGTCAAGCTTAATCAAAGATTTCCTCTTTTGAGCAGTCTTCAATAAAGCTCACTAAATTTTAGAATATGTTACCGTTTTTTCTCTTTCTACCAAAGCCTTCAACTCCTACAACCTACACTTTATAGTTTTAAAGATTGAGCTCCTCTGTTATTTCCAAAAGACCACCTATAAGCTATCCCTAAACCACATTCCTTCCTAAAATCCAATTCTGAGTAACAGGAATCTGACAGATCATGATGTTTCTGGTTGGGTACAAAACTACCCCGAAGCTTGATTAATTGGATTCTAAATGGCTGGCTCTCTCCAAAGTCACCTTCATTCTTTTGGACATCATGTGTGGAATCAATGAGGCATTGAGCTTCTAACCAAACAAATAGCCTGCAAAATTATAGTTGTATCCAGTCCATTTTATGAACATAAGACAGGCCACTGCTACCCTATTTGTCTTCTTGACAAGTTCTAGCTGCACAGTTTCAGTTCCAAATGTCAAATATCAGTTAAGAGAGGTGTGTGTCACCAATCAAGGGACTCCAAGGAACAGATGGCACACTGAAAGTCATGCTCACAAAGATTTATATAGAAAGATGCTCATCACAACATTATTTATAATATCAAAAAATGACAGACCCTAACTGTCCAATAATAAATCATGGCCCCTCAATATAAAGGAAAGTATGAGGTCACTGACAAGCATCTTTTTAAAATGATATTAAGGGACATAATAAAAAGTGAAAGACCTGGTATTTTATTCTCTTTGAAGCAATTGTGAATGGGAGTTCACTTATGATTTGGCTCTCTGTTTCTCTGTTATCGGTGTATAAGAATGCTTGTAATTTTTGCACATTGATTTTGTATCCTGAGACTTTGCTGAAGTTGCTTATCAGCTTACGGAGATTTTGGGCTGAGACAAGGGGGTTTTCTAGATATACAATCATGTCATCTGCAAACAGGGACAATTGGACTTCCTCTTTTCCTAATTGAATACGCTTTATTTCCTTCTCCTGCCTGGTTGCCCTGACGAGAACTTCCAACACTATGTTGAATAGGAGTGGTGAGAGAGGGCATCCCTGTCTTGTGCCAGTTTTCAAAGGGAATCCTTCCAGTTTTTGCCCATTCAGTATGATATTGGCTGTGGGTTTGTCATAGATAGCTCTTCTTATTTTGAGATACATCCCATCAATACCTAATTTATTGAGAGTTTTTAGCACGAAGGTTGTTGAATTTTGTCAAAGGCCTTTTCTGCATCTATTCAGATAATCATGTGGTTTTTGTCTTTGGTTCTGTTTATATGCTGGATTACATTTATTGATTGGAATCCAACTTACAAGGGATGTGAAGGACCTCTTCAAGGAGAACTGCAAACCACTGCTCAATGAAATAAAAGAGGATACAAACAAATGGAAGAACATTCCATGCTCATGGGTAGGAAGAAACAATATCGTGAAAATGGCCATACTGCCCAAGGTAATTTATAGATTCTATGCCATCCCCATCAAGCTACCAATGACTTTCTTCACAGAATTGGAAAAAACTACTTTAAAGTTCATATGGAACCAAAAAAGAGCCCGCATTTCCAAGTCAATCCTAAGCCAAAAGAACAAAGCTGGAGGCATCACGCTACCTGACTTCAAACTATACTACATGGCTACAGTAACCAAAACAGCATGGTACTGGTACCAAAACAGAGATATAGATCAATGGAACAGAACAGAGCCCTCAGAAATAACACCGCATATCTACAACTATCTGATCTTTGACAAATCTGACAAAAACAAGCAATGGGGAAAGGATTCCCTATTTAATAAATGGTGCTGGGAAAACTGGCTAGCCATATGTAGAAAGCTGAAACTGGATCCCTTCCTTACCCCTTATATAAAAATTAATTCGAGATGGATTAAAGACTTAAATGTTAGACCTAAAACCATAAAAACCCTAGAAGAAAACCTAGGCATTACAATCAGGACATAGGCATGAGCAAGGACTTCATGTCTAAAACACCAAAAGCAATGGCAACAAAAGCCAAAATTGACAAATGAGATCTAATTAAACTAAAGAGCTTCTGCACAGCAAAAGAAAATACCATCAGAGTGAACAGGCAACCTACAAAATGGGAGAAAATTTTTGCAATCTACTCATCTGACAAAGGGCTAATATCCAGAATCTACAAAGAACTCAAACAAATTTACAAGAAAAAAACAAACAACCCCATCAACAAGTGGGCGAAGGACATGAACAGACACTTCTCAAAAGAAGACATTTATGCAGCCAAAAAACACATGAAAAAATGCTCACCATCACCGGCCATCAGAGAAATGCAAATCAAAACCACAATGAGATACCATCTCACACTGGTTAGAATGGCAATCATTAAAAAGTCAGGAAACAACAGATGCTGGAGAGGATGTGGAGAAATAGGAACACTTTTACACTGTTGGTGGGACTGTAAACTAGTTCAACCATTGTGGAAGTCAGTGTGGCGATTCCTCAGGGATCTAGAACTAGAAATACCATTTGACCCAGCCATCCCATTACTGGGTATATACCCAAAGGAATATAAATCATGCTGCTATAAAGACACATGCACACATATGTTTACTGCGGTACTATTCACAATAGCAAAGACTGGGAACCAACCCAAATGTCCAACAGTGATAGACTGGATTAAGAAAATGTGGCACATATACACCATGGAATACTATGCAGCCATAACAAATGATGAGTTCATGTCCTTTGTAGGGACATGGATGAAATTGGAAATCATCATTCTCAGTAAACTATCTCAAGAACAAAAAACCAAACACCGCATATTCTCACTCATAGGTGGGAATTGAACAATCAGAACACATGGACACAGGAAGGGGAACATCACTCTCTGGGGACTGTTGTGGGGTGGGGGGAGGGGGGAGGGATAGCATTAGGAGATATACCTAATGCTAAATGACGAGTTAATGGGTGCAGCACACCAGCATGGCACATGTATACATACGTAACTAACCTGCACATTGTGCACATGTACCCTAAAACTTAAGGATAATAATTAAAAAAAAATACTGAAAGGCCAGACTACAAAACTGTACATTATTACAGCTAAGAAAATTGTGTGTGTATATAAATGGCTTTAAAAACAATGATTGGGAAAACAGTATCTACTCTTGGAATTTGGAGTGACTTTTATTTATATATCTTCTGTATTTCAAGATTTTCTTCAACTGGCATGCAATTTTTTATAGTTGTGTATGAAAAGTCATTTTAAAACTTTTTCTCTTCTACATAGGTGAGAAAGGTAGATAGTTAATTCTGCTTGTATGGACACATTGATGGCTTATATAGTAGAGATTTCCCTGGTCTGAACTTGACCACATGAGGAGGTTTGGCAGCTTTCAGCGAAACTTGTGAACCTCATATACATCATTCATTCATTCACAAACACTCACTGACTACCTGCTAAGTCCCAGGAGTTAGGGCTATAATCATGCAGAGGTTTTGGAGGCACTTAGAGTATGATGAAAAGATTATAAAGGTATACTTAAAACAGTATTACATAAAGTAGAAAGCAACGAGTTACTGTTAAAATAATTGTAGGTACAGATAACGTCTTAAAGGAATAAATTTTAAAAACTAGGCAGTTAATAAAATCAAGCATTAATCTTCAAAGTTTGATAGCAGTTGGAGACACTTAGTAGCTGTTTAAATTTGGACAAGTCTCTCCAAGACTCAGTTTCCTCTCATGAAAGATGGGGATAACACCAGTTAACTCACTCTATTTCTTCTGAGGATTGAGTGGAGTAAAAAAAATTATATATATAAAATATCTGTATATATCACAATTACCACTGGAGAGCCTAGAATGAGAAGTGCATTTACTACTTGGGTGTTGTTTATTGTTATTATTATTATTATTAACAAAAACAATGGAGATTAGTGGCTGCAGTTCACACTTTATTTTGTATTACATGACACATTTCCTCTACTGCCAATCTTGCTATTGAAACCTGATTTATTAAGGACCCTATGGTGGATTGCTCAGGGGAGAGAAATAGCTGGAATATTCAGAATCCATATCAAACGAAGCAGATAAAATGTGGTTGTTCACTGTAATCATTTATCAACAACAGAAGTAAAAGTTTTGAGTTCTTTTTAGAGTATTCATCGTGTATGCCAGATAAATGGACATGGACCGATGTTTGCAAATGAAAACAAAATGGGGAAAAAAATAAAAATCAATGATGTCAAAGCAATGTGGACAGCAGATTCATGAATAGAAAATGAGGAAGAAATTAGATGGAGTAATTGGAAATATACTCCAAGGATTACTTGTTTGCTATCACCCTCTCCCTGTCCCATAGGCAAGGACATCATCTATTTAGAAGAGTCTCGATTTTACTAAAACATGACCCTTAACATGAGGGTAAGGTAACATCACAGTTCAAAACCATGAGACTAGAAGCTGTTGTCCTTCATGAAGGTGTATTTCTAATAATGCCAGCTTCTAGAGAAGTACCCTAACTGAATAATTTTCATTTTGTTTATCACAACTGAAAACTAACTATTGGGCCATGTCTACCCTTCTGTTGAAAAGTAGTGACGTACACTGGTACATCTCTGCAATAGTCAAAAATTCTGCTCACCAATATTGGTGGCTCTCCATCTCCCAGGAACCAGGTTGGATCACACTTCTGGCTCTTGTGGGTAGGAGTGCTATGTAACTGGTACAGATTGATGAAGTGTGAGCAGATATATGTGTGGAGTTTCTTGGTCAAGCATTTAATTGCTGGCCTGAAGATTCCCCCAGTTTCCCTTTCTCTATGGCACATTTGAGATAGTGACTTCATCAGCCTGAGTTCCTGAGTCACTAATAGGAACAGAGCCCATTATACGCCATTGAATTTCTATGGGTATGCGGCTTGAGCCAAAAACAAACCTTTCTTGTTTTATGCCACTGATATTTGGGGATGGTTTTTTTTTATATCATTACTTAGCCTACCTGTCTGATATTAACTATAATGTAACAAATGACATGATGCCATTAAAAGCTAATCTCTTTCACTTCCCCAAATTGCATTACAGAACAATTTCACATTTCTCCAGGCATTACCAAGTTAATAAGTAAGAATTGTCATTGCTTTGAACATGGCCTATAATCACTAATATACTTGGGTGGAAAAATTCATAAACAAATTAAAATTAGAAGAGGAAAATGATAATGTTTAGTTTTAAAATACATTCTGAATTGTACCTATTATTTTCTAGGGAAATTGAATAGGAAACATTAAAGTTGCAAAGACAAAATAAATCCTTCTGTATAGAGTTTACTTGCTAGGACTAAAAAGAAACATAAATGCAAAAAAAAAGTGAACACTTTCCTAAGAAACACTTTATTATATTTGAATAACTTTGTAGTATCTTGGAAATGTTTATTATGTTTAAAAGCATTTCAAAGTTGATTGAACCTGCTTCATATTTCTTGATTACCAAATCATCTTAATTATATTTCAAACCAATTGCTTGTCAAAAATGCATTATAAAGAACTTCAGGGCTGGGCGCGGTGGCTCACGCCTGTAATCCCAGCACTTTGGGAGGCCGAGGCTGGTGGATCACGAGGTCAGGAGATCGAGACCATCCTGGCTAACACGGTGAAACCCCGTCTCTACTAAAAATACAAAAAATTAGCCAGGCGTGGTGGCGGGCGCCCATAGTCCCAGATACTTGGGAGGCTGAGGCAGGAGAATGGCGTGAACCCAGGAGGTGGAGCTTGCAGTGAGCCGAGATCGTGCCACTGCACTCCAGCCTGGGCCAAGAGCAAGACTCTGTCTCAAAAAAGAAAAAACAAGAACTTCAGGCATTTACAAATGATGCCGATATTTATATTCCGATTTCTAATGCTTGAATAAAACATAAAATCTAGTTCATATATTTTGTAGGTTCTATTTATTGCCCCATCTCTCCCAAAACTCATTCAGCTGCCTCCCAATGGGCAATATTTTAGGAGATGTTAGTCCCAGTCTCAACCGCAGCCCCAAAAAGTGAATTCCAATTGGTTTAAGGCAGTCAGTGCGGTCCCATTTCCCTTCCCATGTGCATTAGACACATGCATGGCAAGTCTACCGAATGAGAGATGAGAAGCATCTTCTGGAGGACTTCTGAGAAGGATTTTTCTTACTCTTCAATGGTTCAGAGGAATAAATCATCTCTTTTTATGAATGTTACCATATCTGAATATGATGCTGGCAGCTGCTTCAGCCTTCTTATTACCATGAAATTTCCAGTTGTGGTCTGGCCAACACATGGAGGAGGTTTCAGCAGAAACATAGAAAGAACTGAACCATTGATGAAATCACTGAGCTACTGAATTAACCAACTCCGGAATGTTCATGCTTCTTGTCTTTTTGTTATAAAATAATAAATTTTCTTCTTCATTGTTTAAGCGATTTTTGAGTTGAGTTTTCTGCTACTTGTAGCCAAACATATGGTGATTCAGAAATTAATCATGTTCTTTTCTATTCAACAAATGGTGCTGGGGTAATTGTCAAGCCACATGTAGAAGAATGAAACTGGATCTTTATCTTTCACCTCATACAAAAATCAACTCAAGATGGATCAAGTACTTAAATCTAAAACTTGAAACTATGAAAACTCTAGAAAATAACTAGAAAAACCCTCCTAGACATTGGCTTAAGCAAAGACTTCATGACCAAGAAACCAAAAGCAAATGCAACAAAAACAAAGATAAATAGATGGGACTTAATTAAACTAAAAAGCTTCTGTGCCGCAAAAGGAATGGTCAGCAGAGTAAATAGACAACCCACAGAGCAGGAGAAAATCTTCACAATCTATACATCTGACAAAGGACTAATATCCAGAATCTACAAATAACTCAAACAAATTAGCAAGAAAAAGAACAAAAAATCCCATCAAAAAGTGGGCTAAGGGCATGAATAGACAATTCTCAAAAGAAGATATAAATAGCCAACAAACATATGAAAAAATGCTCAACGTCAGTAATAATCAAGGAAATGCAAATCAAAACCACAATGCGATACCACCTTACTCCTGCAAGAATGGCCATAATTTAAAAATTTTAAAATAATAGATTTTGGCAGGGATATGATGAAAAGGGAATACTTCTACACCGCTGGTGGGAATGTAAATTAGTACAACCGCTATGGAAAACAGTGTGGAGATTCCTTAAAGAACTAAAAGTAGAACTATCATTTGATCCAGCAATCCCACTACCAGGTATCTACTCAGAGGAAAGGAAGTCATTATACAAAAAAGATACTTGCACACACATGTTTATAGCAGCACAATTTGCAATTGCAAAAATATGGAGCCAGCCCAAATACCCATCAATCAAAGAGTGGATAAAGAAATTGTGAGATTATATATATATATATATATATATATTGGAATACTACTCAGCCATAAAAAGAAATGAAATAATGGCATTCACAGCAACCTGGATGGAGTCGGAGACCATTATTCTAAGTGAAGTAACTCAGGAATGAAAAACCAAACATTGTATGTTCTCACTTAGAAGTGGAAACTAAGCTATGAAGACACAAAGGCGTAAGACTGATGCAATGAACTTTGGAGACTCAGGGGGAAAGGGTGGGAGGGGGGTGAGGGATAAAAAGACTACAAATTGGGTACAGTGTATATTACTTAGGTGATGGATGCACCAAAATCTCAGAAATCACCACTAAAGAACTTATTCATGTAACCAAAACCACCTGTTCCTCAAAAACCTATGGAAATAAAAAATATAAATAAATAAATCCATAAATACATAAATAGGGGTAATGATAAAAATTTTAAAAAGAAATTAATCATTTTCTTGAGGTTTGTACTTTCATGATGTTGATAGATGAATAGAATAAGTTTTTCTCTTAAAATGACTATAATTTGTATTAAAAAATTTGAAGGATTCTCTCTGGTGGTTGAAGATACTTATCTAGCATCAAACAAAAGGAAGAAAAATCTTCAGAAATAGAACTTAGTAAGGCAACATTTTAATTTTGTAATGAATTTCTCCATTATTTCTCAGAAAGCCAGTCACCTCTAAAGCTTCCCAAATAACCGTAATCAATTATAGGCCTTTTGAGTACTCAGTACCATGTTTATTTCTCTGAGGAGGAAGACCTAATGCTTAGTAAGCCACTATTTATGTCAGACTCATCATGTAATTATGTTATTTAGCCCTTGAAGCAACTCTAAAAGACGTAGGTGTCACTGGCCTCATTTAGAGATGAAGAACCTGAGGACTTGGTAACCAGAGTTACCTGCCAAATGTCAGGTATCTCATAAGAGGCAGAGACAGAATTCAGACCTGGTCAGCCTGACTGAAGAACTTGGGAGCTGACTGTATTGTATCAAAGTTAAATTAATTGATTTTATAATTATGCTGTTGATTTCAGTGGTTACAAAGATGGCTGTGAATTATTACTCTTCCCATTGAGATGTGGGCTGTAATTCTCCTCCCCCTTGAATCTTGACAGGCTTGTTACTGCTTTGACTAATAGAGTACAGCAAAAGTGACACTGTGTGACTTCTGAAGCTGTCAAAAAAGGCCTTGAAGCTTTCACCTGATTTACAGAAATATTTGCTCTTGATGCCTTGAACCGCCATGATAGAAATTCAATGACCCTGATGTCACCATACCATGAGAAAACAAAAGACACATGAAGAAGCCACATGTAGAGGTTCTGGCAAGAGGTACAACTTAGCCCAGATTTTGACACATCCAAATCCAGACACCATGCATGTGAATGAAGAAGGCTTCAGATATCTCCAGATTCCGTATGTTTAAAACACCTTCTGAGGTTTGAGTCTTCCAAGTTGAGGTTTCAGACAGCATAAAGCAGAGAAAAGCCATCTCAACTGTCCTCACTCCAAATTCCTGATCCATGAACTCCATAAGCAAAAAAAGTAACTGTTATTTTACACAATTAACTTTGGATTAATTTATTGTACAGCAATAAATGACCAAAACAGTCATGTAAGAGAATGTCTCCACTCTTAGAAAATATGCACTGAAGTGTATAGGAATAAAAGGATATAATGTTAACATTTCACTCTCAAGTGACTCAGAGAAGATAGTATAATACACATATATAACGTAATTTTATACATATAAGTATATACATAGCCAATACTCTGGCCATGTGAGGTTACATATATATATATAAAATATATTATATATTATACATAGAGAGAGAGAAAGAAGAAGGAAGAAGGAGAAAGAAAAAGAAATAAAGAGAAAAAAGTATAAGAGGAAGAAGGAGAAGAAGAAAAGGAAGGAGAAGGAGGAGAAGGAGAAGAAATTTGGCAAAATGTAAATAATGGATGAATCTGAGTGAATATATACGGAGTTCTTTGTATTATTCTTGAGACTTTTCTCTAGGTTCAACATTATTTTAAAATAAATTTAAAAAGAGAACCCATGGACTTTTCACTGTAACATGAATGAGACATCATACCTGTGTAAAACCATTGCCAACAACCCAATGCAATATCTAGTTTTCTGCTAAGCTACATGGTACAGACCATATCACTTCATTTATACACATCAATATTCATCTGGGAAGGATATATTGAGAAGTAAAATAGAGTTCTTCTCCATTTCAAAGTGAAGGAAATTAATCACAACAGCATTATGATTTTACCTGGAATACGGGACATATTTTAACATGTACTCGTTTGCAATCTGAAAGTTGGCTTTTCAGCTGTAAGAAAACTATGGTTTCCTCTTCAAAACACCTGTTTGTATAATTATTTAAAAGACAAGAGGCACCCAAGAAGCTGGGTAGAGTCGATGGCTCTTCAGAAAAGTAATCAGTTGGACAAGTTTTATAATCTTGCAAATTCAAAAACCTAGGTGAGAGCAAATTGGAAAAAAAAAAATACAATAAAAAGTTCCTTCAGAACTGGGTTTCATTAAACTATGAACAAGAATTGTTTTGTATTCTTTGCCTGGCTGCACATGAGAGCTGACAGCAGCTGATCATGCTACACTGAACATTGGTAATCACAGCATAATTGGTCACAAGCCTGTCTTAGGGAGCCTGAGCAAACAGAGGTTAACAGCAGAGCTATGAGGCTGAATTCTCTGTTATGGAGTGGCTGTCTTCTTTAGGTGATCAATATGCCATTTTACTCACAAATAGAAACTTCTTTTTCAGATTGTTGTGACTTTTTGCTCTTAGTTCTAAACAATGCCTTTGATCTTTGGAGGACTTTATTACTTGCCTCCTTTCTCAAAGAGTAACTAGGCAGGAATAAAAAAGGAAGGCTAAGTCTGAGCTCAAGGCCCTCTGCCAATGCAAAGTCACCAAAATTAATAACCATAGGACATGCTTTCATGGAACTGTGGGCAACTGAACTGAGAGTAACTAAGGAGTGTGCTTCTGGGCCCTCAGCTACTGGAAACCATGCCCTTAGCACCACAAGGCTGACCACTGACTAACACTAAGAAATTCCTAATTGTGCCTTTGTTTTTGCCTGGTGCATTTCCTATTGCTGCTGTAACAAATTAGCACAAACTCAATTGCTTAAAACAACAGACGTTTATTATCTTATGGTTCTGGCAGGGGCAGGAGTTCAAAGTGGATCTCATTGAGCTAAAAGCAATGTGCTAGCAAGATTACAATCTTTCTGTAAGTTCTATGGGAGAATCTTTTTTGTTGTCACTTCCAGCTTCTTGAGGCCTCCTGCATTCCTTCGTTCATGGCCCCCTTTCCCTATCTTCAAACCCAGGAATTACATCCTTCCAACTCTGCTTCTGTCATCATATCTCTCCCTCTATCTCTCATGCTCTTTCCTCTTCCCACTTTCCCTTATAAGAACCTTTGTGATTACACTAGGCCCACTCAGATAATCTAGGATAATCTTTCCTCGTGTAAGGTAATATATTCTCAAATTTGGGATACTAGGACTTGGATGTTTTGTGGGATCATTATTCTGCCTACCATATCTGCTATACTTCAGATAGCATTAGATTTAGGGTCTCCGTGAAATTAGGAGATTTTTTTTAATTGATTATAAATGATTTTACAAAGCAAAATACCAAGTATCAAATATCAAAATATCAAATATCTGCTAATACTAAGGGTATCCTAACCTCTTTGCTTCTGACCCCAAAGGATGGGTCCAGAGCTACCAGAATTTTCCAAAATACTTGGACTTTGAATATTGCCAGGACTATCTTCCCATCTCATATTTCAGTTTTCTTATGCATTCTTTATTCTCTGACTCCACAGACTAGTTTTATTTCATAGTAGAAAATGTGGCAGCCAGAATTTAACAAAAGAATAAGGGGGAAAACTTTGGCTTTCTGATCTCAAGTTAAAAATCTCAAAGAAGACTCATTAGTTCTACTTCAATGAGTGGTTTACTCCTAGACCAGTCAACTGTGGTCAAAGGGCAAGTTCAGGTAAGAGCAAAGCAGCTCTGGCACTAGTCCTCTGGCAGCGTGTTTGGGAGGCAGGTGATGGGGATGTCCAATTCCCTTGAGATCGGTTACTGTAACACATGTAGCAGTGCAATACAACAACCACACTTCAAACTTTCCATTGACCTGCCAGACAATGAAAGGTCTTGAATTGGGGTAATGATACCACCTTCAGGAAATGAGGACATTTGTTACAACAATAAGAGATCTCCTGGTAGTGGTCCCCAAACCTGGTGGTCATCAAAATCATTTGGAGAGCTTTTAAAAAATATTTATTCTCAAATTCCACCCCACACCTACTAAAACAAAATCTCTAGAACTTGGATAATAGCACACAGTTGCTAAAAACCCAATCAAGAAAACTTTTTCAGATCTAGGCTGAGGCAAGCAATGTATATCAAGAATCACACTGCCTGCCTGCTCCAAATTCTTGAATGCTGGCCCTAGTCCAAACTCTTATTCCTCATCCATTTTCTTACACCCACCTTATGGCTTTGCTACCTTTCCTAAATCTGTGCCAATGCAATCAGATTACATGGTTACCAGTACTTCTTACTGAAAGTGTGTTCCTTTAACCATCATGTTTGAGTCCTCTAGCTTGACCAACTGTGTTGGCCAACTCTAACTCTAGCTTTAAGCTCAGGAATCACAGGAATCCACCTCCACTTGTAAGTGAAGTGTTTCATTTTTGCCTATTATCTCTATACTGTTTTTTACTTTAAAACAGTGAGGAATACAGCCAAATTAAGAGGAGAAAATTATGGAGAATGGGTAAAATGAGAATATTGTGATAAACTGGGGTGTCATATTAAGGGCTATGCAATTTATCCTGTAAGTCAGTATTTTTCAAAAGATAGAGCCAAGATCACCTGTACCAAAATCACCTCAGATAGTGCTACTAAAAGAGAACTCTCTGTGCATTATTTATTATGGTATCCAACAAGATAATAACATAGCACTAGAATGTAAATCATCAAACTACTTCCTTCATCCACAAAATCTTGCTGCAAGAAAAATAGTTGGCTAAATGTAGCAATGTAATTAATGATAAAGTTTATATACATTCTATTATAAGTTCATCATCCCATGAAAACCAGCAAAAATCTGTTCTCACACAGGCACTTTAAGTATACTTAACCTAAGGTACTATTTAAACAACAGCAACAAAAATAGTAATAATAATATACTTAACATTTATTATATGATTGGCATGGTTCCAAGCACTTTACATAAATTAATACATTTGAACCTGGCTAAAATCCTATGAGATGGGTAATATTTTCTTCATTTTTAAAGACAAAAAAACTGAAACAAAAATAACTCCAATAATTTGCTCAAGGGCACACAGGGATATGGATATCCATCACTCTTATTAGAAATCTAATGAACCCAAATCTCTTAGGTTAACACTCAAGAACTCTTATTCTAACTAGATCTCTCAGTCCTCATCTCTATAAAAGGAGTCCTTGGATATGTTAAAGCAGGAAATAAGAGAATTTAGATTTCAGATTAGAAAGTTAACGCTTAGCCTAATATGAAAGGCCAGCTTGAGGCAAGAAAGACTGGAGATAAGGAGATCTGTTTAAAGAGTCCTTGAGGACAAGAGGGTCTCACCAAAGCAGGAGAAATCAAAAGGAAAGGACAAATATCAGAGATGTGCTGAAGACAGAATTCAGCTGAATAATTAAGCACCAGCTGTAGCAGGCACAGCATTAAGTATTCCACATATGTAACCCAGACATAACTAGATTCCATATGGACACTCTAGGTGGGTGCATCTTGCAGCAGAAAACAGCATATTATCATATCCCCCAAAATGTTACTCAGTAAGAAGGATTTTACTGAAGATTTTACAGAGCTTCAGGTGTTATGCCTTAATACATACATTCTAGAGGGACTGAGTGCCAATTATTCCTGCTCCTTTCATAAAAGTAGGTGCTGCTTCCACTTGGCAGCAGTCTCAATCCCTGCTGGCTGGGCTTCCAACAGTTGTGCTCCCGCACTTCCACATTCATGGTGGCAATGCAAAATGAATGCAGAGGGTCAATTTTCAACAGGTTCCGGGGGAGCACCATGTTTGTATACCCCAGATCTCTTTTCCTCACTGAGGAGTAGACAAATATATCATGCCTTTTTCTTGGACACAATCTGGTTCCTGGCTACTGTTTCATCTAAGCTTTGGAATTTGTTTTTCACATCTCAGCATGGATACCACAACTGGGTGATTGTGGGAGACTTTGCAAGTATTCATGATTGGCCTCATACTACTATTTCAGCCCTGTACTTTCATTTATAACAAAAACTGAAGATGCCATTAAAAATCCAATTGATTTCCATCTCAGGTTGTGTCAGGGGGTGACATCATGTAAAGAAACCAGCAAGACTGTCTGGTGAATGATCACAGAGGCTCAGATTCTCTGGTAACACACTGATCAAGACAGGGAAAATTTATCTTCCCACAAGAAACCCTCATTTAACTTCTTCCAAGGGTGACAAGTATTACTCTCAGACATGTTGACATGTACCAGTGGGGCACTTAAGCCCCAGTAGTAAATTACCTGCATACAGGATTGTTCTCATGAAAGTGCAGAGTGGGGATGGGAGAGTTAAAGGAGGGTAGGGAGGGTTCTTCTAGAGCAAACCTACTAACTCCCTTGTCTCACCCCCACATACTTCCTCTGCTGACCTTTTGCTGGTTAAGTTTGCCAGTAAAACTTGTCCATTAATCCAATAATGTGAGACATTATCTATTTGTCTTTAATATTGCCATACCAAGAAAAATATCTTTTTTCATATATTCTGTATTTTATTTGATCTATGTATTAACCATTTTATAGGTAAAGTTCTAAGAAGATAAATAACTTTTCCAAGCACATGAGTGGCCTGATTGAGATGCTAGCATAGGTCTGTTAGGCTTTGGAAAATGAAAAGAACTGAGGATGATTTCAAAATGTCTTGCTTCAGTATCTAGGACAATGATTCTAATGGAAATATAGATTGTAGAAAGAGAATGGTCTTAGGGTAATAAAATGAATTTAGTTTAAGTTATTTTAACTGTCATGTATAATGGGAGATTGTAAGGTTTACAAATCATATCTCCTAAAATTGATCACAATATAAATGAGAAAAAGAGCTATGTTTAAATCTTGTTTTACCTCAAAATAACTGGCACAGAGCTATTTACACGGCAAGCAATCAAAATATATTTAATTGATTAAGGTAAAAGCAGAGAAATAAAGAAAATATTGTATTAGAAATATTTGGTTGGAAGTCATTTACCAGTTCAAAAAAAAAAAAAAAAAACTATGTAAGTAGGGCTGGGTGCAGTGGCATATGCATGTAGTCCCAAGCACCTGCAGAAGCTGAGGTGGGAGGATCACTTGAGCCCAGGAGTTCCAGGCCAGCCTGGACATCATAGCAAGACACTATCTCTAAAAAGACAGACAAATAAAAACTATATAAGTAAATAATTTTCCTAAGAGAATGAAGCCCAATTTTGTTTTTTGAATTATTTATTCACTAATTCATTTCAGCATTTCTTTCTTTGTTTAATCGAGAGGTTACTAAAAGCATTATTAGGGACACATATCATTCTTAATCTCATAGAGCATAAACTGTCACGGAGAAGATAAAAAATAAATTATTAATTATTAATCAGGTATTTCAAACTGTGATGAGTGCTAAGAAGAAAAAAAAAAAAAAAAAGACCAGAATGCTGTGATAGAAAATATTGGGAAGGAATGATGACTGAAAACCTTTAAATAGTGGTCAGAAAACATGTTGCTGAGAAGAAGGCATCCAAGCTGAGAACGAAGAAGTGGAGGAAGCCAAACACCAGAAGTTTTATGGAGAGGGTGCCACATAGCATGAACAGCACATGTGGAGACCCCAAAGTAAAAAAGAGTCTGGGGCTTTTCCAAGAAATAAGGCTAATTTAACTTCTGCTGTCCATAGGTTGAAGGCCAATGTGCCACTAACAACAAAGTCAGAAAAATTTAAAAATCACGTTTTTAAGGCACAAGAGGACTGTAGAAGCCACAAGGACTAAAGGGAATACATTTCAGAGAAGGAACCTTCGAAAGGTGAGCTAAAGTTCTGCCACTGTCTTCCTGGGGCATAGGTTGTCTTGGACATAGGCTAAAGGATACAAATGAAGAACACAGGTAGCGTTCCACTGCTGGGGGACAGACCAGCTGTTAGAGTAGGTAGATAGGCAGATATGAGCCGGTCAGGATAGGGCCCCAAAGAATGTCCCGGGGGCTGAAGGGTGACTACCAAGCAATGGTCAGGTAGCAGACGACAGGGAGGGGAAAATTTCCTAACAAACAAGAGACACCTTGAACTTGTGAGCAACAACTTCCCGATATGAACTTAAAATGGCAGACGTTGACCTTCCTCTGGGACATGTCCAGGCATGCACATGTCTGTAAGGAGCAAACTGGCGGAGTTTGACTCATATATGACCTTCCTCTGGGGGCGCTACACTGGTATGGGAAAATTGCCCTAGGGGAGCAAGCCCATAACTTCAACTACCAAAGGGTGCATGCAGACCCTCCCAGATACTGAGGCAACACTGTGCTTGCCGCCAGTGGCCAACAGCCTGCCTGGGGGAGGGATGACTAGAAGAGTCTGGGGAAAAAAGCCAGTAAATAGTAAATCTGTAAGAGCCCCGAGCTAACAATCAGGCAGGGCACTCAATCTTTTGAGCTGCACTCTTGGTTCCTTACAAGTGTACTTTTTTTTTTTTTTTTTTTTTTTTTGCTTCATTAAACTCTCGTTTCTGCCTTAAATCTACTTCTGTCTCTTGGCCAAATTCTTTCTCCCAAGAAGAGAAGAATTGAGGACTGTGGACCCTGCACGGAGTCCCCAGTGGTAACAGAACCAGTGGGATCTTTGGTTGTGAAGAGTGGGAGGCTAAAACATTAAGCTGAAGCCTCAGAAAAGCAGACAGGGCTTTCCTGTACTTTCCTAGTGCTTAACAGCAAAAAGTCTGGGAGGAAAATCACAAGAGTTGGAGGCCTTCGGCCAGGCACCGTAGCTCACACCTGAAATCTCAGCACTTTGGGAGGCCAAGAGGGGGTGGGTCACCCGAGGTTAGGAATTCAAGACCAACCTAGCCAACATGGTGAAACCCCGTCTCTACTAAAAATACAAAAATTACCTGGGTGTGGTAATGGGCGCCTGTAATCCCAGCTACTTGGGAGGCTCAGGAGTCTGAGGCAGGAGAATTGCTTGAACCCAGGAGGTGGAGGATGCAGTGAGCCGAGATTGAGCCACTGCATTCTAGCCTGGGTGACAGAGGGAGACTTCGTCTCAAAAAAAAAAAAAAAGAGAAAAAGAAAAAAAGAAAAAAGTTAGAGCCCTGAGAGAGTGATGAAATAACTCTGGTGGTTTCCATTCACTTTTTCACAAGGGCATTTGCCAATATGGGAGTGTCAGCAAATCTAGAGGCTGAGAATCCAAGCTGGGTCCCCACCAAAGAGCTATTGCTGGGGACAGAAAAGCCAGCAGAGCTGGCAGTTTTACAGGGCAGGAGTGACAAAAATGAAGACTTCTGGGGCATCATTATAAAGTAAGTCATTTTCTTAAGACATCTGCCAATGCTGAAGGTACATGGGGTAGGCTAAAGAGTGAAGTCAAAACCTCTCCGAAGATCTAAAATTAGACTGGTGATGGCTGCAGCACAACTCTGTAAATACACTAAAAACCATTGTACACTCAAAATAGGTGAATGTAATCGTTTGTAAATTATTTCTCAATAAAGTTGCTTTTAAAAAAAGGTCTCAAAATCAGAGTGGAAATTCTTACCATGTTTCACCACTGAGAAGAAATCCCAAAGACTCTTTGATGAAAAACCCTGGAGGACCAAGCCCTAAGAACAAGGGCGAACTAGAAATATACTGCAACCCAGCCTCAACCCATCACAGTCCAGGTGATAGACTCCACACCCTATCTGCCCAGTGAAAGGAAGAGTTGAAATTCCCTGGTGGGTAATAACATCAACTGGAACTTCTACTTTTTTTAAATGTATAATACTTGATATTTAAAATTACTAGGCATGTAAAGAGACAGGAGCATATAAGAGTTGTGTAACCAATAACTAAAAGAAACAAATTGGACAATAAATGCAGACCATCTTGTCATGTAACTCAAATATTAGTTAAGAAACAGGGAATTGTCAGGGCAACGTGGTTGGTGGGCACATGGTGCCTGTATACCTCCAGAGGTAGCGGGCTGTCACGGTCTGCTGTCTGCCTCTACGAGCTTAGGTGAGTGCCCCTGGGCACCTCCGGGGGACCGAGGCCGAATGTGGTCCCTGGTGGTGGAAAGCGGGGGCCTGCCTAGGGTTCCAGTGCCTGGCCCATAGCCTTAGGTCCTGGATTCTCCCTTGGCCCCACAGCCTCATGGAAGCTGAGGTCCTGGGGTTCTGGCCTCTGTTGCATTATTATTTCTCTAGAACAATTTTCATTTTTAAATTTTATAAAGCACTCTCACCTGTGTGATCTCCTCTGGGTTTCTTTCTTTTTGTAGAGACGGGGGTCTCACTTTGTTGCCCAGGCTGGTCTCAAACTCCTGGCCTCAAGGGATCCTCCCTCCTTGGCCTCTAAAAATGCTGGGATGACAGGTGTGAGCCACCGCAACTGGCTGCCTCCGAGTTTCGAACCTCATTGGCCTTCCAGCCCATTTAAGCTGTTGGGCCTAGACTCGGGAAAGGTTTGTTGAATGGGGAACAAAGAAGTGAATTCCTTCATTTTACAAACATTTCCTAAGCAACCACTCAGTGCTAGGTGCTGTGCCAGCACAGAAAAGACATGGTGCCCAAAGCTTGGAGCCACCACACAAGGCAGTATGGAAGTACAGAGGAGAGAAAGAAAGCTTCCTTAGACCCATTGCTTGCTGTATTCTCCCTTGTACTTGCCCGACATATACTGTATTTACTGGATTGTTTATTGACTTCCCTACCAGGCATTCAACTTTATTCACTGCCGTGTATCCTTAGTGCCTAGAAGAGTGCTTGGAACATGATTCATCGATTCCAGGCAAATCAGAGGAACAAGCATCATGAACAGAATTTATGTAGAATATGCTATTATGCTGAAGCATAATTGTTGTTTCAGAAGTCCAGCATTGCTGTGGGTATAGCTCAAGGGTAGAGCATTTGACTGCAGAAGTGCAGCATCGAGTACACTTAACAATAAAGAATATATTAAATTCTTTCCAAAATCGGCCAGGCATGGTGGCTCATGCCTGCAATCCTAGCACTTTGGGAGACCAAGGCAGGCAGATCGTGACATCAAGAGATCAAGACCATCCTGGCCAACATGGCAAAATCCCGTCTCTACTAAAAATATGAAAATTAGCCGGCCGTGGTGGCACATGCCTGTAGTCCCAGTTACTCTTGAGGCTGAGGCAGGAGAATTGCTTGAACCGGGAGGAAGAGGTTGCAGTGAGCTGAGACCGTGCCACTGCACTCCAGCCTGGCGATGGCACGTGACTCTGTCTCAAAAAAAAAAAAAATTCTTTCCAAAATCAAAAAAAAAAAAAAGAAATAGGACATTAAAATACCTATGATTATTATGTTCCAGACTATTAAAAAAAAAAGAAGAAGGAAATAAGGCTAATGTAGCTAGACCATATAAGCAAGTGAGATACAAGACTAAAGAAATAGGCAAGAGTTGATCATGTAGAGCCTTCTAGGTCATGGTAAAAAATATATATATTTTTTTTAATTCTAAGTCATGGTTTTAAGTAAGAAAGTAAAATAACCCAGTTTACATTTTAAAAAGCAGAATCAAGAAAACCATGTAAGGAGCTGTAACTCTTATCTAGGTGAGAGATGATGGTACTTTGGACTGGGATTGTTGTAGAGGATTCAAAATATATTTTGGAGGTAGAACCAACACGACTTTCTGATGGATTGAATGTAATTGACTGGAAAAAGAAAGCCATCAAAGGTAACTCTCAGGTTGCTGGTTCAGCAAGATGTAGTAGATTGGTAGTAAAATAGAATAGGAAGCAAAAGGAAAGTCCCACTGAAGTTCAGAGGTTTTCCTAAGATTACTAACTAGCTAGTAGCAAAACAAGGACTAGAGGCCGGGCGTGGTGGCACATGCCTATAATCCCAGCACTTCAGAAGGCCAAGGCAGGTGGATCACTTGAGGTTGGAAGTTCGAGACCAGACTGGCCAATATGGTGAAATCCCGTCTCTACTAAAAATACAAAAATTAGCCAGGCTTAGTGGCATGCACCTGTAGTCCCAGCTACTCAGGAGGCTGAGGCAGGAGAATCACTTGTACCCAGGAAGTGGAGGTTACAGTGAGCCGAGTTTATGCCATTGCACTTCAGCCTGGGCTTCGCACCAAGAATATGTCACAAAAAAAAAACAAAAAAAAAAAAACAAGGACTAGAATATAGGTCTCCTGACTCTTAGTCCAGTACTCTCTAGCATACTAAATTAACTTTTCTTTAGGAATTGTGTTCAGTAGTATTACATCTGTACGTATTTTAAAGACAACACACACGAAGAATTTGCGTTTAGAAGTCCAGTTTCCAAGCGTGGTCAACTAACTAATTCTGTGGCTTTCAACATAGGTAGCAAATGAAAATGTTTTCAGAGATAGGAAACCTAAGATGGATAAAGATCAAGTTGTATGATGATAGAGAATGGGGTGGGGGCATCCTTTGATGAACCTGCAGTGTATATACCACCAGGAGGCATCCAAATTCAATTTTTAAAATATTTTCAACCACTTTCTTGGTGAAACTAAAACAGATTATTATATACAGTTTACCTGCTAATTAGATGCAAATATGTTTGGTACCATGTTATTTTGCCTTTGAGCATAAGCAAAAGATAGGCAATTCCTGTCTAAGTACTCTCTTTTTGCTTAACCACTTATTGAAAATGGCAATGTGTTTCTTTTTCCTTTTTTTTTTTTTTTTTCTTTTTGAGACAGAGCCTCACTCTGTCACCCAGGCTGGAGTGCAGTGGCTCAATCTCAGCTTACTGCAACCTTCCCCTCCTGGGTTCAAGCGATTCTCCGGCCTCAGCCTCCCTAGTAGCCGGGATTACAGGCGTGCACAATCATGCCCAGCTAATTTTTGTATTTTTAGTAGAGATGGGGTTTCTCCATGTTGGCCAATCTGGTCTCAAACTCCTGACCTCAGGTGATCCACCTGCCTTTGCCTCCCAAAGTGCTGGGATTATAGGCATGAGCCACTGCACCCGGGCGGCAATGTGTTTCTAATTACATGAATATTTATATTTAAAATAGAAGTCCAAATTTTATTCCATAAACGAAGAACTAAAAGAGGGCCACACCTAGCTGAACTAATGATCAAAATGTATTGCAATGCAGGGATTATGATTAATACAATACTTTACAACTAAAATCCAAATTAATTAATGGGATTATCTTGCCTGATACATTTATTTTTCCCTAAAGATATGATGCTAGGAATCCTCAACCTCATCACAGAGGGAAGAAACAATAGAAAGAGGAAGAAAAGGATGAACACAAAGAAGAAGCTGCCAGCAATTTTATCATATGGGTATTTAACAAGAAACCTTTGGGGAAAAAAATTGACACAGAAGAAACTATTTTACATCTATTCCATGAAATTACTTTTGCTTAAAGAAAATGTTTAATTGTTTATGTTTCAGTTGGGAAGCCATCCAGCTAAAATATTTCTTAACAGTTTGTAATTTCTAAATATATTAATATAGAACCAAATTTAGCAGGGATCCATGTACTTGCCTTTGACTAAATGCCTGGATTATATGCTTAATTCTTAACTTATTCTTAATTTGTAATTCAGAAATTACAAAACTGTCAAGAAATATTTTAGCTGGATGGCTTCCCAACTGAATTTGGTAGCTTGCCCCCTTCTGCTTACAAAAATATATGAGTGTACACCAAAATTGTGCGCATATAAGAAATCAAACACTGACTTTACAATAATTCATATTAAAAAATCTGAGACTTTTAGGTGATGACAAGCTTAGTGTGAACCAATACTGCAATAATTACCACTATTACTTCTACTGTTACTACTGTTTCCACTGATAATAATAGCAATATTTGATTCTAGTCAAAGTAGTATTATAAGATTACCCATTAAATAAACAACTTTATTATCTACCCATAGCAATGACAAAATATGTGCATATATTTTGGAAGTTGTATTTGTGCTTAAGATGATATTAACTAGACATTCATAAATCAGAAATAATTAAGTTGGGTTAGGACCCCAGACCACGTGAGCTTCCAGATCAATCCAGAACAAATATGTAGGTGATCAATTTCTAGGTGGTTGATTAGAAACCATAAACCCCAAACACATTTTAGACATCAGGGTGAGTTTTGTAACATGAATCCAGTGGTGACCGGGGCTCCTTGCCATGGCCAAAGTCTTTATAAAAAGGTCCATCCATGCTAGAGAGAGTATCAACAGTTAAGATTCCAAACTTGGGTCAAGCAAACCTGCTGACTTAGGAAATGACTCTCATAATGCTTCAGGATCACACACCCATGCCACCAAAATAAGGTCTGATTCCAAGCTGAGGATTTCAGCACACTGGGCAAAGGCAGTTGTAACATACAAACATAGAGATATGTGCAGGGAAAAAGGAGGGAAAAACACATACATGTGTACATAAACATACACATAAATTCTACACAAGATGAACCTGGAAATGAAAATTTCCAAGCGCATGAGAACAATGAGCATCATAAAGATCAAAAGACAGGAGAAATTACTCTAGAATAATAGCAAATATTAAAGCATTCTTCTAAGAGGGACTTTAAAATCCTCTAGTTATGAGGAGGAGGAAAAGAAATATAATAAAAATGATAACAATATTGACACAAAATAATGGCAGCTAAAATATATTGAGTACTTTTGTCACTAAAGTTGACTGACTTATTTAATACAACAAATCACTGAGGAAAATATAGGGGGAAACGGCAATTTTTGCCTGAGCACCATTAAATCACTGAAACTCTACTTAGCTTCTCAATTTCTAGACACTGGCATTAGCAAACACCTTAAGAGAAAAAAAAAATGCTGCCAAATGCTGGAGATTCCTTTGTGGACTTCCCTTCACCCCCCTGAGTCTTACTCTCATTTCCAAAAGTAAAATCAATAATTATGGAGCAAAGACAGGAAGATATGAATCAAGAATAAGTAGAGCTAGAGGAAAACTAAAATCATAGAAATGAAAAATACAATCACTGAAACAAGAAAGGTTAGGATAAAAATCCAACTGATGAGAGAATTGGTGAACTGGAGGATAGTAGTTAGGAATGTACCCAAAACAAAATATAGAGGATAAAGAAAAAAAAAAACTTAGAGATACGAAATAAGGAGAATAGATTAAGAAACTCCAACATATACCTCATAATTGTTCCCAAATGAAAGAACAGAGAACATGGTTGAAAATTTTGCTGAATTAAAGAAAAACAGAAGTCATCAGGAGGAAAATTATTGGTGCACAACAGAACAAATTAAAGTAAATCCACACCGCTGAGTTGTATTGTGGTAAGAGTGATGTTTCCATGGAGCTGCACACTGCTCTGAGTGCTTCACATAGGAATCTGCTTCTGGCAACAGGTTTTTCAGATTATCCTTCCAACTGAGAACAACTCAGAAGTATGGAATTTTTTTTTAGTTTATGTAAAAGCATAAGAAAAGTCCCAAGAAAGTGAAGATCTGGGGTGCCACCGTCTAAGCAGAGGAAAGAGGCCCAGAGAGCTAAGCTCTTCCCCTTAAGGGAATTGCCAACTCTGAAAATGGCAGCTGAGGGCCGAGAAGCTGAGCGGAGCTTTACAGCAATTCATGAGGCTACAAAAATTTGAGTTCAATGATCACACACAAAGAAGATCCCTAAGAAATACCACATGGTTTTGATTGAAATTTTATAGAGCTACACCCTAGGAATAATGCTGAACTAGAATTAAACCACATGTAGGTTCATCATGGTCAAGCAGTTAAAAACCAGACAGAAAAAAAACAAAATAAAAAACAAAAACAAAATAAAAAACAAAAACAAAAACTTGAAAGCTGTAAAGCAAAAAAAAAAAAAAAAAAAAAAAAAAAAAAAAAAAAACCCTTCAAAGGAATTAACCTTTTAATTAACAAATTAACCTCACAGCTGATTTCTAGACAGAACTAGTAGAAGCCAAAGACAATAAAATTATATTTTGAAAGAACATAAAGAAAACATCTGCTATATCGATTTCTATAAACAGCAAAAATACCTTCCAAAAACAAAACTGATAAAAATAAATTTTTAAAGAAAAGCGCAAACTGAGAGAATTTTTCATGAACAAAGCTGCACTAAAATAACAAATGTCATTATGTAGATAGAAGGAAAATGATTCAAGTGGCAAGGCTAATTTGTGGGTAAGTGAACACAGACTGAATAAACAATATGTGTGGGGATATATCTTTGTGGGGATTAAAATAAAATATGAAGAAAAATAAAGACA
This sequence comes from Homo sapiens, assembly GCF_000001405.40. Classification (NCBI taxonomy): domain Eukaryota; kingdom Metazoa; phylum Chordata; class Mammalia; order Primates; family Hominidae; genus Homo; species Homo sapiens. The sequence goes on along the minus strand of NC_000005.10, from coordinate 41,114,597 downwards.
GAATTCAATATGTGAAAATGACACCACATAATTTGAGAAAAGGATAAATGGAGTTAAAGTGTTCTAAGGTCTTCACATTGTCTAAAACATGTCCATGTATTAATTTATATTAGACTTTTATAAATCAGGATTGCAGACTGTAATCTCTGGATCAATAACACCTAAACAATAGTAAAAACATATCTAGTTATAAGTTAACTTAATACTTTAAGTGTAAGAAATAAAATTTAAAACAAGTCAAAGGAGGAAAAAGAGATTAAGCATAGTTAAGATAACTAGAAGGCAAATATCAGGATAAAAAATATATATCAGTAATTACATTCAATATAAAACAAGTATATTTCATCAGTTTGGGTCCTCCATGAAGCAGGTACCAAGATGAAATGAGAGGTACAAAGCATTCAGTGGCAAAAATAAAAGGGCAGAGAAAACAGAAGTATACAGGAGGAGTCTCAGACCACCATGCGGGTCTGATACCCACAAAAAAATAGGAGGAAAGAAGGAGGATGGAGAGGGGAAAATGCCAGGCTGCAATGCAGTTCTAAGGAAGAGTCAGCCAGGCTGATGTGGAGCCCCAGAGCAAAGACTGCAAGACATGGGAAAGATAAAGCTTGGCTCTAGTACCCCTGCCATGCTTACTTATTGATTGAGAACAACCTAAGTGAAGAATGACCTTGGGCTGAATGCAGCAGTAGATCCCAAAGCAGCTGGAGGCTGTCAGCTAACAACACTCCTTACAGTAGCTTCTCTCTTAAAAATATCTGTGCAACATACCTCATAGGTGTCACAGTCCACCCTTTGAGCTATATGGATTCACATCTCCACACATGTTCACACAGCAACTTCTGTGGGCCTTCCTTCCTGAGGAAAACATAGAAAAGGAAAGTTAGTAAGACAAACTGTTTCCCCTGCCACTACAGTTGACCATGGGCTGCAACTGGTGCTCACTGTGTCCCTACTTCACTATCCATCCTCAATTCTCCTTAACCTCTGCTATCATCGCTGTGAGTTTTAATGCTTATCTGATAATACTACCCAAACCCTCATTTCTGAAAGGTCTGAGACTCTGGTAATCAGACTCTCATTAGGACAAGGTTGCTGCATCTGTGTATTCACAATTACAACTGGGGAAGAAAGCAACAAAATGGACCCACTTGAATCCCTTGGATTCCATATTCCTTGGAATATCATACATTTGTGCCTGTTTCCATTGTTAAAACATCCCTACTTACATGATCCTGGGTATATCATTTTGATCTCTAAAGTCTTAATTCTGGATATACTACTTCTATTGTGCAACGGGCCACAGCTGGCTTCTCTGGCCTTATGATTTGGCAGGTCTGGCAAAACCCAGATTATAATAAGAAATTAGGGATGCATGGTCACTTGGTAACCATGATTAAGTATTCTACCAGGACTCAGTGGCACTCCAGGGGCTGTTTCTCAGAAAGTATGTCATTCTGTACTGCATATGGCTTGGTCTTTTTCCAGAACAACAGAAGCCTGCATTGTAATTATTTCACTGGTGCTGGCCATAAATTCCATAATGAATCTTTTTTAAACATAGCATACTTCCAATAGCATAGTGTTGACTGGACCATATGGTGCAAGGGGCAAGAGTGCTGTGTCATAGCTGATAGCCTTTTGTGTATACGGGCCAGGGCACAGTTTCTAGGTGTAGAATATACTGCCTCTAGAACCAAAAGAGGACCATTAGGCATTGTGCAGCAATTTATCTTTTATTTTGGAAGAGATATCCTGACACACTCCTGAGTATGTGCCCTAAAAACTTTACCCATGTGTCAAGGCCATAAGTCTCCATAAATGTATCTTCCATTCTCTGCATTACCAAGCCCTAGTTACCTCTTGCTTCTCTTGCCCAATCAGCATGATATCATCAGTGTAATAATGGGTCAGTGTGGTCTTCTGTGGGATATCCAGATGGTCCAGGTGGTTCCAATCTCCTTGAACTATGTTATGACAGAAAGTAGTAGAGTTAGTATCTAAGGCAAAACTAAATTAATTGTTGTTCACATGGGTGCACATTGTTTCTGTTCTACTAAGAATGGAAAAGAACACATTTACCAAATAAAAGATCACACAGTATGTCCCTGAGACATAATTGCTTTGCTCCACCAATGATACCGTGTCTGGCATGGCAGCTGCAGTTGGGGCTGTCCCTTGGGTGACAGTTGAGTAGTGGATTCTTTAGCAACCATCTAATTTCTACAGGGGCCAGAGTGGCTAACCAGATGGATATGATAGGAAACTCCACCCATGCATCTTTTAGATCTTTAAGTTTGACAGTAGTATTCATACATACACACCAGAATAGTTTTATATTTAATGTCTTGTCTGGCATTTTAGACAGCTTCAAGTCTTACATTTGTCCTTTCCCCACATAGTAGCTCTTAACCCACAAGCCAAAAACGCCATGTGAAGGTTTGTTGGCAACCATGGCAATCCCAATTATTCACCAGTGACAAGGAATAGGCCCGTTATAAGGCAGGCTTTAGCCAGCACTCCATATTTTATCCACCTCCCTGGTGTCTCCACACTAAGAAGGAAGCTGCAGTGATCCTTCAAGTCTCAAGGTGTCAATGTCAGCTCAGACTCTGTGTCCAATAGTCCTCAAAAATATGTGGACATTGTCATTTCCCCTATGTACAGTGTATAGTGACCCAAGTAAATGGCCCCAAGTCCATTTGGGGAAGACCTAGAGATATTTTTATAGTACATACTTGCCATGGCATTGCAGGGTTTTTCTTCTTGATCTTGCCATCCCTAGATTTACTGAATTCCTAATTTGACAACTGGCTAAGCATAGAAAACTCAGCTGAGCAAGGAATCATGACCTTTTATTTGGCAGCCATTTCCCAGCCTTCAGTTCCTTTATTCTTGCCTTCTTCGGATGGTAAATGTAAGTAGTACCCTCTGTGGCTGTCCCTCTCATTGGCTGCCCTTCTGAGCCATACCCAATGTTCTGAATGAATAGAGTGTCCTCTGGGTCTTTCCATGTAAGGTAATCCTCTGGTGAGTCTTCTGGCCTCATAATATACCCACTCCTGCATGCTCATCTCCCTCAGCATTTTTGCTTCCTCTAAAATCTGCCTTAGCAACTCAAGCATTTCAATTTCACTCAGCAGGGCTACTACTTTTTCCAGGCTTCTGAGAACCATCCAAGCAGTTAACTTTACCCATCCCCTAGGGTCTCTGACAGGGTGTTAAATCCCATGTTTGAGAAAGTATTCATAAGTCAGTGAAGTCTTACTTTTGTTTTAAAAAAGATAGCAAATACAAACCAAAGTATTTGCAACTGAAATGTATGATATCTGTGATTTTCTTTCAATGTTCCAACAGAAAGCTAAATAAAATACAATGTTTATGCATGGAGAGTGCTGAATGAACTTAGAATATGAAAATGTTAGTAATCATTGAAACTGGTTGATAGACACATAAGAGTATGTGTCTTCCCTCTTTTGTGTGTATATTTGAAAATATCCATAATGATATTAGATTCCCTCTTTTGTGTGTGTATATTTGAATATATCCAAAATGAAAAGATAAACAACAAAAAGACATTAGAAAGCTTCAAATATTTTATTTTCCTGTGGAGTTTCAATGTTGGATTTTTTTAATGGAAGGTAGAAAGAAAAGTTTAAATGTAGTGAGACTGGGCAATGTAAGAGGAGAGCAAATGAAAGAAGAGAAAGGAAAGAGGAAGAGAAAAAGAGGAGAAGGAAGAGGAAGGGGGAGAAAAAAAGGAATGCCCTGTATATAATAGGGTCTGGTGGAGATTAAAAACTTATATATAACTGAAATACCTCCTCTTCAACATTTTTTGTTTGCCTTCACTTTAATTGAAAGACCTTGTTCCCACATAAGCAAGTTCCACATATTAAACTCAAGTGATAATATATCACTGCATTCATTTCCTTTCTTTGAGATACTTCAATCAAGTTTTCAAATGGTTATGTAAGTAAAGTGAATTACGAGGCTGAGAGAGAAAAAGTAGCAAATAACTTTTGTAGATTTAGAAAAGAAAGCAAGTTTCAGAAACTACAAATGATTTGTCCACATTGCTGAAATTAATAAGAATGAAGTTAATTTCCCAGCACTTTGGGAGGCCGAGGCAGGTGGGATCACTTGAGGTGATGAGTTCGAGACCAGCCTGGCCAACATGGTGAAACACCCATCTCTACTAAAAATGCAAAAGTTAGCTGGTGTGGTGGTGTGTGCCTGTAGTCCCAGCTACTCAGGAAGCTGAGGCAGGAGAGTCACTTGAACCTGGGAGGTGGAGGTTGCAGTGAGCCAAGATCACGCCACTGCATTCCAGCTTAGGCAACAGAGCAAGACTCTGTCTCAAAAAAAAAAAATGAAGCTAACTTAAGACAACTACCAAAATAAAAATCTTTCCCATCTCTGTCCATCACTGTTTCTTTGGTGTTTTATTTTTTTTTTCTCTAATAATTGAAAAACTATACTGGTAATATATGATAAGATTCATATTATGAAAGACTGTTAATTCTTCTCCATTTGCCTATTCTTCTCTCCCTAGATAGTGTCACAGAAGAGAGAAGATAATATGGGTATAGATATAAACATGAGTAAAGATAAAAATAAGATAGACATATAGATTATGTAGTTATAAAGACAGATCTTTTTTACACACATAGGGCCATATTTTACATATTGGTCTGCAACCTTTTTATTCTATTAACAATAGGTCTTTGATATCTTGTCATATCAGTACATATATGTCTACTTCATGACATTTTATATTATAATTATAACATGCTCTACTTAATGACTTTCCAACTGACGAATGTCATGGATTGACTTGTGTTTCCCTAAAAGATATATTAAAATCCTAACCTTCAGTACTGGTGAATGTGATGTCATTTCAATAGAGTCTTTGCAGATGTAATTAAGTTATCATGAGGCATACTGAATTAAGTTGGGCTGAAATGGCTGGTGTCTTTGTAAGAGACAAAGACACATAGATGCAGACACAGGAGAGAATACTAGGGATTGCTGACAAACCACTAGCAGCTTGGAATAGGCAAGAAAGGATTCTGCTCTAAAGGTTTCAAGAGGGAGTATGTATTTGCTAATGCCTTGTTTTTTGACTTCTAGCCTTCAGAACTGTAGGATGATTAATTTTTGTTGTTTTAAGCTGCCATTTTGTGGTATGTTGTTATGGCAGCCTTAGGAAACTAATGCAGTGAATATTTAGATCATTTACAAATGTTTACACTGCAATACCATCTATGTGCACAGGGAATATCTCTCTTTAATACATCATCCAAACTCAATCAGCCAACAATTCCAAAACATTCCAACAAGAGGGAAGATGTCCTAGGACTCAGGGGGATCTCACTTAAAATCAGAGAGGAAAATTCATATAACTGTGATGGTCATTGTTATAATAATAAAAAAAGATACTTATGGTTTGAGGGATGTTCTGTATCGTATTTAAAGGAGGCACAATTATTTCACTGAGAAAAGATAGTTGTGTTCAATTACTGATAAATGTTTTTTTAAAAAGATACCCTGGAAAGACCTAGCCAGAGCAATCAGAGAAGAGAAAGAAATAAAGGGCATCCAAATTGGAAAAGCAGAAGTCAAACTGTCACTGTTCACTGATGATATGACTGTATATCTAGAAAACCCTAAAGACTCATCCAAAAAACTCTTAGATCTGATAAATGAATTCAGTAAAGTCTCAGGTTACAAAATCAATGTACACAAATCAGTAGCACTGCTATACATCAACAATGACCAAGCTGAGAATTAAATCAAGGACTCAGTCCCCTTTACAACAGCTGCACATATATATATGTGTGTGTGTGTGTGTGTGTGTGTGTGTGTGTAATATATATATATATAATATTTAGGAATATACTTAACCAAGGGGGTGAAAAATATCTATAAGGAAAACTTACAGATAAAACTTATAGAAAAAACAAAACCCTGCTGAAAGAAATCATAGACAACACAAACCAATGGAAACACATCCCATGCTCATGGATGGGAAGAATCAATATTGTGAAAATGACCATACCGCCCAAAGCAATCTACAGATTCCCTGTCACTTCCATCAAAATACCATCATCATTCACAAAACTGGAAAAGAAAATCCTAAAATTCATATGGAACCAAAAAGGAGCCTGCATGCCAAAGCAATACTAAGCAAAAAGAACAAAACTAGAGGCATCACATTACCTGACTATATGACAAGGATATCATTACCAAAACAGGATGGTACTGGTATTTAAAAAGGCACATAGACTGCCTGGGTGCGGTGGCTCAAGCCTGTAATCTCAGCACTTTGGGAGGCCGAGGTGGGTTGATCATGAAGTCAGGAGTTCGAGACCATTCTGGCTAACACCATGAAACCCCTTCTCTACTAAAAAATACAAAAAAAAATTAGCCAGGCATGGTGGCAGGCGCCTGTAGTCCCAGCTACTCGGGAGGCTGAGGCAGGAGAATGGCGTGAACCCAGGAGGTGGAGCTTGCAGTGAGCCGAGATCATGCCACTGCACTCCAGCCTGGGCAACAGAACAAGACTCTGTCTCAAAAAAAAAAAGTCATGTAGACCAATGGAATAGCATAGCAAACCCAGAAATAAAGCCGAATACTTACAGCCAACTGATCTTTGACAAAACATATAAAAACATAAATTGAGGAAGAGGCACCCTATTTAATAAATGGTGCTTGGAAAACTGGCAAGCCACGTGTAAAAGAATGAAACTGGATCCCCATCTCACCTTATACAAAAATCACCTCAAGATGGGTCAAAGACTTAAATCTAACACCTGAAACCATAACAATTCTAGAAGATAACATCAGAGAAACTGATCTGGACATTGGCTTAGGCAAAGGATTCATGACTAAGACACCAAAAGCAAATGCAACAAATACAAAAATAAATAAATGGGACCTAATTAAACTAAAAAGCTTCTGCAGAGCAAAAAAAAAAAAAAAAAAAAAAAAACAAATCTGTAGAGTAAGCAGACAACCCATACAGTAGGAGAAAATATTCGCAAACTACGCATTTGACAAAAGTCTAGTATTCAGAATCCACAAGGAACTCAAACAAATCAACAAGAAAAAAACAAATAATCTCATCAAAAAGTATGCAAAGGACGTGAATAGACATTTCTCAAAAGGAGGTATGCAAACAGCCAACAACATTTGCTCTTGGCCTTTTGGCTAAGATCAAGTGTACAAACAGCCAACAAACATGAAAAAGTGGTCAACATCACTAATCAGGGAAATGCAAATTAAAAACACAATGAGATACACCTAACTCCTGAAAGAATGGCCATAATTAAAATGTCAAAAAACAATAGATGTTGGCATGGATGTGATGCAAGTGGAACCCTTTTACACTGTTGGTGGGAATGTAAATTAGTACAACCACTATGGAAAAAACTATGGAGATTCCTTAAAGAACTAAAATTAAAACTACCATTTGATCAGCAATCCCACTACTTACTAATTATCTACCCATGGGAAAAGAAGTCATTATATGAAAAAGGCACATGCACATGCATGTTTATAGAAGCACAATTTGCAATTGCAAAGATATGGAACCATCTAAATTCTCATCAACCAACGGGCAGATAAAGAAAATGTGGTATATATACACCACAGAACACCAATCAGCCATAAAAAGGAACAAAATAATGTCTTTTGCAGCAACTCAGATGGAGCTGCAGCCCATTATTCTAAGTGAAGTAACTCAGGAATGAAAAACCACATATCATATGTTCTCACTTATAAGCGAAAGCTAAGCTATGAGGATGCAAAGGCACAATAATAATATAATAGACTTTGGGGACTTGGTTGGGGTAAGATTGGGAGGGGAGTGAGGAATAAAAGATTATACATTAGGTATAGTGTACACTGCTCAGGTGATGGGTGCACTAAAATCTCAGAAGTCATCACTAAAGAACTTATCCGTGTAACCAAAAATGACCTGTACCCCAAAAACTTTTGAAATTCTTTTAAAAATAAAATTTTTAAAAGATACTCTGCAACTTCATTATACAAGAATGGTATAATACTATATGTCAAACTTGAACGATTTATGCAATCATCTTACAGGAAAACATTCTTATAAACTACAGATATTTAAATTATTTTCATTATAGTGTTTAGTATATACTTTTTATATATATTGAATCACACTATGATATATTGTTCTGTGACTATTTTTTCACTTAATATGTTTGGAGTATTTTTCATGAAGGAATATGCAGAGAAGTCATATTTCTCTCTCTCTCTCTCTCTCTCTCTCTCTCTCTCTCTACTACATTCTTAGAAATTAAGAGGCAACCAACATTCAACATTTGGCTCTTATAAATCATGCAGTATTGAGCATCATTGAACATAAATTTTCATCCAGAAGTATCGCTAAGCATCAGATTTCTAGAAGTGGGATTTCTATATCAAGTGAGATGATATACAAATGGCAAATAAGCATACAAAGGGATGTTCCACATCATACATCATTAGGGAATAGCAAATTAAAACAACAGTGAGATACTGCTACACACCTTTTTGAATGGCTAAAATCCAAAACACTGAAAACATCAAATACCGACAAGGATATGAAACAATGGGAACTCTAATTCATTTACTGACGGAATCCAAAATGGTACAGCCAGTTTGGAAGACAGTCTGGCAGTTTCTTACAAAACTAAAGATCGTCTTACCATACAATCCAGCAATTATGTTCTTTAGTATTTGCCAAATGAGTTGAAAATGTATGTCCACACAAAAACCTGCACATGAATGTTTATAGGACTTTACTTATTATTGCCAAATCTTGTAAGCAATCAAGATGTCCTTCAATTGGTAAATGGATACAGAAACTGTAGTACATCCATACAATGGAATATTATTCACCAATAAAAAGAAAAGAGCTCAAGTCATGAAAAGACACAGAGCAGCCTTAAATGCATATTACTAAGTGAAATAAGCTAGTCTGAAACAGATACATAATATATGATTCCAACTATATGACACTGTGAGAAAAGCACAGCTATGGAGATAGTAAAAAGATCAGCTGTTGCCAGGGAATTAGGGGGAGAGAGGGATGATTAAGTAGATAGAGCACAGAGGATTTTTAGGGCAGTAAAATTATCTTCTATGGTACTGTAATGGCAGATACATGATATTATACATTTGTTAAAACCCATAAAACTATACAACACAAAGAGTGAATCCTAATATAAACTGTGCACTTTAGTTAATGATAATGTATTAATACTGGTTCACCAATTGTAACAAGTATACTACACGAATGAAAGATAATGATAACAGGAAACTGGTGAGAGGGAAAATTGTATGAGGACTCTGTACTTTCTACTCAATTTTTATGTAAATCTAAAACTGCTCTAAAAAATGCCCACTTTTCTATTCAACACCATGTTGGCTACTATATATATATTTTTTTACCTTTGTCAATCTGAGCACAGAAAGACATCAATTACTATTTGGGTTGCATACTATTTTTCAGAAAAACATTTAATACATACAAAAAGTAGTACTTATAAGTTATGGTCACATACTAACTTATTTTTCCATTTACATGCTATTAGAGAATAGCAACTATAATTGATGCTGCTTGGAAGAAGCAAAAATCTAAAAAGACCCTCAATAATCTGTCTGTTGTCAACTTCTTACTAAAGCTTCAATCAATAAATAATGGCACAAACAGAAGTTCCAAGCAGATTAAAGGATTAAATATATTTTTCATGATAGCTATAAAAAATATTGGAAATTAAGGGTGACAAATATTTTTAAGCATAAAATAAATGAAAAAATTACGAAGACAATGACCTTTTTTATTCCAAAAAATATATAATTTCTGCTGTTCAAAACAAATAAAAATCCCACCAAAATAAGAAGGTAAAGAACTGCCCAAATTGTTTTTGTGAACTTTCTAGGCTACAGCTCACCACTTTCTTTCTCATTGAGCTTACTGGATTCTAACCACTCTTAATACACAATATCAGAGAAAGGTGCTAATACTTTGGAGGAATATAAACTCACAACCCAAAATAATAATAAATTTAAGGAGTACAACTTCTTCCAAAAAAAATTAATCAACATATACCATTGGAAATGAAATAAATATAATAACAGTCCGAGAATTCTTAAATAAGTATGATAAATATACAAAAGGAAATTAAGAAATTATGAGTAGGAAATAAAAGTAATGAACTTTCTAAATTAATAATTAAAGTTAGAAATACTAGATCAGAAAAAGGTAAATTGAAAAAACACAATCAATGAGATAAATACTAAAATGAATACACCTGAACAAAGAATTAATGAATTCTTTCTAGCAATTCTAGAAATGTTCCTAATGGAATAGAAAGAAGAGAATAATGCAAAAATATAAAAAGAAAATTTAAGAAAAATGACAATAAGATTACAATTGCCAGCATGTGGATAATAAAACTTCCAGAAGAAGAAAAATATAAAAATAATGAGGAGGAGATACTTAGAAAATAATTGTTATCATCCTTCAGAGTCAAGTAAGATAAATACCTTCACATTGAAGGAATACAGAGAATACCCTACAGGAGAGATTAAAACTATATCTAGATGCAATATAGTAAATGTTAAGAACATAAAAAATAGGCCGGTTGAGGTGGCTCACACCTTTAATCCCAGCACTTTGGGAGGCTGAGGCAGGTGGATTACCTGAGGTCAGGAGTTCAAACCAGCCTGGCCAACATGGTGAAGCCCTGTTTCTACTAAACATACAAAAATTAGCGGGGTGTGGTGGTGCATACCTACAATCCCAGCTACTCGGGAGGCTGAGGCAGGAGAATCACTTGAACCTCGGAGGTGGAGGTTGCAGTGAGCCAAGATAGCCCCATTGCACTCCAGCCTGGGCAACAAGAGCCAAACTCCGTCCTGCCCCATCCCCCGCCCCAAAAAAAAGAATATAAAAAAAAAAGAAAAAATAAAGCTTCCGGGAAGGAAGAGCAAATTCCCTACAAAGGAAAAAGAATCTGTTTTAATCAGACCCTCAAATAGCATCAATGGATGCAAGAAGAAAATGAAAGAACAGTTTTAAAATGTCAACAGGAAAGAACTTAAACCTTGAATTGTATACCCAGACAAATTGTCACTCAGATGTAAGGGTTTAATGAAAATATTCCTAGACATAAAAGGCCTTAGAAGATTTGTCACAAAAAGTCCCTTATTGGATAGCTTTAGGAAAAGTACTCAAATTATTAATAGAAAGCAAATAAACACAGGAGATTCTGTGAGAGAAATTAAGGGTAATCAAACATATTCATTAATTTTATTGCTAAAAAATAAAGAAATAAATACCAAAAAATTACATATATCAAATAACCCATAAGAAGACATAACAAAAAAATCTAACTGTGAATGGTGGGGGCAGGTGAGAAAGAAACAAAGGGACAGGAGAGATGTTGATACTCTGTTTTCTAGCAAAAGACATGATTTCAGGATGAGGAGAAATTACTTAATGGCTACCGTGTACATTATTCAGGTGATAAATTAAAGCCTTGACTTCACCACTACTTAACGTATCCATGTAACAATATTACACTTGCACCCCATAATTTTGTTTTTTTTTTTAAAAAAAGAAATGTTAAAAGTAAAAGAATAGAAAACTATCATGCAAATAGAGATATGTATAGTTAACTTTTAAAAAAAATTATCATGGAGATGAGTTATTACATAATTATACAATGTTCAATTCACCGGGAAAATGTAGCACTTTAAAACATGTATGCATCAAATAAAGTAACCTTAATATAAATAAAGCAAAAGTTGATAACTTGTAGGGGGAATTTAGTAAATCATCTTTATAGTAGATGATTTTTATATATCTCAAAACTGTTGACAGGTGATGCAGAAAACAATTTAGAAGAGTTTTAGATGGTTTGAACACAACCAAAGTATCATCATGAACATATTCTTATGTGACTCACAGTCCAGAAAGTAATCTTGATGAGATCCTGGAGTTCATTTAGGGCATTTGCATACCAATGCTGTTGATAGCAATCAGAGATCTTGTGATTCTCCCTTCCCTGATATGTTAAAGTACAGTTCCCTACATAGCCACTCAAAAGGAAAGGGAGGAACTAAGCCCTCATGGCCATTTGACACAAAAGGTTTGTCCCTTCTCACATATATAGAAGTGTGCACTCAGCTAAAGTAAAGATTTTTCCAAACCATGCATACAACATTTACAAAATTTGACCATCTACTGAAACATATCAGTCCCCAACAAATTTTGATGAATAGATGACATAAAAAGTGTGTTCTGCAGCCATAATACATTTCAGATAGGAGCTAATAAAAAAATGATAAATTATGGATACCTGCATATTAGAAAATCTTTTAAAATATATTTTTAAATACCTCTTAGGTCAAGAAAGACACCATAATAAAAAATTTTAAGTACTTACAAATGAATGATAATCAAAACTGATATTATCAAAATTTCTGGGAGGCAGTGACAGTGGTGCTTCATATATAAGAATTATATTTTTAGATCACATACCTTTAAGGCTAGAGATTAAAGAGCTAAAACAACAGAATAAATCTAAAAGAAGTAAAAAGATCATAAAGATGAGAGAAGATACAAATGAAATTTTTTTCAATATATAATGGAATCAACCAAATCAAATTCACAATTCTAATTAAGTAGACAATATTTTTGGTATGAATGGTCATGGAGGGAAAACAGAGAGACAAGAAATAATATTTTAAATGAAAAATTGGAGCATAACTGTAAATACTGCAGAGACTGAAAAGAAAATAGAGGGAATACAATTTAATGCTAACAAATTTGAAAGCTTAAGAATAATTAATAAATGCCTTTAAAAATTTAACAAAACTGACTAAAGGAGATGTAGAAAGATTGCATTTTCCTATAACTAGTAAAGGATATAAATTAAAAATTTTAAAATTTCCTACAGAGGAAAAAGCAGGTCTAGATGGTCATACAGTTTATTCTAAACCAGTGGTTCCCTACCTTTTGGCAACAGGGACCAGTTTCATGGAAGACAATTTTTCCACAGGATGGAGCAGGGAGGGAAAGAATGGAGGGGATGAGCGGATGGTTTGGGGATGAAACTGTTCCACCTCAGATCATCAGGCATTAGATTCTCTTAAGGAGCAAACAACCTAGATCCCTCCATGTGCAGTTCACAATAAGGCTCCCGCTCCTATGAGAATCTAATGCTCCTGCTGATCTGACAGGAGGTGGGGCTCAGGCGATAATTGTTACTTACCCGGGGCTCACCTCCTCCTCACTGGTTCATGGTCCAGGGGGCTGGGGACCCCTGTAATCTAAACAATTCTTCCAGAAAATAGTATTAGAGGAAACAGACTTCAATTCACTTGTCAAGTCTTTAACAATAAGAGAAGACAAGATACAGCATATAAAAGAAAAATTGCAAGCTCATTATATCCATGATAAATATAGATGTAAAAACTATAATGAAAATACTAGCAAACCTTACTCAAAAGTGTATGAAAATGTATCATCCCCAAATTGTTTATCCCAGAATTACAAGCTGAGTTAATATTAGAAAATCTATAAATACCATTTTCTATCTATATGAGTACATTGAGATCAATATTTTATTAAATTCAAAACCCATTCATGATAAAGCTCTGGCTCTTAGAAAACTAGAAATGGAAAGATAACTATTTTCTTTTAACCTACAACAAGCATGATCTTATGTGAGGAAACATTAAAGGAGTTGCTATATGAGATCAAATGGTTTTATAAGTGTTTGGCAAGTTCCTCCTTCACTTGCTTCTCCTTGTGAAGAAGTTGCCTGCTTCCCCTTCACCTTCTGCCATGATTGTAATTTTCCTGAGGCCTCCACAGTCATGTGGAACTGTGAGTAAATTAAACATCTTTTGTTTATAAATTACCCAGTCTCAGGTAGAATATTTACAGCAGTATGAGAATGGACTAATACAGCCCTTCATAATATAGAAAAAATCAATAAATATCCAAGAAAATGCAAATCAAATCGCAATGAAAAATAAATGTACTCCCATACTATTACGAAAAATAAAATCTGACAATACCAAGCGTAAGAGGATAGCTACTATTGGGTCCCTTTATGTATGGCTGATGGAGTGTAATTATCATAAACACTTTGGAACATACTGTAGTATTATACTGTATAGTTAAGCAGCCATATACTCTACAACTTAGCAATTCCACTTATAAGGGTATAACTAGGAGAAATTCCTGTACTTTTTGCTGGCAGACATGAGAAAAAGTCCATATTATTTCTAGGTTGTAATAGTGAAAAACTAGAAATAACCAAAGTGTCACAAAAATTCTCATTATAGAAAATATGGGTAAAAATAAAGAAGAAAATATAAGAATGTTATCTTCAGTATTTTTCCTATGTGTAAATACAATTTAATGGAATAATACTATAAATGCAGTTTTGTATTCTAACCTTTTGAGTTCACAAATGGGCTGATATTCAGCTAGAAGGCACAGTACAACCCTTTTAGTTTCCAAAATATCAAAATATTTCCACCGTGGTCAGAAATGGCTGTTGGCCCAAGTCTTCTCATTTGCCCCTAGGAAACTTGCCTCAGCTCCACTCCTGGACTTCCTTACATTTCAACCACTAGAGGAATATTTCTGACACTGTCAGAGGGTTCCAGATCTCTACTTCAGCATAATGGTCAGAATCCCATCTGATAAGTTGCACCTGTACCATACAGGTACACTATGCCCATGTAATGCATTTTTTAAATTATCACAATGCCTGTGTCATGGATATGCCATAAGTGATTCAATTATGTTCTTATTATTGCACAATTAAGGTCTTAAATATATTTTCATTTTATAAACATCACTGTTATTGGTATCCTTGTTTCATTGTTTGTGAAATTGCAACTAGGTCACAAAAGGATGAATACTGCTAAAGCACTTGGTATATGCTGCCTAATCTCAACAATACTTTTAAAACATGGCATTTGTTTGACTTGAAAAGTACTCTGTAAAGCAAAGGAACCTCCAAGTCCAAAAGGTCCTGAAAATGGAAGAGCACTCCACTATAAGAATTTTCACAACTAAAAGAAATATGTACTGGAATTTAACATTAAAAAAACTTTCTTGTTAGATATTATTTCTTTCATTTGATACTCAAAACAGTTCTGTAGAAGTGGTAAGACAGATATTTCCATTGGTAACTTGCTCAAAACCAATCAATTAAGAATTTATCCAGTGAAGACTAAAATGAATCTTCTAAATCCACGTGCATTTTCCCTATTCCATAGCTTTCAATTTGATTTAATATTGTATATGCACATTAGTTAATAGTAACCCTTTTCAAGTGAGTGTCACTAGAGGTTTATTCTCATCTTTCAATTTAACTCTGACATTGCAGAAACAGCCGTTAGGAGCTAGTACTGACTTTATCCAGATTATACCCACAATATCCTCAAAGCTGTGTGACCTCTATTCCATGCTCATAAATGCACTCCAGTTGCTGATGAGTTTAGACAAAATGTCATGGTTTATTTTTATCTCTGACATAAGAGTTATTATATCACTCCCACTCAACTTGTAGAAAATAAATAAAAATTGAGGTGCTCTAGGAAAGGAAAATATCTTGAATAGTCCTAAGGAACCCAATAGAGGGTATATTTATTCCCAGAATTATTTGTTTCATTTTGAGTGGAAAACTCATTTGGTCTCATCCTTCCATTCTGCCTCATCTACACAAATTGGCATCCTTTGCAAAGCCTATATTCTTCTGCAATAAAAATATTCCTGATTTTTTTTTTGTTTGGGGGGAATTTGATGCATCCCTTGACAAAAAATCTGTTTCCATCCAGTTTTGTAATGTCAATTTAGTTTTAAACACATCCCCTTATGCACTCCCAGGGTGCAGCATAGCTCTCTGTTACTTTAGACTTCAATCTGCTGCAGGTTCAGAAAATTCTGTGGTTTGTCTATGGTTCATGTTTACTTTTAGAGTTATATGACTTCCATTAGAAATCACAAATCTATCTTAACTCAGTTTAGACTCATGTTCTGACAAAAATGTTTATGCCAGGAGAGTTTCAATAAGCAGGTTTTGAAAGATAATTGAAGCAACTAATTTCCTAGGGAGGCATGATAGCCTTAGAATATGTTCATCTGCACCTCTCTGGTAGAATTTAAAGAGTCCTAGGTATTTGATTCATGTCACCAAACAATGTTAGGTGATGATTTATTTAAAGATAGAGATTATTAAATGAGTCTGATAAATAAAGAACAACCCCATGAAGAAAGATGAAAAGACAATTGAAAGAAAAAATGTTTGCAGAGGGAGAGACCTGCCATTCGTTAAGTGCCTGCTAGGTTCTAAATACTTCATTCAATCATAAAAAGTACAATCCTCATTTTAGAGATGACAAAACTGATCGTATAAATAGCAGAGCCAAAATGTGAATCGAGGTCTGTTTGTTACAAAACCACTGATCTTTTCAGTTTTGTGTACTACAGTGCGTATGTTGAATAAGCATGTGATCTGGCCTCAGTGGTAGGTTGCATTAATGCTCCCAGCTCTTCACTGCTTCCTGTGAAGATGCCCTTTGCCATGTAACTTCATAGGGCCCTGTCATTGTGGAAAGAGGTACCCTCATATCTCAATTCTAGTTCCAACATGTGACTTACTTTGGCCAACGGGATATTAATAGGCATTATGTGAGCAGTGGCTTGAAGAGCATCTGCATGATTGAACTTGTGCAACAGGGCAAGTCCAATCATGCAAATAAGCAACAGCACCATGGGAAAGACTCACTGGTCCAGAGAGAGGATGAAAAACACGTGAATCAAATCCACCCAGCTTGCACCAGGTGAGCCCAGTGAGTTGCAGGCACATGAGTGAACATAGCCATGACCACCAGAACCATCCAGCCACACCACTCCCAGTTCAGCCACTTTGGTCAACCTACAGATCTTTGAAAATAAATGCTATTGTTTCAAGCCACTGAGTTTTGACATGATTTGTTATCAACAATTTTGTGGCAATCGCTGATGTGTATACCTCCTTACACCTATACTGCAGGCACAAGGAATTAGGTTGTGATGCATGTTTTTCTTTTCTGTTTAATCCTACAGGTTGCAAAACTTACGAAAGATTGAATATTGTCTCTATACACAGTTTAGGAAAATTTTTAAAAGAATTAATCCTAGAAGTGTTCCCTAAGAGTCTTTGAAATATTGAAATGGCCAGCCATAATACACAATTAAACAACTATGAAATAAAAAGTCCCATTTAAAGTTGATAAAGTTTTTTTAATCTTCCTAGTTTTTCTCATTATTGCCCTTGTACTAACACTCAGGGAATGCTTCTATTCCACATATTCTTTAGTGGCTGCAGCCCACCTCTTAGAATAGGTCTTTGTGGCTATATATCAAACTTTTACCCATACTTGGAGACTTAGCTCCAATTTTCTCTCTTTAATAAATATTGCTGTCAGCTAGTCTCCCTTTCTATCCTAATGACTTGTCACTAGCCAAAAATAATCTCTGTCACAGTTTTTCCATGGCAATTTATCTGCCCCTTTTTATAGCCTCTTAATGCTTTTCAGTAGAGTTTTGAGGTATTTTTGTGCATTCTAACCCATCTGCTATACAGTAGGTCACAAGCTGAACTGCCTCCAGAAGCCAGGATGAAAATGATGATTAAATAGAGCTGGCAAATGGCAATCAAGGGTGGTGGGGGTTCTAGTGAAACAAAAGAGCATTTCCCATCAGAAGGGAGAAAACTGCACTTGGGTCCACCTAGTTTTTGTCAACAGGAGAACATAACATCAGAGTTGACAAATCTTCCAATTTTTAAGAAGATTAAAAAATTCACATTTTTATGTAAAATTTCCCAACTTTATGTGAATATATTCATCTTAAGATATTGCTATGGTAGATTTCATTACTGTTTTGATTTTGTTCTATCCCTGTTATAAAATTACATACCCACTTTCTTGGGGCAGAGTGCAATACACTGCCCCACTAAGAAAGGCATTCACTATACATTGTACTCCAAGTCTAACCAGAGTTTTAAATGTGCCACCATTAGTATCTGATCACAAAATGAGAGACACATGAAGCAGACCTGAACCCTGACCTGCAAGCAGAGTCACCCCAGGTGACCTGAAGACACAGGAGCAAAAAAGTTAAATATGTGTTGTGTGCCATTGAGATTTCCAGGGCTGTACTGTAACACAACATTTTTGTGTCTAGAATCTGACTTTTAAAATTGGCCAAACATTTTAAGAGAAAAGTTAAAGCACAAAACATTCTGGTAACAAAGTTTCACTCACAGCCTCTAGGTCTCAACCTCCATTACTTTTTGGGAGCTTTTTGAAGTGTGAAACAGGTTCGCTGTGCACTGCTTACCAACTCAATTGAGGCTGATGAGACAGAATACACTCACATGTAACAAGTTACATAAAGCAGCTTTATTACTTACAGATAGACTACAAGAGAAAACAGAAGCCTAGGATTTCCCCAAGGCTCAGAAAAGCTGCCCAGAGCAGATGGATTCTCAACTGCACATGCCCCAGTTGTACCACAGATAACTGACCCCAAAAAACAGCCTGCCCCGGGTTTTATACACCAAGGTCGTGGAGCTCTCTGGGCTAAATCATTGAAGGATATCTTGTTTCCAGCGGGAGACTGGAACAGAGCCTAGGCTAATCTGGCCAGCTTCTCCTCATCTCAGGATCTTACATCTTCAGCACATTCTGCAGTTATTTTTGAGAACTACAAGCAAGAAAGTGGGGAGATATGGGTTGGTCCAAGGACACCTGGAGAACTGTCCTACATGAGAGGCATTCATAGTGAGTGTACTTCTATTTAATTTCCTTCTCATCTTTGCAATATCAAACATTCTGTCCATTACAGAAAAAAAAATTAATGTTTTACCTAAGAACTGCCACTTTACATCAAATCTATTCTTTTGAAAGATAAAAAACATATTTTGCAGAGTCAGATTACGGGCAGATCAATCTTAAAACGATGCTGAGTCATCACTAGAGTAAACTAACTTGAGTTTCCACACACTATTACATACATAAACCCTACAAAAGTAAATAGCACCCTTGAAGGGAAATTTGGTAAGCCTCCTCTTCATCACTGTCTTACCTCTATTGAGTATTCTGAGACAAGTAGGAGCTATCTCATTTAGCAACAAGCTGACAATTCAAAGTTGGCTGCAGTACTAATCCTGGATAACTAAAAACGTTATTCATAAAGAAGTTTATTTCTCTCTCTAGGGGTTTTGTTTGGCTGTTCTGGTTGGTACACGGACTCAGCAGTGTCAGAGACAGGTCTTCTACAGTACTTTTCTGCCATCCTAAATGACACCATTATTCTTAAGTCAAAATGACTCACTACAATATCCACATTCCAGTCCACAAGGAGGTGAAAGGAAGCAGAGGTTGGCCTCCTTTACTTGAATAGGCATGACCTTGAGGTTGTACACAATGCCTCTGCTCACATCCTAAAGGCCAGAGCATTGTCACATGGTTCCTTGATGGCAAGGAAGGCTGGGAAATGTAGTTTTTAAGGAAATGTTGCCGCCTAGCTAAAGCTTTTCAATTGCTATTGAAGGAGAGAATATGTATTTAAGAGACAGTTAACAGTCTCTGTGTAACATTCAGATAAACATTTTGACAACTTTTTAAACATTCGTTCTGCTTTGGTCAGTGCATGTTAATTCATAAGTAGATCTGTCTTTATGTACATTTCTTTAATACAAATCACTTTTCTCCCTTACTTCCACTAAATAAATATGAGGAAAGAGGTTTTAAGAAATATATTTAAAATAGGACCATAATTTTAGTCTGCCTGAAATGGCCAGAGGATTTTTCTTGCTACCACAGGATCAATATTGGGTAAACTTCATTTTGAAATAAAAAATGTATGACTTTCATAAATGATACTCAGGCAAGTGAATTGTATTTATTCACTACATGGTTAGTGGTCATCTATTTATTGAAGGACAGCCATGGGCAAGTCATTTTGTGAGGCAGAGGGCATACAGATACATAGCAAAATGCACGTGATCCTTGTCTTCATGATATCAACCACATAAGCAAAAATAGAAACATGATTACAAATGGAAGTAAGTGCAATTAAAGTTGATTCAGAGTGCTTGGTACTATGTAGGCAATGGGGATATGAAGATAAATGAGCCCTCAGAGACCACAAAAAGCTTCTCCTTTTGCACTCCAGCATTGACTCTAGCTCTCTGTGTGTATCTTTTGCATTGAGGGGAGACCTAAGGGATTCCCAAAAAATATGCCACTCAGAAAGTTAGCTTATTAGCTTCCAGACACCACAGAGCTACACCTGTTAAGAGTGATGTATTAATATAGCAATTAATTTTTACTCTAATATAGTTTTCTTCAAAAAAAATGCTGAGTAGCCTGTATGAATAATAGAAAACAGCTCAAGGATGTGTTTGTTCCAAACCACGCTCTCTGTTTCTCTCCTGGAAGTCTTGTTGAACTGCCAAAATGATAATGGACTTCATTAAAAGTACTCCAACAATCAGTGCTCTGCAGAAATGAAGGAGTATGCTGGGAAATTGCCATTGCTGTGCCAAGATTCTGGGTCTAAAAAAAGAAACAGGTTTTCCTTTACAGGAGAGTAATGTACAAAATGAAGTAGCAGCTCTAGATTATATGTTATCAAGGACTTTTTAGAGAACTATGGTTTCTGTTTTTAGGGTTTTTCATTGTACACACTAATATTTTTCTATTTTATTATCAATATCTTATGACTACTACTCTTACAAAATGCCACTCTATACCCCCTGCCTCCTGGAATAGTTGCCTCTTTCCGCACTGTTGCCTCTGCCATGACACCCATGGGCTCCAGGATGATGTTCACTCAATTCTCATCTCTGCCTTTAAGCCCACACAAGCGTCTTGCTCCTGCTCTCCTCCTCAGTGTTCAGCAAAATCACATGACTTAAACAACCAAGAATTCCATGTTCTAACACACAATGAGCACCTGCTGGCCTCAGTAAGGATAGTAGGAACGGGGATTATCCCTGAAGTCAGGAGAACTTGGACAGTTTGCCAGGCCTCTGGGAACTTTGGTCTCCACAATAGTAAAACATAGTTAAGAATGACTGACCTCCTTTACCTTGTGAGGTTTTAATGAGATGAAGTATATGAAAGCACTTTGAAGATGACAGCATATGCTATATAAGCCAAAGGAATGAGGATCAGGGTATTCCCTAAACACACTGGATATAGGATGTTTTAAAGATCCTGAAAATCTTGCTGTCTTTATGACTTCACCCCTCCCCCAAATCTCAATATAAACCAGCTTATCGTAATACCTGCAATTTTCACTGTTACTGTTGTTGTTTTAGATTGGAATTTAGGTCTTCAAAAGTTTCTCTGAAAATACACATCTACCCGGTATTAGTAACAACTGAAACTGGAGGGCAGATACAGAGAAAATTGTATCAGATTATTTCATTTTGGTCTTGCCATATGGAATATTGGATACCTTAGAAAATGGGACAACATGGGGAAAGCTGGACTGAATAAAGAAGTCTAGTTTAACTGAAGATACAGTATGTGTTCAATAAATACTTTCCATGGAAGCTTATCGTGTGAAGTTTTTATTAGGTGTGCAAAAGAAAGAGTTGGCATAAAGGGGGGAACAACATTTAAATTCTTCTCTTGGTGGGACCTTTCCTCTCTTTTTCGAGTACTTCATATTCAAGGACAAATACAAAACAGAAGCAAGAGACTCTAAGAATTATCCAGGGGTGTTCAAAACTTAGAAGGCAGTGAGGCACGCAAGCATGAAAGACCACAGGACTGTGAGGACAATGCTTGAAGGAAGGACTTAGAAAAAGAACAATATGTCAGTGTTGCAAGGGGGTCATTGATAACAGATAAAAGGGATAAAGCTGGGTGATTCAATCTTAAGTGGCTTCCAACCTCTCCATGAATGAGAATTACTTTTGAAGGAAAAGTTAAAAGAAGCAAAATTAGGCAAGACAGATGAGAGTAGTGAGCAAGTGCCTAGCCAAGTTAACGGAAGTCAAAGCTTCAATTGGAGTTAAATCACATTTAACTTAACTCCTATTTGGGATTTCTTGGGCTTCATGGATCTGGATGTTCATTTTCTTTAGATCTGGGGATCTTTATTTAAACAGCTTCTGCCTCCTTTCTTTTTCTCTGCTTCTTCTGCAACACCCATAATACGTATATTGGTTCATTTGCTGGTGTCCCATCACAGGCTTTCCTTATTCTTTTCAATTTTTTCTTTTTATTTCTCTGAGTAATTTCAAATTCTTATGCTTTATCAAGTCTGCTGTTGAAGCTATGAAATTTTTTGTTTCATGCATTGTATTCTTTGGTTCTAAAATTTCTGCTTTGTTTTTTGTGATTTATATCTCTTTATTGTACTTCTCATTTGTGTTTTGCTTTTCTGATTTTATTTAGTTGCTTATCTGTGTTCTCTTATATCTCACTAAAATGATTATTTTGAATTATTTATCAGGTAGTTCACGCATTTCCATTTTTAAGGTTACTGGAGCTTCATTTTATTCCTTTGGTGATATAATGTTTCCCTGATTATTTCTGATCTTTGTGGCCATGCATTGGTGTCTGCACATTTGAAGAAGCTGGTACTTATTCTGGTCTTTACAGATTGGCTTTGGTCAGCAAAGCCCTTCTTCAGTCAGCTCATTCAGAGATCATGAGTAGGCTTGCTGTTGGAGCCTTCAGGCAGGCAGGACTGGTGCCTAAGTCTGCAAGGGATAATGATGTGCCTGGATTTGTGAGGCCCAGTCTGGAGTCTGAGTCTGTAGGTGTGGCCTGGAGCCTGAGGCCGCTGGGTCTGGTCTAGCATTGGAGAAGACCTGGAAGCTCAATTCACAAGTGCCAATCTAAAACCTGAAGCCTTGAGCACAAGGCTGGCACTCAGTTTTATTGGGGCAGGCCTGGTGGTCAGGTCCACAACAAAGTCTGGTGCTCACTTCACTCTCCTACTCAGAAGCAGAGTATATCTTTCTCTGTGCTGTGCTAGCTAGGCTGTGGGAAAGGGTGCCATGTGTAATTTGAAACTGTCATTCCTAATCTCTTCAATGATTTTTTTGTTCTTATTTCTGTATTATACCCAGGTGCTATAATCTCTCACCTAAATTCCTTAGCTCTTATGAAGGTATTTTTGCACACTGAGTTTTTCAAACTGATGTTTCTGCAAAGGGATGAGCACAAACAATCCTATTCTACCATCTTGCTGACATCACTAGGCTACGTTTTTTTAATTATTATTATACTTTAAGTTCTGGGGTAAATGTGCAGAACGTGCAGGTTTGTTACATAGGTATACATGTGCCATGGTGGTTTGCTGCACCCATCAACCCATCATCTGCATTAGGTATTTCTCCTAATGCTATCCCTCCCCCAGCCACCCACCCCTGACAGGCCCCAGTGTGTGATGTTCCCCTCCCTGTGTCCATGTGTTCTCATTGTTCAACTCCCACTTATGAATGAGAACATGCAGTGTTTGGTTTTCTGTTCTTGTGTTAGTTGGCTGAGAATGATGGTTTCCAGCTTCATCCATGTCCCTGCAAAGGACATAAACTCATCCTTTTTTATGGCTGCATGGTATTCCATGGTGTATATGTGCCACATTTTCTTTATCCAGTCTATCGCTGATGGACATTTGGGTTGGTTCCAAGTCTTCGCTACTGTGAATAGTGCCGCAATAAACATATGTGTGCATGTGTCTTTATAGTAGAATGATTTATAATCCTTTGGGTATATACCCAGTAATGGGATTGCTGGGTTAAATGGTATTTCTGGTTCTAGAACCTTGAGGAATTGCCACACTGTCTTCCACAATGGTTGAACTAACTTACACTCCCACCAACAGTGTAAAAGAGTTCCTATTTCTCCACATCCTTTCCAACAACTGTTGTTTCCTGACTTTTTAATGATCGCCATTCTGACTGGCATGATATGGCATCCCATTGTGGTTTTGATTTGCATTTTTCTAATGACCAGTGATGATGAGCTTTTTTTCATATGTTTGTAGGCCACATAAATGTCTTCTTTTGAGAAGTGTCTGTTCATATCCTTCACCCACTTTTTGATGGGTTGATTTTAATTGGATTTAAAATCTCTTTCACTCAAATATAAATTAAGGAGGGTCTTATATTTTGGCAGTTCAAGTAAAAAAATCTATGAGTTAATTTGAGCATAGAAACACAATGCAATTGAACTGCAAAGTTTAAAACCTTACATCTTAGGCTAAACTAAGAGAAATTTGATGTTCGTATCAGTATGAAATATTCTGATCAGTTATTGATAACATAGAGGGGCCTCTAAACACTATCAATCATTCAGAGAAAGTGAGAAAGACAGTAAGAGAGTTGGAAATCAAATTATTAAAGGAACTATTAAGAGATCATTTAGAAACTTTTTCCCTAGAAAATAAAAAATCTTTGAGGTGTAGAGCATTTCTGAAAATCTTTTTAAATATTTTAAATACCACTATACAGAAGAGAGAACATAAATTTTTCCTACTACAAAGAACAGAAGTATGGCCAAAGATATGATTTTCAAAATTAAAGAAATTGTCTCATAAGGTTGAACTTTCTAGTAATTTGAGTTGCGTCAAAATGGAATAGTCTTCCTGTGTACAAGTAGCAAAGTCTCTGTCCCTGGAAGTTTTTAGCATAAGCCCAGTCACCATCTGCTAAGAACAGGATGGGGATTAGGGGAAGGAGAAGGGAGTCTATAGTAGGAAAGAGGTTCTCTTGTATGAGCATCTAATTTTAGATTGAAAAATCCTCCAATTTTAAGGTCCTTTCATCCATACATATTACTCCATATACCAAAAAAAAAAGAGAGAGATTTCCTAGTAATTAGCCTGGTGATATTCCTGCAGTGGAGAAAGTTATATCCAACAATGAAGTCAGCACAAATTGAAACAAAATGGCCCCTGTGAGAATTGCTAATTCAATACCTAAATAAAACTGTATACATTTAAAAGTGCATAGTACTTATTTAATAAATTTTAAGTGATATTTCTTGACAGACAAGATAAATATTTAAGTGCCAACTTTACAACCACAAATCTGTCTAAATACCATAACTGTACAATGAGATACTTTGCCAATTTATAATGCAAATAAGGTATACAGACTTACATCCATGCGTGCTTTTTAAGGAATTCCTTCTTAGATTGTATCAATTTGTCTTTATAAGTGTTTATAGCTGAATTGTACAGTATTGATGTCTTTAAACTTACTTTTTTCTTTTCCTTGATACTGCTTTTTTTCTCATACTATGATTATTTCATTGCATCAAAAACTAATATGTTCCAAATAGCACAACTAAATTATTTAGATTGTATTGATGATTCAATTTGACAATGAGGGAGAAATTTTTTCACTCTTTACATAGAAATCAAATTAATAAAGTCCCAATTAAAATATATATATTTAAAGAGATTTAAGAGACATATTGGCCAGGTGCAGTGGCTCACGCCTGTAATCCCAGCACTTTGGGAGGCCGAGGTGGGTGGATCACGAGGTCAGGAGATCAAGACCATCCTGGCTAACACGGTGAAACCCCGTCTCTACTAAAAAATACAAAAAATTAGCCAGGCGTGGTGGTGGGCACCTGTAGTCTCAGCTACTCGGGAGGCTGAGGCAGGAGAATGGTGTGAACCCAGGAGGCAGAGCTTGCAGTGAGCTGAGATCACGCCACTGCACTCCAGCCTGGGCAACAGAGCGAGACTCCATCTCAAAAAAAAAAAAAAAAAAAAGGAGACATATCAACTAATTGCAATAGATGAGTCATAACTTGATCTTATTTAAACAAACTCTAAATATAATGATACTATGAGAAAATTGAGCTCTGACTAGGTCTTATTTTTTCTTGGCATACTCTTTTGAACCCTTACCTTTTAGGAAAAAAAATGTACAATATTTAGGAATGAATTATATAATATCTGGTATTTGCTTCAAAATAATACACGAATGAAGTAAATAGGGATAGAAATAAAACGTGATGAGCAATAACTTGATAATTATTAAAACTAGGATGTAAACATATACAATCATTCATTATACAATTATCTCTATTTTATATATGTCTGATAATTTTCATATTTTAAAAATAAAGTCCAATCTCAGTTAGACATTTGTCTCCCAAAGTCCTCAACCAGCAACCATCGAACTTTCTCATTTCACTGCATTTTTTTCCAAACTCCTATATTTTCCCAAATAATTCCGCTCTCACCTCACACTTATAATCCTCAAAAAGAAAAACAAAAGTCTTGTTACTAACCAGCCCCAGCCTGGAAAGAGCACATTAAAGATTATCATTAATAATTATGCTTAGAGCCTATCCCTTGATATCTTGCTTCTCACACTAAAACATATGTTTCATCAGCTAGCCTATGTGTGGTTCTCCTTGTATATCATTACACTAGGATTTTTTAAACAAAGAAAATGTGTTACCAAAAATTTTATTATCAAAACAGCATCAAAGTTATTGTGTGTGTGTATGCATGCACATACTCGCAGGTATACATGAATATATGCATCTGTACATCTTTGATCAAGAAGCCCAAAAGCTTAAATAAGAGTTGAAAAAATGAATACCTTTGAGAGCTTCTGAATTAAATAAAATGATAATTCAACATGGAGTAAAACTAATAAATTAGGACAATAATATAAAGTATAGTCTCTATTTGAATTTATCTTTTATAACCCAAACTAATTTTATCATCCTGCCTCTACTCTCATTCACTGTTCATGATTTACATATGGAAGACTGACTAACAGAAGAAAAATGTTATCAAACATGGGAAGTAAGTGGCTACTTCTGGCTCCCACAGATCTTTAGTCATAGTTCCAGATTTAGGCTTGTGGCAATCTTACGTATCCTTAAACGTTGGGAACATGACAGAATTATTATTCTAATAGATACCATAGATGCTCTATTTGAAAGATATTCACAGTCCTTTTCTTCCTTACCTTCCTCTTTTGAGAAGCATTGAAACTACTAAAATACATGGTTTCCCAACCTACACTGCAGTGAAGAGTGGCTATGTGACCAAGTTCTTACCAACAATATGTGAATGAAATTCACTGTGAATGTCTTCTCTTTCCAAATTGAAAATGTAAACTCCCACATGAAGAAAGTTTTGTATTTTACCTTCTTCCTGCCTGGAATGCAAACATGAGCTCTGGATATGTAGCAGTTATCTTGTAACTAAAGGTCAAATAACATGCTAAAGATAGTAAAAAAGAAAAAGAGCATAGATCCATAATACATTACTGAAGAGCTGTTTTAGCCCAGGCTACCTGTCTCCAGGTGAGCTTTGTACAAGAAAACAAAAACATTATAGATTTAGGCAACTGTTGAGTGCTTTCTGAGTTTGTTTTTTGTTTGGGGGTTCATTATTTGGGGTTTTGGTGGGAGGGGAAGGGAAACATATTCCCAACTTATACGCTACTATTCCTGGGAGCAAAATAGGTAGCAGAAGTTCATAAGACTAGAACAGCATAAATACATATAAGAATCTTGGCAGACTTCTGATGCTGACAAAGATAAAGTAACAGGAACTGAATTTACCCTTCCACTGAAACAACTGAAAAAAAAAAGCAACCCAGATTCTTATAGTCTAAGAAATATCAGCTTTCAGACACTGGACACCATTGATGCAGGAATTGATCTCTGAGAGAGGGAAAAACTATGAGGTTAGCCCCAATGATTGCCCAAGCTTACTTTCTGGAGAAAGTTTCTAAGTTTCAGCACAGGAAAGAGAAACCAGAAGGAGGCTGGAGGTATCCTTGAGTTGGAGAGATGGAGCTGGGAGTCTGGGAATGGCAAAGTGGATACAGTTTAAGTGGAAGAATACTGGACAGGAGAGAGGTGCATACAGAGAAAACTCTGAAGATCTCCAGAGTGTTCCCCTCTAGAATTCAGTTGAGTACCTACTAGGATATGCATATAAGGAAAACTGAAGCTGGGAAACAAACCATGCAAAAAGAAAAGAATCAATAATCTCCAAAGTTCACACAGGTTTAGGAATAACTCATATTTTCAACCAGCCAGAGTGGAAAGCTTTATATTTCATGGGACATCAGATATACTCAAAAGAATATACCAAATTAGCCTTATATTAAGATTGTCTGGTCCCTACATTTTACAAAACTTACAAGCAAGCTTCGAAAGGATCAAATTGTTTCAAAATAACAAGTGAATCACAGAACAAAGCTCAAGAGTATCTAACACCCAACAAAATAAAATTCACAATATCTACTATCTAATGGAGGGAAAGCATTCAAAAAAGCAGAAAATACAATCAACAATAATAAGAAAAAACAAATGGAAGCATATTAAGAAATGACACAGATGATAGAATTAATAGACAAGAACATTAAAACAGTCTTTATAACTCTATTACAGATACTAAAGAAGCTAGAGGAAAAATTGATCCAATTAGATAGAGACACAAAAGGTATATATAAGGTCTCCAAATAAAACTTCTAGAAATGAAAACAATTGTGTGAAATAAAAAATACAGGCCAGTCACAATGGCTCACACCTGTAATCCCAGCACTTTGGGAGGCCAAGACAGATGGATCACTTGATGTCAGGAGTTTGAGACCAGTCTGGCCAACATGGTGAAACCCCGCCGCTACTAAAAATATAAAAATTAGCCAGGCATGGTGGTGGGCGCCTGTAATCCCAGCTACTGGGGAGGCTGAGGCAGGAGAATCGCTTGAACCCAGGAGGTGTAGGCTGCAGTGAGATGAGATGGCACCCCCGCACCCCAGCCTGGGCAACAGAGTGAGACTCCATCTGAGGACAGAAAAACAAAAAATACACCAGGTGGTACATCAGTTTAGACAATGCTGAAAGAAATATTGGAGACAAAGCAATAGAAAATATCCAAAATAAAATACAAAAGGATGAAAAATTAACAGAGCATCAGCGAGTTATAAGTCAACTTCAAGTGGCCTACTATACGTATCACTGGAGTCCCTGATGAAGTGAAGCAGAAGAAAGAAGAGGAGATAAAAATAAAATTGGAAACATACTGGCTAAAATATTTCCAAATTTGATAAAAATTATAAATTAACATATTCAAGCAACTTACTAAACTTCAAACAAAAGAAACATGAAGAAAAGTACACCAAGCTGCAACATAACCAAATTGCTTAAAATAAGTGATAAAAAGAACCTTAAAACTCAGCTAGAACAAAAACTACACATTACATACATAACACTTTCTCTTAAAATTAGCCCTATGTTAAGATTGTTTGGTTCCAACATTTTACAAAGCTTACAAGCATTTTCTTAAAAGCAGAAATCATAATATTAAGACCTCAATGAGCAGAAAGTTGCTGGAATGATGTGGTCTCATTAGGCTGTTTTGGTATAATTATGTCAACAAGAGCAATAACAGCAAAAATGCCAGATAACAAATAATGCTAACTTGGTACAACATATTTTCTTTGCATTATTCACTTAATCTATACAACTAACAATCTTACAGATGATGTAACTAAGGCTCAGATGGATTAAATAATCTTACTGGTAAAAAAATCTCTAATATTAATGGATATATATCTACTTCCTCTTTTAGTAAGTACAAACTATGGAAATGAGTGCCAGGTTTATCTTTCTAAGCTTCTGTACTCATTTCTGTGCACTACAGAAGCAGATGAAGAGTTACATATATGAATACTAGCACCAGCAATGAAAGTTATGTTTTGTTTTAGATCTACTTTATTTTTTATTTGCTTCTTTTCCAGCAAATATTCCTATGATATTTGAACACTATTGGTAACCAGAAAATTTACTATTTGAAACTGTATCTAATATTTTACTATCACTTTTTGATTTAAATGTTTTTGAACAGTTTCACCTAACAAAGTATTTCTATAAAACTTAATGACCATTTCTAGGATTCTAAAGTCTCTAACTGTAACATGAGAATATTCACATTTTTATGGCACATCTAGAGGCCATTGAAACTACCAAAAGCAGGAATCAAAAGTATGTTTTTAATCCTATAAAAGTAAACAAAAGACAATGGGAACATGTTTATTTCTTTTTTAAAAAAGGAAAAAAAATTCAAAATGTAAGAGAATCATTCAGAGGCAATGAAATTGTATTTTAATCCTTAAAAATATAATACTAATAACTTTTTCTTCTAAGATTATTTACCTGGGCAATTATGAGATCCAAGTCATTCATTATAAGAAGTTGAGATAATGAAAGTATCCTCCTTTGAATTGTTTAGCTGCCATAAAAAGTGAGTTCTTCAGTTAAAAAAAAAAACAAAAAAAAAAACACGATGTCTCATGTCTCATTTCTCACTAACATGACTTACAGGTCCAGGAGCTGACACTTAAAATCTAGTCCTAAAAGTTCTGGCCAAGGTATAATGAGCTCCAAAAAGCAGAAGGCCCCAATTATCATGACGCCAAGCCACCAGGTAACGTCCTCAGAGGTAAAGGGCTCTGTTATTTCTCTCACTACCCCAAATTATAAAGATAGGCTGTTCTTTTCTCAGCAACTGTCAGTAGCAAAGCTAGATATGCCTAATAAAAGAGGCTCTGAGAAATACCATACTAGTAAATTACTTATCCACAGGGAATTTAATTTTCTATCACTTGAGAGTGAAATCATTTTTTAAATCATTTGCAAATTCTAGAGGGATTAATTTTTTTTTTTTCTTTTGAGACAGGGTCTCGCTCTGTCTCCCTGGCTGAAGTGCAGTGATGCAATCACAGCTCACTGCAGCTTCTCTCCTGGACTCAAGTAATCTCCCCAACCCCCGCCCCCCACCCCACCCCGCGCTTGGTCTCAACCTCCTGAGTAGTTGGGATGACAGGCACGCACCACCATGGTGGGTGGGCTACTTTTTTTTAATTATTTTTTGTCGAGACGGGGTTTCACCATGTTACCCAGGCTAGTCTCAAACTCCTGGGCTCAAGTGATCCTCCAACCGAGGCTCCCCAAAGTGCTCAAATTACAGGTATGAGTCACCATGCCTGGCCAAGATTATATTCTTAAGCTCTTTCTAAATTCCTAAAGGGATAACTTTCAAACCATTCTCTCAATTTTAAAGTGCAGCATGCTTGATGACATACAGAAAAGTAGCTATTGTTTACACTTTCATATTAGCAATTTATAGCTTATATCTCTCGAGGATTTTTAATCAAGAAACATTAACCAAAGCTTGGTCATTGTATTAAGCTTTGAGGTGTATTATCCTGCCTTACCTTATTGTCCACAGCAATGGCTGCTGTGCATTCAGTCCTTAGAGAGTTCTCTAACCTCCTGTCCCTACATCACTGGCTGCTGCTGTCATTGCAAGGGAAAAGGAAATCTTCATACTGGGTTTATATGGGGAAAGGTGTAAGAAATTCCTTATTCACATAAGATTTGTTTTAGTCCATTTTGTGATGCTATAACAGAATGCCACAGACTGGGTAATTTATAAACAATATATACTTACTTCTTAATATCCTGGACGCCTAGTTTAATACCAAAGTACGAGAATCTGGTGAGCCTTCTTGCTGTATCATCCCATGGCAGGAAATAAAAGATCAAAAGAGCACACACATTCAAGAAAGATGAGAGGGGTTGGGAAAAGGGGAACAAACTCATCCTTTTCTTAGGAACCCACTCCCTTGGTAACCACATTAATCCATTCATGAGGTCAGAGACCTCATGACCTAGCTAATCACGTCTTAAAAGTCCCATCTCACAACACTGTTGCATTGGGATTAAATTTCCAACACATAAACTTTGAGAGATGTATTCAAACCATGCATAGCAAGGTTCCAATATTTTAAAGTTATAATTTTGCTGCTTTAGAATTAGAAAGAGCATTGCAAATGTTTTTAGTGGTACAAAGAATGTGAAAACAAAGTTGCTTGGCAGAGGAAATGATCCTTAGGTCAACTAACCTTATCTCCTCTTTTTTCAGGTATCAGTCCAGGGACTGGTGTATTTGTCTGTTCTCACACTGCAAATAAAGACATACCTGAGACTGGGTCATCTATGAAGAAAAGAGGTTTGATTGACTCACAGTTCCATGTGGCTGGGGAGGCCTGACAATCACAGCAGAAGGAGAAGGAGGAGCAAAGTCACATCTTACATGGTGGCAGGCAAGAGAGGATGTGCAGGGGAACTTCCCTTTATAAAACTGTCAGATCTCATGAGACTTATTCACTATCACAAGAACAGCACAGGAAAGACCCACCCCCATGATTCAATTACCTCTCGCTGGGTGCCTCTCACAACACATGGAAATTATGCAAGCTACAATTTAAAATGAGATTTTAGTGGGGCCACAGCCAAACCATATCAACTGGGTTGATTTTCCCACAGTAATAAAACTAGTTTGAAGCAGAATCTAAAGGTAATTCAAGTTTCTGAACTTGAAGTCTCATACTGTTTCTCCTCTTCTTTTTTTATTTCAGATATGAAGCCTGCTCTATTAAAAGGATGTTGAATATATATTTTATCATAGTAACAGCTGAACACTATATATTTACAATAAAAAGCAATTGAAAACAATAACAGTCTAAATCTTGGTAAATCACAAGTTGAGAATCAAATCAAGAACTCAATTCCTTTTACAAAACAAAAAGAAAGAAAAAACCACCTTAGAATATACTTAACCAAGGATGTAAAATATCTCTACAAGGATAACTACAAAACACTGCTGAAAGAAATAGATGACACAAACAAATAAAAATCCATCCCATACTCATGGGTTACAAGAATCAGTATCATGAAAAGGTACATACTTCCCAAAGCAATCTACAGATTCAGTGCAATTCCTTATCAAAACACCAACATCATTTTCCACAGAATTAGGAAAAAAATCATAAAATTCATATGGAGCCAAAAAAGAACCCAAATAGCCAAGGCAATTCTAACCAAAAAGAACAAATCTAGAGGCATCACATTACCTGATTTCAAATTATACTACAAGGTTATAGTATCAAAACAGCATGGTACTTGTATAAAAGCAGATGCATAGACTAATGGAAGAGAATAGAGAAGCCAGAAATAAAGCCAAATACTTACCAACAACTGA
Source organism: Homo sapiens (assembly GCF_000001405.40). NCBI lineage: Eukaryota > Metazoa > Chordata > Mammalia > Primates > Hominidae > Homo > Homo sapiens. Next base: position 41,081,440 of record NC_000005.10, on the reverse strand, counting down.
TCTACAGGCATACGAAAACATAAATTGGGGAAAGGACATCTTGTTTAATAAATGGTGCTGGGGAAACTGACTAGCCACATGTGGAAGAATGATATTGGATCCCCATCTCTCCCCATATACAAAAATGAACTTAAGATGAATTAAAGACTTAAATATAACACCTGAAACCATAAAAATGCTAGAAGAAAACCTAGGAAAAACTCTTCTATATGTTGGCCTAGGCAAAGAATTTATGACTAAGACCTCAAAAGAAAATGTAACAAAAACAAAAATAAATAAATGGAACTTAATTAAACTGAAGAGCTTCTTCTTCATAGCAAAAGAAATAATCATCAGAGTAAACAGAAAACTCCCAGAATGGGATGAAATATTTGCAAACTATGCATCCACAAAAGACTAATATTTAGAATCTACAAGGCATATAAACAAATCAACAAGAAAAAAAACAAATAATCCCATCAAAAAGTGGGCAAATTACATGAATTGACACTTCTCAAAAGAAGAGATACAAACAGCAAACAAACATGAAAAAGATGCTCCACATCATTAATCCTCAGGGAAATGCAAATTAAAACCACATTGAGATACAACCTTATCCTAGCCAGAATGGCCATTACTAAAAAGCCAAAACAAAATAGTTGTTGATGGGGATGTGCTGCAAAAGGGAACACTTAATACACCTCTGGTGGAAATGTAAATTAATACAACTTCTAGGGAAAATAGTATGAAGATTTGTCAAAGAACTAAAAGTAGATCTACCATTTGATCCAGCAATCCCACTACAGGTATCTACCCAAAGGAAAAGAAGTCATTATATCAAAAAGATACTTGCATACAAATGTTCATTACAGCACAATTCACAGTTGCAAAGATATGGAAGCAACCTAAGTGCCCATTAACCAATGAGTGGATAAAGAAAAGTGGTATATATACACCACGAAATACTACTCAGGCATAAAAAAGAATGAAATAATGTCTTTTGCAGTAACTTGGATGGAGCTGGAGGCCCTTATTGAAGGAACTCAGGAATGGAAAACCAAATGCCATATATTCTCCCTTACAAATAGGAGCTAAGCTATGGGTATGCAAAGACATGCAGAGTGGTATAATGAACATTGGAGACTCAGAAGTGGGGAGGGTTGGAGACGGATGAGTGATACCAAACTATATATTGGGTCCAGTGTATACTACTCAGGTGGTGGGTGCACTAAAATCTCAGAAATCACCACTATACAATTCATCCATGTAACCAAAAACTATACTTCAAAAGCTATTGGAATTTTAGAAATTAAAATTTAAAAAATAAATCTTCCTAAATCAAATAGAAAAATCAACAAATTGCTATGATTTACTCATGCTAAAGAAGAAAAAATAATTAGAGGATCTGCAGTCTTCTACTTGGAGAAGAAGACAGGTTCCTCTGAATGCTATGAAGAGGACTCATCTCTACTTTCAAGGACCAACTCAAGTCCTACAATCATGCTTTGCAGACAAAATTCAAAACTCTTTCATGACCTTTGCTTACTCCTCTATTATAACGATCACTATCCTGGCTCATTTTTCCATTTGTTATACCAGTGGACTGCCTTCTCCCCTAGAGTGCAAGTTCCTTGAGGTTAGGATAAAGTTCTTTTTTTATGATTTGTCCAAGAATCCCTATCATGGGCTTCTTGCCTACTAAGTAGTCAGTAAATGTGTGCTGAATTCAGCTGGAGTGAATTTTACTGGAAATTATCCTGTTGTTGTATTTACTACCAGTAGAAAAGCAAAGGAAAAAGAGTAAAAAATAATAATAACAGGAGAGAAAACAGAGACCAGGGAATAGGAAAGGAGAGGAGAAGACATGAGAGACAGGAGGAGAGGAAGGAAGTAGAAAGTGAGGAGGAAGGAAAAAGGAAAGAAAGGAAATGGGTCTACTGACATCAAAGGCATAATTACTTCTATATGACATTGCCAGCTAATATTTCTTTCTCTTTTATATATTAGAGTATAAGAGATTAGGGTTATCTCAGGGGGGTGGAGCCAAGATGGCCAAATTGGAACATCTCCAGTCTACAGCTCCAAGTGACAGCGACACAGAAGATGGGTGATTTCTGCATTTCCAACTGAGGTACTGGGTTCATCTCACTGGGGAGTGCCGGACAGTGGGTGCAGGACAGTGGGTGCAGGGCACCGTGCATGAGCCGAAGCAGGGCGAGGCATCACCTCACCTGGGAAGCTCAAGGGGTCAGGGAACTCCCTTTCCTAGTCAAAGAAAGGAGTGACAGATGGCACCTGGAAAATTGGGTCACTCCCACCCTAATACTGTGCTTTTCCAACGGGCTTAACAAACGGCACACTAGAAGATTATATCCTGCACCTGGCTCGGAGGGTCCTACGCCCAGGGAGCCTCGCTCATTGCTAGCACAGCAGTCTGAGATCAAACTGCAAGGCAGCAGCAAGGCTGGGGAGGGGCTCCTGCCATTGCCGAGGCTTGAGTAGGTAAACTAAGTGGCCAGGAAGCTCGAACTGGGTGGAGCCCACCACAGCTCAAGGAGGCCTGCCTGCCTCTGTAGACTCCATCTCTGGAGGCAGGGCACAGACAAACAAAAGGCAGCAGTAACCTCTGCAGACTTAAATGTCCCTGTCTGACAGCTTTGAAGAGAGTAGTGGTTCTCCCAGCACGCAGCTGGAGATCTGAGAAAGAGCAGACTGCCTCCTCAAGTGGATCCCTGACCCCCGAGTAGCCTAACTGGGAGGCACCCCTCAGTAGGGGCAGACGGACACTTCACACGGCTGGGTACTCCTCTGAGACAAAACTTCCAGAGGAACAATCAGGCAGCAGCATTTGCGGCGCACCAATAGCTGCTGTTCTGCAGCCACCACTGCTGATACCCAGGCAAACAGGGTCTCGAGTGGACCTCCAGCAAACTCCAACAGACCTGCAGCTGAGGGTCCTGACTGTTAGAAGGAAAACTAACAAACAGAAAGGACATCCACATCAAAAACCCATCTGTACATCACCATCATCAAAGACCAAAGGTAGATAAAAACCACAAAGATGGGGAAAAAACAGAGCAGAAAAACTGGAAACTCTAAAAATCAGAGCGCCTCTCCTCCTCCAAAGGAACGCGGCTCCTCACTGGCAATGGAACAAAGCTGGACAGAGAATGACTTTGACAAGTTGAGAGAAGAAAGCTTCAGACGATCAAACTACTCTGAGCGACAGGAGGAAATTCGAACCAATGGCAAAGAAATTAAAAACCTTGAAAAAAAACTAGACGAATGGCTAACTAGAATAATCAATGCAGAGAAGTCCTTAAAGGACCAGATGGAGCTGAAAACCATGGCACGAGAACTAAGTGATGAATGCACAAGCCTCAGTAGCTGATGCGATCAACTGGAAGAAAGGGTATCAGTGATGCAAGACTAAATGAATGAAATGAAGCGAGAAGAGAAGTTTATAGAAAAAAGAATAAAAAGAAATGAACAAAGCTTCCAAGAAATATGGGACTATGTGAAAAGACCAAATCTACATCTGATTGGTGTACCTGAAAGTCATGGGGAGAATGGAACCAAGTTGGAAAACACTCTGCAGGATATTATCCAGGAGAACTTCCCCAATCTAGCAAGGCAGGCCAACATTCAAATTCAGGAAATACAGAGAATTCCACAAAGATACTCCTAGAGAAGAGCAACTCCAAGAAACATAATTGTCAGATTCACCAAAGTTGAAATGAAGGAAAAAATATTAAGGGCAGCCAGAGAGAAAGGTCCGGTTACCCAGAAAGGGAAGCCCATCAGACTAACAGCTGATCTCTCAGCAGAAACTCTACAAGTGAGAAGAGAGTGGGGGCCAATATTCAGCATTCTTAAAGAAAAGAATTTTCAACCCAGAATTTCATATCTGGGTAAAATAAGCTTCATAAGTGAAAGAGAAATAAAATACTTTACAGAAAAGGAAATGCTGAGAGATTTTCATCACCACCAGGCCTGCCCTAAAAGAGCTCCTGAAGGAAGCACTGAACATGGAAAGGAACAACTGGTACCAGCCACTGCAAAAACATGCCAAATTGTAAAGACCATCGAGGCTAGGAAGAAACTGCATCAACTAAAGAGCAAAATAACCAGCTAACATCATAATGACAGGATCAAATTCACACATAACAATATTAACCTTAAATGTAAATGGTATAAATGCTCCACTTAAAAGACATAGACTGGCAAATTGGATAAAGAGTCAAGACCCATCAGTGTGCTGTATTCAGGAAACCCATCTCACATGCAGAGACACACATAGGCTCAAAATAAAGGGATGGAGGAAGATCTACCAAGCAAATGGAAAACAAAAAAAGGCAGGGGTTGCAATTCTAGTCTCAGATAAAACAGACTTTAAACCAACAAAGATCAAAAGAGACAAAGAAGGCCATTACATAATGGTAAAAGGATCAATTCAACAAGAAGAGCTAACTATCCTAAATATATATGCACCCAATTCAGGAGCACCCAGATTCATAAAGCAAGTCCTGAGTGACCTACAAAGAGACTTGGACTCCCACACAATAATAATGGGAGACTTTAACACCCCACTGTCAACATTAGACAGATCAACGAGACAGAAAGTTAACAAGGATATCCAGGAATTGAACTCAGCTCTGCACCAAGTGAACCTAATAGACATCTACAGAACTCTCCACCCCAAATCAACAGAATATACATTCTTTTCAGCACCACATCACACCTATTCCAAAATTGAACACATAGTTGGAAGTAAAGCACTCCTCAACAAATGTAAAAGAACAGAAATTATAACAAACTGTCTCTCAGACCACAGTGCAATCAAACTAGAACTCAGGATTAAGAAACTCACTCAAAACCGCTCTACTACATGGAAACTGAGCAACCTGCTCCTGAATGACTACTGGGTACATAACGAAATGAAGCCAGAAATAAAGATGTTCTTTGAAACCAATGAGAACAAAGACACAACATACCAGAATCTCTGGGACACATTCAAAGCAGTGTGTAGAGGGAAATTTATAGCACTAAATGCCTACAAGAGAAAGCAGGAAAGATCTAAAATTGACACCCTAACATCACAATTAAAAGAACTAGAGAAGCAAGAGCAAACACATTCAAAAGCTAGCAGAAGGCAAGAAATAACCAAGATCAGAGCAGAACTGAAGGAAATAGAGACATAAAAAAACCCTTCAAAAAATTAGTAAATCCAGGAGCTGGTTTTTGGAAAAGATCAACAAAATTGATAGGCTGCTAGCAAGACTAATAAAGAAGAAAAGGGAGAAGAATCAAATAGACGCAATAAAACATGACAAAGGGGATATCATCACTGATCCCACAGAAATACAAACTACCATCAGAGAATACTATAAACACCTCTACGCAAATAAACTAGAAAATATAGAAGAAATGGATAAATTCCTTGACACATACACCCTCCCAAGACTAATCCAGGAAGAAGTTGAATCTCTGAATAGACCAATAACAGGATCTGAAATTGAGGCAATAATGAATATCTTACCAACCAAAAAAAGTCCAGGACCAGATGGATTCACAGCTGAATTCTACCAGAGGTACAAGGAGAAGCCGGTACCATTTCTTCTGAAACTTTTCTAATCAATAGAAAAAGAGGGAATCCTCCCTAACTCATTTTATGAGGCCAGCATCATCCTGATATCAAAGCCTGGCAGAGACACAACCAAAAAAGAGAATTTTAGACCAATATCCTTGATGAACATTGATGCAAAAATCCTCAATAAAATACTGGCAAACCGAATCCAGCAGCACATCAAAAAGCTTATCCACCACCATCAAGTGGGCTTCATCCCTGGGATGCAAGGCTGGTTTAACATACGCAAATCAATAAACATAATCCAGCATATAAACAGAACCAAAGACAAAAACCACATGATTACCTCAATAGATGCAGAAAAGACCTTTGACAAAATTAAACAGCCCTTCATGCTAAAAACTCTCAATAAATTAGGTACTGATGGGATGTATCTCAAAATAATAAGAGCTATCTATGACAAACGCACAGCCAATATCATACTGAATGGACAAAAACTGGAAGCATTCCCTTTGAAAACTGGCACAAGACAGGGATACCCTCTCTCACCACTCCTATTCAACATAGTGTTGGAAGTTCTGGCCAGGGCAATTAGGCAGGAGAAGGAAATAAAGGGTATTAATTAGGAAAAGAGGAAGTCAAATTGTCCCTGTTTGCAGATGACATGATTGTATATCTAGAAAACCCCATTGTCTCAGCCCAAAATCTCCTTAAGCTGATAAGCAACTTCATCAAAGTCTCAGGATACAAAATCAATGTGCAAAAATCACAAGCATTCTTATATACCAATAACAGACAAACAGAGAACCAAATCATGAGTGAACTCCCATTCACAATTGCTTCAAAGAGAATAAAATACCTAGGAATCCAACTTACAAGGGATGTGAAGGACCTCTTCAAGGAGAACTACAAACCACTGCTCAATGAAATAAAAGAGGATACAAACAAACGGAAGAACATTCCATGCTCATGGATAGGAAGAATCAATATCGTGAAAATGGCCATACTGCCCAAGGTAATTTATAGATTCAATGCCATCCCCATCAAACTACCAATGACTCTCTTCACAGAATTGGAAAAAAATACTTTAAAGTTCATATGGAACCAAAAAAGAGCCCACATTGCCAAGTCAATCCTAAGCCAAAAGAACAAAGCTGGAGGCATCATGCTACCTGACTTCAAACTATACTACAAGGCTACAGTAACCAAAACAGCATGGTACTGGTACCAAACAGAGATATAGACCAATGGAACAGAACAGAGCCCTCAGAAATAATGCCGCATATCTACAACTATCTGATCTTTGACAAACCTGACAAAAACAAGCAATGGGGACAGGATTCCCTATTTAATAAATGGTGCTGGGAAAACTGGCTAGCCATATGTAGAAAGCTGAAACTGGATCCCTTCCTTACACCTTATACAAAAATTAATTCAAGATGGATTAAAGACTTACATGTTAGACCTAAAACCATAAAAACCCTGGAAGAAAACCTAGGCGTTACCATTCAGGACATAGGCATGGGCAAGGACTTCATGTCTAAAACACCAAAAGCAATGGCAACAAAAGACAAAATTGACAAATGGGATCTAATTAAACTAAAGAGCTTCTGCACAGCAAAAGAAACTACCATCGGAGTGAACAGGCAACCTAGAGAATGGGAGAACATTTTTGCAACCTACTCATCTGATAAAGGGCTAATATCCAGAATCTACAATGAACTCAAACAAGTTTACAAGAAAAAAACAAACAACCCCATCAAAAAATGGGTGAAGGATATGAACAGACGCTTTTCAAAAGAAGACATTTAGGCAGCCAAAAAACACTTGAAAAAATGCTCATCATCACTGGCCATCAGAGAAATGCAAATCAAAACCACAATGAGATACCATCTCACACCAGTTAGAATGGCAATCATTAAAAAGTCAGGAAACAACAGGTGCTGGAGAGGATGTGGAGAAATAGGAACACTTTTACACTGTTGGTGGGACTGTAAACTAGTTTAAGCATTGTGGAAGTTAGTGTGACGATTCCTCAGGGATCTAAAACTAGAATTACCTTTTGACCCAGCCATCCCATAAATGGGTAGATACCCAAAGGATTATAAATCATGCTGCTATAAGGACACATGCACACGTATGTTTATTGCGGCACTATTCACAATAGCAAAGACTTGGAACCGACCCAAATGTCCATCAATGATAGACTGGATTAAGAAAATGTGGCACATATACACCATGGAATACTATGCAGCCATAAAAAATGATGAGTTCATGTCCTTTGTAGGGACATGGATGAAGCTGGAAACCATCATTCTCAGCAAACTATCGCAAGGACAAAAAACCAAACACCGCATGTTCTCACTCATAGGTGGGAATTGAACAATGAGAACACATGGACAAAGGAAGGGGAACATCACACACTGAGGACTGTTGGGGGGTGGGGGGAGTGGGAAAGGATAGCATTAGGAGATATACCTAATGCTAAATGACGAGTTAATGGGTGCAGCACACAAACATGGCACATGTATACATATGTAACAAAACTGCACGTTGTGCACATGTACCCTAGAACTTAAAGTATAATAATAATAAAATTTTTAAAAAAGAAATTAGGCTTATCTCATGAAACTGACAAATCAAACAAAACACAGCCTAATTTCACTTTTAATATATTTTATAAAAATCTAACACGTCATCTGAAGAATAAAAGGATAAATATCAAAGTTTAGATTAATTGTAGTATACATTAAAATCATCTACAATTAAACTATTAAAACCATAAAATTTAAATTTTTATAACGTTTCTGTATTATTTCTATGTATCTATTCTTCTTTAGCTTTATATTTTACCTTTACTGCCTTATTAATATTTTTGTCTGATAACATCATGTGGGAACATAGTAGGCCTGGGATTGGGTAGCTTCATTTGACAAGTTACATTGAAAGGGGATGGCTACCACATATCCAGTGAGACACTCTAATTCCTTAGCAGGCTAGATTTAGGCTCCCTCACAAATATCTAGAAACAGTACTTAATTAGTTAGCACATGCCATCCTATTCACTTTGAGAATTCGTGTTTAGGATCCTCTTAGAGTCTTAGAGAAATCAAATCCATATTGTGTTAGCCTCATGCAATGAGAAGAGGAAGAAATAATGGGAAGATGTAACAAGCAGGCGACTGAAAAATGAAATAAAATGACAGCAAATCAGCTATTTTGAGGATTTGGGGATTTTAAAACTATCTGCAGTATTGGTTTCAATGAGTGAATTTACTTTGTCTGAAAGGATTTTAGCAAAAAGTTGTGTTTTGATTGCAGCGATGAATAAATTAAAAGTCAAAATAAATCAATTATCTCCTAACTTCTCTAATCTCTATGAAATCAAGGAAGTCTTTATATACAGACATACAGAAAAATCATTTGTCACCATTCACAAAAATATTAAGAAAATGGTTGTAACAATTACCTAAATGGCTAGCTTTCTTATTATTGATTCTGCTGTACATTGTTTTTTAAGACTCTAAGAGCACATAATTTCTAACATCATTTTTTCCCTTATAGGGAATCTGTTGTTTTATTTACTACAAGTAGACTTAACATCTTATAGATGTTAAGAGTTTCGGGATGCCTCTAATCACCCCAGTACCTCCCTGACTAACCAAACTTGGCCTATTCTTCAGTGAGTCATGATGCTGGGGAAGAGCTCCTTGCCCAACCACAACAAACATTCTTCAGTTAACTGCTATTTACTGATCCACTAATGAATGTTTGGGCAAGGACCTTGGTCAGTGCTTTTCAAAGTTCAGTGAACCTAAGAATCACCAGGGGCGCACATTAAATATATAGATTGCTGCCCCCTCATTCTAATTTACTGGGTCTGAAGTGGGGCCTGGGAATTCACATTTTAAATAAGGATACCAAGTAAATCCCATGATAAAGTCACCTGGAGACAAAACTCTGAAAGTGATGCTGACTTGGGAAGCGGAAAATGTTGAGGATCTCTTTAATACAGTGCAAAATGTCTATGAGAAGAATGATGAATTCAAAGGTTTAGTTGGAAGCAGTTGACCTTTGAATCTGGAATAAGCTTCACCGATGAAGTTAAGATGGCCAAAAAAGCAGCAGCAGATGAAAATTGTCATGAGCTCCCCTCCTCAGCCCATTCTACATTTAGCCCTATAGACTAGCAGTACTGCCTTCCCTTTCTCTATCATCCTCCATATTCACATAGAGTCTGGACATATATTGAAGATTGTCATCACATAGATTTATAGTTGGGGACCAGATTTCAATTCATGCTAGATAAGTTGAAAACATTATGGAAAATTGATCTAGATAAAAAATAATTTGAAAACAAAAAGAAAGCTGAAGACAGAGAAAAAGCCTGAGCCTGGAGTGAGGCCAAGATCCTGAACATGCCAGGGAGGAATTAATGGAGAGGGAGGTAGAGAGGTCTTCACTTTGCTGCTGTCAGTTGGACATTCCATCCAACTGCCCCTGAAGTGCATTCCAGTCCACTGAGCATGCTCAGTTCATATGACTGATTTTCACTAAGTGTAACAATCAACGAGTTCACCATAAAGCCTTTCCCAACATCAGGACAGTAAAGCAACTACTGAAAACCATTCCTGAATTTGTGATCAATGGACTCAAGTTTAGGGAGAGGAGCACCTTTGGTCTGCAACAATGGTTTGAATCCCAGTCTCTAATTACTTCTTTCCCAAATACTCTGGTCACCAAAGGGACAATATTTGGTGAGATGCAGCCATTTTGTTGGTTAGCAGGAGTTCAGACGCAAGACAATGTCATAGTGGTAGAATACAGTATCAACTTCAACAGCAAGCCCATCTCTGGAAGCTCCCAGACCATTGTGCCAATCAAGTGGAGGAGGCACTTTCATTTAGAGAGGCTTATGTGAACCTTATATGAGAAACTTGCCAACCTGCCTCTTTGATTTTTTAGCCTTACTATTTCTAATACTTAGGTGCTATCTTTTAGAGACCCTGAAACAGCCAAGACATGACACTTAGTACAGAGGAATCCATAGGTAAGCATCATCAGATCCTGAGAAGCCAAGGCTCTTCCCTGTGTTTTGTTTCTGTGGAATTATAAGTATATATGAGGGCTGGGAGTGGCGCGTCATTGTGGGAGGACTGTACACCTCAAAGGATTTATGAAATGGTATGCTAAATACATAATAAAATCATGCTGATTGTGAAGGACCAATAATAGACTGGAAGCCTAAGAGATGGTTGTGCTTTAAAATTTAGAGTCTACCTGAGGAGAAAGTGGCTACATATCAAAGAAAGGCAGTTTGTTATTTAATTTTAAATACTAGAAGAGTCCTTTGGAAGTATTTCTCCCAATTTCCAGGTATGGCTGCCTTTCTACTTTGCCAAAAAGATTGCCCTAAATGAGTATGTTGTTTGGTGTGGAGGTTAATAAGAAATCTTCATCTCCAAAAGTATTTCTCCTACCAACTTGCCATGTAGCTTGAAATTGCTCAATTCCTTTGACTCAATTTTTTTTCCAGTTTTCTAGAGTGCTTTATTCAAAAACATATATTCCTAGAAAATGCAAGTCAAACACATTTAGGTCATTGTCAGAAAACAGGAAGCCTTCATTAGCATGTGACCAAAAGAGGGAGTTGGCAGGCACAGGAGAATAGGTGGAGTTGAAAAGGGTATGGAAAAAGAAGATGGGAGAGGTATTGAGGGGAGGACCAGTGAAAAATAAACAGCTATGTTGCACCCCTGCCTTCTAATGCTTAAGTCAGGAGTGAGAAATTCACCTCATTGACTCTGAGAGCTAAATCCTGCAAGAGAGAATTTACAAGGCAATGCCCACTTGCCTGGAGGGATACATAGGAATCCGGCATCTTTTATCTTCCCTTTCACATTTGATTCAGGTTTCAAAAATAATAATAACTTAGCATCTGCTAGTTTCATTTATGTCATGGATATGAATAAAACAGTTCCTGCCATCAAAGAGCTAGCAGTCAAGGGAGAGAGAGAGAGAGAGGATAAATGAATGAATGAACTTTCTGTGTTGATTACAAAATAATTAACAGGAGGGCATTTCAGCATATATTTCAATTCATATTTTTCTGTACGTTTTAGAGATGTTTGGGGATATTAACCTCACTCTTGGCATGCTGAACAAGGAAGATATTGTTAACAAGGTAGGGAAAACAGAGAAAAATCTTTTTCCCTTTTTCAGTCTTCTTGTTGCAACATTTCGTATATATTTTTCTTTGTCTCAACTTTCTCATTTTTCTCTGGCTTGTTACATGGCATTAGATTTTTCAGTAAATGCAGTTGTAATGAAAGTCATTGTAATGTTTAAGCAATGATATTTGGCATTTCAAGAATCACAGCATCTATGTCTAGAAAATAGCAAAAAAAAAGTTCCTTTTTATAACTTTATACAGGCAGATGTTGAAAGGTGTATGTCAGACTTACAAACATGTGGATGAGACTGTTTCTTTTATAATTTGAGGGTTGTTACAAAAATCCCAAAAGCTCTTCCCTGCTCATCTATAATGCTATTTCACAGCTAGAAGTTTACCTAAGAATTGAAGGCTTTTCACATTTCAACAACCTTTTATAAAATAAAAGAAATAACTGCCCTTCATCGAACACTTATCTGGGAAGTAAAATGCTAGATATTTTCCAAACAACAGTGTATTGTATAATATTCACTCCTCAGAACAATTTTATCAGGTAGTTATTGCTATTTCCATTTGATAACTGAGAAAAAATTAGGCAGAGAGAAGTTACATGACTTGCTCAACTAAGAACAACAGGACTATATCCAAAAGCAAGCCCATCTGACTCCAAAAAAAAATGTTCCTAATCATTATTCAGTGTTGTCTCCTTGTGAAGGGCAGTGCCTATACCTTTATCTCTTAATTCAGTGGTTCTCAACCCTGACCATATATTAGAATCCCTTAGAGAGTTTTGGGAAAATATCAACACCCAGGCCCTACTACCAGGGATTCTGATTGGATCAGTCTGTGAAAAGCTTGGGCATTTTAAGCACCTGGAGGTAATCCAAACATTTAGGTACGGTTGAAAACCATTACATTAATCTCTCAGTAGAAGTCACCTTTCCGAAAGAACACTATTTCTCAAACATTGGGAATCACTTAAGAGAATAACCTCCGGATCCCAGAAACATTGAAGGAGAATTTCCAGTAAAGGGATCAGAGAATATATATTTTTAACAAGCACTTCCTAGTTATTTTATGATGAGTCTAGTTAAAGAATAATAATAGCCAGCATAACCAAGAGGTTAAGGTGCCAGCTAAAATTCAGACTGTTGGTTTCAAATTGTAGCATCAGTACGTAACACTAACTACATTAAGCTCCCTGGGACTCAATTTCCTCATCTATAAAATGAATATATTTGTGGTACCTAAGACAGGGACTTGTGAGCGTTAATAAAATGCTCCAGATAATGAGTCTGGCACAGTTCCAGGAATGTGGTGAGAGCTCCATAAATGGTAGCCTTGCCAAAGAACAAGGCCTGCAGACAGGATAGTAAGCACATGGAGCAAGAAAAGGACTCACAGAGATAGTTAGGCAGGCCCAGAAAATACAGGGAAGAAAGCAAAGAAAAATTATGCATTATTCTCAGACTTCCCAAGGACCAGCCCTGAGGAGTAATGCAAAGGATGCTATTTAACAACTTAAGCATGGGTGGAGTGGCTGGAGGTGCATGTTGAAGCTGTTGGAGATTTCAGTACACCAGTCTCTCTTTCATCATCCAGAGGACACATAGCCACCTAAAAGATTTACAATTCCTCACACAGGGCATCTAGTCAAGCCACACAACTGGAGGCCCTGTCTAAAATGTCCACAACTTTCTGTCTGCAGAGGCATGAATGAAACAAGGGCCTGTAAATGTCCCTTAGGATCCAGTTTCATAGCCTAGCAGCCTCTTGGGGAGTTACAGTGTGTTCCCTAGTACCATATCACTCCCTGATAGTAAGGGCAGCAATTAAGCTGACAGGCATTTCCATTCCCCTGAGTGTCCCACAACAGTGATTTTCAAAAGACATGGAATGGCAGGTAGCCTCTCCTGGTTGTCAATTAGATCTTGCCATAGAAATATAGCCAAGTTAAAATAGTTTTTAGAATTGACTTTGCTCTGTAGCCTTTGACTCCTAAAGATGCATGTTATGTTCAGAAAGCCTCAATTAAAGCCAGGCACGGTGGCTCATGCCTGTAATCCCAGCACTTTGGGAGACCGAGGCAAGTGGATCACCTGAGGTCAGGAGTTCGAGACCAGCGTAGCCAACATGGCAAAAACCCCGTCTCTACTAAAAATACAAAAATTATTCGGGCATGGTGGCACACACCTGTAATCCTGGCTACTCGGGAGGCTGAGGCAGGAGAATCAGTTGAACCCAGGAGGCAGAGGTTGCAGTGAGCTGAGATCATGCCATTGCACTCCAGCCTGGCCAAAAAGAGCAAAACTCCATCTTAAAAAATAGAAAAAAAAAAGAAAGCCTCAATTAAGACATATAATATGAAATCCATTGTGTAGTAAAGATATATTGCTTACTTTAATGGTGTTATTCATTAGGATTTCATTTGATTCCTTTATTTTTGCAAGCCAAATTTCTGTGTATGCCTTTGTATATTCACAGGAAGACATTTACAGTCATCTCACTTCTGTTATTCAGAATACTGACATCTTGGATGATGCAATTGTCCAACGATTGATTTATTATGCTTCTAAGGATATGAGAGACAACAATGTAAGTTTGGTTCATGATGGTGAAAAGGGTCTTTATGTGACCCAACTGCACCCATGTGGACATCAGTAAGCTCTTCTACACTGTTGCCAGGACCACAAATCACTTGTATTTGTTCTTTGTGGTAACTTGGATATCGTTATAATGCCTGATATTTACTCCTTCACAGATGAGGAAACTGAGGCAAAGATAAGAATGATTTTAAAGGTGATTTTATCCAACCTCCTTTTAGATGAGGAAGTTCACCATTAGAGATATGTTTTTTTCAAAGTAACACAGCTGTCTATTGACAACTAGTAACATAACTAGAAACCAATTTTCTTGGCTTCTATATGACTTATTTCTTTATGTACCTACTATCTTAGATTGTCTGATAGACAACATAGCAAAAAAATAATAATTTGTAGAAGTAATTTGAATCCTAGGATGATGTTATTTCTTCCAGAAAGAAGTATTACTTGTTCCTGCCAAGGGCACTAACAATTTATGATTGCTTTCAGGGTTTGAGATTTCTGGGTCTCTTCTATAACTTAGAATTCGATTGTCATTCATGAGAGTACCAATTTAACTTTTCATTTGAACACAGCCCTTTGGTGTCTTATCCCAAAAGACAAGAGGTGGAATGACCAGAGTCTCACCACTGGTTGGCCCTGAACTCTGACTATTGCTTCAAAATGCAACAAAACAGTCTCAAATGCAGGGCTTATCTCTCTAGATCAATAATCTTTTTCAGGCCTCAACTCAGTAATTCATTCCAACCTATATTGTGAGTTTGCTGATGGTTTTATGAGTATATATTTTTAATATCTTATCTGGGTCCTTTGTATTTTCCTCAGGAGGGGATTTGATCAAATTTACCTAGTTCGCCATCACCAAAATCAGAAATCTTTCCCAATACCACCAATACTGGACATGATTATTAGGCCAGATTAACATCAAAACCAAAGTTCTCAATTCCTAGCCCATTTCCTTTCACTTTTGCTTTCAGTCTTTCAACCACAGTAATTTGCATCACTTAAACATAAAATGTAAGTCTTGTGTTCATGGTACCAGATCAACCAGCAAGAAAACAGCTACTGACCTCGAAGTTTACTAGAACTCTATTAAAACCAGCGTTTTAAATTCACTCTAATTACCTCTGCTTTCCCAGCTACTAACACCTACCAAGAGTTTCTCACTATGGTTTTGTAACAGCCTGTTCTCCCTTCGTCCCAACGCTAGAGGAGCTTATAAATAGTGTGGCTGTATAGTAGAGAACAGGCTGCTAGAAAACCATGGTGAAAGATTCTTGGTAGGTGTCAGTTGCTGGGAAAGCAGAGGTAACTTGATTGCACTTTTAAAAACTGGTTTTAATAGTGTTCTTGCAGATTTGGGGGTCAGTAGACGTTTTTGCAGACTCCAAAAGAACAGAAGGTGGGAGGAATGGTGAGGGTTCACTAGAAGCCCAAATCTCACCATTACACAGTTGAACCATGTGACCAACCTGCACATGTACCCCCTGAATCTATAATTTTAAAAATAAATAAATGCATATATAAATATTATGCTGACTAGTTCCCCTCCATAGACTCACTCTGCCCCTTTTCTAGTTGTTATTGTTATTTTTCTTTTCCTCCTCAGATGCTCAGAGAAATCAGAATGCTAGCTGGTGAGGTTTTGGTGTCTCTTGCTGCACATGATTTCAACTCTGTGATGTATGAAGTACAAAGTAACTTCAGGATCTTAGAGCTACCAGATGAATTCGTTGTGCTTGCCCTGGCTGAATTGGCAACCAGCTATGGTATAGCGGGAATATTCTCCAATTTTCCCTGGGAAATGACAACTTCTAATTGTCTAAAAGCTAAATGGGAGCAAACGGTAGAAGAGATAGCATCTCTGCCTTCTTCTGTACCAAGAAATATTGACAGAGGGATGTGGGCAGCTGTTTAAAATGAGCATGGATGATTCTGCTGCCCAGCCACTAGTCCAGACTGCTCTGAATTTGGCCACTCTCCCATCCTCACCTTCCCCTTCATCCAGCTTTGCATTTGCAGAAGCACATTTTCTGTAAGGTGTATTCTATAAACCACTGAACACTTACATGAAATAAGGATCCCTACCATTTATTTCCACACTACTTTATTTAACAGATATTTAGGAATCACCTGTTACATATGTTTACATATACTTTGGGGATACAGGAAAGATCTGGTGGGAGAGATTGACATTAATAAATTAATTATCCAACTAAGCAATTGCTGGCAGCACTGGTGGTATAGTGGTGAGCATAGCTGCCTTCCAAATAAGCGACTGCCACTTAACAAGAGGTACAAGTGGCTGTGTAGCTAGAACCTTATTTTCAACCAGCCCTTCCTTGATTATCTAACTACAGCCTGGTATTAAGGTGGGGTAGAGATGGCGGAATTATAGAAACATCTTTCTACTACACCTCATCTGCCTCCTCCGTGCAGCCCTGAAATGCTTCTTGTTGATTTGGAGTCACAGAACCCCAAATTTGAGAAGATAAATAACACTTGTCTCCTTTCTGCCTCTCCCTCCAGTGTCCCAGAGTATTCCTTTCATGATGATGACCCTGCTCACCATGCAAACCATGCTCAGGCTGGCCGAGGATGAAAGGATGAAGGGGACTTTCTGTATTGGTGGGTATCCCGATGATTTCCTTTTTGCTTAAAAACCAGGCTGTGAACTGTCTTACAAATTAAGCAAAAGTCTTGTTTTCCCTTTAACTCCAATCTTGTCCTTTTGAATAATAATAGCTGCCACTTATTGAGTGCCTACCACATGGAAAGTCCTCAGCAGGGAGTTATCTCATTCAATCATCACAGAAATTCTGCAAGATAAGTACTATTTGCCCATTGTATAGAGGAAAAACTGAGGTTCAAGGAAAGTAAAGAATTTTCCCAAAATGGTGACACAGTCAATGAGATATAGAGGTGGGATTCAAACCCAGGTCTGTGGGAACACCCAGTCTACACTCCTCACTGCCCTGTACAACTTCCATTTCGACTGACCTCCTTCTCTAACTGGACGACACTTTCTTGGCAATGATTGTCAGCACTTACCAGCTCTTAGCATAGGTTAAATTTTGGCATCTGATTATAATGTAATATTGTAATAATGATAACTAAACAAAGTAATCAAACTACAAGCAATCATAAAATCAAGAAAAATAGGCAAGCAAACTGTGGTCACAAACTCCTCTACCCCAAACTGAAATATGTCACAGAAATCAAGAGCCTACAGAGAAGAACGTGCCCTGGAATTCCTAGGAAGCAGTGTTTGCAGTGTACAGGGAAGTTTCTTGGATGAGACTGGAGACCTGGTCTCTTGTCTCTGCTCAGCCACTGAGCCACCAGGTGACCCTGCCCTTCTCTCAGTCCCAGTTTCAACTCTAAAAACATCAGAATAAGTGATTGCTACGTTCCCTTCCACTTCCAACATAACCTAACACTACTATTTTGTAATTTAAAAGCCCACGCTGTCAGGAATGTCTTCTTTACCTAGAAACAAAGGCTCTTCCATTCCATTTTTCCCATTTCTTCTTGTTCTGTCATCAAAGTAATATTTTTATCTGATATATATTGAGAACTTGCTATGTGCCTGGACACTGCCCTGGGTATTTTAAGATTACTATTTCATTTAACTCTCACAGCAACCACATGAGATGGGTAACATTTTTTCCACCATTTTACAAGTGAGAACATTGGACTTAGAAAGTTTCAAACAGCTTGCCTTAGGTCACACAGCCAGTACATGGCAGAGCCAAGACTGTCAACTATGACAGTCTGACTCAAGGACCTGTGCAGCTATACTACACTAACCCACTTTCAATACTTTTTACTATTCCTACTCATTATCATAGCTAACACTGTGTTCCTGCAAATAAACTTTGGAGCCTCTAACAGCATTTCTACCTTTAATATTAACAACCAAGAATGTAAAATTAAATAAAACTAGAAATCCTCATGAACATTACTAAGGGAATTCTCTGTGTTATAAAATTATCTAAGTGCCCTTTGATCTTAAATCACCTTTTTGCCTGACTGCCACTAAAGAAAAGGTATCAAATGTAATAGCTATCTATCCATCCAGCCATTCAGCCATCCAGCCATTCATCCATACCTAGTCATTTGATCAATCAGCAAATTAGCAGACATTGTGCTGGCTGCTTCACATACCATGAACCAGCAAGACATCATCCCTTACTTCAGGTTGCTTACAGGTCAGTTAGAAACATACACACATGTACACACATACACACACACAGCCACACACACATACACCAAGAAATAAACTATTATAAAGTATAGTAAGAGATTCTTAAAGAAATTATAAGGAGTTTGGAGAGACTGTGAATGAGCCAATAAATGGCCGGCTCTACAGCTATAACATGCTCAGGGTCCTTTCCAGGGTATTTTGTGAATGTGAGGAGTCCCTGAAGAATGGACTAATTAATTTTCTTTATCATCTAGCAAAATAAGTGGCACACAAGGGCTGAAGAAAATAATATTATTATTTTATGCATTTCATGCAAATATATATGGATTCGTGGCCCAAATGGTATTTTGGCAGTCCTAAGATTTCTTTTTAATTTTATTGAAGTAAAACATAGACACAGACACAGAAAATCACGCAAATCAGAAGTGTCCATGTTGATGAGTTATTTCAAAGTGAAGTTGCCCATGTGGCCACCACTTAGGTCAAGAAGTGGGAGATTGTCAGAGCCCAGAAGCCCCCTCATGTTACCTTCAAAGGGTAACCACAATCCTAACTTCAAACACCATTAGCTTTGCCTGTTTGTAAGATTCATCCATGTTGTTCTGTGGAGTTATCGCCCATTTTTATTTCTGTATTCTATTACATGTCTATAGAATGTAATAGAATTCTACCTATTAGCAGCTATTTATGCTATATTCTGTTTGGGGCTATTACAAAACAAAAAGCTAATATGAACGCATTCTTGTACAAACTTTTAGTGCTCATATCTACACACGTCTAATGGCTATATACATAAGATTGGAATAGTTGGGTCAAATGGAATGCATATTCAACTTTGCTAGATAGTGCCAAAGAGTTCTGCAAAGTGCTTGAACCAATTCGCCCTTCTACCAGCAGTGAGAATACCAGCTGCACCTTAGTCTTGTTAACACTTGGCATTGACTATCTTAAATTTTAGACATTCTGGATAGTAGTGGCTCATTATGCTTTTAATTTGCATTTCACTTTTGTGGCTGAGCACTTTCTATATGTGTATTTGATGCAGTCGTAAGATCATCTAAAAACCATTACATATTTACTAATCATCAGCACTCTCTTCTCAAATTATTTTATCGTCTGCCCCATCCTTATATTTTTCTCAGTCTGTGGTTGTGTGTTTTAAATGCAGCCCTTGAGAAATTCAGCAAAGCCATTTACAAATATGTCAACCACTGGAGAGATTTTCCCTACCCCAGACTGGATGCCAACCGACTGTCTGACAAGATCTTCATGCTGTTCTGGTATATAATGGAGAAGTGGGCCCCTTTGGCCTCACCCATGCAGGTGAGTGGGCCTCAGGATGCCTCAAGCTGGATGTCCCTATATGCTGGTTGAAATTTCTCTTCTCTTTGTGACATGATAATTAGGCTCAGTATTTTTGGAAGCCATTGGTTGTATTTTATGAGATTTATCAATTTTTTCTTTTTTCCCACCTATTTCAAATCCCTATTTATTTATTATTTCAGTTAATGTTTATTGAATCCCCATGACATGCCAGACACTATTCCAGATGCCGAGGTTGTAGCAGGAATTAAATAAACCAAAATCCCACACTCATGAAATTGACATTTCAGTATGTGGAAAGAACAATCAATAAGATAAAATGAGTAAAAATCCCAGAAAGTTAGATATTTCACATTTTATGTATTAAAACTCATATATGAGCTGAGTCACTAATTAGGAAAAAATAGCAGTCCACAGGTGCTTCTTGTGTCTATGAATATCATGATTAAATAAAATAACATCTAAAGAATATTCTTGGCTGCTTCAAAATACTGCAGTGCCTTGTCCTTGTAAAGAATAAATTACAAAGTGCATTCACATGTATCTTGCTTTAAAAGTATATTCCCTTTATCTTGCTTAATTGCTATAGTTTTTTTAAGCAGGCTAAATGGTATCCTATTTAGGTCTCTTCATTGCTTTATTATAAAAGGTTTAACACTTAGCAGCTTTCTCTAGTTTAGTTTCTTTTCAACACTTTAAACTATTAAAGCATTTATTTTTTAACATCCTGAGGTAGTTAAATCGTTAGCAACATGGAACTTTAAAAATATCCTGTAGGGAAGTTTTTTCTTCAAGACACCTGGAAAACAAATTCAATGCATCTGTTTAACGACTACTCTCCTTGCTCCCTGCAGGAAGGGCCAGGCAAGTGAACAGAAGGTACACAAAGTGACAAGGGTGCACAGAGAGGGAAGCACTTAACTGCCCTGGTGAGCTGCGACATTGGAATTGATCCTTGCAGCCCATGAAGCTGCTCACCACAGCGAAGGTGCATTCCCTACAGAGGGACTAAAACCTACTGAGGCAGAGGTTGAAAATGGGGAAGCATGAACACCTGAGTGAGTGTGATGGGAGATGGAGAAGGGAAGAGAGAAAAAAAGATATAAGGCAGAAAGAAATGAAACCAGAAAGATGGCCTTAGTCACATAATGAAAAGCCTTAGCTGCTACATACAAGTTTGGACTTTTTTTTAATAAACAAGAAACCCTTGAAAGGTTTTAAGCAAGGATTTGAGTACTGCAGTAGAAAAATCATTCTAATATCAACATTAACAATAGAGGGGTATGGGGTGGACTAAGATAAGACTACCTGCTAGGAGGCTATAGAAATATTCCAGCTCATAAGTGGTAAAGAGATCAATTAACATAGTGTTCGTGGAACTGATCAGAGGAGTCAGATGCTGAAGAATAGAATGACCAGGACTTGGCATCAGTTGGATGCTTATTAGGATGGAGGAACCTGGGATGGTTTCCTAGGTTTCTGACTCAGGTGATCTTGGGATCATCAATTTAAACGAGGAGGAATTACAAATGTGGGACAGTACAAAATGGGTTTGATGTAGACATTTTGATTTGAACACCTATGGTACAGTCAAGTGGAGATATTAGTAGGTTTGAGGATATTCAGGTTTGGAGTTAAAAAGGAAGAGCAAAAATTGGACTTATAGATTTGGGTATCATCATTGCATAAGTGACAACCAAATAAGTGGATTTAGATGGAGTTGTTTAAAGAGTTTATAGAGTGGGAAAGTGGCTAAAACAGAGTTCTGGAGGGCATCAATATTAAGGGGAAAGCAAGGGAGAAGAACTCATGATGGAGAATAGGGAATGTGCTAAGAGTGTAGGAGAGTCAAGTAGAATGAGGTCTTAGAAGCTTAGAAAGGAGAAGTTTTCAAGAAGCAAAGATGTAGTCCTGAGTGTTACAGCACTCAAGAAAAATCTTGACAAGTGTCCATTGCTTGGAAATGTGTGGTGGAAGAACCACCCAGCTAATACATAGTATTTAATGAAATAAATGATAGTTGCCATTAGCCACTAAGTTTTGAGATGATTTGTTGTAAAATGTAGCTGATACAAAAAATTTATCAAACATCAGATAGAAAAGGCAGAATATAGAACTCTATAAGAATGATGTCAATTTTTAAGAAATTAAAATTCATGGAAAACATAGGAAATAAGTCAAATAAAAAATATACTAAAATATACCAGTGTTTATCCATGGGTCCTATGTGTATTATGTTTTCTTCAACATAACATTTGTGATTTCTACATTTTTATAATCAGAATTTATCACATTTATATTTCATACTCTGGAAGTTGATGATTTTCCACACTGAATGGCAGCAAGATTCTAGTGGATTGAGAGGTGAATGGGAGGTGAGAGGTAGAGATAGCAAATAAAGACCATACCTTGGAAACGCTTTGCTCCAAGAGCAGGAAAGAGAAACAGAGTCAGGTGGGGGTAATAGTTAGGGTCAAAGTGAGGTGGAATCGGTGAAGATTCTTTTTTTTTTTTTTTTTTTTGAGATGGAGTCTCACTCTGTCACCCAGGCTGGAGTGCAGTGGCGCCATCTCCACTCACTGCAAGCTCCGCCTCCCAGGTTCAAGTGATTCTCCTGCTTCGGCCTCCCAAGTAGCTGGGATTACAGGCGCCCACCACCATGCCCAGCTAATTTTTGTATTTTTAGTAGAGACGGGGATTTCACCATGTTGGTCAGGCTGGTCTTCATCTCCTAACCTCAGGCGATCCGCCTGCCTCGGCCTCCCAAAGTGCTGAGATTACAGGCGTGAGCCATCCTGCCAGCTTGAAGGTTCTTTAAGATGAGGTAAGTTCTAGATTGCTTAATATACTAAAAGAAAGTGAGTATTAGAGAGAGGTTTAAAAAATAGAAAAGCTCTGTCTCAAAAAAATACAATAAAATAAAATAAAATCTAGTATTACAAAAATTAGCCAGGCATGCTGGTGGGCACCTGTAATCCCAGCTACTCAGGAGGCTGAGGCGGGAGAATTGCTTGAATCTGGGAGGCGGAGGTTGCAGTGAGCTGAGATCGTGCCACTGCACTCCAGCCTAGGCAACAAAGCGAGACTCTGTTTCAAAAAAATACAATAAAATAAAAAATAGGAGAGAAGGGCAAGTATTGAAATGAGTATCAGTATAAATACATATGTAAATACAAATATAGCTCTGTCCCATGCAATGATCTTAACCTGAACATTTTTTAAAGATTTTAAAGAATTTAAAGAATTATTTCTTGGCTGAAAGCAGTGAGGAAAGTTTTCAGGAGTACCTAAAGCTCCTGGTGTTCTGAAAACCTATGAAAAACATAAGGAAGTTTCAGAAACGGTATTTGTTTGCTGCCTGTACAGACTTTGAGCATCGTTAAGGCCCACGGGCCCACGGTGAGCTTGCTGCTGCATCGGGAAGACTTCCGTGGATACGCCCTGGGCCAGGTGCCCTGGCTCCTGAACCAGTATAAAGACAAAGAGATTGATTTCCATGTCACTCAGGTAAGAGCCATACCCTAAAGGAACTGAATCAGAGAACCCGCATGCAACCCTCCGGGAGGCTTTTAAGTCTCAAAAGACCCTAAGGAGCTTAAACTCCTGTTTGGGCAGCTGACTTTCAATATCTCTTGAGGAATATGAGGTAGGAAAAAGATTGTATCGCTGGATGATGGGAACTTCAGAAACGGATTAAGAACGTTCATTCTGGGCCTGGCTCAGTGGCTCACAACTGTAATTTCAGCACTTTGCGAGGCCGAGGCGGGTGGATCACTTGAGGTCAGGAGTTTGAGAGACCAGACTGGCCAATAGGATGAAACCCCGTCTCTACTAAAAATGCAAAAATTAGCCGGGCATGGTGGCGCATGCCCATAGCCCCAGCTACTCGGGAGGCTGAGGCAGGAGAATCGCTTGAACCCGAGAGGCGGAGGTTACAGTGAACCGAGATTGCGCCATTGCACTCCCGCCTGGGTGACAGAACAAGACTCCGTCTCAAAAAAAAAAAGGAGGGATATTCGTTCATTCATTCATTCCAAGCTGCTGAGGCACTGAACAGGGTGGAAGGGGCCAGAATCATTCAAGAAAACTTGTAACTGCAGGAAGATGAGAAGCTTGTTTTTCTCTCAAAACACAATTATTTGCCTTCCACATCCTGTGCAGCTGCTTCCCTGGCAGCCTCCAACTAACCTGTGGGAGTTTCCACTTTAGAGCCTAAAACAAATACTGACTGCAGCAGTTCTTTATGACATTGGCCTTCCAAGGAGCTTGAGAAGATCCATCTTTATCAATTTACTCCAGCAGGTAAGAAGACCATGCTGTCAACTCCAATTTTTAATTTCAACCGGTTTTCTGTGTTTAACATCTACCACCTGATTTCCACCCCCATTCAGATCTGCAGAGCTCCAGAGCCTCCAGTAAAGGAAAATGAAATGAAAGCTTCAAGCTGTTTTCTCATTCTAGGTAGGACCAGCATCCAGAAGGCTTTTAATAAAAATGTCCCCAAGTGATGATGATGACAATGGTAAAAGGAGGGCAAACTGTCACATTAACTTACTTTCACACACACAAACACACACACTGTTTCTTTAGCTCACAGTTTTCTGTGCCTGCCCCTCTCCCCACAAGTTCCCAGGAGGAGCAGGACGGGAAGAATGGCCAATGATGCCAGGGTTTCCACGACTGGGATAGGTCCAGGGAGATAAAATTTTCAGTTCTCAAACCAAGGAAGTCCTTGGAAAACTGGAGTGAGTTGACAATCCTAAAAATAGGAAATTTCTTTTTTTTTTTTTTTTTTGGTATTTGAGATTATTTGAGTCTGTGTCAAACCAAAGTCACCCTTTTCTCTTCCTGGTCATCTCTTAGTGTCTACACCTCTTTAACCATCAGTCACTCCGTCTCTCTCTCTCTGTCCTTCACTCTATCCTTTTTTATCTTGACCTTACATTATATCACCTGATTAGAAGGCCTGACATGGGATGCACGGGGGGCACCAAAATCCCAGGGTCAGAATACAAAACTATGCTCCCATACAGTCCCTGAGGAGGAGGGACAGCAGCAATCCAATACCTCCTGGACCTCTGCACTCCCCCAAATACTACATCACTTCTACCTCCTTGCATATCTTTCTGTCATGTGTATGCATACCTTTCTACTTCTCTCCTGACTGGCCCCTTTGTCTCTATACTTTCTTCTTCTCCCCGACCCCTGCCTAGCTAACTAATTCACCTTACCCCTGATGCTTTCTAGAATAAACCACTGTCCTCCAACCAGGCCTTTTTTCACCCCTCCTTGCTTCAACAACTGCAGCTCTCACAGCAGAGGAAGCATCACTGCCATCTCTTCCTCCATCTTCACATGGTGTTCTCACTGTGCCCCATGTCTCTTCTCCTTTTCCTGTAAGGACACCAGTCATATTAAATTCAGGCCCACTCTAATAACCTTCTTAACTTCATTATATCTGCAAAGACCCTCATTTTTAAATAAGGCCACATTCACAGATATGAACAGAAGTGGCCTAGGCACAGCAAGCTCTCTTATGAACAAAACTGCTCAATTAATTCTGTGATACTGAAGAAGCATGGACGTAATAAAATCAAATTACCAACTGAAGAGTGCCTTGGATAATCTTCATGGTGAATTTCCCTCCTCCCATTCACAAGTATTTTACCTAGGATGAAAATGAGTTACAGCTCTAGTGTTTCTTGAACCTGCAGCCCATTCCAATCCTGGAGAGCTGATGGAATTTTTTGATGAACAAGTAAGAAGTAATAATGAAGCCATTCGAGTGGGAATCTTGACTTTGTTAAGATTGGCTGTCAATGCTGATGGTAAGCAAGAGGGTTGAAGCCAACATGGTTTATTTCATGCCAAGAAGCAGACTGAAGCCTATGCACTCTCTAATCCTATCCTATGTCTTTTGGATGCTTATATAACATCACGTGCAAATGAAATTCTGTCTTCTTAATCTTCCACAATCTACAATTCCTTTCAACAGGCATCTTTAGTTACTTCTCTTCTTTCGTAACATTTATGGATGCACCCAGTTGAGAAGAATGAGTAGAATTTTTGAGAATTAAAGTTCGAATTTAGAAGCTCTTGTAGGTTGATTAAATGGTCCAATATCAAGGGGTGGGTGGGAGGGAGTGCACAATTCTCTAGAGATTGATACGTTTACAAAAAAGCAGAATTTAACGAATTGCCATATTTTATTCCAGAAAGTACATATTTTCATAACACTGAATGCATCTTACAATTGAATGAATCTTTAATTATAATTAGCCACTATTTTTTGGTGCAATATGAAATAATGGTGCATGATAAAATTGGTGATATCTTAGACTTGCTAAAATACAAAAATTCATTTTTGCATAGTATGGTATAGTTTTTTAACATTCAGTTAGCACTTTGATTTACTGAAGAATCAGCAGATGAATATGAAGCAGTCTCACAATATTTAGATCTGATCCACCAGGAATGATATATTGAAACCACTATGGAACCTAACATTTTAAACAAAATGAAACAAATGTAATAAGAAGCAAAGAAAGCATTGGACATCATTAAAGATTTGGAAACAAAGAGGATGGGAGGGCATTGAAAAACAAATAGGTTGTTAAAAACAAGAGATTTCACAATTATGTGCCATAATTCTAATAGCTTTTCATCAATCCTAGAACATACTGTACTTCTATTGAGTCAGGCCTCTCAATTTCTCCCTCTGTCTTTCAGAGCCCAGGTTGAGGGATCACATCATTTCAATAGAAAGAACAGTCAAAATCGTCATGGGTGATCTCAGTACAAAAGTAAGAGAATTAATAGAAACTCTTGTCGATGGTAGCTTTAAGAATGAATGAAATTATTTTGATTCTTTAAGGATCTACTTATGAGACTATTTTATAAAGAACTCTGTGGTCAATTCCATTTTTAAAAGAACTCCATCTTTTCCAAAGAGATAAACTTCATCAAGGTAGAGGCCTAAAGTACACACAGCTAAAGGACGTCTCAGTGAAAAGAAGAAGATTTTTGCTTATTTAAAATAATTGCAGGAAATCAGTGGATTAACACATGAGTAGAATAAGAGCAAAGAGACTGTATCTCACTATGCCAATGCACTTCAAATAGTTTAAAAATTACTTGTTAATTATAAAGATAATGTATCTTCATCCAGGAAATATTAATCCCTAAACCTTGGTCTTAGCATAGACATCCTACTTTCCAACCAGACTCTACCTAGAGCAAGTCATGCACATAGCGGATTGCTCAATATTCCTGATTATTTGATTAAAGTGTTCTAAGGTGCAGTGGCTCATGCCTGTAGTCCCTACACTTTGGGAGGCCGAGGTAGGTGAATCATTTGAGGTCAGGATTTCGAGACCAGCCTGGTCAACATGGTGAAACCCCGTCTCTACTAAAAATACAAAAATTAGCCAAGTGTGCTGGCTCACACCTGTAATCCCAGCTACTCATGAGGCTGAGGCACAAGAATCACTTGAGCCCGGGAGGTGGAGGTTGCAGTGAGCCCAGACTGCACCACTGCACTCCAGCCTGGGCAACAGAGTAAGACTCTCTCTTTAAAAAAAAAAAGGTGTTCTATGTTAGAAGTTATAGAACTTATACTGGGAAAGCAAGAAACATTATCAAATATTATATTTTTGTAAGAATACCACATTTTGTTTGGAATAAAATGCTAGACAGAAGCCAATTAAGAGGAATAAATTCTTTTAAGAAGCTTTGACTGCCAGTGACTATGTTTAAAATAGTAAAAGCTTTGCAATAAAAAGCAATAGAGTGATTATACAAAAAAACCTGGCCTAGTAACTGACAAAAGACAAAACAAGAATTACGAGAAGAGTTTAGGATAGCATAAAGAGCATAGATCTTTGAGGAAGGCCAACTCCCCAGGCAAAAATAGAGAAAAGGTGTACCTCTTCTCTAGGTAGACTACTGAGAGTCTTTATGCTAATTGTTTTGGCCACCATATAACTGCTTCCCTGTTCAAAATGGTTTTTTTCTTCCCGCTCTCTTTTCAAAGACCTGTTCACTAAGGGATTGGTTCTCATGTTTCTATCCTCCAGAGAAGCAACACAATAAACAAATTAAAACCAAATTATTATATATACTATAATGCAAGTTCATAAAACTTCACTCTAATTTCTAGGGCCAGATATATTTCAGAATTGACAATTTTTCAGCTTTTAGAAAAACATTACTCTGATAGAAACCCATAATGGAAATCCATGAATATTTCTGCAAGAAAATTAATGCATATCCACACAGCATAGAATAAGATTACAAACAGCTTTAAAACCGTTCAGTTTGGGTTTTGCCACCAAATGAGTTGGCACTAAATTTAAGAAACAAAAATCCAGTTTTCATAGTTGTTTGGACTCTGAAATTGTGAATAAACAGTTGTCTGTTATCTTTCATTGAGTATTTTAAAAGCAAAGCAGTGTTTTAGGCCAAAGTTACCCAACAATTCATAATCTATGGTGATAGACAATATGCCTTTGAGAGCCAAGGAGAAAGATTTTGGCTAAAGAGAGCATTTCTGGTGACTCTTTCATAACCTATCACTCACTTTCTTCTCCCTCTATTTATACAGGTTGAGCATCCCTAATCCAAAGGAAGTCTGAAATGCTTCAAAATCCAAAACTTTTTGAGCACCAACATGACACTCAAAGGTCATGCTCAAAGAAAATGCTCATTATAGCATTTCAGAATTTGGATTTTCAGATTAGGAATGCTCAACCAGTAAGTTTAATGCAAACATTTCAAAATCTGAAAAAAATCCAAAATTTGAACATTTCTGATCCCAAGCATTTTGGATAAGGATTATTCAATCTGTATTAACACTATTCAATTTATGTTCCTTTTTCAAAAATGTTCCCACTTAATTATCCTTAAGATTATAGAATAAAATAAGGTAAATTTCCCTTCTGCAAAACATAGTAAAATGTTGCTATTGCATTGTTCTTACCCTAGGTAAGAAATTCTGTTCTTCTCCTCATCCAAACCATGTGTGAAAAGTCCTATATTGAAGCTCGGGAAGGATGGCCATTGATTGATTATGTCTTCTCCCAGTTTGCAACGTTGAACAGGAATCTGGTATGCAGAGGCTACAGTTTTGAGTGATGCACTATAAAAAGTACAGTTCGCTCAACTATGTTTCTTTTTAAAAAATGATTAGGATCCTTAATCTGTCACAGGAGTAGAGTAAAAAATAAATAAATAAATTTTAAAAAAATTAAAAATAACTGGAATTCAATTAAATAACTGATTTTGAAGTCATATTTTAATCTTATCACTTTTATTGATAATTTTTACAGCCTCTAGTTTTCTCAGTTCTTTTTTTTTTTTTTTCTAAAATCACCTCTAACTTATAATAAACACAAGATAGGTTAAATCAGTTTTCCCTAAGTTAACCCAGCCACCAAAAGCTTGGATTGGGGTTGTCTGGAGAGGGACACAGAGACTGGATTGCTTCCGAGAAAGCAATAGAGATATCAATTCTTGCTGCAACGGTGTCTTAGTTCATTCAGGCTGCTATAGCAAAATACCATGGAACAGTGAAGTAAGTTCTATGAAGTGCATTTCTAAAATAGCACACTTCTGAAATCATAAATAAGTTTATTAGGGTTCTAACCCTTTGCTGTACACAAACAGAAATGTATCTGTTATATGAATGAGAAAAAGCTGTATGCTGATGGAGCATGCTTTTAAAATCCTTTAAAAACACCATATAGAAAGGAAAATAGCATAAAATGATGTTTTATAAACAAAAAATATTTATTTCTCACAGTTCAAGATGCGGGGAAGTCCAAGATTGTCTAATGAGTGCCTGCTTCCTAACAGATGGTGCTTTCTCACTGTGTCCTTACCTAGTGGAAGGGACTAGCTAGCTCTCCAGGGTCTCCTTCATGAGGGCATGAATTCCAAACACTAGGGACTTTCTCTTATGACCTAATCACCTTCCAAAGACCACACCTACTAATACCGTCACCTTGGGCGTTCAGATTTCAACATATGAATTTTGGGAAAACACAAACACTCAGATCACACAATTGAGGTCAGCTTTCTTTTGATAAATAGGCTGAAAAATACAAGCTTATGATCTCTGTGATTTTAGCAAATTAGTCACAACTGAAATAACAGTTCACTCCACAAAGAAGCATGCTTTGAAAAATTTGCCCTGAAGAAAATGGCAAAGGCCTGAGAAAGAGAGGGGATATCTGCAGTTGAAGGAGCCTCACAATTTCTGTTTCTCTCTTTTAGCAAGCGTTGTGTTTTCCAACTAATTCCTCCAAGGGGCCCTTTCAAACAGGGATTAGATGTTGAAGGCCAAGATATCTAGGTTCCATGAGCCCCTTAAGTTGAGTGACTACATCCTCTACTCCAGAGTCTAAGAACACACCCAAGGAAAGTCAGAGGGGACCAACCTTAGGAGTCATTAACAAGTCACCTGTTTGATCTTTCTTAAAGGAGAAACCAGTGAAAACTAACTTTCATGAGAATGAAAAGGAAGAGGAATCTGTCCGAGAAACAAGCCTTGAGGTCTTAAAAACCCTGGACCCACTGGTCATTGGAATGCCTCAGGTAAGTGGTCTTTTGTCACCACTTACAGTTACTTTGATCACCTTCTTAAAGCCCAGCCTGTGTAAGAATAAAGACATGAGTTTGTTCTCCATTTGTCATCAGCTTCCTGATGCTCTGACTAGAGGAAGTATATTGCAACGCTGTGTCCAACACATAGTGGTTCCTCAAAAACAGATGTTGAATTAATTAATATAAAGTATCTTACATCTGGATAGTTCATGACAATTTATATATATAATATTAATATACTATTTCTCTTCTTCCTCTAATGCATACAGTAATATTAAGTAGTGGTTTTAAAGCAACCAATGCCAAACTTACCCTATTCCACCTGGGAATGTGTTAAAAGCAGCCATTCTCAGGCCTCACTGGAGACCTGATCATTTGAAACTCAAGGGGAAGAGCCTTGGAATCTGTAGTGCCCGGAAGTACATAGCACAGCCAGAAGACAACCAACTGACCACACCTTTTAAGTGGTAGATCAGAGGCTTCATCTAGCTTCATCCTGAGTTAGCTGGGATATTTACTTAAAATGCAGATTTCCAGGTCACACACCAGACCTACTGAATCAGCAAAACTGGACATAGAGACCAAAAGTCTACAATCAACTAAGTTCCAATATTTCTGATACATACTAAAGTTTAAGACCTTCTGATATAGAAGTGAATGATGAAAAAAATAATCTAGGGTCCAACCCTAAAGGGCCTGGAATGCCAAACTTTTACCTTATGGTTGATAAACCAATGAAAATTTTAAGCAAGAGCTAAACATTTAAAACGATAATTGTAGGGAATCAGTAGATTCACACATGAGTAGACTAAGAGCAAAGAGACTATATAGGAGATCAGATGCAACTTGTAGCAATTACAGCAATGTCATTGCAATAGAAATGAGACATGAAAGGGCAGGAGACATCTTACAATGAAAAAAGGACTGAGTCTGGTGATTAAATATAGATGACAAAGAAGAGAGAAGAGTACAAGTTGACACCAAGGTTTCCATTAGGACAAGAGAGTTTTCTAAGGGACATAAAACATACTAAAGAAACCACAATGTTTCAGACTTCCAGAGCAGGCAGGTCAGAGCCTGAAGCACAGAGGACAGCAGCAGCCCATTCACTATCCTCTCCCAAGCTTCTCAACTGGGGAAGTCACACTCCAATCCTGGAGTTTTGGGAAGTACTTGGGGGATTTTTGGTTGTCACATTGACAAGAGGAATACTGGCACTTGGTAAGTGGGGCTCAGGGATGCTAGCATTCCCCTAGTGTCTCGAGCAGTCCCTCACAACAAAGAATTGTCCTGCCCCACATTCCAGCAACGTCCCCATGGAGAAATACTGACCAACACTCACTACAGCTAACACCTGAAAATCAATGTGCTGTGCAGAGGCTTCCTTTAATGATCTCATCTTGACTTGGCCCAAAAAGCAAAATAATAACAGGAGAAAAGCTTCTAAATCAGAGAAAAACATGCAGTGAGGACCAGGGAGAAATAATGGAAAAGAATAAGCAATCCTTGCATCATGCCCTGTTTTCCACAGGTGCTATGGCCAAGGATCCTGACTTTTGTGGTACCTGCAGAATACACAGAAGCTCTGGAGCCCCTGTTTAGTATCATCAGAATTCTGATTATGGCAGAGGAGAAGAAGCAGCACAGTGCCAAGGAGTCGACAGCACTTGTCGTCTCTACAGGAGCTGGTCTGTACATTCATAAACACAGAAAAGCTTTTCTATTATGAGGGATCCATTTCCAGGAAGGCTACAGTGCTTTGACCTTAAACCCAACCCCAATCTCTAACCCCTGCAGTGATGATGAAAATTGCTTTCTCTTTCTAGTGAAACTTCCTTCACCACAGCAGCTACTGGCCAGACTTCTGGTGAGTGAGTTACTAAGAACCAAAGTAGAACAAATTTAAGCTGATAAGGATAGTTCAGTTCCAAATAAGTGCTAATATAAATTACATAGATACTCCAAACAAAAAGAAACACTAAAAAGGCATAATAAATTTTCTGCTATACTAGTGACATTCATGAATATTTATTATTGACATGATTACCTTCCCACTCTGAAATACTTGTTGAACTTTACTTATAATTTTAAAGTAAGCATATATTGAATCTCATTCATAAGTACCATTAAACAAATTCCACATCTGTTATTTGGATTTCCCATCTCTCTCTTTGGCCCCATATGGATGATTTACTCAAGCACTATTTCCTCATGCCTTTATTTAATTAATTGATATATCTAAGTGTTAATTCTTTCCACTTATTTTTGGTTGGTGCTTTCCATGTATTTTTTTCACCTTTATCCTCAGGGAAAAAGAAATGGGAGAAGGGCTATCTAAGTATTAGCTTCATTCTAGAATAAATAAGAATAGACTGTGATGATTTGTTAAAAGATTATCCAATGCAGAAATCAAAGGAATTGGAACAATGGTAAAAAGGGAAAAATAAGTGGGGCTTTTAAACGCCCCTGAAATTGATGAGCTCCTTCTCTTCTATCCTTCAGGTAATATCTATGCCTGCCAGTTTAGGGGAGTTACGTGGGGCTGGTGCAATAGGGCTTTTGAAGATACTGCCTGAGATAATTCACCCAAAATTGGTAGACCTATGGAAAACACGTTTACCTGAGCTTCTGCAGCCTCTGGAAGGTACAAGGGATTGGGGCCAGGTCTTTACCCAGGGGGCAAGAACATAAAGAAATAATGCACCGTTTCTCTGTGTAAAGCCATTAATGCTCATTTTAGGCAATAAAAATGATGAACTTGATATGCAAGGTAGATAGCTATTTTTTTCTTCTTAACTCCTTATGTTCTGTTTCTTGCCAATATTCATACTACAAGAAGACCTAGTAGGTAACATTCTTAGCAGGAATTTTTACTTTTGCTCTCGTCTTTTTCTTGTATCTAGAGAAATTCTATTTTAGCATTGTTCTAAAAAGTTATTAATCATGTTAGAATATCAAAATATGGTCATTTCAGTAGTCATCAAAATTAGCAAAAAGCCTAGATTTTTATGATAGATTGAAGACCTTCTCTCTACCTAGCACTTTAAAGTTGCCAGTGTAGTAAATTTGATCTCAAATAAGCATTATGAGCAAAAAGAAAGCTTAAAATAGAACTCCAGTATCACTGGAGGCCTGGAGGGGAGAATTTGAGTCTTGGGGTGGTTTTGTTTTTTTGCGATTATTACATCAATTTTTGTTTCTAGGAAAGAACATCAGTACCGTTCTATGGGAAACCATGCTGCTTCAGGTAAGGCTGGCTTCTAGAATAATTTTTAATAATGGCATGATGAAATCAGCTGAAGTTACCCATCCTAAATTAAAGGAACTAGATTCCTGAGGATAATAAACAACCTTTTCCTTTCTTTGGAAAAGAATTAGAATGTTAGAAGTGATCACTCAAGGATAATGTTCTTTAAATAGCCATAATTTGAACTACAATCTTAAATCCACTTGATTCAGTTTCAGACAGTTTTGAAGATTTTACTTAGCAATATTTTTCCTGTGTCTTTCTTAAATCTTCTCTAATTTTCAAGTTTTTACTTCTTGCAACTTTGTTCTTTTACCAGCCACATAATGAAAAGCAGATGAATATAATTTCCACTTCCATGCCCCTAAACACAACTGTATTTCCTCTTCTATTTGTGGCTTAATGTCTTTTTCCTAATATCCAAAAAACAAAGGGCCACATTTTATCCATTTCCAAAAACGAATTTCCTCTCTCACCCATAAACTTCTTGGAGCTTTACAACTAAACAGTGCCACAAGTGATACCAAATCCCAGAAATAGTTAATTGCAGACAGGCAGTGGACATTGGCTTTACAAAGATGTGACTTCAGAAACTTGCAGGAGGGACGAAGCCCACAGACAGGGAGCTTTTAATATAGAAGGTTTTCTATATTAAAAGGCATCTACCTAGGAATTACCTATGGCTTCTTAGAAGAGTCAATTTTCAATGATCTCTCCACAGTACTCCCTCTGCCTCCTATCTCCCTTCCAGATTCAGAATCTCTGGGGGTGGTACCTGAGAACTGGCATGTTTTAAAGGTTTCCATCAGTGATTCTTATCCAGTATAAGATTTGAAAGTGACTGCTCTACTCTCCTGGTCCTCAATTCTAGGATCCACCTCTCCTCCTATATTTATGGTTCTTTTATGTTCCCTTCCCTCTCCCAAAATTCCTACCAGATTTCCTTCTGCTACCATTTTAAAATAACTGTCTTTACTAGGGAGAAAAATATTTTTTTTTCTAGTAGGAAGTCTTGACAACAGTTCCTTCTCCTCTTCCAATTTTGAATATTTTCTGGTCTTTTTTTTCCAAAACTGTCTGCACATGTCTTCTTCTCTTAAATTTCCGAAACTGTTTAATTTCTTTAAAGAACCCATGAATGAGCTCCTGTTAAGAACAGGCATACACATCCTTTCATTGGTTTTGTTTGGCATTGTGTCCTTTTCTAAGCTTAAAGTTGAAAAAATATAGGAGAGATAATATATATATTGCAATGTGTTTGTCCAAAAGAAAAAAAAAACACTTTTCTATGTATTGTTCAAAGAAGAAGGACATGGGTTCAAAGGACTGATTGTGACCCTGTCTCATAGGTATCAGTAAAACCAGGAATCTTTAGTTACTAGAGTTGAAGTTTGCAGAAATGTACCTGTACATCAAAATGTGCCTGTTCTTTAAGACATTTAATTCTTGATTCCAAAAATCTCCATCGTGTTTGGGGTTTTTTTTTTTTAGTATGTAATCAGTTAAGTTAATATCAACAAATGGAGTTTTTCCAAATCTACCGAAACTAGAAAAATGCCAACTTTAAGTTTCAGATTGGATTAGTTTATATTTTAGGTCTTTTAGCAATATTTATTTAAAGGAAGAAAAGGAAGTTGATTTTCCACATTCTGTGTATCTTATTCTCAGTGCAAATTCAGAACATATCAGAAAATGTTTTTTAGAATAAACTAAGAGGAAAGTTTCGAAGGAATTAGTTATTTTATGGAAAAGGGAATAATACTATTTAAAATATATTTAAACTTTTAAAAGATAAAATAACCAAAAATATGCCAAGAAAGCACATGAAACGGTCATATTCACATCTAACTTCCACTTCCTACAACAGTTGCTCAAAGAATCCTTATGGAAGATCAGTGATGTGGCCTGGACCATTCAGCTGACTCAGGATTTCAAACAGCAAATGGGCAGTTACAGCAATAACTCCACTGAGAAGGTTGGTTTTTCAGCTGAGGGGAAACCTTAGCTTTTACCTATGATCCAAAATGGCTGCTCTAGCTCCATCTTGTCTGTATCACAATCAAAGGGAGGGAGGAACATTTAAAAAAAAAAAGAGTTCCCTCTTTTTAAGGCCACTAGCTGAAAGTTGAATATGACCTTCTCTGCACCTCACTTTTAGCCCAAATTTACTCATATGGCCACAGGTATCTGCGAGGAAGACTGAGAGGTAGATAAGATAGATATGTGCCTAACTAATATTCAGAGGTTCTTTCTACAGGAGGAAGAAGAATAGATACTGGAAGGCTAACAGCAGTGCTTAATGTCAGCTTCTGTCCTGGCTTCCATTATGCCAGTCTTGTGAGGCTGGCAATCAAAAAGAAATCTACTACAATTTAACAAAAGCTTATAGCTAAAAGAGTACTCAAAAGCCAGTTCTAGGAAAGGGCGCCCAAAGAAATAGGTTTTTATTTCCAGTGACAAAGAGGTATGGCCATGGATAACAATGATTAAAGGACCCACAGCCATGTGTCAGTTAACAGGACAAATCAGAGCAATAAAGTATTTTTCAAACATTATTCCTTTCCATGTTTTTAAAGTCAGTTCTTCTATCCCTCTGTCTCTAAATGGCCCCTACCTAAGCTTCCACCTTGTAGCCATCCATTCCAAATGGGGTTTGAAGCCAGTTTCCCCTTATTACTACTAGTGGGGCCTCAGGTAAATTATTTTATCTCTCTGGATTCTCACCATACTCATCAGTAAAATAGAAACAATACCCACCTCTGAGGGTTGTAGTATTCTGAGGGTTCAATGAGATAAAGTATATAAAGTCCCTGGTGAAGTGCTTGACATAGGGCATGTGCTCCATATAAAAGTAGCTTTGATCATGGTCTTTATTATGCTAATACCATTCATAAGTTTATTTTCCTGGAAAAATATTTAAGTTTCTCAGTTCCAGTACTCAGTATTTCTTTCCACAAAGTAATCATTATCAATCTTCAACTCACATATGTAATTTTCAAAATTCTCCTCATTGATCGACTCTCTAATTTGGTGCAGAGTACTGATTCTCCAAATGGGTTTACCAAACCTGCCAACACACATTAGGAAAATTTGGCGAGTAATGCTCCATCTTCTTATAACACAAACTAGCTCTGTGCACCTCATATCATGCTATTTATTCAACAGCTTCCAGACCCACAAGATTACTCTAGAATAATGGTGGTACCCGTAGGCAGAGCAATTTCAGTAATTAGCTGCCTAGATGTTCTCAAGCCTTACACCGAACAAGAGTAAAGTAAGAATGTACTAATTCACTTTTGCTGCATCACAAACTACCCCTAGTGGTTTAAAATAACAGCCACCTATTTAGGTCACAATTTTATACTTTGACACTTTGGGCTGGGCTCAGGTG
Source organism: Homo sapiens (assembly GCF_000001405.40). Taxonomy (NCBI): domain Eukaryota; kingdom Metazoa; phylum Chordata; class Mammalia; order Primates; family Hominidae; genus Homo; species Homo sapiens. Next base: position 41,044,329 of record NC_000005.10, on the reverse strand, counting down.
GGTAGTCATCTAATCTCAACTAGGCTCACAAGGTATACTTGAGGTTGGCTGGTACATGATGCATTTTTTTTTTTTTTTTTGAGATGGAGTCTTGCTCTGTCACCCAGGCTGGAGTGCGGTGGCACGATCTCGGACCACTGCAACCTCTGCCTCCCAGGTTCAAGTGATTCTCCTGCCTCAGCCTCCCGAGTAGCTGGGACTACAGGCACGTGCCACCACACCCGGCTAATTTTTTTTTTTTTTTTTGTATTTTTAGTAGAGACGGGGTTTCACCATGTTAGCCAGGATGGTCTCGATCTCCTGACCTCATGATCCACCCACCTCAGCCTGCCAAAGTGCTAGGATTACAGGCATGAGCCACCGCAACCTGCCTATGATGCATCTTAACTAGCACAGCTGATTTCTGTTGTTCTTGTTCTCTCATACTCTAGCAAGCTAGCCCAAGCTAACTCTCAGGGTGATAGCAACAAAGCATGCAAGGACTCTTGAGGTATAGGCTCAGAACTGACCCATTATCATTTTTGCCACATTCTATTGGCCAAAGCAAGTCAAAAAGCCAGCCCAGATTCACATAAATGGGAAAATAGACTCCTTTCTTGATTGAAGGAGCTGCAACACCCCATAGTAAGGAGACATGGACAGAAATAGGATGGAAAAGTTGCTATTTTTGCACTCTACCACATTTTCTCCCAATGCTAGGCTTCTAATTTCTTGGATTCCATGTGAAGCCTTAAAGCAGGGATGTACTATGCACTGGACCAAAATCCACAGAGAAGCAACAGGTCAGCAGGACTGGGAGGCACTAAGACTAACATTTTACACCTAAGTCAAACTTTCCCTTCATGACCAATTTTTTTCTGCAGCACAAGACTTTCCCAGATTCTTTCCAGTCTTTCCCCCAAGGTGGGCTTAAATAGACTTTAGCAGCTTTGTCCCCAATTCGTATTTACTTCTGTATTGTACACAGTTTTCTCCACTATAATTTCCTTATTATAGGGACTTTGGCCTGAATAAGTGAAAGTGGGGTGATGCAACCTGGTCAGATTCTCACTCTGATTGAGGCCACTGTCACTCTGGGAGTTGAGATAACAGCAACTGCTCCACCTCTTTTTAACTTTATGCCCCCCTCTCATTTCAAGCCAGATTGATATGCACATTACTCCTGAATGTACTAATTTAACTTGGTCTGTGTCTATTAGAATTTCCTTTCCTCCTGCTCCACAGATTTTCCTATTGTCAGTAATGACCACTCATTAGGAAAAGTCCTGCCAGCTGTGCAGAGTCCTTGACCTGGACCACCAATTAGCCAGTTTTGTCTCTTGTGTGTGACAATATGGGGATTCTAAATAAATGCCAATCTGTTACTATATAGCTAGGAATGATTTGAACCTTATAAAACAAATTAAAGCCATCTTCAAAATAATGGGTTGGGCATGGTGGCTCATACCTGAAATCCCAGCACTTCAGGAGGCTGAAGCAGGCAGATCCCTTGAGGCCAGGAGTCTGAGATCAGCCTCGCCAACATGGTGAAACCCTGTCTCCACTAAAAATACAAAAATTAACCAGGCATGGTGGCACACACCTGTAATCCCAGCTACTCAGGAGGCTGAGGCATGAAAATCTCTTGAACCCAGGAGGCAGAGGTTGCAGTGAGCCAAGATCGCACCACTGCACTCCAGCCTGGGCAAACAGGGTGAGACCCCATCTTAAAAAAACAAAACAAAACAAAAAACCCTCTTTTTATTGAGCATGTTCATTGAGCATTTGTTGAGCACATATTAACAATCAGGAACTATACAGTGGAAATAATGAATAAGACCCTCTGCTACAATGAACCCAAATCCTAAGCATGGAGACAAGCAAGAAAATAAAAAATTACAATGGGGGGTGAAGTATATTTTAGTGGCAGGACACAAGGTAGAGAGGAATATAGGAGGGCACAGATGGAGGGCAGAGCCTGGAGGAAGGAAACACTCTCAAGAAGAGAGAATACTTGAGGTACATGGTTATTAAGTCACCCCAATTTCTTTCCTTCAGATGATTATTTTAACTCTTTCCACTTTTCATCAGAGTCTTGCTTTCCAACCCTTAAAATCCTGTTGCTTATCTTTTGTTTTCCAGAAATTCCTTTGGAAAGCCTTGGGAACCACCTTAGCATGCTGCCAAGATTCAGACTTTGTAAACTCACAGATTAAGGAGTTTCTGACTGCTCCCAACCAACTGGGGGATCAAAGACAGGTGGGACCCCTTGCTCTCAATTTCCTCTTATGATGATAACAACACAACTAATCCTATCCACAAAACCTCTGACAGCTTTTATAATAATGTTCTACTTAATCATAATTATCAATTAATACACTCAGAATAGCCTAACAGAATTTTTCGGAAAAGTTAGGCTTTTCTATTTAAAATCAATACTTCATTTTTAACCAAGTTTATGAAAATATTGAAAAATGAATTTCAATAATTCTTACCTAACCAGACCTTGGCTTGACTTAGAGCATGATTGTGAGCATCAAAATGATTGAATTTACAAGCTGAAATTACTTATAGACTAATCTAGACTAATCTAGAGAGAATGTAAAGATAACCTAAAGTGCTTCTGCAAAGCTCTACTTACTTCCTACCATAGCCTGTGGCTATAGAGTATATATAAATGTGGAGGAAGGAGAAGATGTGTATTTTGTTGTTGTTGTTGTTGTTGTTGAGACAGAGTGTCGCTCTGTCACCCGGGGTGGAGTGCAGTGACACGATCTTGGTTCACTGCAAACTCTGCCTCCCAGGTTCAAGTGATTCTCCTGCCTCATTCTCCCGAGTAGCTGGGATTACAGGTGTCTGCTACCATGCCCGGCTAATTTTATATTTTTAGTAGATAGGGTTTCGCCATGTTGGCCAGGCTGGTCTCGAACTCCTGACCTCAGGTGATCCACCCACCTCAGCCTTCCAAAGCGCTGGGATTACAGGTGTGAGCCACCGCACCCCGCTGAAGATGTGTATTTTTAAAACAAACAAATAAACCAACAAAAAATAGTTCCCAAGCTGATAAAGACCACCAGTATAAAAAAAGTATAGTGTGTTATATTTTCTCCTCAGAAATTATAAGATATTTAGGGTTCTTTCTCACACATTAAATGGCCAGAAACCACTAGACTTTACTGAACTTTTGAAACTGCTTTTATATTACTATTATTTCCTTTTTCTTGTCAGATATTATCATTTATTGCTGTTGGCACCATCTCTAATATCATTTTTTCCATCTTATCTCTGGTATAGGTTAGGAAACAAAGTAAGTTGATTTTAAATATAAGCATATAAGACTCTCATTCAAGGTCTGAGGGTTTCACAAACTTTAAAAAATAAATCATGGCCGGGCACAGTGGTTCACAACTGTAATCCCAGCACTTTGGGAGGCTGAGGCAGGCAGATCACGAGGTCAGGAGTTCGAGACCAGTCTGGCTAACATAGTGAAACCCCATCTCTACTGAAAATACAAAAAATTAGTCGGGTGTGGTGATGTACACCTGTAATCCCAGCTACTCGGGAGGCTGAGGCAAGAGAATCGCGTGAACCCAGGAGGGGAGGTTGCAGTGAGCCGAGATCGCACCATTGCACTCCAGCCTGGTTGACAGTGTGAGACTCCATCTCAAAAAATAAAAAAAATAAAAATTGTGACGTCCAATTGAGCTTCTCAAATACCTTTTTTACTTAACTTTAAGTCCTTGAATATGTCTTACATACTCAAGTCGCTTAATAAATGACCTCTGGATGAATAAAGTGTTAACACGTGACTTTCATAACCCACTGAGCCTACTTGGTTTTCAATCTCCTAAGCATAATGCTTTCAATCATGTGAGGCCAGAGTTCTGATTCTAGCTTCATACTAGAACGATTATTATCTAGACTCTACAAGAATGGTCTAGTCTACGAGTTTTCATGATGGCTCTGGCAGGGTTATGCCACTGAATGACATATAACAGGTTTCAGGAACAAATTGCCATGAAGGAACTCTGGTGAAATCAGCTTTGGACAAGAGAGGTGGGGACAGAGGGAATATATAACCTCAGAGTGTGAAACAAGAACTGCCAACTTTCAGAAATTTAACCTCTTAAGATACAGTAAAGTTTCAGGAACAGAATGATTCTTTAAAAGCATCAGTCAATTCAAGCTGAAAAAAAACCTCCATTAGCTTCCCAGCAATCATAGATTACAAGTCCAAAATCTTGGGGACGGCCTAAAAGGCCCTACTGTAATGAACCCGCCACCTCCTGTCTGACTCATTTTGCACTGCTCTCCTCCCTGACTGCTCCCTCAGCCCTCTCAGTGGACTTCGGGAGCTTTGCACTTACCTTCTCTCTGATTGAAACTCTCCTTTCCAGATAGTCTAATGGCTCACTCCCTCACTCATTTCAAGGCTCTGCTCATTGTCACCTTGTCCGTGAGACCATCTCTGACTATCCTATTTTAATAATGCAAACTTCCCCCAATCCTCACTACCTACTCCTGCTTTACTTATCTTCATAGCACTCATCACCATCTGGCACACTGTATATTTACCTGTTTACTGAATTGATGTGTTTACTTATTTCACTTCCCTGTTGCTTCCCTGTCAGTTCTCCTGGTTGTATACCTTACAAAGATGGGGACTTTGGTATGTTCTGCAAACTACTGTACCCCCAGCACCTAAAGGATACCTGGCACATAATAGGTGCTCAGTAAATATTTGTTGAATAAATAAATGGTTAAACTCAAAATGTCATACCTTTTCTGATTTTAGGGAATAACATCTATTTTAGGATACTGTGCCGAGAACCATTTGGATATTGTTTTAAAAGTTCTTAAAACATTCCAAAATCAGGAAAAGTTTTTCATGAATCGATGTAAGGTAAGAAGAATCATCTCCTTCAAATTCTCAGTATTGCAAGGCCAGACAACCCTGATTTCTTCAGTGAATATCCTTTCTTATATTATACTTACTCCTGTCCCCAGGTTCTTATTCCAGGTCAGAACTGTCCAAGCCCAGTCTTTATAGGATGATTAGCTATATGAAAAGTCTACTTTATTTTCTCTGACCCTAAAGCTGATCTGGAAGATCCTAAATGCGCTCTGCATGTGCCTAAGTTTGTCCCTCTACCAACCACTCGGCCCTCATGAATAGCTCCTCTCATGCATACTCTGCTTTCCCTGAAGGAAAGGGGCCTGATAAGTATATATAATAAACAAAAGCTTCTCCCAGTTACCTCTCTGAAGGCCTGATCATCCCACAGGACCATCCTGGCTGTTTACATTTAAACAGGCGAGAGTATATTCATTTTAGACTTATTCGAATCATCCCAGTCCAGTTTCTTATCCCCTATAGTGGTCCACAGGATTAGGAAAAAAACATGAGAGAAAATAGAACTCCTTCAGTCACATTTTTCATGTCTCCCTTTCCTGGTCTTCAGAGCCTTTTTTCTGGGAAAAAGAGCCTGACCAAGACAGATGTCATGGTCATCTATGGAGCAGTGGCCCTCCATGCTCCCAAGAAGCAACTTCTCTCCAGACTTAATCAAGATATCATATCCCAAGTCCTGTCTCTTCATGGCCAGTGCTCTCAGGTAATGCCCGTTGCATGGCTGCCTCCATTTCTAGGCTGGGGTTCCTAAAACTTGCAGGGGCTCAGTCCCTGGGAAGCTTTTTTCCTTCCCAGACTTGGGTATGTTTTTATCAGCCACGTGAAAACAGACTAATACAGTAAATGTCTCGTGGATTACTATGCAGCCATAAAAAAGAATAAAACGTGTTTTGCAGCAACATGGATGGCTGCATCCTTCAGGCTCAAAGGACACAGGCCAAAAGAAAGATAGGTAGGATCTGGTATGTTTGGGAAATGAGAACATATGGGAACAGAAAAATTTATTTTAAAATAGCATCAGGTAATCTATTTTCTTTCCTAAAGCCCTGAGCGGTTCATGTCCTACCACTGCTGTGATGCAGTGATTGTCCCAGGTCAATCATATCCGTAGTGATCTCACCCTTGTTTGAACTTAAAACAGTTACTCCTGTACTATTTTAGGGCACCTGGCTCATTATTTCCCTGTAATAGTATCAGAAGTGTTAGCCCATGGTAGTTCTTTAACTTTTTATATGATAAGACTTACAAACTACCTTGAACAGTGTCTCACAAATAGTAAGTGTCATATACATATTTTAAGTGAATAAAATATGTCATTCATCAAGCTATTCAGTTCACCTGTGTTGCACTGTTTCCCCCTCCACATTCATCCCAGCCAACCTGACCCTCCTTGATGCTTCTCAAACATACCAAGAATGTTCTACCTTTGGAGCCACCAAACTGAGTTGAAATTTATCTGATCATTCTGTCTTCCATAGCATTTTGTTTGTATCTTTAATAAATTGCTTTATACAATTGTGAATTCACCCATTTTGCTGACAAATACCAGGCTGGCCACCTAAGAATCACACAAGAATCAAGTGTAAAATGTAGCTTCCTAGAGTTGTTTTCTAGGGAAGTTAGTTCAGTAGGTCTTGGGAAAACTCTGGAAATCTGTATGCTTAAAACTTTCAAGTGATTATTTATAGATCAATGTGGGAGGCTTTCATTGATTACGTGCACATCTGCTTCTCCTGTTAGATTGTCAGCACCTTGACGTTAGGGACTCCTTTAGCTTCTCGTCTGTGTCTCCACAAACCACATGTTGATGCATAAGTGCTCTTCACATTTATTCTTATGTACATGTGATAAGAATAGACTCATAAGGACTCATGAAATTGTAGTCATCAGTACATGTTAGTGGAAGGGTATAGGGTACTCATCCTCACACCTTAGTTGCATAAGAATTGCCTGGAGAGCCTGTCAAAAATAGAGATGCCTAATGAATCACAGCCTTCAGAGTTGAATCACTGAATTTGCATTTTCAACATGCTCCTCAAGAGTTGATTCTGATGCCCCCAAAATCTGAGAAGCAGTGATGAGAATAGAAAACATAATAAAATTTGTTTTATGTTACATTAATTTATGGTCAATCATTAGAGACCAGCCTGAACATAGTGAGACTTCATCTCTACAAGAAACTATTTTTTTTAAGCGTGTAATCTCAGCACTTCATGAGGCCAAAGTTGGAGGACCACTTGAGGCCAGGGGTTTGAAACCAGCCTGGGCAAAGTATCAAGACCTCATCTATAAAAATAAATAAATAAAACAATTGCCCAGGTGGGGTGGTACATACCATTAGTCCCAGTGCACTCTAGCCTGGTTGACAGAGCAAGACCTTGTCTCTAAAAGTAGATAAATAAAAGAGGAAAGAAAATAAGAATGATTAAAATAAAGATTACTATACACTTTCAGGGTACAGTTAGTTCTGCTATAACAAAACATATACACAAGATAATATAGGTAAAAACATAAAGAGGAAATGAGGTTGAGTCATAACACTCAAAAAACTCCATCAGTGATACACTCTTTTTAGTTTAGAAGCCCCTCCTGGACAGATTATTTCTTTTCATAGATCTGAACAAAATTATTTCCCATTGAATTTTTTTTCAACTTTTAGATACAGGAGGTACACGTGCAGGTTTGTTGCATGGGTGTATTGCACCCAGGTAGTGAGCAAGGTACTCAACAGTTAGGTTTTTTTACCCTTGTCCCCCTCTAATAGTCCACAGTGTCTTGTTCCCATGATTATGTGCTCAATATTAACTCACACTTATTTGGTTTTCTGCCCCTGCATTAATTCTTAGTATTATGTCCTCCAGCTCCATCCTTGTTGCTACAAAAGTCATGGTTTTATTATTTTTTATGGCTGCATAGTAATCCATGGTATATTTACTGTATTCGTCCATTTTCACTCTGCTGATAAAGACATACCTGAGACTGGGAAGAAAACAATGTTTAATGGACTTAAAGTTCCACATGGCTGGGGATGCCTCACAATCACAGCAGAAGGTGAAAGGCATGTCTCATGTGGCAGCAGACAAGAGAAGAGAGCTTGTGCAGGGAAACTCCCCCTTATATAATCATCAGATCTCATGAGACTTATTCACTATCATGAGAACAGCACAGGAAAGACCTGCCCCTGGGATTCAATTACTTCCCACCAAGTCCCTTCCACAACATATGGGAATTCAAGTTGAGATTTGGGTGGGACACAGCCAAACCATATCTATGTATAAATGTGGGGTGTGTGTGTGTGTGTGTGTGTGTATATATAATATATGTATCTCCCACATTGTTTATCCAGTCCTCCATTGTTGATTCCATGTCTTTGCTATTGTGAATAATGAAGCAATGAACATATGAGTGCATGTGTCTTTTTGGTAAAACGATCCATTTTTTTAATATATTCCCAGTAATGGAATCACTGGATGGAATGGTAGCTCTGTTTTAAGTTCTTTGAGAAATCTCCATCTGCTTTCCACAGTGCCTGAACTAATTTACATTCCCCCCAACAGTGTATAAACATTCCCTTTTCTCCCCAGCCTCACCAGCGTCTGTTTTTGTTTTTTTGTTTTGTTTTGTTTTTTTGCTTTCTTTGTAACAGCCATTCTGACCCATATAAGACAATATTTCATTGTGGGTTTGATTTGCATTTCTTTGATGGTTAGTGATGATGAGCATTTTTTCATGTTTGTTGGCCACTTATATGTCCTCTTTTGAGAAGTGTCTGTTCATGTCCTTTGTTCACTTTTTATTGGGGTTGTTTTTTCTTTGCTTGTTGATTTGTTGAAGTTCCTTATAGATTCTGGATATTAGACCTTTGTCAGATGCATAGTTTGAGGATATTTTTTCCATTCTGTAGGTTGTCTGTTTACTCTGTTGGTATTTTCTTTTGCTGTGCAGAAGCTCTTTGGTTTAATTAGATCCCACTTGTCAATTAAATCTTTAATCTACCTTGGGTTAATTTTGATACATAGTGAAAGGTAAAGGTCTAGTTTCATTTATCTGCATATGACTAGCCAGTTATCCCAGCAATATTATTTATTGAGTAGGGAGTCCTTTTCCTATTGCTTTTTTGTTGTTGTTGTCAGCCTTGTCAAAGATCATATGCTGTATGGCTTTATTTCTGAGTTTCTGTTCTGTTCTATTGGTTTATGTGTCTGTTTTTGTGCCAGCACCATGCTGTTTTGATTACTATAGCCTTATAGTATAGTTTGAAGTCAGGTAGTATGATACTTCCATCTTAGTATTGCTTTGGCTATGCAGGCTTTTTTTCGTTGTTCCATATGAATTTTATAATAGTTTTTTTCTAATTCTGTGAAGAATGACATTGGTAATTTGATAGGAATACCATTGAATCTGTAAACTGCTTTGGGCAGTATGATCATTCTAACAATATTGATTCTTCCTATCTGTGAGCATGGAATGTTTTTCCATTTATTTGTGTCATCTCTGATTTCTTTCAGCAGTGTTTTGTAGTTCTCATAAAGATCTTTCATGACCTTAGTTAACTGTATCCCTAGGTATTTCATTTTCTTTGTGGCTATTGTAAATGAGATTATGTTCTTGATTTGACTCTCAGCCTGGACATTACTGGTGTATGAAAATGCTAGTGATTTTTGTACATTGACTTTGTACCCTGAAACCTTACTGAAATCATTAATCAGTTCCAGCAGGCTTTTGGTGGAGTTTTTAGGGTTTCCTCTGTATTAACTCATTTTGCCAGTGAATAGGAATCTTTTTTTAAAAAATTAAAAATACACAAATGCTACCCAAAAAAATGGCATTTTACCTTGAAACACCTGAAGTCAGTTGTGAAAGTTGGAACTTCCTATGAAATGGTAAGGGTTATCTGAAATCTAATGGACTGTTATAATACCAGATTTGGATGGGAAAGGCTCATAACACACAGTAGACTGAGGTAGCTGGTAGATTCATGGGGTGTGTGCACGTGCGTGCTTTGAGTATTCCTACGTGGCTCAGTTCAACTGTGCACCTTTCCTCTCACAGAGGAAACTGCACACAAGCAAATGTGAATTCAGCATGTACTAAAAGTATTCTCTGATACAGCATGTCAATCTCATTGGAACAAATCTGCATTTTCAACACAAATGTTATAGCAGAACTCACTGTACTCACAGTTCCAGAGTTAGCTGCCCTTTGACTTTTCATTTTATAGTTTTTCGCTTCTCATTTCCCTAAGAGCCTTTACCCTTTTTCCTTACCAAAGTCTGTTGAGCCTCTTTAAAATGATTGTGAAGGCTGAAAACACAAGACTCGAAGTCTCTACCCTGCCTTCTGCAGCTTACTCATGACTTACCTGGGGGAAAGACTCTGCAAATGTACAAGGTCTCACTTTAAAAATGGAAGAAGTGAATTGCCCCCCTCCCCTTGGCAAGACCCCCCTTGGCAAGGCTCTACCTCCTGCTTTACTATTGTCCTTCAGGTTGATGGGTGAGTCCTTTTGTTGGGTTGGGTATATCTCTCAATGCCACTCATTGAGTATCTAATTTTGCCTTTGATTTTTTTTAGGTTCTGGGCATGTCTGTGATGAACAAGGTAGGAGAGATAGATAGATAGATAGATAGATAGATAGATAGATAGATAGATAGATAATGCCCCCCTGAAGTGTGCCAAGCAAAGATGTCCTTTTGATTTGATTCCAATTGAAAGGTTTCCAACATGTAACAATCCAATTCTGAAGTCAGAATCCATGATCCTAATCCAGGGCAGAACAAGGAACTATATTCTGGTTCCAGGGTCTTTAGAAGTTGAGCTATAAACTAAAACAATGGTGTTCAAACTTTGGGTTGTGACCCACCAGTTGACTATGAAATCAATTTAATAGGTCACAACCAGAAAAATTCTTTAGTGAAACAACAGAGTACTTTACTTGTAAAAACTATAACTATTATTTCTGTTATATATTAAACATATTTGGGGCATACAGGTACTAGGTGGAATTGTAAACTGTTTCCTACTGTTGTTTATGGTCAAAAAGTTTTGAAAGCCACTGCTCTAGAGGACCTTCATTCTATTGTGGGTGGTAGGGAGGAAAAATGGCATTTGTTTCTCACTTTCCCTGCAACTTAGACCCTAGTCTGGAGTAGAGATGGCAAAGGAAGCAAAGATTCTCACTCCTGTCTGGGAACATATTTCAAAGCTAGGTCACATGTTAATAGACCTGAGTGTGGTGTCTTAGACCTTGACTTGCATTGTAAATGCTTTTGCTTTAGGACATGGATCTGCAAATGAGTTTCACAAGAAGCATCACTGAGATTGGCATTGCTGTCCAAGATGCTGAGGATCAGGGGTTCCAGTTTTCCTACAAGGAGATGCTGATTGGTTACATGCTGGTGAGTGTGCAGAGAGGGAATAAGAAAGGCCCTGAGTATTCCATTACCAAGAGTTCAGGGCTATCTTTTTAAAAAGTGAATAGACTTCACCAGTCCCACATAACAGATCTCTGCCTTGTTTATGACCCAGGGCACCCAATGGTCTGATGAGGTTGCAGCTGCATCTGGTAACTTTCCTGAGCCTTTCTGAAACATTTAATCTCCTTATTTATGTTTCAGGACTTCATTAGAGACGAGCCCCTGGATTCCTTAGCTAGCCCTATTCGGTGGAAAGCCTTAATCGCCATTAGGTATCTCAGGTAGATAATTTTTAGTTGTTTTCATTGAAAAAGTATTTTCCCCCTTATCCTCCTCCTGATCAACTAACATCTGTTAGTGCAGACTTCAGTACACACTCCCAAAACTGAACACAGTTCATTAATGGGAGCTTCAAACTGGGGCTTTTTCTCCTTCCAAAGAGTTATGGATCTGGCTGAGAAATTGGTCATTTGATGACTGACAGAGACTGAAGAGCTACTCAGAGGAATTATATGTATTAATATATGAGGACTAAAATTTCTCTGCAAAAGGAAATTCTTCTTTCTAGATCTTGGCCTCCAGGCAAATTTTAATCTTTCAATTAAAATCTTATGAAAGCCCTAATCACATTCTAGTTGGTTAGCAGCAATAAACCTGAAAAAGGAAATACTTTTTGGCATATTTTAAAAATAATATTTTCACCCTGCAGTAAAAGAAATAGAAGTTAAAACCACAATAAGATAGCATCTCATGCCAATCAGAATGGCTATTACTAAAAACTCAAAGATGCTGCTAAGGTTGTGGAGAAAAGGAAACACTTATACACTGCAGCTGGCAATGTAAACTAGTTCAGCCACTGTGGAAAGCAGTTTGGGTATCTCTCAAGGAACTTAAAGGAGAGCTACAATTCAACCCAGCAATCCCATTCCTTGGTATATACCCAGGGGATAATATAAATAGCTCTACTGTGAAGACATATGCATGCGTATGTTCACTGCAGCACTATTCACAGCAGCAAAGACGTGAAATCAACCTAGATGCCCATCCATGGTCGACTGGATAAAGAAAATGTGATACATTACACTATAGAATACTACACAGACATACAAACGAATAAAATCTGTCTTTTGCAGTAACATGAATGGAGCTGGAAGCCATAAACCTAAGCAGATTAATGCAGGAAAACCAAATACCACTAATTTTATAAGTGAGAGCTAAATACTGAGTAGACATGGACACAAATAAGGAAACAATAGACACTGGGGCCTAGTTGTGGGTGGAGGTTGGGAGGAGGGTGAGAATTTAAAAACTATCTATCTGGTTCTATGCTTATTGATTAGATAATCTGTACACCAAATCCTCATGACATGCAATTTACCCATAAAACAAACCCACACATGTACCGTCTGAACCTAAAATAAAAGATGGAAGAAACAAAAAGAAACAGAAATAGAAGTCCTCTGTAAAGATTGGGAAATCACAAAAATTTTTTAAAAAATAATAAAAACCACCCATAGTGCCCCCATTGCCAGCATTTTGGTCTATTTCCTTGATGTGGTTTGACTTTGGGTCCCCACCCAAATCTCATCTCGAATTGTAATCCCCAAATGTTGAGGGAGAGACCTGTAATCTCCACGTGTCAAAGGCGTGGGGTGATTAGATCATGGGAGTGGTTTCCTCCATGCTGTTCTCATGATAGTGAGTGAGTTCTCATGAGATCTGATAGTTTTATAAGTGTTTGGCTGTTCCTCCTTCACATGCTTACTCTCCTCTGCTGCATTGTGAAGAGGTGCCTGCTTTCCCTTTGCCTTTGGCCACAGTTGTAAGTTTCCTGAGGCTTCCTGAGCCATGTGGAACTGTGAGTCAATTAAACCTCTTTCCTTTATAAATTACCTAGTCTCGGGTATTTCTTTATAGCTCTGTGAAAATGCGCTAATACATTCCTTTAAGTCTTTATTTCTAGTCCTCCATTTTTATAACAGAGTTGAGATTCTACTCTGCATGTGATTTTTCATCCTGCTTTTTCTAACTTCACCTTACATAGTTCCACATTATCACCAATTCTTCATAAACATCATACTTTTCTTAGTTTTTAGTTTTTGTTAATGTTTAATTGTGGCAAAATAAATAAAACATAAAATTTATAATCAGCCATTTTTAAGTGTACAGTCCAGTATTGTTAAATACATTCATATTGTTGGCTAAAACTACTTGGCTATATTTTTGGGTTCTCTATTCTGTTCCATCAGTCTAAGTGCCTATTTTTATACCAGTGCCATGCTGTTTCAGTAACTATAGTTTTATATAAATCAGGTAATGTAGTGACTCCAGATTTGTTCTTTTTTCTTACTATTGCTTTCCCTATGTGGGCTCTTTTTTTATTCCATATGAATTTTAGTATTGTTTTTCCTATATCCTATGAAAAATGATGATGGTATTTTAATGAGAATTGCATTGAATATGTATATTGCTTTGGGCAGTATGGGCATTTTCACAACATTGATTCTTCCCTTCCTTGAATTTGAGATGTGTTTCCATTTGTTTGTGTCATCTATGATTTCTTTTAGCAGTGCTTTGTAGTTTTCCTTGTAGAGATCCTTCACTTCCTTGGTTAAGTATATTTCTAGGTATTTAATTTTTTTTCAGCTGTTGTAAAAGGGATTATTGTTGGTATATAGCAGAGCTACTGATTTGTATATATTGATTTTTGTGACCCAAAACTTTGTTTTTTATACCCATTCTAATGGGTGTGAGGTGGTATTTTCTTGTGGTTTTGATTTGCATTATCCTAATGATTAGTGATGTCAAACATCATTTCATATGTTTGTTAGCTGTTTGTATATCTTTTTTGGAGAAATGTCTACTCAAGTCCTTTCCTCATTTTTAAAATCAAGTTGTTTGGTGTTTCGTTGTTTAATTATAATATTTTTTTTAATTTATTCTGGACATTAACCTCTTATCAGACATATGATTTGCAAATATTTTCTCCTATTTAATAGGTTGCCTTTTCACTCTGCTGATTATATCCTTTGATGCACAAAAGTTTTTGTTTCGTTTTGTTTTTCAACTTTTATTTTAGATTTGGGAGTACATGTGCAGGTTTGTATATTGCATGATGCTGAGACTTGGGGTACAAATGAATCTGTCACCCAGGTAGTGAGCATAGTACCCAATAAGTAGTTTTTTTCACCCTTACTCCTCACTCTCACTCCCTCTTTTGTATTCCCGAGATGCACAGAAATTTATAATTTTTAAGTAGTCCATTTGTCTATTTTTACTTTTGTTGCCTGTGTTTCAAGAAATCACTGTCAAATTCAAGATCTTCAAGCTTTTCCCTGTATTTTCTTCTTAGAGTTTAATAGTTTTAACTCTTACATTTAGATCTTTGATCCATTGTGAGTTGATTTTAGCATATGGTGTAACATAAGGGTCCAACTTAATTCTTTCGCATGTGGATATTCAGTTTTTCCAACAACATTTTTTGTAAAGGTTGTCCTCACATCAAAATCTTGGCCTACAAAAGCAAAAATAAATAAATGACACTACATCAAACTATGAAGTTTCTGCAGCACAAAGGGAATAGTCAACAAAATGAAAAGGCAACCTATGGATTGGGAAAAAATGTTTGCAAACCATGTATCTGATAAGGAGTTAATATCCAAAATTAAAAAGAATTCATACAACTCAATAGCAAGAAAATATATAACCTGATTTAAAAATGGACAAAGGACCAGAGTAGACATTTCTCAAAAGAAGATATGCAAATGGCTAAAAGGCAAATGAAAAATACTTAATATCACTCATAATTATGGAAATACAAATCAAAACTGCTCTGAGATATTACCTCATACCTGTTAAGATAGCTGTTATCAAAAAGAAACCCTAACACATGTTAGCAAGAATAGAGAGAAAGGGAAACCCTTGTACACTGTTGGTGGGAACGTAAATTGGTGCATCCATTATGGAAAACGGGATGGAGGGTCCAAAAGAAATTAAAAATAGAATTACTATATGACCCAGCAATTTATCTTCTGTGTATATACCCAAAGGAAATGAAATTACCACCTCGTAAAGATATCTGCACTCCCTGAGAGATGAAAAATTACCTATTGGGGTACAATGTACACTATTTAGGTAACAAGTACACTAAAATCTCAGACTTCACTACTATACAGCTCATCCATGTAACAAAAACCACTTGTACCCCTATGGCTTTTTAAATTAAAAAAATTTTAAGTTATCTGTACCACCATATTTATTGCAGCATTATTAACAATAGCACAGATATAGAAACAACCTAGGTGTCTGTCAATGAATGAATGGATAAAGACATTGTGATATTTATACCCACAATGGAATATTATTCAGACTTTAAAAAGGAGATCATGCCATTTGTTACAACATGAGTGGACCTGTACAACATTATACTATGTAAAATAAGCCAGACACAGAAAAAAATATTGTATAATCTTACTTGTATGTGGAATTTTTTAAAATGTCAGATATACAGAAATGGAGAATAAAAAACAGTGGCTACTGTTTTATTCTCAGTGGTGGGTAGGAAATGGAAGATGTAAGTCAAAAGATATAAAGTAGTAGGTAAGTCTGATGAATAAGTCTAAAGATTTAATAATGTACAACCTAGGAGTATATTTAATAATAGTGTATTGTATTAAGGATTTTGCTAAGTGAGTAGATTATAGCTGCTCCTACTTTTGCTCTTGCCACGGGGCAGAGGTGGGAGTGGACAGGAGAGAAACAGATAACTATGTGAGATGATGGCTAGGTCAATTTGTTTCATTATGGTAACCTTTTACTACGTATATCTTTTTTTATATATACTTTAAGATCTAGGGTACATGTGCACAACGTGCAGGTTTGTTACATACGTATACATATCCCATGTTGGTGTGCTACACCCATTAACTCGACATTTACATTAGGTATATCTCCTAATGCTATCCCTCCCCCATCCCCCCACCCCACGACGGGCCCTGGTGTGTGATGTTCCCCACCCTGTTTCCAAGTGTTCTCATTGTTCAGTTCCCACCTGTGAGTGAGAACAAGCGGTGTTTGGTTTTTCGGCCTTGCAATAGTTTGCTGAGAATGATGGTTTCCAGCTTCATCCATGTCCCTACAAAGGACATGAACTCATCATTTGTTATGGCTGCATAGTATTCCATGGTGTATATGTGCCACATTTTCTTAATCCAGTCTATCATTGATGGGCATTTGGGTTGGTTCCAAGTCTTTGCTATTGTGAATAGTGCCACAATAAACATACGTCTGCATGTGTCTTTATAGCAGCATGATTTATAATTCTTTGGGTATATACCCAGTAATGGGATTGCTGGGTCAAACAGTAATTCTAGTTCTAGATCCTTGAGGAATCGCCACACTGTCTTCCACAATGCTTGAACTACTTTACGTCCCACCAACAGTGTAAAAGTGTTCCTATTTCTCCACATCCTCTCCAGCACCTGTTGTTTCCTGACTTTTTAATGATTGCCATTCTAACTGGTGTGAGATGGTATCTCACTGTGGTTTTGATTTGCATTTCTCTGATGGCCAGTGATGATGAGCATTTTTTCATGTGTCTGTTGGCTGCATAAATGTCTTCTTTTGAGAAGTGTCTGTTCATATCCTTTGCCCACTTTTTGATGGGGTTGTTTGATTTTTCCTTGTAAATTTGTTTGAGTTCATTGTAGATTCTGGATATTAGCCCTTTGTCAGATGAGTAGATTGCAAAAATTTTCTCCCATTTTGTAGGTTGTCTGTTCACTCTGATGGTAGTTTCTTTTGCTGTGCAGAAGTTCTTTAGTTTAACTAGATCCCATTTGTCAATTTTTGCTTTTGTTGCCATTGCTTTTGGTGTTTTAGACATGAAGTCCTTGCCCATGCCTATGTTCTGAATGTTATGGCCTAGGTTTTCTTCTAGGGTTTTTATGGTTTTACGTCTAGCATTTAAGTCTTTAATCCATCTTGAATTAATTTTTGTATAAGGTGTAAGGAAGGGATCCAGTTTCAGCTTTCTACATATGGCTAGCCAGTTTTCCCAACATCATTTATTAAATAAGGAATCCTTTCCCCATTTCATGTTTTCGTCAGGTTTGTCAAAGATCAGATGGTTCTAAATGTGTGGTATTATTTCTGAGGGCTCTGTTCCATTCCATTGGTCTATATCTCTGTTTTGGCATGAGTACCATGCTGTTTTGGTCACTGTAGCCTTGTAGTGTAGTTTAAAGTCAGGTAGCGTGATGCCTCCAGCTTTGTTCTTTTGGCTTAGGATTGTCTTGGCAATGCGGGCCCTTTTTTGGTTCCATATGAACTTTAAAGTAGCTTTTTCCCAATTCTATGAAGAAAGTCATGGGTAGCTTGACAGGGATGGCATTGAATCTATAAATTACCTTGGGCAGTATGGCCATTTTCACGATATTGATTCTTCCTATCCATGAGCATGGAATGTTCTTCCATTTGTTTGTGTCCTCTTTTATTTCATTGAGCAGTGGTTTGTAGATCTCCTTGAAGAGGTCCTTCACATCCCTAGTAAGTTGGATTCCTAGGTATTTTATTCTCTTTGAAGCAATTGTGAATGGGAGTTCACTCATGATTTGGCTCTGTGTTTGTCTGTTATTGGTGTATAAGAATGCTTGTGATTTTTGCACATTGATTTTGTATCCTGAGACTTTGCTGAAGTTGCTTATCAGCTTAAGTAGATTTTGGGCTGAGACAATGGGGTTTTCTAGATATACAATCATGTCATCTGCAAACAGGGACAACTTGACTTCCTCTTTTCCTAATTGAATACCCTTTATTTCTTTCTCCTGCCTGATTGCGCTGACCAGAACTTCCAACACTATGTTGAATAGGAGTGGTGAGAGAAGGCATCCCTGTCTTGTGCCACTTTTCAAAGGGAATGCTTCCAGTTTTTGCTCATTCGTATGATATTGGCTGGGCGTTTGTCATAAATAGCTCTTATTATTTTGAGATACATCCCATCAATACCTAGTTTATTGAGAGTTTTTAGCATGAGGGGCTGTTGAATTTTGTCAAAGGCCTTTTCTGCATCTATTGAGATAATCATGGGGTTTTTGTCTTTGGTTCTGTTTATGTGATGGATTATGTTTATTGATATGTGTATGTTGAACCAGCCTTGCATCCCTGGGATGAAGCCCACTTGATCATGGTGGATAAGCTTTTTGATGTGCTGCTGGATTCAGTTTGCCAGTATTTTATTGAGGATTTTTGCATTGATGTTCATCAGGGATATTGGTCTAAAATTCTCTTTTTTTTGTTGTGTCTCTGCCAGGCTTTGGTATCAGGATGATGCTGGCCTCATAAAATGAGTTAGGGAGGATTCCCTCTTTTTCTATTGATTGGAATAGTTTCAGAAGGAATGGTACCGGCTCCTCCTTGTACCTCTGGTAGAATTCGGCTGTGAATCCATCTGGTCCTGGACTTTTTTTGGTTGGTAAGCTATTAATTATTGCTTCAATTTCAGAGCCTCTTATTGGTCTATTCAGGGATTCAACTTCTTCCTGGTTTTGTCTTGGGAGGTTGTGTGTGTTCAGGAATTTATCCATTTCTTCTAGATCTTCTAGTTTATTTGTGTAGAGGTGTTTATAGTATTCTCTGATGGTAGTTTGTATTTCTGTGGGATCGGTGGTGATATCCCCTTTATCATTTTTTATTGTGTCTGTTTGATTCCTCTCTCTTTTCTTCTTTATTAGTCTTGCTAGTGGTCTGTCAATTTTGTTGATCTTTTCAAAAAACCAGCTCCTAGATTCATTGATTTTTTGAAGGGCTTTTTGTGTCTCTATCTCCTTTGGTTCTGCTCTGATCTTAGTTATTTCTTGCCTTCTGCGAGCTTTTGAATGTGTTTGCTCTTGCTTCTCTAGTTCTTTTAATTGTGATGTTAGGGTGTCAATTTTAGATTTTCCTGCTTTCTGTTGTGGGCATTTAGTGCTATAAATTTCCCTCTACACATTGCTTTAAATGTGTCCCAGAGATTCTGGTATGTTGTGTCTTTGTTCTCATTGCTTTCAAAGAACATCTTTATTTCTGCCTTCATTTCGTTATGTACCCAGCAGTCACTCAGGAGCAGGTTTTTCAGTTTCCATGTAGTTGAGCAGTTTTGAGTGAGTTTCTTAATCCTGAGTTCTAGTTTGATTGCACTGTGATCTGAGAGACAGTTTGTTATAATTTCTGTTCTTTTACATTTGCTGAGGAGAGCTTTACTTCCAGCTATGTGGTCAATTTTGGAATAAGTGTGACGTGGTGCTTAGAAGAATATATATTCTGTTGATTTGGGGTGGAGAGTTCTGTAGATGTCTACTAGGTCTGCTTGGTGCAGAGCTGAGTTCAATTCCTGGATATCCTTGTTAACTTTCTGTCTTATTGATCTGTCTAATGTTGACAGTGGGGTGTTACAGTCTCCCATTATTATTGTGTGGGAGTCTAAGTCTCTTTGTAGGTCACTCAGGACTTGCTTTATGAATCTTGGTGCTCCTGTATTGGGTGCATATATATCTAGGATAGTTAGCTCTTCTTGTTGAATTGATCCCTTTTCCATTATGTAATGGCCTTCTTTGTCTCTTTTGATCTTTTTTGGTTTAAAGTCTGTTTTATCAGAGACTAGGATTGCAACCCCTGCCTTTTTTTGTTTTCCATTTGCTTGGTATATCTTCCTTCATCCCTTTATTTTGAGCCTATGTGTGTCTCTGCATGTGAGATGGGTTTCCTGAATACAGCACACTGGTGGGTCTTGACTCTTTATCCAATTTGCCAGTCTGTGTCTTTTAATTGGAGTATTTATCCCATTTACATTTAAGGTTAATATTGTTATGTGTGAATTTGATCCTGTCATTATGATGTTAGCTGGTTATTTTGCTCTTTAGTTGATGCAGTTTCTTCCTAGCCTTGATGGTCTTTACAATTTGGCATGTTTTTGCAGTGGCTGGTACTGGTTGTTCTTTACCATGTTTAGTGCTTCCTTCAGGAGCTCTTTTAGGGCAGGCCTGGTGGTGACAAAAATCTCTCAGCATTTGCTTGTCTGGAAAGGATTTTATTTCTCCTTTATTTATGAAGCTTAGTTTGGCTAGATATGAAATTCTGGGTTGAAAATTATTTTCTTTAAAAATGTTGAATATTGGCCCCTACTCTCTTCTGGCTTGTAGAGTTTCTGTGGAGAGATCCGCTGTTAGTCTGATGGGCTTCCCTTTGTGAGTAACCCGACCTTTCTCTCTGGCTGGCCTTAACATTTTTTCCTTCATTTCAACTTTGATGTATCTGACAATTATGTGTCTTGGAGTTGCTCTTCTCAAAGAGTATCTTTGTGGCATTTTCTGTATTTCCTGAATTTGAATGTTGGCCTGCCTTGCTAGATTGGGGATGTTCTCCTAGATAATATCCTGAAGAATGTTTTCCAACTTGGTCCCATCACTTTCAGGTACACCAACCAGATGTAGATTTGGTCTTTTCACATAGTCCCATATTTCTTGGAGGCTTTGTTCATTTCTTTTTACTCTTTTTTCTCTAAACTTTTCTTCTCACTTCATTTCATTAATTTGATCTTCAATCACTGATACCCTTTCTTCCAGTTGATCGAATCGGCTACTGAAACTTGTGCATTCATCATGTAGTTCTTGTGCCATGGTTTTCAGCTCCATCAGGTCATTTAAGGACTCCTCTACACTGGTTATTCTAGTTAGCCATTCATCTAATCTTTTTTCAAGATTTTTAGCTTCCTTGCGATGGGTTCGAACTTCCTCCTTTAGCTCGGAGAAGTTTGATCATCTGAAGCCTTCTTCTCTCAACTCATCAAAGTCATTCTCCGTCCAGCTTTGTTCCATTGCTTGTGAGGAGCTGCTTTCCTTTGGAGGGGGAGAGCGCTCTGATTTTTAGAATTTTCAGCTTTTCTGCTCCATTTTCTCCCCATCTTTGTGGTTTTATCTGCCTTTGGTCTTTGATGATGGTGATGTACAGACGGGGTTTTGGTGTGGATGTCCTTTCTGTTTGTTAGTTTTCCTTCTAACAGTCAGGACCCTCAGCTGCAGGTCTGTTAGAGTTTGCTGGAGGTCCACTCCAGACCCTGTTTGCCTGGTTATCAGCAGCGGAGGCTGCAGAACAGTGAATATTGCTGAACAGCCAATGTTGCTGCCTCATGGTTCCACTGGAAGCTTCGTCTCAGAGGCGTACCTGATCGTGTGAGATGTCAGTCTGCCACCACTGGGGGGTGCTTCCCAGTTAGGCTACTAGGGCATCAGGGACCCACTTGAGGAGGCAGTCTGTCCGTTCTCAGATCTTCGTGCCGGGAGAACCACTACTCTCTTCAAAGCTGTCAGACAGAGACATTTAAGTCTGCAGAGGTTTCTGCTGCCTTTTGTTCGGCTATGCCCTGCCACCAGAGGTGGAGTCTGCAGAGGCAGGCAGGCCTCCTTGAGCTGCGGTGGGCTCCACCAAGTTCGAGCTTCTCGGTCGTTTTGTTTACCTACTCAAGCCTCAGCAATGGCGGGCGCCCCTCCCCCAGCCTCGCTGCCACCTTGCAGTTCGATCTCAGACTGCTGTGCTAGCAGTGAGCAAGGCTCCGTGGGTGTGGGACCCTCCAAGCCAGGCGCGGGATATAATCTCCTGGTGTGCCATTTGCTAAGACCATGCGAAAAGCACAGTATGAGGGTAGGAGTGACCCAATTTTCCAGGTGCCATCTGTCACCTCTTCCCTTTGCTAGGAAAGGGAATTCTCTGACCCCTTGTGCTTCCCAGGTGAGGTGATGCCTCGCCCTGCTTTGGCTCTCACTCAGTGGGCTGCACCCACTGTCCTGCCCCCACCATCCAACAAGCCCCATTGAGATGTACCTGGTACCTCAGTGGGAAATGCAGAAATCACCTGTCTTCTGCGTCACTCATGCTGGGAGCTGTAGACTGGAGCTGTTCCTATTCGGCCATCTTGGAACCGCTTCTACTATGTATATCTTATAACATCATGCTGTATACCTTAAATATACTCAATAAAATTTGTTTTTTAAAAAATTGTCCTTTCCCCATGGAATGGTCTTGGCACCCTTGTCGTAGTTCATTTAATGGTTTACTTATAAGCTCTTTATTCTATTCCATGGGCTTATATGTCTCTTTTTTTGCTTTTGTTTTTTGAGACGGGGTCTCACTCTGTCATCCAGGCTGGAGTGCAGTGGCACAATCTCGGCTTACTGCACCTTGACCTCCTGGGCTCAAGTGATTCTCCCTCCTCAGCTTCCCAAGTATCTGGGACCACAGGTGAGCACCACCACGCCCAGCTCATTCTTCTATTTTTATAGAGACATGGTTTTGCCATGTTGTCTAGGCTGGTCTCGAACTCCTGGGCTCAAGCTCTCAGCCCACCTCAGCCTCCCAAAATGCTGGGATTACAGGTTCGCACCACCATACCTGGCCTATATGTCTGTCTTTATGCCAGTTACATACTATTTTGATTACTGTGCTTTTGTAAAAAGTTTTGAAATCAGTAAGTATAAGACCTCCAACTTTGTTCTTCTTCAAAATTGTTTTGGCTATTTGGGGTCTCTAGAGATTTCACAAGAATTTTAGGATGAATTTTTCTATTTCTACAAAAAGCACCCTTGGTATTTTGATAGGAATTACATTAAATCTGTACATCTATTCTTAATGATATTAAGATCTAGTCATCTTTACAATATTGTTTAATTCGTGAACAAAGGATGTCATTCCATTATTTGTGCCTTCTTTCATTTCTTTCAACAATGTTTAGTGTGTTTCTGTGTTTCACTTGGTTAAGTTTATTCCTAAGTACTTTATTCTTTTTGATGCTGCTGTAAATGAAATTGTTCATTTCCTTTTCAGTTTGTTCATTTCTTAACAAATCAGTTGTATATAGAAATGCAACAGATTTTGGTAGGTTGATTTTGTATCTCACAACTTTGCTGAATTCATTTATTAGTTCTAACAGTTTTTTGGTAGAGTCATTAGAGCTCCTACATATAAGACTGTGTCATTTCTAAACAGAGATAGTTTTACTTCTCCTTTTCCAATTTAGATACCTTTTTAATTTTTCCTTGCCTAATTGCTCTGGCTAGAACTTCCAGCACTATGCTAAATAGAAGTTGTAAAAATGGTATCCTTGTCTTACTCTTGATCTTACAGGGGATGTTTTCAGCCTTTCACCATTGAATATAATGTTAGCTATAAGCTTTCACATATGTCATTTATTATATTGAGGTAACAAATATATCTTTAATGGCTGCCTAATATCTTATATAAATATGTCTCATCTTACTTAACCAACCTCCTATTTCTATAACATAATTGTTGCCTGTTTTAAAAACTATAAATAATACTTTGATAAACACCTTTGGGCAAAAAAAAATTTCTGAACTTTTAAGTATGATAGTTGATAGTTTTATTCAATAAATATTATTAAGTGGCATCTATGTCATATCAGTCAGTGAACTAGGTTGTAAAAGAGCAATGATGAACAAGATATGACCCTCCCCTGACAGAGTTTCAGCCTACTGGGAGAAACAGATGTAAGAAGCACCCACATAATTTCTCCAAATGTGGTAAGAGGCAGGATAAGAGAAAGCACAGGTTGCCATGTTAACAAAAATGAGGGAGGTTTGTAGAAAGCTCAAATAAATCAATCTTGAAGCTGAATTAAGAATTAACCAGTCTCTAGAAGAGTGTTGTCAAGTAGAAATACAATGCAAGTCACATATGTCATTTAAAACTGTCTGGTAACCACTTTTAAAAGAGTGAAAAGAAACAATTAAATTAATTTTAATATTATATTTTATTTAATCCAATATATTTAGTATACTATTTCAACATATATTCATTATTTTAAAATTGGATAATTTATATTATTCTTCATACTAAATCTTCAAAATCCCATGTGTTACATCTTAATCCAGATCAGCCACAACTCATGTTCACGAGCTTATGAGGCTAGAGACAGCACAGCTGTAGAACTTGAAAACTAATCTCTAATGATGGCAAGCAAATCAGTGGTTGTCAAGGGGGAGGAAAAGATAACCTGCAAAGGAGCATAGAAAAAAAAATAGAGTATCATAGAAAGATTCCATATTGGTTATATAACCATCAGTGTTTTCATGAGTGTGAACATCTCTCAAAATTTTTTTAATGGATGCAGCTTACTATACATAAATTATACTTTGATACATTAATTTCTTTTAAAGCAGTGAGCCAGACAATAAAGACAAGAAGACTACATAGAGCTTTCCCAGCTGGTACTGAATTTTATTCCTCTCTAAGAGAATCTTATTTCTCTGATGGTGTCATCATTTTTAATTGCTTTGCTAATTTGGTAGCTGACTAATGGTATCTTATTGTCTTAACTTACATTTATTTAAAAGTAAATGGAGTTTTTCATGGGTATTGAACATGTGCATTTTTTGAAGTCATATCTAGACTTTTTCATATCCTCATGAAGTCTATAGTAAACATTTGAAAGAAAGGCAGAAAGGAAGAAACACTCCATTGTCATTTATTCACTTGTGCATTCATAAGAACCTATAGTATATGTGTCACTATTTAGAACATGAAAAGAGACGTGAAATTGATAAAAGTCACTGCTGCAGACTTACAATCTAGTTGAGGAGATACATATCTCTCTCTATCATTCTCTCTCTCTCTCTTTCTCACTCTCTCTCACACACACACACAAGATGGAGAAAACAAGTAGGTAATGCTGTCACAGATCATATAATAGTGTTAAGGAACACAAAGTGAGTGATGATTTGTTCATCAATCTAATCTAAAGAATGGAGGCGTATTGAGTATGCTCACCAATGCAGTCTGATTCTGTGTTCCCATCTCTCCCTACTCCTGTCACCACCTTTCTCAACATCCCAACGTGTCAGAAAATGTGACACGTTAGTTGCCTGGTCAGATGTGATTGGCAGTTCTTGGGAATTCCACTGGGTATGTTCTGATGGTCACTGTAATATCCATTCCTCCACCTGGTTCTCATTTCAGTAAACTGAAACCTCAGCTCTCACTACAAGACCACCTTAACATTCTTGAGGAGAATATTCGGAGGCTGCTGCCCCTTCCACCTCTGGAAAATCTGAAAAGTGAAGGCCAGACAGACAAGGACAAGGAGCACATTCAAGTATGCACTAGTGAGGCCTAAGTAGGATGACAGTCTGCAGTGGGGCCTTACTCTCTCACCCCAGCCTGAGACTCACACACACATATTTGATTTCAGTTTCTCTATGAACGATCCATGGACGCCCTAGGAAAACTTCTGAAGACCATGATGTGGGATAATGTGAATGCAGAGGACTGTCAAGAAATGTTTAATGTGAGTAGAGCCTCCACTCAAACTGATTCTCATTCTCCCTAATCTGTTCTTCAATGTCCACTCCAAACTCTACTGCATTTTCCTTACATGAAGACATCCAGCTGGACCCACCCACACCCCACATACAGCCATCTACTTAAAAATTGTTTGTGGGGAGGTGAGCACCGTGTTACAAAAGAGGCAGAGACAGAAAAAGAGAATATGAAACTAGATGAATATGAAGAATACTAAGGAAAGAACATTTATTCTTTGACCAACAGCTTCTCCAAATGTGGCTTGTTTCACAAAAAGAGTGGGAAAGAGAAAGAGCCTTCCAGATCACTGCGAAAGTGCTGACAAATGATATTGAGGTAAGTAATCCCCTAGAATGAATAGACTTTATTGCTTGTGAACAGCAGGGATCTCTGAGATCTCTGGAATCCAAAACTCCTGCATGATGGATCGTGCATCTCAGAGTGAAGTGCTTTTCGGAACACTTTTGGAGAGAGATCTAACTTCAGAGTGCAGCTCACACGAATTGAGCTATTGGGTTTTCTTTACATGCATGCTTACTTCTCCACTGCCCTTAAAAATAGGCATCTTTTAGGAGAAAGTGCAAGATCAAATTTCATTCTAAGGACCTGCAGAGAGAAAATAAGAGACTTGAGATCCAGTGTTGGGAACATCCTGGGATATGACCAAGCTACCCCATCACAATAGGATGCCTCCTTTATCCTGCAGGCACCAGAGAACTTTAAAATTGGTTCACTGCTTGGACTTCTGGCTCCTCACTCCTGTGATACCCTGCCCACCATCCGTCAGGCGGCTGCTAGCTCAACTATTGGTCTGTTCTATATAAAAGGTGAGGGAAAGATGGGGAACCCACAAATGAAGAAAAGAAACCCATCTTCTTTTATTCTCAGCTTTTCTCCTTATGCACCTATGTCTCTCTCCCTCCTCCCCTCTCCTCTCTCCTCTTTCCTCATTTTCCTCCTTTTCTCCTCTCCTCTCCCCTCCCCATCTCTCTCTGTCTCTCTCTCTCTTTCTCTCTGTTTCTCCTTCCCTCTATAGTTCAGCAATTTCTGTTTTAATACCTTAATTATATCACAGAATCTGTCTCCTAGATCTGAAACCGGTATATCTTTCCTCAGTGGCTCTGTTTTTCTCATTTTTTAAAATAGAGATAATAACACTGAAGCATTATAAAGATCCATTAAAGTAGGTAAAATGTTTTGAGAGTCTCCGATTTAAATCACTAAGCAATTGGGCATATTAGCAATGCTTCCTCTATCACATGGTTTTCTTCAGAGAAAATTGCACTATTATCGTGGTACTAAGTGCCTTTCAAAGCTCTCTAAGAGACAGAACTTTGTGGAAATTTTCAGAGCAGGAGCTCCTCCTGCTCTCCAAGTACATGTGAATAACTGTCAATACCACAAAATATTAGGAATTTTTAAACCTCCGTCTCAGGCTGAAACCAACAATCAGGGCTCCCTGTCCAGGTTAATTGAGTCCATGTTTCACCAAGGACAGCCCTACGTTGTGTGTGTGCAGTTCTGCAGAGTAGACGCAGCCAGAAACAGTCTAGACTTAATGCCACCTTATGCCTGCCTATGTTCCACACATCATTCTTTAGGTATTCAAAATATTTATTGAGTGCCTTTCCATGTGTCAGGCACTGTTCTAATGCTGGGGACACAGAGATATTGCAGTTCCAATATTCACATTTTATAAGTGTGTTAAAGCCAAAAGGTAGGATTTGGTTGGGGGAAAGAGATAATCAGTCAAAAGAAAAGAAAAAACTCTTCAGCAGAGTCAAAGTAGGTACAAAAGTCCTTTGGGATATAGGAAGATAATTGATTAAAGATATATGTTTTTACCAAGTCAGGAAAAAAATAGAATTAAGGAAGTGAGAACTAAAGAACCATTCCAGGCTGGACGTGGTGGGTCACCCTGTAATCTCAGCACTTTGGGAGCCCGAAGCATATGGGTCACTTGAGGTCAGGAGTTCAAGACCAGCCTGGCCAACATGGTGAAACCCCATTGTCTCCCAAAAATACAAAAAATTAGCCAGGAGTGGTGGTGGATGCCTGTAATCCCAGCTACTCGGGAGGCTGAGGCATGAGAATCACTTGAACCTGGAAGGCAGAGGTTGCAGTGAGCCGAGATCACACCTGGGAGACTGTCTCAAAAAAAAAAAAAAAAAAAAAAAACATTACAGTAGTAACAGAAATATGCCAGTAGGGAACTCATAGGAAGAAAGGAATTTGGATTCTATTATTGTTCTACCTATTTTTCCTTTAGCCCACTTCATTTTCCTAAAATATGAAAAATTCAGGTCCTCAAACACTCTTTGTTAATAGAACGCCCATACTTTATAATTTACATCGACATTTTCGCCGATGGAAGAAACAAGCTTGGTGGAGAGAAAGAACATGTATTACTAAAACACCTACTAGACACAAGTAACAAGTGTGATACTAAATTAAATACCCATCGATACTCATGGACACTTCTCAGTTTTGAAAATGAGGAGTCTGAAATTAAGAAGTTTTCAGTTACTTGGACCACTGAAAGTAGAGTAGCTGGGCTTTGAGCTCAGGGGCATCTGACTTCAAAGTCCACGTGTGTCCCACTGGGCTAGGCTGCCTTCCATAGAATGGTTCATGTGTTAGTTTCCATGATTAATATACATTCAAATAATAAACAGAAAATCTTTATTGGTTAGGTCTGCATTTATAAATTGATATCAACAATCACTTACACAGTTGCTGATGTAAACTTCTCATTACAGTAGTTACTTTTCAGTTTCCCCAATGAGGGAGCTCACTGAAGAATAGAAATCCAAGAGAGATAGCAGCATAGCAGAGTAGTTGGAACCTGGGCATTTGTGTCAGACAGACCAGGGTTGAAATTCAGACTCTCCTATTTTTATTCACCGTGTGCCTTGGGCAATGTCTTCACATCTCTGTTCCCGCTTTCTCATCTGCAAAACCAAGACGAGAACAGGAGAGTCTACCTCAGATAATGTTTATGAGTAATAAATGAGATTATTGTATGCAGAGTATCTGCATGGTGCCCAGCATGTAGAAACCACTCAGTATGTGTTAGCGCTTATGTTCACCATCTCATCAGACAGCAGCTAATTTAGTGTCATATCAAAATATAGCCAGCCTCTTCAACCCCTATCAGGTCTTTGAACACTTAAACATTTCTCACTTTGTTGATTTTAGGCATTCACTTGGAAGTGGAAAGACTGCAGGGTTTGCAGGAAGGGCTGGAAAGTGATGACGTGCAGGTTCAGATCAAGATTTCTTCTAAAATAGCTAAGGTAATAAATATGGAGTGGCCAGGGGATGTAAAGATTCTGGATTGATTTCCAAATGAGTAAGCTACATACTCCCCACTGCAAAGAAGATAGATATTCAAGCTGAATGAGGGACCCGTGGTCCTGTCATTTTCTAACTTAGAGTACACATGCCTAGTCAACACTCATTACTGATCATTTCAGATAGTGGGAAACTTTGTAGACCAAGTGTCCTTTCCCAAAATGTGGGATGCTGTGGGTTGGAGTGGAAGGAACAAGAGCTTTGGAGTTAATCAGATGCACTCTGTGTGCACTGATTGAAGTTCAGTCTCCTCATCCTCAAGAAACAAAAACAAAAGACCATTTTGTGGTTGTTGTGAGGACTGGCCAATCAATTCAATCACTCATTCAGTCATGCATTCATTTACCTTCCTTCTCCTGAGCACCTACCATATGTAAAGCTCTATTCTAGGCACTAAGAAAGCAGAAAATACAATTCCTGTTTCACTGAGCTTGTATCTTAGTAAAGGAAATCCAAAAATAAGCATAATATCAGATAATGATAACTGAGAAAAATAAAGTCAAGAAAGGGAATAAAGAAGAGGTAAGAGGTGATCCTCTGGAGAAGAACACCCTGAAAGAGATAATCATGGAAATATCTGGAAAAAAGAATTCCAGGCAGAGGGAAAACAGCAAGTGCAAAGCCCCTGAAGTGTAGAAAGAGGGGTTAATGAGATCCAAGAGATAACTGGAGGCTGATCCAAGGGCCTTCTGGGCCTTTTTAAGGAACTTGGTTTTTTTGTTTGTTTGTTTGTTTTATTATATTTTAAGTTCTAGGGTACATGTTTACAACGTGCAGGTTTGTTGCATATGTATACATGTGCCATGTTGGTGTGCTGCACCCATTAACTCATCATTTAACATTAGGTATATCTCCTAATGCTATCCCTCCGCACCCCCCTACCCCACAACAGGCCCTGGTGTGTGATGTTCCCCTTCCTGTGTCCATGTGTTCTCATTGTTCAATTCCCACCTATGAGTGAGAACATGCAGTGTTTGGAACTTGTTTTTTGCTCTATTTGAAATCAAAAGCCAATGGAGGGTTCTCAGAAGAGTCAGGCCACCACACATAATTATGCCAATTTTGAAATGCAAAAGGGCACCCTCATGTAAGACAACATCATTCATAATGTAGACATTACAGATTTATATTGGTGTTATGGCAATTTTCCACAGGTAGCAGTAAAGGATCCAGCAAAATCAGTACGTTATGACAATACACTCACAGAGAGAAGTGAAATATCTTGAGGACGGGGCTCATATTCCTAGTGTGCAAATGCCTCTTCTAGGCTAACAGTGGTTCTGAGAGGAAAAACACAACCAGACTTACATTTCTGAGGGGCCACTCTGGCAGCTATGTGGAGACTTGAATATAGACTGTTAAGAGCAAAATTAGGGAAGTCAGTTTGTAGGAAACTGCAAGACTCCAGCTATCAAATGAGGCAATTAGAAACAAGGAAGGTGGCTGTAGCAGAGACATGAGTAATTGATCAGCAAATGACAGAGAAGCCATTTGAGAGACAGGAAGGGAAAATATGTCAAATGCCTTAAAAGGTGCCCGACACATAATAGGCGCTCAAAAACATGAGTTCCCTTCCTTCCTTTGCTCCTGAATCAACATCCATCCCACTGTGAGACAAAACAGCTAACCATGAAGCTTGGACAACCGGCAAGCATTTGGAGTTACATAGAATGGTAGCCATGGTATAGTCCTTTGATCTAATAACTCAGCAAATGGTTTGGATGTGCAAATATTCAAGGAAAGGAGTTCATATTTTCTCAATATCATCTGGCTACTTAATGCAAAGGGAAGACCATTGTAAATAGGAACGCTCTAGTGTCTACAAACTCATAATCATTACCATCTTGCTTAGTTAAATCCCCAGATAATGATCCTGGAACTCATTCAAACACCAAATTTTCACCTGCTTTCCTACTCCTTTTTCATTAATGCGCACACACAGACATACACACTCAAATTCACACACTGCTATCGACCAAGCATTCTGTATACTTCTTGTACCTAGAGACAACAATTGCAAAGTTTTTCCATTTTATTGACCTTTTATGGACTGTTCTTAATATTGAAATATGGAAGAGCAAGAAACAAGGCTCATAATAATCCATACTCCATATGTACACTGTCCACCACCTGAGTATTCAGCATGGTACTTAATACATATTGATAGATTTTCCTGAATTCTCAAGGTTTAGGTATTATGTGGCAGATTCAAGTCATGTTTCTATGATATATGAATGTTTGTAAAAGGACTTTATAATGTACATATTGCTATGTAAACATTCTGCATTATTTTTCCCTATGCTGTATGCTATAACTTTAGGCTTGGAGAGAAAATTGCCTTAGCAGGCTTAGGATTCAATAAATATGAAATGATAAAAAAGGCAACTCCACGGAAAGTTTGCTTAGTAATAAAAGGTCATGTCTATGCCCTGTTCTAGTATTTTCTCTAGTTTCTGTGGCCTCAATCAAAACTGTTGAAAAGTTCAGTGGTTTCTAATACCCAAAACAAACCACAACAGCATGTTGTAAGTATCTAGATATAAAATGGGGTGGTTGATTACACGAATCTTTCTGGGTGCATTTTCAGATTGTCAGTAAGTTCATCCCAAATGAAGAAATTCTGATGTTCCTAGAGGAAATGCTGGACGGTCTGGAGAGCCTCAACCCCACTTGTACAAAGGCCTGTGGCATATGGATGATCACTGTCCTGAAGCAGCAGGGAGCTGCTCTGGAAGATCAGGTGAACTGATAGCCAGTTTTAACAACTGAACAGATTTCTATCACTTCTGAAATGCCAAGTCAGCCACTTTCTCTGTTTGTCCACTGATGGGCAGCATGCAAAGGCTTGCACAACCTCAAGAGGCCTCATTAGAGACCTACGTTGTGTGTTTAACAACAAGGCTCACGTTGAGGACCTGTCTCAATTGCCTCTCTTGTCTTTTAATATAAAAGCTGTTCAAACTGTCTCTTTCTGGCTAGAGGAAGCAGCTCTGAACCGAGGCCATTTGGATGATGGAAAACAGGGTTGTTAGAGATGTAAGGATAAGAGTGACCATGTGGATGACTTTGAGACAACCACCAAGGGCAGGAGTCAAGGGCAGGAGTTTCTAATTTCACTGCTACCCTTCAGGCTTTTCTCCCACACCCCATAGTGTTCATTGTCTGATAAGCAAGGCTGCCACTGGATTGGGGAAAGTCCTCAATTCTTCTTCCCAACTGGAGAGTTAAGCAGAGTGAACAGGATTTAAATTCAGGAAGCTTGGTTAAGAGCTCCAAATGGAAATGCCTCTCTTTTCTCTTCTGAAGTCAAAAATAGAATACAAGTTATTCAAACATTAATAAGAAGGAAAAAATGGGCTGGATGTGGTGGTTCACACCTGTAATCCCAGCACTTTGGGAGGCCAAGGCAGGTGGATCACTTGAGGACAGGAGTTTGAGACCAGCCTGAGCAACATGGAGAAACCTCATCTCTACTGAAAATACAAAACTTAGCTGCGCATGGTGGCAAGCACCTGTGATTCCAGCTACTTGGGAGGCTGAGGCAGGAGAATCACTTGAACCAGGGAGGCACAGGTTGCAGTGAGCTGAGATTGTGCAACTGCACTCCAGCCTGGGCAATAGAGCAAGGCTCAGTCTCAAAAAAAAAAAAAGAAAAAGGAAAAAATCTTTCACTAAATGAAAGCAACTCAAAGAGAGTAAGAGAAAGAAGTTCTTGTCCCTATAGTCCAGTCAACTACCCTCAATTTAAAAACTCTCCAAAGCACAGCTTTTGTGTTAAGGGCATTGAAAATTACCTCTGTGCTAATTACTTTTCAATAAGTGTTTTTGAAAACATTTATTGAGCACCTACTATGTGGTAGGCACTGGGATAGACATGAGACAGCCAAAATTGATAAATGTGGAATGCCCATATATTTGTGTGTATAGCATAAAGAGTTGTTCACACAATAGGTAAAGGCTTACAATAGGGACCTAAATCCTCTCCAAGCATCATTGACCTGGAAATCTGTGGTAATCATAAATGGGGGCTATTTATAACTAAGGAATTATAATTCAGAGAAAATATATTTAAAATAAATGTCTAACTTAAATGTCTATCCAAAATAATAGAAATGTCTACTAGAAGCAGAGTTACTTTAAGATAGATATATGCCTGTGTCCATGTCAAAAATCCAAATGTATGATATCGTTCCCTACTGCCAACAGATTAACATCCAAATTCCTAAAGGTGGCATCCAGTGCTCTGAGATCTGGGTTCATCTTTTCTATCAAGTCATCTTTCTTTTATTATCTTCATTCTCTCTGCACTCCAACCTGGACCATTCTCCTACACTAGAAATCTCAGCATTTTCTTATGCCCATGTTCCCGTGATTTTTAAAAAATAGATTTTTTAGAGCAGTTTTAGGTTCACAGCAAAATTAAGCACAGTTCCCATCTACCCGCTCCCCTCACATACGCACAGCCTCCCGACTGTCAATATCTCCCACCAGAGTAGATTTGTTACGATCAGTAAACCTACATTGACACATCGCTATCACCCAAAGTCCACAGTTCCATGGACTGCAGTTCCAGGGTTCACTCCTGGTGTTGTACAGTCTATGGGTTTGACAAATGTATAATGACATGTATCCACCAGTATAAGATCATACAGAGTGGTTGCACTGCCCTAAAAATCCTCTGTGCTCCACCTATTCTCATGTCTTTTAACTTTACATCTTTATCTGTGTTCTTCTTTCTGACAAGGATGCCCTTTCCCACCATCTGTCTCCACCTTGCCTTTTGAAATTTCTACAAATGCTTCAAGACCCAAACCAAATGGCCCTCCAATGTGACTCAGTTCCTCCTGGATTCCCCTGTCGGTTGTATGCACCTCATGTATACCATTTGCCATAGACTGCCTTGACTACAGGCCTTTAGGTCTATGATTGATATTCTTTATTGGATCACTCATTTTGCAAAAAGGGTACATCTTTTTCATCTTTGGTAAATTCCGACAATGGCAAACACAGCACCTGTCATAATACACCCTTTCACAAAATGTTTCCTAAATTTAATTAGGAACAAATAGCCAATTCATGAACAATCCTCCTGAGTGAGAAATAGGCCACATGTGAAATCAATTATTATTTTTAACATTATTTAGAATTCATCAGCTGCCCATCCACGACAGATACCTGTTCTGAGTCATTCACATAGAGGGAAAATGGCAACTTAATGTTTGACTTGGCTTTTTTCTCTTTAGCTATTGGAGATCTTAGGCACAATCTACCATCACATGCCAGTCCTCAGACAAAAAGAAGAAAGTTTTCAGTTCATTCTAGAAGCCATCTCCCAGATAGCCAGCTTTCACATGGATACAGTTGTTGTCAACCTTTTACAGAAGCCTCTGCCTTTTGACAGGTAGATCCTTATTGAACTGATTCCTTCTCCTAGGGAAGGCCACTCTGAAAGGCACTGGGGAGGGATTTACGGTTTGAGAGCAAGATAGCAAACAAAGGTTGAAAATAGCTCATCTGAATAACAATTTAACAATTGGTATTTGAATCACAAGTAATGTTTTTCCAAGTGCTTTTCATATATATAAGATATATATGTATTGCATAATAATATTTTTAACAATATGCCATAGGAATAAGAGAATATTAAAAAGTGAATATTCTCCTCTTTCTGGTGGCCTAGAATGCACCTACATGAGAGGTTCCCATCTTAGTGGACTTTAACAAAGTTCTGTAACCCAAGGCTAGAATGCTGAATTGTTATGTAAAACATCTTTCTTATCCCCAGGCATGGCAGCATGTCCATCTGCCCTTGAAATTGTCATTAGTCATAATGTGATTTTAGAGTGAGTCAGATGGAAAAGCTTACAGCCCGAGGGGTTGTGCCTTATCTACCAATTTCCTGCTTTGCCACCCTAGGGACACAAAGACATTGTGGAAGGCGCTGGCTGAAAAGCCAGCCTCCAGTGGGAAACTCTTGCAAGCCTTAATAGACAAACTGGAGACTGAGTTAGAAGATGACATCGCCAGGGTTGAGGCAATTTCAGTGAGTTGGACAGCCTGAACCCATCACTTGCCTGAGACTGCGCCATCTTTATGATCTATCCCCACCTGGAGCTTGGTGCTGTCACATTAATGACACCTCCTTCTTCTCTCATACCCTAACTTTACTCCAGTTTATAGTTGTGGCTCTACTTTTGTCTGTGGCTGATCATTTTTAGAAGCAAATTTCTCATCAACCCCCCAAAAAACCTATGTATCTATATTTCTAGATAAGTCTGTAAGATATCCAAAGGACCCTTTTTGTTGAAAAACCCCAATGCTGAAAACATTTTATTTTACATGACTAGTGTCCCCTGGCAGTCACAGGACTAACATGGCAGGCCCTGAGTTGAGAAATTTCCAGACAATAAACCCTCCCTTTTCTGTGTGTTTTTACTGGTGGAGAAAACAAAGTTGAAAATCAGCCCAGAGAGAAGATGGCCTTGGAGAAAATGAGACTGCCTGACCAAGAGGCCCTTTCTCCCCTCAGGTGGCCTGTGCTATGTATGAAGTGATCTCAATGGGCACCTCTGTCACCGGCTTGTATCCAGAGCTGTTCACTCTCCTCCTGAAGCTGGTTAGCTGCACACTGGGCCAGAAGATGCTCACTTGTCCCTGGAGCCATAGGCGGCATGTGATGCAGCAGGGAGAACAGCAGCAGATCCCAGACCCCTGCAGGTAAACGGCCAATCAGGAAGCATCTTCCACAGTGGTCCTAATCCCAGACTCCAGGAGTGGTGCTGCAGAAGTCAGGGTCTGTGCTTTCTGTCATAGCATCCATTGTCCATGAAGAAACAAGGCTCTACAAGGCTCTACTCTCCCTAAGCCGTGACACCATAGTTCTTCTTGAGCCAGTATCCAGTGTAGCTACACAGAATAGTCACTTAAAGAATAAGGGGCTATGCTTTCTTTCCTAGAGGAACTACTATATTATCTTTGGTTTCTATCATTGAGATCTTTCTAGAGAGGCTGGAATCTTGTGATCTTCAAGGCCACCAGGGAAAAAAGAAAAATAAAAATAAATACCATATTTCATAAATTCTGAGACTTCAGCAATTGAAAAAAAGCAATTTTTTGCATACCAT
Organism: Homo sapiens; assembly: GCF_000001405.40. Taxonomy (NCBI): domain Eukaryota; kingdom Metazoa; phylum Chordata; class Mammalia; order Primates; family Hominidae; genus Homo; species Homo sapiens. Next base: position 41,008,198 of record NC_000005.10, on the reverse strand, counting down.
TGAGAAAACAGAAAAGAACTCCAAAGTAAGCAGTGAATCAATGCTTTCTTAAACTTTAAAATTTTTATTCTGTACTTATCAAAAGAACTCTTTTAGGATTATGAAGTATGAATTTTCATTTCATATCCCATCATTCTGTTTCCCTGCATTTTGCATAACTTTTCATTCCAATGTAAAATTATAGTGCAACATTTTTAAAGACACTTTAAACACCGTTTAGTCAACACGTATTAGGTTGGTGCAAAAGTAATTGCTGTTTTTACCATTAAAAGTAATAGTTCCAATAATACGTGTAACTTTACTAAAATGATGGTAATATAAAGAGCTATATCTGAACCAGGCAGCACATGTGAATGTACAGACAATAGCAACTACATCACAAGTACTGTCTGGCCAAGAACAATTGTAACACACATCTACTGCAAGATGCATCCTGATTTCAGAGATCGTGTTTTAGAATCAGTGAAATATGGTATTTTTCACTTTTTATTCTTATGGCCTATTTTTTCTTATGGGGGGAGTGTTGACAAGATTTTGTGGCATTACTTACTGGCCCACATCATCTGCATGTCCCCATGGATCCCAAGGCTAAAATGTGAGCATAGGGCTGCCTGTTTTTCCCTTACACAACATCCCCTAGTCCAGGGGTGGGAAAGCATTGTGAGGAGTGGAAAGGCAAACTTGGGAATTTGCAATTCCCTATAAGGGTCAACTTAGTTTTGTAATGCTGACTGTCTCCTTTAGGCTTTCAACTGCTACTTTAAAATGTTTGCAAGCCCAAGCCATGAGAGAAGGCCTTGCAAAGGAATCTGATGAGGGGGACAACTTATGGACTCTACTCAGCAGTCCTAGTACCCACCACATAGGCGTATGTTCACTGGCCAGGTAATGTGCACTTTTTCTAGAACCAGATACAAAGAAGAAAACAAAAACAAACAAACAAACAAAAGTGCAATACAGGCAACTTCACTGAGCATAATTGATTCACTTAGGACTAATAGTCGAAGGAGGACAAACAGGAAAGAAAGAAAAGGGAATGGGAAGAGATGGTAAGATCAGCCCCACACACACCACTCACCTCAAGAAACATGATTCAGGTGAACATCTTTAGACAAATTACACTTATTTTTTGAAAGAAATATTTAATATTCACATACCTAGAATTCTGTTGAACTTTTTTTAATCAGCTTTTTAAAAAAAATTTTATTTTTTTATTTCAGTAGGTTTTTGGGGAACAGGTGGTGTTTGATTACATGAATAAGTTCTTTAGTGATGATTTCTGAGATTTTGGTGCACCCATCACCTGAGGAGTGTACACTGCACCCAATATGTAGGCTTATCCCTCACCTCATTCCTGCCCTTTCCCCCAAACCCCCAAAGTCCAATGTATCATTCTTATGCCTTTGCGTCCTAATAGCTTAGCTCCCACATATGAGACAGAACATACAATGTTTGGTTTTCCATTCCCAAGTTACTTCACATAGAATAATAGTCTCCAATTCCATCCAGGTTGCTGCAAATGCCATTATTTCACTCCTTTTTATGGCTGAGTAGTATTCCATGGTATATATATACCACATTTTCTTTATCCACTCATTGATTAATGGGCATTTGGGCTGGTTTTATATTTTTGCAATTGCAAATTGTGCTGCTGTAAACATGTGTGTGCAAGTATCTTTTTTGTATAATGATTTCTTTTCCTCTGGGTAGATACCTAGTAGTGGGACTGTTGGATCAACCGGTAGATCTACTTTTAGTTCTTTAAGAAGCTCCACTGTTTTCCATAGTGGTTGTACTAGTTTGCATTCCCACCAAGAGTGAAAAATTATTCTCTTTTCACGGCATCCATGCCAACACCTTTTTTTTTATTATTATTATTTTATTATGGTCATTCTTGCAGGAGTGAGGTGGTATCGCACTGTGGTTTTGATTTCCATTTCCCTGATCATTAGTGATGTTAAGCATTTTTCCATATGTTTGTTGGCCATTTGTATATCTTCTTTTGAGAATTATCTATTCATGTCCTTAGCCTGCTTTTTGATGGGATTGTTTAGACAAACTGCATTTAAATTGGACAATTGGATAGGCCATTTTAAAATTTAAGCCTTGGTGGGCTTTCATCAAGCATCCCTTTTTTCTTTTTTCTTTTTTCTTTTTTTTTTTTTTGGAGACAGAATCTTACTCTTCGCCCAGGCTGGAGTGTGCAGTGGCGCGATCTCGGCTGACTGCAACCTCTGTCTCCTGGGTTCAAACAATTCTCCTGCCTCAGCCTCCTGAATAGCTGGGACTACAGGAGCACACCACCATGCCTGGCTAATTTTTTGTATTTTAGTAGATACGGGGTTTCACCATGTTGCCCAGGCTGGTCTCGAACTCCTGAGCTCAGGCAATCCACCTGCCTCGGCCTCCCAAAGTTCTAGGATTACAGGCATGAGCCACCACCCCCAGCCAAGCATTCCTTTTTAGACAAATTACTTGCCTGATGAACAAACAGACTAAGATTTCCTCCATTGTTTAGTAAAATATGTCTCTGCTAAAATGTGCATTTTCTAGGAGCATGGCAGTGTGGCAACACGGAGTCATACTGGACATCATGGAACAGCTGCTCTCATCTCTTACCTCCTCCTCGGAGAACTACCGGATAACCGGCGCAGCTTTCTTCTCTGAGGCAAGGGAGAACAGCCCTCAGAGCACACTCACTGGGTCCCCATAGGGTATTTCTCTTATGGTCTGGAGCCCAGTGTGCACTGGAACCAGGGAAGAGAGACTTCAAGGGGGGGGGGGGTTTCATAGAGGAGAGACCAGCTACTGCCAGATATATGGTACCTAAGCAGGGGGTGAGAGAGGAAAATAAACCACCTCACCCACCTCCTGCCCTCTAGTTTGCAGAAGGCAGAGAAAGGGGGACAATAAATCTGTGAGGGATCAAACAAAGCATTGTAGCACTGACGCTTCAAATTCCGGCCTGAAGACTATTCCAGCCAATCCAGAGAAGGAAAACTATCAGTCATTCCTGTTTTCCCTGCCCCATTTTCCATTGAGACTAGACATCTGTTATGCAGGTAACCGGGTTTACATCACCATGCAAGCTTGACCTGTGCGCTGCTCATATCTAGAGCTCAGCTTCAGCAAGGCTTGCTGGTTCACCAGAGGGCTTCCTCCTCCGCTGCACAAGCAGTGGGGTCCTCTCTTTAATTGTACTTGTGATGTCTTTGGCACTCTCCTGAAGGAGGGGCCACGCCCTTAACTAAACGGGAGGAGTGTGTTGATTATTTCAGCTCATGAAGGAACCAATCCTTTGGAAGCATGGGAATCTGCGAAATGTGCTGATCTTGATGGATCAAAGTGCCTGGGACTCCAACGCCACTCTGAGGCAGATGGCCATCCGAGGGCTCGGCAACACAGCATCCGGGGCTCCTCACAAGGTAAAAGGCGTTTTAAGGGGAAATGGTTCATTTAAGTAGAGTTTTGAAATAATGATTTAATAACCCACGCCTAGTTGTTGCATACAAATTAATTGGAAATCCAGATACATTGCTGAAGTGGTAGTCCTTCGGTTGAACTACATGTGACCCTGACAAAATTTCAGTCCTCTTGTCTGAGGACTCCTACCCTCTTCCAGATACGCATAGAACAATTTTCAAGATTAAGAGGTCTTATTTCAAAATAGGTGAAGAAACATAAGCAGTTAATGCTAGAATCTATCATCAGAGGCCTGTATCACCTAGCTCGCACTGAAGTCGTCTGTGAAAGCTTGAAGGCTCTAAAAAAAATCCTGGAGCTGCTGACAGACCGAGACGTGAGCTTCTACTTCAAGGAAATAGTGCTGCAAACAAGGACCTTCTTTGAAGATGTAAGTGAGCCTGTTTAGGAACTTCCCTCCCCAGAAGTGAGTGAACAGAAACAGGTTTAGGTAGTGCTCACAGAAGACATTGTCAGTGTCCCACCCATATTCCTTGGCCTGCCCCAGACAGGTCACCTGCAGACAATCTCTATACAAGCTGTTGGCTTCCTGTATCTCTCTGCCTGAGGGTGCTCTATGGCCTGGCAGTCATGATTGATCTAAGCTAGTTGAGCCAGAATTGTTGGGGGAAGAAATGCCCTAGGAAGGACCCTCAAACAATAAGAAACAAGAGTTTGTAGATAAATTTCCCGGTTTCCTCACCCCTCAGAAAGGGTTGATTGGCTGTTACAGAGATCTTAGGATCCACAGAGTTTAAACTATTTACTGTCTGGCCTTTTAGAGAAAACGTTTGCCAGCTTTTGATGTACTCCATAATCGCAATTTCAAAAAAGATCAGTCAGCAGTCCTAGGCAGAGAAGGGTCATTTTCCTCTATGCCTTCCAGGAAGCACATTTTAGTATTTATTTTTTGGTTATTCATTGCCATCAATGTAAAAATCTATTTTTAACCTAAACCTATTATTTTGTAATCTAAACCTGCTTCCTCATGTAGTATTGTCAGAGGAGATGGAAAACTGCTAGTTGCCTTCTCTAGTGCATTCTTCATAAACATTAAGGCTTTATTTGATTACCTATTTACCTTACAGTCTGCAGACTTGAGAAGTCTTCATTTCTTTCATTATTCATCATAAACCTAATTTTTCTGCTCATTAAATATTTTGCAAGCCTGTGACTGAGTTGGAACTCTAAATGAGGCTCAAGAAGTATTGAATAGAATCTAAGGATATATTACCTCTCAAATCCAACCTTTTCCCATTTCTTTGCTCCATTATTTTTTTTAATTTTGCCCTTCCTGATTTTGGCATGCTAACTATATGAACCTCTAGATTTTAGTCTGTAATATATGCCCACAGCATTCTTCAGTTTCGTATTTTTGCAGTTTTTCTTGTCTATGTGCTAGCCTAGACCTGGCCTTTGAAAACATCTTTCTGCTTGTTTCCAACTATTTCCTCCAATTAACCAATATCACTTTTAGGCCAGGCATGGTGGCTCACGCCTGTAATCCCAGCACTTTGGGAGGCTGAGGCAGGTGGATCACCTGAGGTCAGAAGTTTGAGACCAGCCTGGCCAACATGGTGAAACCCCATCTGTAGTAAAAGTACAAAAATTAGCTGGGTGTGGCGGTGCGCGCCTGTAGTCCCAGCTACTAGGGAGACTGAGACAGGATAATCGCTTGAACACGGGAGGCAGAGGTTGCAGTGAGCCGAGATCATGCCACTGCACTCCAGCCTGGGCAACAAGAGTGAAACTCCATCTCAAAAAAAAAAAAAAAAGCAATTTTTAATTATCTTGTCCTCAAAAATGCTTACTGGGGTAAAAATAACAAAGATATTCTTTTTCTTCGTTGTTCAGGGCTGAAGTCACCCCTTCAGAACCCCAGCTGTTAAGTTTCCTGGATTGTTGTTGATCCAATAATAATTCTCTTAGATCTGAGCCTCCAGTAAATCACAAGTCCACTTAACAATTTAGTGGTCAAGATAATGTTGCCCAGTGTCATCAGAGAAGGATAAAATGTGCTAAAGCCTTGCTGATTGTTAGCTCAGACCTTGCTCATCTCTAATAGGTGTCAACTCCATCACGTTTGCATAAAAGTAAAGTTGGACAAAACTTTGACTCTTATTTGTTCTCCAGTAATGCCATTTTTACATAAGTATATTTAACTCTATGATCTATTGCCCCAATATTTTTATGTAGATTAAGCATAGCTTTCTATAATCTCCAAGTTTTCTTCCTTTGTTTCTTTCAATATTTAAATACTTTCTTAGACTTTTCAAAACATGGTGACACTTGAATGAAATGGTAGAACAGAAAATGTGGCTGCTGCCCCATGCTCCATTCCCTTCTTGCTACTATTCCCCACACTGTCACCCTGAGCAATCGCTTTACCCTCTGTGACTCCATGTTCTCAAGTGAACATGAGGACATTGGACTAGACGTTCTCTAATATTTCTCCCAGCACCCAAAATCCTTTTGCCACTTTTTCTTTCTGATTTTTCATCATCTCGATTGGTTGATTGTTCCTGGACCTATCATTAGCTCATTGATTTTGCAAAATTCAAGCTTTTTTAACTAAATGTCTCTCTACCTTTTTGGTACCTTGTTTTTGGTTAGCTTCCTCTTTCTAAAGAGGTATCTTTTAAAAAATGTATCCTGACCTTATTCCTAATAAATCTAAAAAATGTGTTTCTACTTTCATTTTCATTATACAAAGTCACATCTGAGCTTTTCTGGCCTCTTCCCAACAAGCCATCATTTTTTAGAAGATCTATATTAACTTTATTGTTTATCTAAATAATATTCTGCTATTCAGGACTGCTTTTTCTTTAATCCCTTTTTGTTCATATGGGTATTTTAAACTAGTTTTCTGGGTCTAAAAATAAAAAAACCTCCATGAAATTCATCTCACTTCGTTTCTTCCCTGTCGGAACTCTGAAACGTAACTCCAATGAGGTAATAGGAGGCCATCTTCCTCCACCACCACCTTTCTCTTGTTTTCTTTTTTTTTTCTTTCTTTTTTTGAGACAGAGTCCTGCTCTGTCACCCGGGCTGGAATGCAGTGGCACGATCTTGGCTCACTGCAGCCTCCTCCTCTCAGATTCAAGCAATTCTCACGCCTCACCCTCCCAAGTAGCTGTAGCTGTGACTACAGGCACGTGCCACCAGGCCTGGCTAATTTTTATATTTTTAGTAGAGACAGGGTTTCACCATTTTGGCCAGGCTGGTCTCAAACTCTTGACCTCAGGTGATCTGCCTGCCTCTGCTCCCAAAGTGCTGGGATTACAGGCATGAGCCACTGCACCCGGCCTCTCTTGGCTTCCTAAAATCATCGCCTGCCATCCTGGACCAAAAACAAGGAAGTTCCATAATTTCACATACTCAAGAGTAGAGCTAGGCACCTCTGTGTTTAACCTCTCTGAGAACCAAGGCCCAAATTCCCAAGCTGCCTGTAATCCCTTTAGAAAATATTTGGTGTCATGGAGAATAGTACCAAGCCTTGGACAATTAAGATTAGAGGTCCCATAATTCTAGGCTAGTAACGCAACCAAGTAAAATACATAACAAGCAGAAACCCTCCCTGGCTTTCTCTATGAGTACCCCTGTGTATCATTCCTGTGGTCCTGGTCACACTTCCCCACTGGCTACTCAAAGACAGAAATCAATTCTCTGGCATCACATAAACCCCAGACCCAGGGTTTTTTAAACTCATGTAGTATGGAGAGAAAGCTTCAGGGAAAGAAAGCAAGTTCTTGGAACATTTAGAGGCCGTGACTATGATGGACAAGTGCCTGGGTTCCAGCCTTCTTTTGCTGAAGCGGGAAGGGTGGGATGAGAGCCAAGAGTGTGCTAGCAGGGAATGGCCTCTGAGAGGATATTCACCACGACATGCATTCGTCACCACAGGAGCAGGATGATGTGAGATTGACTGCCATCTTCTTATTTGAGGACCTGGCACCCCTAACAGGAAGAAGGTGGAAGATTTTTTTTGCTGAAGAAATAAAAAAGAGCCTGATTTCATTCCTTCTGCACCTTTGGGATCCCAACCCCAAGATTGGAGTTGTAAGTGCTCTCCACAGACACCTGCACCTCCTGCTCTCCCCATGGCTGAGAAGTACCAATAAGCCTGGTCTAGCTGCACCAGGAGCCAGATCTAAAGTCACCCCTTAGCGCTGAACCTGAAAACCTCTTCTCCAATTCTAGGTTCTTCTTACTATCTCTTCCCAAGCTTACTCTTCCTTGAAACTGGGAAGGTGCCAGCAATGACTATAAAGCCATTCACACCACTGACTTTTAGTGCTTCTTTCCCAGTACTATTCAGCATTTTTTCCCTTCTGGAAGGAGATCCTAACGTTCTGGACTGTGATGCAGAAAACTCTGTTTTCCAGGCTTGCCGTGATGTCTTGATGGTCTGCATTCCCTTTTTGGGCCTCCAGGAGCTCTATGGGGTATTAGACCGTCTCCTTGATCAGGATCTACCAAGGGCCAGGGATTTCTACAGGCAATTCTGTGTGAAACTGGTGAGTGTCCAATAGATGCCGCCTCCAAAAAAGGCAGGACAAGGGTCTAGACAAATCGCAGAAGGGCAAACAATGTAGCAAGGAATTTCTGGCCAGAGCCAGAACTGCCTTGGAAGGATGGCAGTGATATCCTGATTTCACAGGATATAGTGACATAGAGGTATCCTGCCACAGGACCCTCTGCTCCATTCCCAAGTCCTGACTGGGATATATTCTCCTTGGTTCCTAAAATTCATATCTGTTGATTAATCCCTTAAACTCTGATGGCTTCCTGATTAAATGTAGATCAAAATACCCATAAGACAATTTTCAGCCAATTAATTTATGGCTGTGTGAGTGCTCACTGGCCTTTACAAATCCGTTCTGAGGACCTATAGGATGCCAAATGTCACAAAGGTTCACTTTCCAGTTGCCCTCTTTGAAATTCACATCTCTTCTAGGCCAAGAAAAACCAGGAAATTCTGTGGATCCTCCACACACACTCCTTCACCTTCTTCACCAGCACCTGGGAGGTGATCAGGAGTGCAGCTGTCAAACTCACAGGTGAGTACACATCCCCATTTCCTACCCAGATATGTCTGCTTTTTCCACCTAGTTTTGCTTTGACCAGAAGCTGTCCAGTATGAACACTAGTAGGACTGGTATAACTTTTTTATTAAAGCCCAGAAAGGGCTTTTATCTTACGTCATGTAACATCCTCCCTCAAAGAAACCTGCTTCCTTTTGCAGTGAAAACTCATAACCTCTCCTGACTCACCTACACTCATTCTCCTCCCATCTGAGCCCTTCATGCTCCTTCTGGCTCCAAGTCCTTGCTCCTTCTTTTCCCCAGATCTTTGCTCCCAGCTGCTGCCCTTACATAAACACTTCTTCACCTCATCCCATAAGATAACCCATACTCAACATCCAAAGCTCAGTTCAAGCTGAGAGCTTTGGCAACATGATACAAGTGGGAAGTATGTTCATGTGGGGGCCAGCAGCCCCTGGCTCTGCTATGTGATTCTGGAAATTGACTTAACTTTATGTTACCTCTCTGTCTGATGTATAAAATAAAACATAAGTAAATCTCTAGAGATCCTTCTATCATGAAATTCTAAGTCTTACTTTGAAGCCTGTTCCAACTAATTCAGCCCACAGACAACAGGCCCACTCCCTTCACCACCTTTAAGGCCAAATTAAAAATCTGAAGATTCCTTCTTGAATCATACATATGATCCCCCCACCAACACATTATGAAATTTTTGAAGACAGAGACCCTATCTTACACACATTTGAAATCCCAACAACAACTAGCCTCCTTAGAAGATCATTGTGTGAACTCTGCCAAATACTCTGGATAAGTGACTACTTGCAGACATGGCACTCGGGACCCAATAGAAGTCACCCTGACATCATTCTAGGGGGTGCAAAGGAAGTCATATAGTTTGCTCATTCACCAGCCTACCATTTACCTTCTCACCAGGTGCAGAGTCTAACCTGCTATACTTTTCATGGCTTCTTCCTCTATAATGAAATCAGTAACATGGTCTCCTATTAACTTTAGATGCCGTTGTTCTCAATTTGACCAGCCAATATGTGGAGTTACTAGACAGAGAACAACTGACCACACGTGAGTACCAACCTAGTTTCTTCCCAGCATATTGTTACATTCTTAGGAAAAGAGAAAATATTGCTGTTCTAAGTTCCACGTCAGCCCAGAACTTGAAAATCTTAGTACCAATTATTGTCTCTGATGCTCTCTAGACACTAGAATTTCTCCAGGGTACAAAGCAATCTCCAGCTCCAGCCCTTTGCAGGCATCAGAAACACCAATAGACTACGATTTTCCAATTGCCTAAACCTACTGATCACAAGGTCAGGGCCTTCTCTTCCCTTATTTCAATGTTAAAATCATTTCTTGTAGTTCCACATCCTACCTTTTAGGATAAAATGTGAGCATGAGGACCTGAGCCCCACTTGGGTCTGACCCTCAGTGCTAAAAAGTTGGGCCTTGGCTTGGTTTGCCCTTCTTGCTGGGCTCTGACTCTCCTCCTCCACTTATTTGCTATTCTTGCCATTTCAGGACTCCAAGCACTTCGTCAAGATCCGTGTATTAGTGTCCAGAGAGCAGCTGAGGCTGCTTTGCAAACCCTCCTGAGAAGGTGTAAAGAGACAAGCATTCCTCTGTAAGCCATCAAGAAATAAACTGCTGGCTTTTCCTATATCTGACTCCTGTCTTCATCCTATTACCTCACAAACTTGGAGCATCTTGAGGAAAGAGATGCTGCCTACGATGGGGATATAGAAGTGGTGGTATATTTCTTCCTCTCTAGAATCTCCTTGGTGGCTTCCATTAGCAAAAAGCAAATCCCACAAGTTCACTTCAGGGATAACCTGTGATTTGGATCGTGACAGCCACATGGCTTTGCCTAGGTTAGCCCTCTGTCTTGAGAAAGTAAGTCCCAGCAGATATCAAAAAGCGGCAGAATTTGACCCACATAATTCTGCTGCCACTAAAAAGAGGTCCACTGTTATTTTCCGCATGTAGCCCTTTCCTCTCAGATCTTTGCCAGCTTTGAATTACTACCCACACTCCTCTTTTTAAAATCAGTCTTATGATAAACTTTAACCTGCCTATTCTCTCCCAGGTTGTAATTTATGTGTCAAGAGTATGCCAGGTACTTTTCTACAAAAGAACCTGTCTGGCATTCTATTAAATATCATCATTTCCTTTCTACTTTTATCCCAGAACAACAGTGCATATGCACGCACACAAGCACGTGTGTGTGTGTGTGTGAGTGCGTTCATTTCTTCATAGTATCTGGATTATTATTCTTTCTTGTTTTTCACAATGCATAAGTGAAAGGTTACATACATGAAATTACATACCTAAAAACAAGTTTCTTTTTTTTTTTTTTTTTTGAGACAGAGTCTCTCTCCGTCACCCAGACTGGAATGCAATGGTGCGATCTCGGCTTACTGCAACCTCCACCTCCCAGATTCAAGCAATTCTCCTGCCCCAGCCACCTGAGTAGCTGGGATTACAGGGGCCCACCACCACACACCTAGCTAATTTTTGTATATTTTAGTAGAAACAGGGTTTCACCATGTTGGTCAGGCTGGTCTTGAACTCCTGACCTCAGGTGATCCATCTGCCGTGGCCTCCCAAAGTGCTGAGATTACAGGCATAAGCCACTGCCCCCAGCCCTAAAAAGAAGTTTCTAACACAGATACTGGCACTCATTTAAAAGCACCATCATGATCATTTATTAGCACCATTATTAATATATTACTTTAGAATGTCCGTGCAAATTTTTATTACTTATATTCTAATATCTTCATCTCCAAGCTGTTTGGGGAAACATCTTTGTTTCTACAAAACCTAGGGAGCAGTAGAATCTTTTGGGTAAGAGATTATGGACTAGGAGTCCATTTCTTTATTCATTTAACAAATATTTATTGAATGCCTACAGTTTTATAAGGCATTGTTATAGCCACTGGAACTACAACAGGGAGGGAAAATAGAAAAATTGTGCCTTCAGGGTGCTCATATTCTATAAAATCTATGTATAAATTCCAAGAAATGGAGCCAGCCTCCCAGATAGCCCCAGTGATTCCTGCTTCCTGGTATTCATGCCCCTGGGAAGTCCCCTCCTACAATGAATAAAACTGACCTGTGCAACCAATACAATATTTCAGAAATGATGGACTATGACTTGGAAGACAAGGTCATAAGTAATAGTGCATTCTCTTGATTCATTCATTCTGGAAGAAGCTAGCTGATGTGTCCTAAGGACACTCAAGCAGCCCTGTGGAGAGGTCCAGGTAGCAAAAAACTCCTGCAAACAATGAGCACTGAGCTGCAAGGCGTGTAAGTGAATCATCTCCGGAATGGACCCAAGAGCCCATTAGTCTACAGACGACTGAAACCCCAGCTCACTCACACATTGACTGAAACCTAGGAGTGTGAGATAAAATACACCTGCCCAGCTAAATTTGAATTTCAGATAAATGTTGAATTTTTTGGTAAAAATATATCCTAGTTATATATTACACTAAAAAACTATTTCTTGTTTATCATGAATTCAAATTTAGCTGAGCATCTTGTATTTTTATTAGCAAAATCTAGCAATTCAAGCAAAATCTAATGAGAATCTTTAACCAGAATCATTAACCAAGCTATTCCCAAATTCCTGAACCATGAAACTGTGTGAGATAATAAAACTTTAGTGTTTTAAGCCACTGGGTTTTGAGGTAATTTGCTAGGCACCAGTAGGTAACTGTTACACAGAGAGTCCATGATCCTAGCAAAGTTGTATACGAATTTCTGTATAGAATCGCATAGGTGCATTTTCTGGGTAATGGCTTTCATTAACTTCTTAGTGGAGTCAGAAGCTATTCCCAAGCACAACATATGTGAAACAGAGCAAAAAAAAAGAAGGCAAAAGACATGGGTTTAGTTGACCTCTTTTGGCAGATTATTTTAAGTCAAATGACGTTGTGAAATAGTGCTATCCAATATAACTTCTGCAACGATGGAAATCATTTTTTCTTTCTTTAGTGACCAACATGGTAGTCACTAGCCATGTGTATCAACTGAGCATTTGAAATGTAGGTAGTTGAGGAATTCAATTTTTAATTTTATCTAATTTTAATTATTTTATTATTTATCAATTTTTAAAAATCAAACCTAATATTTAATTAATTTTAATTAACAGAAATTTAAATAGTCATGTATAGCTAGTAATTATGGTATTTCACAGGACAGTTTCAGAATGTAGGGCAAAAAGTATTAATAGAATTTGGGTTGAGCCACTACAGAACTATAGGACATCCTCGACAGGAGTGTAAATTCACTCACATAGGAATTTGTTGGGTATTTGTATATCTCCACCACAGCCCCCTTCCTGGCATGCAGCATAGGGCCTTTCTCATAGATTGATTGATCGAAAGTAGGTAGAATGGCCACACAAAACACACATTGCCTCTGAAACCTTTAACTGTCTAAACCCTTATCTTAGATTCACCTTGTTCTAAGACTCTCTTTCTCACAAATCCTGGTTCCACCACTTACTAGCCATTTGACTTCGAAAAACCACTTAACCTCTCTGTACTTCAATTTCCACAACTGTAAGATCAGGATAATAATTTGATTATTATTATCTGACTAAATATGTTAGTCCATTCAGGATGCTGAGACAAAATATCTTAGTAATCTGCAAGCCACAGAATTTATGTTTACAGTTCTGGGACTGAGAAGTCCAAGATCAAGGTGCCAGTAGATTTGGTGTCGGTGAGGGCTCATTCTTCATATGTTCCTTCTTTCTGTGTTCCTTCTCGCTGTGTCCTCACATGGTGGAAGAGGCAGACAAACTTCCTCAGGCCTCTATTATAAGGGCACTAATCCCATTCATGAGGGTGGAACCTAATCAACTTCCAAAGGCTCCATCTCTTAATACCATCACCTTGGGCACTAGGTTTCAACAAATGAATTAGGGAGAAACACAAACATTCATACTATAGCCCAAGTAAAGCATTTAGAAGCCCGGCACAGAATCATTGTTTAATCAATATTTATATTGTTAACTATGCAATATAAATATTATGATATTAGCAAATTTATCATTATAATCACAAATATTAGCATAAACTCAATGGTTGGTATATAAACCCAGCTGATGATCTCAGCCCCATGTGGCCATATTCCTGGCCCTGTGAATATTGCTGCCCTTCATAGGAGACTGAAGATGAGGTGGCCCCTCTAATTCAGGAGACCTCAGCTCAGCATCTGCTGCTCCTGCTCTGCCTGTTTCATAGTTGTTTCTCTTGCCAGACCCCATCAAAGTCTTCTTACTTGCTCTCATAACATACAGTACACCACAGTCAGGCTTTGTAACAGGAGACACATTTAGATCTCTTTTTCATCCCCAACAAATATTCCTACCATTCCCCCTCAGAGAGTTGTCACTAGTCCTCCTTGATACTTCTCTTCCCAGTCAGTCCCCCAGGGCCCTCTGTGGTTCATTTCTATAGTTCAAACACAGGCAGGTTACTCAAGTGAGAAAGTCCCTGATATGGTTTGGCTGTGTCCTCACACAAATATCATCTTGAATTATAGTTCCCATAATCCCCACATGTCATGGGAGGGACCCAGTGGAAAGTAATTGAATGATGGCGCAGTTACCCTCATGCTGTTCTTGTGACAGTGAGTGAGTTCTCACAAGATCTTACGGTTTTATAAGAAGCTTTTCTCCCTTTGCTCAGCGCTTCTCTCTCCTGCTGCCTTGTGAAGAAGGACGTTTTTGCTTCCCCTCCCGTGGTAATTGTAAGTTTCCTGAGGCCTTTTCAGCCATGCAGAACTGTGAGTCGATTAAACCTTTTTCCTTTATAAATTACCCGGCCTTGGGTATTTCTTCACAGCAGCATGTGAAGGGACTAATACAGTAAATTTGTACTGCAGAGAGTGGGTTGCTGTTGTAAAGATACCTAAAAATGGGAAAGCGACTTTGGAACTGGGTAAAAGGCAGAGGTTAGAACAGTTTAGAGGGCTCAGAAGAAGACAGGAAAATGTGGGAAAGTTTGGAACTTCCTAGAGACTTGTTAAATGGCTTTGACTAAAATGCTGACCAGTGATATGGGTAATGAAGTCCAGGCTGAGGTGGTCTCAGATGGAGATGAGGAACTTGTTGGGAACTGGAGCAAAGGTGACTCTTGCTATGCAGATACTGGCAGCATTTTGCCCCTGACCTAGAGATCTGTGAAACTTTGAACTTGAGAGAGATTATTTACGGTATCTGGAGGAAGAAATTTCTAAGTGGCAAAGCATTCAATAAAAAGCAGAACATAAAGTTTGGAAAATTTGCAGCCTGATGATGCGATAGAAAAGGAAATCCTATTTTCTGGGAAGAAATTCAAGCTGGCTGCAGAAATTTGCATAAGTAAAAAGGAGCTGAATTTTAATCACCAAGACAATGGGGAATATGTCTCCAGGACATATCAGAGACCTTCATGGCAGCCCCTTCCATCACAGACCTGGAGGCGTAGGAGGGAAAAATGGTTTCATGGACAGGGCCCAGGGCCACCCTGCTCTGTGCAGCCTCAAGACAGGGTTCCCTGCATCCCAGCTGCTTCAGCTCCAACCATGGCTAAAAGGGGCCAATGTACAGCTCAGGTCGTTGCTTCAGAGTGTGCAAGCCCCAAGCCTTGGTGGCTTACATGTGGTGTTGGGCTTGCAGGTCAACAGATGTCAAGAATTAAGGTTTGGGAACCTCTGCCTCGATTTCAGAGGATGTATGGAAATACCTGGATGTCCAGGCAGAAGTTTGCTTCAGGGGCAAAGCTCTCATGAAGAATCTCTGCTAGGGCAGTGCAGAAGGGAAATGTGAGGTCAGAGCCCCCATACAGAGTCCCCACTGGGGTACTGCCTAGTGGAGCTGTGAAAAGAGGGCCACTGTCCTCCAAACCCCAGAATGGTAGATCCACTAACATCTTGCACCATGCACCTGGAAAAGCTGCAGACACTCAATGTCAGCCCATAAAAGCAGCCAGGAAGGGGGGCTGTACCCCACAAAGCCACAGAGGCAGAGCAGCCTAAGGCCATGGGAGCCCACCTCTTGCATCAGCATGCCCTGAATGTGAGACATGGAGTCAAAGAAGATGATTTTGAAACCTTAAGTTTTAATGACTGCCCTATTGGATTTCAGATTTGCATGGGGCCTGTAGCCTCTTTGTTTTGGTCAATTTCTCTCATTTTGAATGGGTGTATTTACCCAATGCCTGTACCTCCATTGTATCTACAAAGTAGCTAAATTGCTTTTGATTTTACAGGCTTATAGGCAGAAGGGACTTGCCTTGTCTCAGATGAGACTTTGGACTTGGACTTTTGAGCTAATGCTGGAATGAGTTAAGACTTGATAGGACTGTTGGAAAGATATGATTGTATTTTATGTGAGGACATGAGATTTGGGACAGGCCAGGGGTAGAATAATACGGCTTGGCTGTGTCCTCACCCAAATCTCATCTTGAATTGTAGTTCCCATAATCCTCACATCATGGGAGGGACCTGATGGGAGCTAAATGAATGATGGGGGCAACGACCCTCATGCTGTTCTCATGATAGCGAGTGAGTTCTTATGGGGGTAATGACCCTCATGCTGTTCTCATGATAGTAAGTGAGTTCTTATGAGATGTGATGGTTTTATAAGGGGCTTTTCCCGCTTTTCTCAGCACTTCTTTCTCCGGCTGCCATGTGAAGAAGAATGTGTTTTCTTCCCCTTCCACCACGATTGTAAGTTTTCTGAATCCTTCCCAGCCATGCAGAGCTGTGAGCCAATTAAACCTCTTTCCTTTATAAATTACCCAGTCTTGGGTATTTCTTCATAGCAGTGTGAGAAGGGACTAATACAGTCTACTTGAGAGTCTCAGGGAAATAGAGTTGTAGAGGAAAAGCATGTTCAAGTATTCTTGAAGAAATTACAGATTTCTTTTAGTCTCACTCCTGTTGTTTTTCTCACTATTAGTTGCACATATAATCATTTTTCAATTTTTGTTTACTTTAGGATGGAGATTTTGTAATGTTCATGGACTGCCTAGTGGCTAAGCACTGCTTTGAAGAACTCTGAATCATATTATTTTGCTACTCAGAACTCTGCCCTTTAACCCAACAGTGGAAGCCAGTGTTCTGCTGGTAAATCAGGCCTGTTTAGTTTGGCTGACCCTGCCATGGAGGCAGTTTTACCAGAAAAAAAGAAGAACAAAGATCACAGACAGGAAGAAACAAATAGGCTTCCAGTGAAAGAAGCCAGAGAAATTGCTCAACTGGAGTTGTCCCAGTTACTGCCACTGTTTCAAAGGATAAAGTACAGAAAGAGGCACTTCTGAAGCACTCACCAGGCTCTAAAATTAGAGCAAAGTTTTCTAATGGTTTTTACTCTTACTTGAGTTAGTCTCCAACCCCACCATCATCCTTCAGATTTCCTGAGTATAGAAATAGAGAATGCGTAGTCAATTAGAAGGGCTAGTAACCTGTGAGCTCATCAGGAGCCTGGCAGAGAAAAACTTTCTGATAACAGTTTTATGTAGCTGCAGCCTGGGAATTATCATTTCTTCAGATTTCTCTTTCTTATGCATTGCTGGTATCCCTTAAACCATGACAAGCAGAAAATGTGACAGAGTCGAGGAACATGAGGGAGGGACAGTGGAATTCATTACAAGAATGTATGTGTGTGTGTGTTTGTGTGTGTGTGTACATGTGTGTGTCTGTGTGTGTAAAAAATCACCAAGTCATGACCTGAAAAAAGGACACTTGCTTTCTACCTCTACTTTGTCAGACTTTCTTTATCCAACAAAAACATCCTTACTTATTTGTATTCCTTCTGGATGAACTGTCCTGGATTTTATTTATTGAGTTATGTGGTTATCCTAAAGGCAAGATAAATTTGGGGAATATAACTTTCCAAATATATGTGACTCATAGCTTCTTTTTCAATTTGGGAGCCACTGAAAAACACAAGATAAGAAATCCCTTCTCTTACATTACCTACCACTACCTCCAAATATTCTGGGTCTGAGGATTAAAATAGTCAATACCCTAGAACTTTCTTAACTGCACAGTGGTCAAAAGAGGCTCTATCTTGGAGATGGAGAGCCTGGGAAACTGCTTATTAGCCTGCAGTACAGGTTAACTAGGACTTTTTCAATTTTTCAAAGAGAATAGCGGGTGTTTGAATCTACCTTTACTCTGCTTCCAGTGGAATCATAAGAAAACCA
This sequence comes from Homo sapiens, assembly GCF_000001405.40. Lineage (NCBI taxonomy): Eukaryota > Metazoa > Chordata > Mammalia > Primates > Hominidae > Homo > Homo sapiens. The sequence goes on along the minus strand of NC_000005.10, from coordinate 40,990,473 downwards.
TTCATTATCCAATCCTCAGAGGCTGTGCTCAGGGTTGAAACAGTGGGAATGTGCCTGCCCTGTGGATGGGGCAGATAGGCCTGTGGGCAGGGCTTGATGGTGGCAGTTTCCTGATCTGTTACATTCAACAGAGGACAGAATGAAGCCCTTTCGACAATAGCAGAAAAGTTTTATTAAGAGATAAAGATGACCAAATAGCAAAGGGACCAAACGTTGAATGACAAATTGAGTTAATCTTTATTCAGAAGACAGTGGGCAACTAAAAGGGGTTCTTGATCAATATAGTAAAATGATAAAATCAGCGCTGTAGGACATGATTAACAGAGTAGATAAACTGGTAAATCAGACACTAGCTGATAGGTTTTTAGACTAAGGAAATATATAAAGAAATGACAGAGGTGGCCAGGCACAGTGGCTCACACCTGTAATCCCAGCACTTTGGGAGACAGAGGCAGGCGGATCACCTGAGGTCAGGAGTTTGAGACCAGCCTGGCCAACATGGAGAAACCCTATGTCTACTAAAAATACAAAATTAGCCAGGCATGGTGACACATGCCTGTAATAATCCCAGTTACTCAGGAGGCTGAGGCAGGAGAATCACTTGAACCAGGGAGGCACAGGTTGCAGTGAGCCGAGATTGCACCATTGCTCTCCAGCCTGGGCAACAAGAACAAAACTCTATCTCAAAAAAAAAAAAGGAAAAAGAAAAAAGAAATGACAGAGATAATTTTGCTTGGAAGATTTAAAGGGGTGAATCAAAGAAAACTGAGAATTTAAGCTTAAATGACTAGGATAATAAAATGAAGCTGCTTCTTTCCCAAGATAGGTGCTTGTTCCCAAAATTGCACAGCATGGAAATAAGAAAATACCCTCAGAAGCCGGGGGCGGTGGCTCACACCTATAATCCTAGCCTTTTGGGAGGCCAAGACGGGAGGACTGCTGGAGCCCAGGAGTTCAAGGCCAACCTAGACAACATAATGAGACCCCCATCTCCACCAAAAATTTAAAAAGTTAGCTGGCCATGGTGGCACGCACCCATAGTCCCAGCTACTCAGGAGGCTGAGGTGAGAAAATCACCGGAGCCCAGGAGGTCGAGGCTGCAGTGAGCCATGATGACACCACTGCATTCCAACCTGGGTGACAGAGCAAAACTGTCTCAAAAATAAACAAATAAAAAAAAATACCCTCAGTGATGTTGCATTCCACTTTTGTGAAGCAGACCGCCATGCAGTTCATGTCTGGACTTGAATGAGAGGCTTATTTTAAATGCTATTATATTTAAGAAATTTCTGCTTTTGACCATTATGGAGTGACAGGAATTAGATTTCCTCTTCCACCTTAATCAACTGGAAAAAAATGAAAGTCAATGGTTTTTAAACATTTGACAAAAGTCATTGAAGGATTATGACCCCCAAGAGAAGGGAAACAAATGAGGTGAGACTTAGACTTGCCACGGCTTACTTCCCGGTGGCGATTTCCAGGCCACTGCACAGGTAGGTGGATTTCAAACAGTGTCCATTGGCTTCACTGAATTGAAGAACTAAAACCTCAGTTTGGGGAGTCAAGGCATTAGAATTTATAGAGTAAATTGCCTGAGACAAAGGAGCTGCACAAGGAGGAATGAGAGCTCTGGAGCTCAGCAGAGTGGGACCGTTGCTGATCTATGCTGAGTGCTGACTGGAAGCTGAGCTGTGTACAAGTGAGGGAGAGAAGTACCAGAAACCAGAAAGCCTAACAATTCCTAAAATTCACATAAGGAGGGATCATTTCGTACCAACCAGAATGGAAGGACATAATATAAACTCTAGATTAATGGTAGCTTTTGATTGCACTAAAAGATTTAACCTATTCTACGTAAGTTAGCTGTGCATTAGGATCAAATCCAGCATGAAACAATGTAAAATTTGTCAAAAAATTGTAAGTCATTCAAAAAAGAAATAATATTAACCAAAAGAAACTTTTTAAAAATAATTGAAATGGACCCATAAATGCCAAAATTGATTGAATTAATATATTAAAACTTGTAATGCTATTAAAAATGTGCTCCATATGCTCAAGACAATGAGGACAAAAATAGAAAATATTAAAAACTTAATAAATTATATAAATATATATTTTATATATATATATCCTTTAGGATATATATGATATCATATATCTATATCTATCCGACTGGTTCTGTTTTTCTGAAGAACCCTAATAAAGATTTATGTACTGAGAGTGGTTCTAGAGAAACAGAATTTCAAGGACAAGTTTTCTGATTTGGATCTGAGTTTAAAGATGCTAATGACTCTATTTCCAGTAGTAAAGAAAGCACTTACACACCATGGCATGAACTGGTAATAGAGATAAACGAAATATCTGCATTGGATATTTCTGATCAACCACTCATAAGAAGCAAGGAACTAGGCAACTAGCAGCATTTACTGGCACATGATAAGCACTACTGAAGTTTTAGCTTTAAATGTTAACATTGCTCTTTTCTGGTATTCAAGTCTTTGCATTACACATCTGAAGATTGAGGACCAGTGTTCTGTCTCAGAAGAGATGGTAATTCCAGCCTACGTTGCTGAGCTCCTGTATTAGATCTTTGAGGCACTGCTATTTCAATATGAGAGAAAAGTGTCTCCCCAGCATCTGCAGACACAATATATCTGATTTATAAATTTAGTTTGATCTCTTTGCATTACTTGCCAGGATTGCCAAAGGGCAAGCTTTTGAAGCAAAATTCCTCAGAAACCCACTGAATGAAGCAACAGTTTCACCCAAAAAATCACACCAGTTCACAGTCTCTACTACAGACTGAATATTTGTGTCACCCCACCCATTCATATGTTAAAGCTTTAATTCCCAATGCAATGGTATTTGGAGGTAGATTCTTTGGGGGATATTAGGTATAGATGAGGTCATGAGGGTGGGGCCCTTTTGATGATGTTAGTGCCCTGATAAGGAGAGTAAGAGACCAGAGCTCCCTCTTTGTCCACCATGTGAGGACACAGAGAAAAGGTGGCCATCTGCAAACTAGGAAGCAGGCCCCTGATAGACACTAAATTTGTCATCTTGGACTTTCCAGCCTACAGAACTGTGAAAAATAAATGTTGTTTAAGCCACCCAGTCTGTGGTATTCTGTTATAGAGACCTGAACCAACTAAGACAGTCCCCTCCTTTCTCCCATCTAAATTGGAAAGAATGTTTATTGCAAGATTATAATTCCCAGTATACATCCAAAAGAACTGTTAGCTCCAGTCACCTCCACTGTTAGAAGCAGGACTAGCAGTCTCTTCATAAGCCAAAGTCCCAAGATCAACTTTTCCAAAACTTAGGCCTATTTGTCAACATTGTTTAGATCTCAGTAATTGCTAAGCTTCCTCCTTAAGCCTTCTGGCTCCTTGTCTACCACAATTTTCAACTTCCCTACCCTCAATCAATGCTCCACAGGGAAGGTTACAGGAAACCTCCATCTATATTCAAAACAAGGAAGGAAGATAATTAGGAGGATCATACTACTCATGGAACAAAAGAAATGTCTTGCCTATTTAAGTCTATGCTGACATTTCATAATACTAGCACTCTAGCTATAGCAAGAAACCACCCCTACACGACTCATTTAACTATGCTGCTGTCTGGCAAGACACGACTAGCATACAATATCCGCAAGGTCTACAAGACAGTAAAGGGGCCAGTGCTAGAGTGAAACAGGATGAGCTCTACTCTGGGAGATAAAGAGATTTTTTAAGACTAGACTTTCTGCTAACTAGCTGTGAGACTGTGGAAAGTGACTGTAAAATGGACATTTTATTGAGCATATACAGCCAGTGTACTGAGCAATGAGGATAAGTCACTATTTTCACCAAGCTATAGGGGATTTGGGAACCAGATTTCCTCAAAAGTGCCTTTCTCTGCCACATTTAATGAATCTGTGCCCATGTCCATGCTAAACAGCCAATCATTACATTATTAAGAGACTCAAGATACTTTGGAAGGCTCATTATCATCATACCAAAGCTGCTTAATTCTATAGGGTCACAAGGGGGTCCAGTCAGTGGGCTTGAATACAGCTTTATATAATGCCTGACTTCAGGAGTTGCTCTTGGTGCTACCTGTGCAAAAAAGAGTTTCTGGACTTAGAGTTCAGTTGTGGCCCCTTATTAAATACTGTCATAATGCACACGTGGGTTGTATATGGCCTAATGATACACCAATCCTAAGCCTTTCATGTTAATCCATTTTCTCTTAGGGATGCCAGGCAAAACTTTTTCTTTAATAAGAAAATTATATTTTACTGTTGCTGAAAATTCCTTGACCTCTCTGTGTTCCCAGTTGACTAGGGCAGCTGATTATTTTGTAATAGACCCTCAAGCCAACATCGCATGTGCTTCGTTTTTCAGTCAATGTTTCTCTGTCTTGGACATCATTGATCTGCCGTATAACTAAGTCCCCTTCCCTGGAATTCAGTGCAAGTCTCCTCTCATAGAGATGCATGGAAATAACAGTGATAACAGAGCAGTTCCTATGTTTGTCTTTTCACAGGAAATTGTCCTCAGCCTATGAATTGAAAAGAACATTTTCATGTTTTCTTCTCTTGCCCACCTTCTCACCTCCAGCCCACCCCTTTCAAACAACGGCAGTCTTTCCATCTGGTCTTGTTAACCCCTGGCTGAGGAAGCAAATTTTTCTATGTGATTGATATCTTGAATGTAAATCTAGAGCTTTGCCTTCACAGCCTGACAGGAATAAATAAAAAGACAAATTGTAGGTGCTTTGGTTGTCACAGCAGGGGCTCCTATCATGGCATCAGCTTTCTCGTCCACAAATGTGTGAATGGCCTGAAAGTCCAAGGTAATTGAAAGGCAGGCATAAACCTGTTTTCTCAGACATTAATGGAAATTGCCTCCTACTGATGTCGCTTTTCTGGCTTAGTGTTCTGAGAAAGAAACAAGCCATTCTGTTTCTAACACAAGTATTGAGTACGCTTTAACTAGTCCATCAAGGAAGAAAAATCTCAGTGGACTGGTATGGCTACTCAGTTCTGCCAATCCCATACTAAGAATGGCCCAATTTATCTCTCTCTTTCTATCTCTCCTGCCTCCCCTTTTCTTTTCTCTTCTCTTCTTTGTCTATCCGCTCTACTTCAGAGAAGAGAAAGAGAAGTATTGGATACCCCTGAATACCCACTTCATCTTGTGCCCAAAGTATGCAATATCTTAAGTTTTCTTCAAGTTTATGATGATGACCACTTCCACTAGCTATTATGCTGTGAAAATAATCCAAATGCCTGTGGTGGGTGAGTATGTGTGTATAAGTGAGTAAGTTTGTGTGTATTATGTGTGAGTATGTGTGTATTATCTCCAAATAATCCAAATGCCTGTGGTGGGTGAGTATGTGTGTATAAGAAATGTGAATAGGAACATAAAGAAAATACAGAATAATGATAAACCATGGTGCCGTGGTTTGCATGTGTTTCCCAAAGTTCATGTGTTGGAAACTTAACCTCCAATGCACGTGTTGGGAGGCAAGCCTTCATAAGAAGTGATTAGGACATGAGGTCTCTGCTGCTATGAATGGATTGTGTTGTTGTAACGGGAATGGGTTAGTTATCATGAGGGTGCTTTTGTTATAAAAACGAGTTCAGCCCCTGCTTCCTCTTGCTCTCTCTTGCCCTTCCACGTTTTGCCATAGGATGATGCAGCATGAAGGCCCTGCCAGATGCCAGCACCATGCTCATGGACTTCCCAGCCTTCAGAACCAGCAGCCAAATAAATTTATGCTCATTATAAATTACCCAGTTGGTGATATTCTGTTATAACAGCATAAAACAGACTGAGACAGGACGGGTTCAAAAAATATTGATTAATACACATACCTTGACCGAAAGAAAAAGTGATTACTAATTGGACACATAAGTGGACACATAATAAGCCGGGCACATAAATGGACACATACTAGGCTGTTTCAGGGAATGCTGTATAAACCAGCTGCTCAGCACTTGCAGCTCTTAGCAGTTACAAAACAACTAGATGGTTCACAAGACTCATGTGAAGCTGAGATTAGCCATGATCTGCCCAGCAAAGAGGGCAACCCTCAATCAGATTAGCCAGTTACCTGGCTAGTTGCTAGGTAATCCAAAGTTCCGGGGGTCACTTGTCAGATTTCCTGCTTGGCACTCCACATCCCTACCATACCCTACCTGAATACGAAGAACCCTCCTTCTCTTTCAAGGTGATTACAAGTCATCCTGCACTGGGAAAGAAGGTTACATTAATAACAGTTTGAATGGGGCTCATTAAATCTCAGGGCTTAGAGAAGCAGCACTACTTTTGATCAATTAGGAAATACATAAGATGTCACAGGAAGGCACTTCTCAAAACGATTAGGAAATATTCTCAGGCACCTTCTCTGCCCAGGTAACTTGTAGCGTCCTCATGAGTGGTAAGCGATGATCTGTAGGATGTGCCTTGGCCTCCACATAGCTCCCTGAAGCTAGTGATGATTAATGCACCAGCCAATTTCCTTCTCTTTGTCTGTTCCTTCTGAGGGCCAAATGACTCTAATCTCAGCAATGCTTTCTGCCCTCTGCCTCCTCCAAGGCTCTATCCCCTTCTAACCCAGATGACCCTCACCTGATCTGAGGCACAGGAAAGGGCAGGAAGATGGAATTCTCACAGTCTTTATTCTTTTTCCATTTATTTTTGTGGTATAAAATCATTCCCTTAACTTTCCTCAAAGCCTCTCCATAGGTGTTCAAGAACTTATTTTGGAAGTTTCAAAACATTTTTAAAAATTTAATCTTAAAAATGACTTTCTCCTTGCTGACCTGCTGCGACAATCCTAATTCTCCACAGGCAATTGTGAATGCCTCTGTTGGACTAGAGGAAAGGTCAGCACAAGAATGTTCAGAAAAGAAAAGGAGGAAAAAAATACAGTATTTCAAGACAACACCTCTTCACGACAACATTCACTGCTCCTCTCCTTCTCCTCTCCTTGACTTCTCCTTCAATAACTCTGCTGAAATTCCTTTCTCAAACCTCTTAGTTACATCTACTCATTTCCTTTCTTTCAAACCTCAATCTCTGATGATATGTGATAATGCTGACCATATCCTCTGTATTATTTAGGAAGGGGGCATGGTGATACATAAGCGGTAGGAATCTAACTCCATACTAGCTTAAGCTAAGAGGAGAAATTATTGGAAGGATACTGAGGTATTTCCTTCCAAATGAATTACTTGTTCAACCTTTTGTCTCAGGGTCTGCATCCAGGCCTAGCATGTTCAAATGTGTCCTCCCATCCAGGGTAGAAATTAACTCTGTAATAACCGCTAACAAATGCAGTTGCAATGTCTGAATGTCATTGTTTTTAACCAATTGAAACCTGCCTCCTTGTAACTTCAACATATTATATCTGCATCTTCCCTTAGGGCACACTTTGATACAAAAAGCTAGATCTGGATCAGACATAAAACTTCAGGCAAGAACACATTAACCATTCATCATGAAAATCTTCTCTAAAATGAAACATCATACAAATGAAACAATTCTGAAGAATAGCATCTTTAATGAGTGTTCTAATCCTTGTCATCTGAAGTTTTGAAATATATTTACCAGGGTCAGAACAATACAGAGATAGTATTTGTATAATATAGCTTATTTTAAATTTCATTTAAGCCCTCTCATTTCTCCTCCCACAGCTGCTGTTTTGTTTTGATGAAAGAGAAATAAGGAATAAATAAAAGGTCAATGCTTCAAACTAATCTACCTGTGTACTCCCTGAAAACTCTGGGACTGTATCCACAGAATAGGGAAAACTATTCTCAAATGCACAGTCACTCATGCCTCAGGCATGAACTGATGTTCTTTCAAAAGAAAAAAGAACAGGGGCAAACTTCCAGTCCTATGTTTGACACATACTAAAACCCCAAAGAGAAGACTGAATTGTATTTGTTCTCAGACAAGACACCCCTGTGACCACAGCATAATGAATTCTGCTCTAACATTTTAGTGGTTCAATCTCCCGACAAGAGTAAGTATTCCAGCCAGGCGTGGTGGTTCATGTCTGTAATCCCAGCACTTTGGGAGGCCAAGGCAGGCGGATTACCTGAGGTCAGGAGTTGGAGACGAGCGTGGCCAACATGGTGAAACCCCATCTCTACTAAAAATGCAAAAATTAGCTGGGCGTGGTGGCGGGCACCTGTAATCCCAGCTGCTTGGGAAGCTGAGGCACAAGAATCGCTTGAACCCAGGAGGCGGAGGTTGCAGGGAGATGAGATCACCCCACTGCGCTCCAGCCTGGGCAACAAAGTGAGACTCTGTCTTAAAAAAATTAAAAAAAGAATAAGGAATTCCTATCTGTGGTGGTTGACTCTATAGGATGAAGTGTGAGATTACTACTCAGGATAGAAATAGTTTGTATCTGTCATTTTTGTTCAAGTCCTCTTTATATTTGGTTCCATTGAGGAAAACCACCCTCTCTAATCAGGAGATCACGTTCTTTCTGTTATCCTAGTCATTTTGTAGAGTGTGTTCTGGCCCATGGGCTGTGTCAATCATACTTAATAAAATGATAGGCCTGAATGGAGCATTCAAGTTTCTCTAGTGCAATCCTCTAATTTTACAGATTTTAAAAAACCAAGGCCCAGAGAAGGTAACACCTATTTCAAGAACACGCAGCCAGCCTGTGCAAAGGCTCATATCCTTACTGACATTAAAAAGGAGGCAAAAGAGTAATTCGATTCAGATTTGGGAGAACAAAGGATTGTGTTTATACAGATGGCTGGGAGTTGAGGAGGAAGGTAGACACTGGAGAAGAAGGAAAAGCTGTCCAGTGCCCAGTTGTGCAGATGTTTTCACTCAGCCCCAGCTGCCTGCTGGATTCCAAGCAAGCTGACCAGGGCCTCCAGGAGCCTACTGGGTTTCCGCAGCACAAGGCCTTATGCTGGTGACAGAGATGCTCTGCCCTCTGCATCTCAGAGCGCCCGCCTCACACTCAGACATCGTCTGCTCCTTGCCGTTCACTTCCACACAAATGCTAAACCCTTCTTCCTCGCACTCCGATGCTTCTCGGCAGACACATTTGCTGCTCTCAGCTGGAAAAGTAAGTGAAAGAGGCTTAATGGTACATTGTGGAGGTCGGGGAGTCAAAGAACATCACCTCCAAAGTAATAATGTGGTGATCAGAGCTGTAGAAGCTCCTGCCTGGAATGACATAATAAATTATCCCCTGGAAAAGCAGTAGGACCAGGAAATTGGGGCATTTTGCTCCACTCCAAAGAAATAGGTTTTGAGGTTGGTAGCAGGCTTTATATTGGTTAGACCACATGGGGTGGTTTTATCCAAGTCAAGAGCTCTTCAACTATCTCCTACATACATGCTGCTGTCCATATAAGCCAGCAACTGAGGTCAAATGAGAAGCCCTCAACAAAGAACCAAGTCAAGACTCAAACAAAGAGAGAGAGAAAAAAAGAGAACTTAACTTGCTTTGAGAGAGAGCATGGCATGCAAAAGGCTACAAATCCCAAAAAACAAACCAGAAATGAGTTAAGGAGGCAAGGAGTCTGTGCATGGAAAGTCCATGGTTGGAATACACCAGCCAGGAGTCTTCCAAAGATGAGTAACAAGGTCAGCCAGCAGACAATGGTGACCACCTAACCAAAAGTGACCCAGACATGGCTAGAGTCACATATGTATGTCATCAGTCTGTGCTGCAAACCTTGAGGGAGTGAGGGGACAGGTGCCAGCGGGTACAGGCCAGGAGGGCAGAGAGTGAAGAGACGACAGAGACCTTACAAGTCATAGAGTCCAGCTCCTAAATTTACAGATAGGGAAGCCCAGACAGTGACTTGGCTCTGGAGACCCAGCCATTCCACTTTCATAGTACTGCCCAAATCATGGGAGGTTTGCTGTGCTCTTGGGGGAGTTCAAGATCACTGTAAGTACTACTTAAACATAGTGTTAGCAAATATTGAATCACAACGTGAGAAAGTAACTTCTTCTTTTATTCTCTTCAAATCCGTCTGATTACTTCTAGAAGAAAGTGTCAGCTTGGTGCTAGTATGTTTTTAACACCCCTCTAACACTTGCTAAACTCACAGAGAAACAGCATAGTCAATGTTGGACCAGTATCTGGCTAGAGTCCACAACTTTATTTAGTTCCATTACATATAACTTTTATAGTTACCTAGTATTTATGGCAAGTGATACCTCCTTTTAAGGACATGATATAAAGTTTTCATTTTTAAGTTATTTTTATGTCAGACTTTTAAAAAATGAGTACACAATATGGATAATACAAGGACAGAGTAAAAATCATGAAGGTGGCATGGAATCACCCCTGTTTGGGAGAACATTTCCACATCAGGAATGTGGGAATCTTATCCTCTGAGGTCTGTGATCTGTGCCCTTCTCCAGTGAGGGGTATAGGAGAGGTCAGTGCATGTCAAATCAGTCTGAGTCTTTAACATCCTCAAGTATCTTCTTCGGCCCACTGCTAAACTAGAAACCACATTTTTTAAATCCTCAGTACTGTGACTTTAGCATTCTTATACTTACAAATATGAAAGGCCCCTTACCATCACATTTTCCCCACAGTGGGCAGGCACCACAAGCTTTCTCAGCTGAGGCAGGCAGAGTACAGCTGTCCCTACCAGTAAGGGTGTAATTTCTACCCTGACAGTGGAGAACATGCATCTTGCAAACTGTCAGAGGCAGTATCCTTTTGCTTCTCTCATCTTGAGCACATACATCCAAGGAAGGTCTGAAAAGAATTTTTAATGACATTATTTACAAGATTTTTGTTCGTAAAAGCTGAGAAGGAGAAATGAAAAGTGATGCTCTGAGCTTAGTGCCCCCAGATGTTATCACCCACAGTAAAAAAAAAAAAAAGGTGGAAACTCAAATCCCCTTCATTCCTAGGTCCAACTCACTTAGGTCTTCAAAATGAAGATATTTGTATTTACTCATTATTTGCTCACAATTTTTCTAAGTGTAGATATCTAGTGTTGATCTAGTTCTATCTAGAACAGACCAGGTACAGCAAATTAGATGAGAAGAAAAGGTCTGCTAGCAACAGCTGACAAAGGAGACAGAAAGCCAGTGGAGACCAAGCATTCAATGTGATCATAGTCAAATGGGACCATTAATTGCAGGAGAAATGAGCTCATCCCAGCCCAACAGCCAAGAGTTCATGTCCATAAAACTGCATTGTCCAAAAATGGATGACCCTAAATCATCACGGGAAGATGAAACTGTATTTTTCAATGCTACTTTTAAAAGTATCTATGTTTACAAAATAGTTTAGAAATATTTCCATAAGTTTGGGAGCCTGTAATCCCAGTGCTTTGGGAGGCCAACGCAGGTGGATCATTTGAGGTCAGGAGTTCAAGACCAGGATGGCTAACATGGCGAAACCCCATCTCTACTAAGCATATAAAAATTAGCTGGGCGTGGTGGCGCACACCTGTAATCCCAGCTACTCAGGAGGCTGAAGCATGAGAATCACTTGAACCCAGGAGGCAGAGGTTGCAGTGAGCCAAGATTGCACTACTGCATTCCAGTCTGGATGACTGAATGAAACTGTGTCCCAAAAAAAAAAAAAAAAAAAAAAAATTTCCATAAAATGTGTTACCTTCCTCATTAGCATTGGTGCTAAAATAGTGGAAAAAAATAGCTATTTAGAAATGTCACTATCAGAAAACTCCACATTTCTGAATGCTGATAGACAAGGAGGGCATTACTGTCACTGAAACCTTAGACAACACAGCATTTTTGTATACCAGATGGAGTCAGAAAGAGTCTATATTCACACACTTTATTTAGTTCTAATATTTTCCTTTTCTACCAAAAGCTACATTTACTTGGAGTTATTTATAAAACAGAAACAAATCCTGTTGTTTTGAATCTATCTTTTCATCTGTTTATTGAAACTTTAAATAGAACTACTTATAACAGCTGAAAGGGTAAAGACCTTACAATACCACCTTGTTGCCAGTATCTGAGACCATGGAATGACATGGAAATGTATACCATAACTATTAACAACGAGCTGCAGATCAACTAAATGAAATGGGGAAGTTGGAAAGAGGATGAAAATGACTCAAAATAAACAATAATTATTAAAGATTAGCAGCAAAGTCAGAATATTAGAATGAGAATGTATCTAGGCTGACCACCATTTCCATCACGCCATTTAGTTATTTATATTCCTCTTCACACCAGAAATTGCTATATACAATAACAATTACCCACTGTAGCTTCAAGAAGTTGGATATCGGTTTTGATAACCAAAATCATTGAAAACCAAGTAATTAGTGTTTTGGTTCTTTTTTTTTTTTTTTTTTTTCTTTTTGAGATAGGGTCTGGCTCTGTCACCCAAGCTGGAGTGCGGTGGCATGAATGTGGCTCACTGAAGCCTCAACCTCCCTGGCTTCAAGCAATCCTCCCACCTCAGTCTCCTGAGTAGCTGGGACTACAAGAGTGAGTCACCACACCCAGCTAATTTTTGTATTTTTTGTAGAGAAGGGGTTTCACCATATTGCCCAGGCTGGTCTTGAACTCCTGAGCTCGAGCAATTGGCCCACCTTGGCCTCCCAAAGTGCTGGGAGTGCAGGCGTGAGCCACCGCACCAGGTCATGTGTTGGTTTTTAATTTTAAAAATGGCCACTAAGTCTAGGGGCTGGATATTTCTTATTTCCTCCCCAGATCCACTTTCCACTCTTCTCCACCTGCCTGGGAAGCTGACATGTATGGGCCACATCGTGGACTTCCTCGGCCTCTAGCTTCAGTTGGTTTGATCAGTGGTGAGCACTGACTAGCAGGAGACTCGAGGCAGGAAGGACAGTGCAGTTGAGGTGTTTATGCCCCTGGCTCACGCCTGTGGGACCTCTGAAGTCCCTAAAATGAGAGTGTCAGCTCCTCCTCAGGGCCATCTCCACACAGCCCTCTCTGTCTCCAGTTTTTCCTGAATGCCCCTCTCCTTACTCCTTGGACCTGGGTATGGCTATACGGTCAAGCTGTTAGCAGTCTAGGAATACTGCCATGGGACTTGTAGTTTCCTTTCCTCTGTTCACATTTTTGTAAATATTTCTGCTAATAAAGCTTTTCTTGTCCTAATTTAATTGTGCCATCTCTATCCTACTAGGACCATGACACAGACATCTATTAACTACTTCAGAGATATCCTCCTACAATGGAATGATTTCAAGTTGGTGGCATTCTTAACCATGCAAATCTAGAGAAGATGCTTCAAGAATCAACAAAAGCAGCTGCTGTTTCCCTATCAGTATTGCTTTAAGAGTTTATGTGCCAAAGGAATTTCAGTTTTAATCCTCTAATCCTCTAAAGTTCTAAATCCTCAGCTGACAGTTTTGCCATTTTGCTCCATTTTATATATAAAACAAGCAGTGCTCGAGTAGTCCTGCAGCCTTCTCCACTAGCCAGATTAGAACACTGCTTAATGCCATGGCTGTCAGCCCTAGTGACCCAGACAAATAACAGGCAGCAGATGGACTACATCGAAATGCAAACAAAGACCCTTAACTCTTGGTAAGCTACACCTTCCATCCAACAGACACTATTATCTAAGAAATTATCCCTTATCATTAATAAAATAAAACAGAGAAATGAGCAAAGGCGGCACTTACCCACATTCGTAGGGCATTTTACAAACACATCTTGAATTCTGCAGTTTCTCCCAGCGCTGACATTTAGGCACTGCCTGTGTTAACGGATTTTCTAAAAAAGGATAAGGGAGATGTGGTCGTTAGGAGAAAAGCCTCTTCATAGTAAACAAGGTATTATATGAATTGCTGGACCAGGGTCTGTAGTATTCTCCAACTGCAATGCATTTGCACAGTAACAATAGTAATAATAATCAAGGTGTGATACATTTTACAAGCTATAGAGAGTTTCTAGAGTCACATTACAAATAACTGCATTGGTAGTAATAGCTACCATCTCGTGAACATTTATATTTGTCATGCACTTTTTATACATTGGGATATTCATGCCTCCCTAACACATGCCCACCTAAGAAATCAGAAAATTAAGAGTAAAAAGAGTTAGGAAGTTGGTGCTACTTCACACATTTAACAAACTGGCCCAGGCAGCATTTAATTCTACATTGGTCTGAATCCAAGGACAATAAAGTGGCTCCCTTTCAAGAAGCTGGTGCTTATAAACTGTTTGTTGTTTGGACTGCATTCTGCCTGCTGTGCCCATAATGAGGCAAAAAGCAGCAACATCACTTGCCTTATACATGGAGAACTCCCTGGTGTGCCGAGAAGATCTACAATAACCTCTTACATATGAATGTCTAAGTGGTCTCCCTCAACAGTGAATAAATGTCTGGAGGTCATTACGTTAATAAAATTCTTTCTATAACTTTGTGTTTTATAGAAACTGACAATTCAGTCATCATTTCAGTTTTGACAGGTAAACACCGTGGTCCAACTTACAAGAGCATAATGTGACTGCCATCCCCTCAGCTATCCCTGATTGCAATGGGAATGATCTAAAAACATCCTGACTTTTTTCACCTCGTAATAGCTTTATTACAATGAAATTCATTGCCATACACTTTTGCATCATAAAACTAGATAGTCATTTACTATATCTATAAAGGTAGTTTATCTGGAGAATATGTTTTTATGAATACACAAACTATGAAATACTTCCTTACTTTGGAAAATTCAAGAGCCTTGGACATGACATTACAATCTTGTGAGCATTCATAAACCTGTAAAAATGATGGCAATGTGAAGTATGCCTGCCATGGTCAGCAGTCTCAATAACAAGATTCATTATTAAAACACTTCTCTTGGCTGGGCGCGGTGGCTCACGCCCGTAATCTCAGCACTTTGGGAGGCCGAGGCAGGCAGATCACTTGAGGTCAGGAGTTCACGACCAGCCTAGCCAACATGGTGAAACCCTGTCTCTACTAAAAATACAAAAATTAGCCGGGCATGGTGGCACATGCCTGTAATCTCAGCTCCTCAGGAGGCTGAGGCAGGAGAATTGCTTGAGCCCGGGTGGTGGAGGTTGCAGTGAACCAAGATTGCGCCGTTGCACTCCAGCCAGCCTGGACAAGCGAGACCTTGTCTCAAAAAAAAAAAAAAAGCACACTTCTCTTTAAAATGGTATTATCCTAAATGCAACGTAGTACCCTGAACTGGACCCTAGAACATAAAAGAGACATTAGTGGTAAAACATGAGGTATTTGAATAAAGTGTATAGTTTAGTCAATAGCATTGTACTAATATTAATTTTTTAGTTTTAACCAAGTTGTGTTATGTAAGATGTTAATATTAAGGAAGATGGGTGAAGGGTGTGTAGAAATTATATCTGTGACTTTGCTGAAATCTAAAATTATTCCAAAATGAAATTTTTTAAAAATGGTATTATCTACATCAGTGCTTCTCAACCAGGGGCAGTTTTGTCCCCCAGGGGACATCTGGAAATCACTAGGGACATCTTTGGTTTTTACAACTGCAGAATGTTATTGACATAGGAGGATGCTACTGTTGGGTAGAGACCAGGGATGCTGCTAAGCACCCTGCAATGCACAGAAGAGGCTCCCATAGCAAAGAATTATTAGACCTAAAATTCCAATAGCGTTGAGGTTGAGAAGCCTTAATCTAGATGTACCAAAACTTAAGGTCAATGATCAAGCCATGTAAATTAGTTCTGCACTGTGGTTAAAAATTTACTTTAGGACAAATCCTGAAATTTTAGATTTTAAAAGTTTGCTTAAACTATTATAATGTCAAGCCGGGCGCAGTGGCTCACGCCTGTAATCCCAGTACTTTGGGAGGCCGAGGCGGGCGGATCATGAGGTCAGGAGATCGGGACCATCCTGACTAACATGGTGAAACCCCGTCTCTGCTAAAAATACAAAAAAAAATTAGCCGGGCATGGTGGCGAGCACCTGTAGTCCCAGCTACTCAGGAGGCTGAGGCAGGAGAATGGTGTGAACCCGGGAGGCAGAACTTGCAGTGAGCTGAGATTGTGCCGCTGCACTCCAGCCTGGGTGACAGAACGAGACTGCATCTCAAAAAAAAAAAATGTATTATAATGTCTTTGTGGAAAAAAAAAAAAACGATAGAATTACCTAGCCCAAAGAATTTTTGCATTTAAGAAGAACATAGCTTTGTTGCCTTTACAGCTTGGTTAACCAAGTAAACACACTCTTAAGGCCCACCGAAAGTATGTGCTTTTGCTATTTTAAAAGCAAATTTATTCCCATCAAGACTAACTACGGGGACAGTAGGGGAAAGTGAGGAATTAATGTTTAATGGATATAGAGCTTCAGTTTGGAAAGATGAAAAAAAATGTGGTGATGGTTGCACAACAATGGGAATTACTTAATGCCACTGAACATACATTTAAAAATGGATAAAATGGTAAATGTTATGTTATGTATGCTTTATTATAATAAAAAAAAAGACTAAATACTAGAACAGCCAACATTTTAAAACATCAACTTTGGAAGCTGGTAAGTCTTGGATTTTTTTGTTTGTTATAGGCTTAGAAGTAGTTACTGTTATTCACATCTTCAGAAAAACACACAGATCTGAAAAACATCCTTAATTAAAACCCACTTTAATAGAATTTTCTACTGGGTAAATGAAACTTCATACCAAACTGTGCTGTAAAATAGCTGAAGTAGCATTTTAGACAGACTAGTCTACAATCTCATTTGAACCAAAAGTGCAACCTCATCAACTGTATATTGTTCTCTTTCATTTTTAGAATTGTAAGTACTGGTCCATGACTTTAAATATTCCAAGTAAACTCATGTTTATACTTCAGTGTTTACAGAACACAAAACAACTGTCCTCTGAGATGGAGCTTTGATAACTTAACAGCACATCAGGACAGGCAGGGAGGGCACTCCAAGGACGTGTGTCTTGCCTATTGTTCTGCCTCTCATCCACTTCACATCACAGCCCATATCTACCATCAGTATCTGAGTGCTCCATACCCTGTCGCATGGAGAACTTAGTTAGAAACATCTAATTCACCTCACACCATCACCTGTGAAATCTAGTACTTCATCCTCACTATTAAAAATAAATTTCAGCGTTTAATTAAAAATCACATACTAGAGAGATAATATCACATAAAATAGTATGCAAGTGAGTTTTTCTTCATTCTCATTTTTGTTACAAATACAATATTTTCCATTTATTTAAAAAATGTAAACAAAGAATAAATAAGGGGTTATTGTCAAACAAATCTATCTCATCTAAAATTACCTCTAAAAAGAAATAATTTGGCTTTCTAAATCCTTTCTACCTTAGGTTCTTAAAAGACCATTTTAATTTTCTTGGTGTTAAAATACTGGATTTTTGGGTTTCCACATTAAGAACAATTTCATGAATCACAACACTTTTCCTTCAATAATGTCTGCTTTAAAGTGTTAAATGAAAATGCTTTCTAAATTTTCAATTTCAGAAATACTGATAAACTCTTTGAAAGCCCAAAAATGAAACATACAGAACTTTAAATAAATTATGATCTCAACTCTGTACTTATGAAAAATGCAGGGGAAAAAAATCTAGAGGAAACAAACAAACAAACAAAAAACAGATTTTAAAAATCCTTTATTGTCTTGGCACCATAACAGATATAAAGCTAATCTTTCACAAGGATGATTTAAGTTAAAAGTTTCAGAATCACCAGGCTATCCTTGCCTTTCCTTGCTTTCATGAGTCTTTCTGTGCCATGTGAAGAAAATCTGTTACTCAGTCTACAAACTGACCCTATCTTAAGGAGCAAGAATGGAGGGAATGACTCACAGCTATGGTGATACAGTACCATGAAGGTCGCCACAAGGACTCTCACTTGCCTGGGTACAAGTGTCCTTGGATAGACATGGAAGCCACTCACCTTTTTGTACACAGCGGGCATTCTTCATCTCAGGACTCCACTTAAGGCTGGAGCCACAGAGAAATGCTGAAGGACCTTCTAAGGACATGCCACCTGAACAGGAAACAGTCACCTTCTCACCAACTGTGTAGAAAGGTTTTTGGGGGTGACTCTGTATGCCATCCATCAGTACAGGTAGAACACAGGCAATTTCTAAAGATAAAAGAGAGCAAAATATAAGGGTCGTTGCTCTCCTAAACCATCTTTTTAAAAAAGTCTTATGTGATGCAGACACACTTGTTCTGCTTTTTCATATTAGAGGACAAGGAGGAAGACGTAAGTTCACTGTTAGGGTGGACTGAAAGACATGTCACACAGAGCCTGGCACGTAATTGACCCATGAATATCTAAAAACCAAAACAGCTCCCCCTCTCCCACCCCTCCCCTCAAAACAATGTGACAACTTAAAATGAACAACCCCAATAGAGTCCTAATGCCCAGCCTACTGTTGAAACCAAACTTTTCACAGCTGTCACTTATTTATGTGCTCTAGTGATGTTCCACCAGGAGAGTTTCATTAACTTTCATCCAGTTGGATATTTTGCCGTCTGAAATTATTAAAACACCACTTTTATTTATTTATTTATTTTTATTTTTTAGGGACAGGGTCTGTCTTGTTGCCCAGGCTGGAGAGCAGTGATTATTCATAGGTCTAATCAGTGTATACTACAGCCTCAAATTCCTGGGCTCAGAAAAGCAATGGGGAAAGGATTTCCTGTTTAATAAATGGTGATGGGAAAACCGGCAAGCCATATGCAGAAAACAGAAACTGGACCCCTTCCTTATACCTTATACAAAAATTAACTCAAGATGGATTAAAGACTTAAATGTAAAACCTAAAACCATAAAAACCCTAGAAGAAAACCTATGCAATACCATTCAGGACATAAGCATGGGCAAAGACTTCATGACTAAAACACCAAAAACAATTGCAACAAAAACCAAAATTGACAAATGGGATCTAATTAAACTAAAGAGCTTCTGCTCAGCAAAAGAAACTATCATCAGAGTAAACAGGCAACCTACAGAATGGGAGACAATGTTTGTAATCTATCTATCTGACAAAGGGCTAATATCCAGAATCTACAGGGAACTTAAACAAATTTACAACAGAAAAACAAGCAACCCCATCAAAAAGTGGGCAAAGGATATGAACAGACATTTCTCAAAAGAAGACATTTATGCAGCCAACAAACATATGAAAAAATGCTCATCATCACTGGTCACCAGAGAAATGCAAATCAAAACCACAATGAGATACCATCTCACGCCAGTTAGAATGGTGATCATTAAAAAGTCTGGAAAGAACAGATGCTGGTGGGGATGTGGAGAAATAGGAACGCTTTTACACTATTGGTAGGAGTGTAAACTAGTTCAATCATTGTGGAAGACGGTATGGCAATTCCTCAAGGATCTAGAACCAGAAATACCATTTGACCCAGCAATCCCGTTACTGGGTATATACCCAAAGGGTTATAAATCATTCTACTGTAAAGACACATGCACACGTATGTTTATTGCAGCACTACTTACAATAGCAAAGACTTGGAACCAACCCAAATGCCCATCAATGATAGACTGGATAAAGAAAATATGGCACATATACACCATGGAATACTATAACGGGTTAATGTCCTTTGCAGAGACATGGATGAAGCTGGAAACCATCATCCTCAGCAAACTAACACAGGAACAGAAAATGCATGTTCTCACTCATAAGTGGGAGTTGAACAATGAGAACACATGGGCACAGGGAGTGGAACATCACACACTGTGGCCTGTCAGGGGATGGGGGGCAAGGGGAGGGAAAGCATTAGGAAAAATACCTAATGCATGCGAGGCTTAAAACCTAGATGATGGGTTGATAGATGCAGCAAACTACCATAGCACATATATACCTATGTAACAAACCTGCACATTCAACACATGTATCCCAGAACTTAAAGTAAAATTAAAAAAAAAATTAAAAACTCCTAGGCTCAAGCAATCCTCCTGACTCAACCTCCTGAGTAGGTGGGATCACAGGCACATGCCACCACACCCAGCTAAAGCACCACCTTTAAACTTGCAGACATAAAAGTGTTCAGTGTTCCCTGACTTTTCATCTGTATTCTTTCTTACTCAATTACATTCATTAGCTCAAATAGCTTACTTCAAAAAAGAACAGAGAAAAAGAAAAAACACACATAGTATAAACAGCAAGTCAGAATTCATGATTAAAAAAAAAATCTTGCTAATATCCCTAATGGACTTTGGACAATATTCTACAAAGTATTGCTGTATCTTTACAGCACTGTCATCAGAAAACCCATTCATTCATTTATTCATTCAAAAACAGCATTTGATGGATGCACTGAAAGCTTTGACTTCATCACAATGAGATATATCAGTGTAGCAAAATTGAGCTAATACTCCATGAATATATACAAAAATCCACAGCACTTTTTGAATGCCTATATTTTGCCAAATATGTTGTGCACTGCTTGGGACACAGCAAAGTACAAGTCACATCTTATGCCTTCCAAAACTTCATAATCTAGTATTGAATCTGCTTGTTTCTAATGCGTTTGCTGTTTTCACATTAAATCTCCTACCAAGACAAAAAAAATAGAAAGACTGTACAAAATTAAAAGGAAAACTATTTCTGAAAGAATCAGAGCACTAACAAGGCAGTGCAAGTTTGAAAGTCCAAGATTTCAGAGAGAAGGGAAGTCTAATGTGGTGATTACATTTACATTTGGTAACACATTTTTCCTTGAGGTATTTGTAAATTAAAAAAAAAAAGAAAATATGCTGAAAGGCTGCTAAACTGAAGAGAAAACCATAGCTCAGAGGCTAAAAAGATAAACAGCTTTTAGCAGTCTCACAGGACCAGGGTTTTAAAAACTAGAGTCCAGTCCTGTCAAAAAGAAGGGGCCAGGTAGAAAGCCCATACCTTCAGTTGGAATCCCTTAATGGCCACATCCTTGGAATAGAGATAACCCAGACATAAGCCAGCCTCACTGGTTGCCATAAACAAAAGTTAGTCTTCTCTAGAGGAAGATAGCATCATCCAATTTTTAAATTTTCATACGTAAAGTCTGACATTCAATTAAAACTAATTTAACATTCAAAAAGACAAGAATTGACCAAATTCCAACCAAAAAAAACAATAGAAACAGACTTACAGTAACAGACTTACCTAAAGAATGAAATTAACAGATACAGGCCCTGAAACAACTGAAATTAATATATTTTTTTAAATGACAAGATGGAGAATTACAACAGAGAATTAGAAAATATAAAACAGTAAACATAAATGTTTGAAGTAATTGATGTTATTTACTCTGATTTGCTTATTACACACTGTTTACACATATCAAAACATCGCTTAAAAACTATATTTTAAGTGAAAAATTTTAATATTTTTAAATATAATAATGTAAGAATATAGGCTCATTCATTATAATAAATATACCACATTAATGGAAGATGTTAATACCTAATAGGGAAACTGGGCGGGAAGTAAGGAAGTAGATGGGCGCTCTCTGTACTTTCTAGTCAGTTTTTTGTAAGCTAAAACTGCTCTAAAAATGAAGTTATTAATTTAAAAATTCACTATGCAGTAAAAAAGTAGACAAATGAAACCTCTAAAATTGAAAAATAGCCAGGCACGATGGCTCACACCTATAATCCCAGCACTTTGGGAGACTGAAGCAGGCAGATCACTTGAGCTCAGGAGTTTGAGAACAGCCACGGCAACATGGTGAAACCCCGTCTCTACTAAAAAGTACAAAATTAGCTGGGCACTGTGGCAAGCGTCTATAATCCCAGCTACTCAGGAGGCTGAGGCAGGAGAATTGCTTGAGCCCAGGAGGCAGAGATTACAGTGAGCCAAGATTGCACCACTGCACTTCAGCATGGGTGACAGGAGTAAAATCTGTCTCAAAAAAAAAAAAAAAAAAAAAAAAAAAAATATATATATATATATATATATATATATATATAAAATATATATAATTGTTTTAAGTTGAAAAATAAAATTGATAAAATTTAAAACTCTATAATAGAGTTCTTAAAAGGAGATTATACAGAAATATACAGAGAATTAATAAATTGGAAGATAGGTCAGTTGAAAATATTTAGAATGAGGCCAGGTGCGGTGGCTCATGCCTGTAGTCCCAGCACTTTGGGAGGCCCAGACAGGCAGATTACTTGAGGTCAGGAATTCAAGACCAGCCTGGCCAACATGGCAAAACCTCATCTTTACTAAAAATACAAAAATTAGCCAGATGCAGTGCTGCATGCATGTAATTCCAGCTACTCAGGAGGCTGAGCCAGGAGAATTGTTTGAACCTGGGAAGCGGAGGTTGCAGTGAGCCGAGATCGCACCACTGCACTCCAGCCTGGAAAACAAACCATCTCAAATAAAAAAAAGAAAAAGAAAAAGAAAATATTTAGAATGAAACAGAGGGGGAAAAGATGGAAAACAAACAAAAAAATGATGTTAAAAAATATAATGGTCCAAAAAATGTATAATTTGTGTCCCATAAGGACAAGTGAGGAAGAATGGGACAGAAGCAATGTTTTAGGACATAATGGTCAAGAAATGGTCTAAAACTGACAAAAGACTTAAAGCACAGGTTCAATAAAAGCCCAGAAAAATATAAAGAAAATTATACCTAGACATCAGAGTAAAGTTGCTGGAGAAAACCAAAAGCAAAAAACAATTAATAATACCCTTTTCCCACCCCAGCACTACTGGGCCTGCAGGTCTCTGTCAAGCCACAAACGCAGGTCTCTGTCCCACAGGATGGGGTTTGTTAAAGTTGTTAATAATAAGGCCTACTTTAAAAGATACTAAGTGAAATTTAGAAGATGACAAGAGGGTAAAACTGATCACTATGTTCGGAAATGCTTGGTGATACAGGATAAAAATAAATACAGCACACCCAAATACAGGATGATATTTTATGTAACAAACAGAGTTATCATTTGTCAGATTGCTTAGACCTGTGTAGAAGGGAACGTGATAGTCTGTGCAGTGTATGCACATGAACTGCCAAAATATGGTGTGAAGATTGGAGCCAAGATCACTCCATTGCAATCCAGCCTGGGAGACAAGAATGAAACTCCGTCTCAAATAAATAAATAAATAAATAAAATAAAAAATAACTGCTAGCTTAGAATGTCTTACCTAATAAAAATATCCTGGCCAGGTGCGGTGGCTCATGCCTGTAATCTCAACACTTTGGGAGGCCAAGGCGGACAAATCATGAGGTCAAGAGATGGAGACCATCCTGGCCAACATGGTGAAAACCCATCTCTACTAAAAATACAAAAAGTAGCTGGGCATGGTGGTGCACGGCTGTTGTCCCAGCTACTCAGGAGGCTGAGATAGGAGAATCGCTTGAACCCAGGAGGCGGAGGTTGCAGTGAGGCAAGATCACGCCACTGCACTCCAGCCTGGCGATAAGCAAGACTCCATCTCAAAGAAAAAAAAAAAATCCTTTGAAAAGTCAAGGTAAAAGACAGACATTTCATCAGTCGGTTCACAATAAAGGAAAAGAAGCCCTTCAAGTAGAAGTTTCTTATTAATCTTTTCAAAGAACAAACTTTTGGCTTTATTAACTCCCAACTAGCAAATATTCATATTCATATTCTATTTCATTTGTTTCTGCTTAAGGATTCCAAGAGAAAGAGAGAGAGAGAGATTAATAAGTAAAAGACAATGCCCATCAGTCAATGAATGAGTGGATAAAGAAACTGTGGTATATATATACGATAGAATACTACTCAGCCATAAAAAGGAATTAATTAATGGCATTCTCAGCAACGTGGATGAGACTGGAGACTATTATTCTAAGTGAAGTAACTCAGGAATTAAAAACCAAATATTGTGCCAGGCATGGTAGCTCATGCCTGTAATCCCAGCACTTTGGGAGGCCGATTCAGGCAGATCACGAGGTCAGGAGTTCAAGACCATCCTGGCCAACAGAGTGAAACCCCATCTCTACTAAAAATACAAAAATTAGCCGGTCATGGTGGTGTGCACCTGTAGTCCCAGCTACTCAGAAGGCTGAGGCAGGAGAATTGTTTGAATGTTGAACCCAGGAGGCAGAGGTTGCAGTGAGCTGAGATTGTGCCACTGCACTCCAGCTTGGGCAACAGAGAGAGACTCCATCTCAAAAAAAAAAAAAGAAAGAAAACCAAACATTGCATGTTCTCACTCACAAGTGGGAGCTAAGCTATGAGGATGCAAAGGCATAAGACTGATGCAATGGACTTTGGGGATTCAGAGAGAAAGGGTGGGAAGGGGGTAAGGGATAAAAGACTACAAACTGGGTGCAGTGTGTACTGCCTGAGTGACGGGTGCACCAAAATCTCACAATCACCACTAAAGAACTTACTCATGTAACCGAACACCATCTGTTCCCCAAAAACCTATGGAAATTTTTAAAAATTAAAATTAAAAATTAAATTAAATTAAAAAATAAGAAAAAGACAGACAAACCGATTATTTTTAATGGACAAAAGACATAGACAGCCATTTCTCCAAAGAATATAACCAATGGCTAACGAACATATGAAAACAAGCTTAACATTATTAGTCATTAGAAAAAATATAAAAATAGGCTGGGCACAGTAGCTCGCACCTATAATCCTAGCACCCTAAGAGGCCAAGATGGGTGGATTGCCTGAGTTCAGGACTTCGAGACCAGCCTGGCCAACATAGTGAAACCCTGTCTCTACTAAAAATACAAAAAATTAGCAGAGTGTGTTGGCACACACCTGTAGTCCCATCTATTCAAGAGGCTGAGGCACAAGAATCACATGAACCTGGGATGTGGAGGTTGCAGTGAGCCAAGATGGCACCACTGCACTCCAGCCTTGGCAAAAGAGTGAGACTCTGTCTCCAAAAAAAAAATATATATATATATATATATATCACTATACACTCACCACTGTGTCTGATGCTATCAAGTGTTAGTAAGGACAAAAGCAAGCTTGATTTATCAGATTATGCTAGAGATGTAAATCAGTACAACCACTTGGAAGGCTGGCAGCCTCCACTAAATCTAAATGTATGTATACCCAATGTATGAATACCCAATTACTCAGAAATTTCACAATAGGTATATTCCCAAAGGGAGAAATATATGTATGTGTGTGTGTGTACACTAGCGCTTTCCTCATATAGCACAGAGCAACTGATTTAGGAAAAATGTATCACTGCAGCTCGGCCTATTCATTTGCTGAACAAACTTATATTGCAAGAGAGATGGAAGCCAGAGTAGTTTTAGGGTGGTGCAGCATGCAGATGCTGTTATTCAGATGCCTCTATCCAAACAGAACAGGAGGCAAAGCATTTAAGAAAGTTGATTGATTGTGGTACATCCTGAGTAACTGAACTCTAAAGAATATCCTAATGGTCTTCATCTAAAGAGAATTCCCTGGCCTACTTTAATTTGCACCAGAAAGTTTTAAATTGCAATGAAATTGACCTCACTGAATGGGAACATTACCAACTAGAGAAGGCGGAGGGCTTATTCAAGTCGCTCCTAAAACTTGAACAGGATCATGTCAGCCTTACAGGAAAGGAAGGCCAACACATGGGCCATATGGTGAGTGTTATTTATCTTGATTCATTCTCTTCCACGTAATTTTCTCATCTTAAATTATATACAACTGACGCCACTCACTCTGACAATGCATTTCCCCAACAAGCCACCGTAAATCTTCTCCACATCTGGCCACTGGGTTTCCAATAAGAGAGTATCCTTCATTGCAAGTGTACACTACATTTTTCCCCACAGGAAACATTGTACCTTCATCCTAAACAAAAGTAAAAGATGGAAAAGGAAAGAGTTTGTCTATTTTGCATTAACAAAACGTTTCTTTACATATATTCAGTCTATAAATCATAATCATCAGGCAAGCTACATTTAATTGATTCAGAAAAGTGTCTATAAAAACATTTTCCCCTATATAGTTAGTAACACTAGCACCACCATTAATTGAAATAAAACTATTAATACCACTGTCTATAATGTATTGATTGCTCCCAAAATACCAAGGACTATACTAAGCATTCTACTAAAATTACATTCTATTAAAATTATTTGGACACTGTCCAAATAATTTCTTTTCCTTTAACTTTTAGGAAAAATCAGTTCTTTATTAGATTTGGAGAACATCTTTGTCAGTCAACTCTTCATATTAAGGTATTACCAGGCCGGGCATGGTGTCTCATGCCTGTAATTCTAGCCCTTTGGGAGGCCAAGGCAGGTGGATCACCTGAGATCAGGAGTTCGAGACCAGCCTGGCCAACATAGTGAAACCCTGTATCTAATAAAAATACAAAAATTAGCAGGGCATGGTGGTGCATGCCTGTAGTCCCAGCTACTCAGGAGGCTGAGACATGAGAATCACCTGAACCTGGGGGACGGAGGTTGCAGTGAGGCGAGATAGTGCCACTGCATGCCAGCCTGTGTGACAGAGCAAGACTCTGTCTCTCTCTCTCTAAAAAAAAAAAAAAAAAAAAAAAAAAAAAAAGTATTATGAGCTGTTCATTGACAATACTGCCATACTGCCTACAAAATGTCAGTATGAACACCCAGAAATTTTCCAATCCTATTAGTATGTTCATGAAAGTTTAAGTTTCTTGCTGATAACTTTTAGGGGAAGCATAATGTTGATCTTCTCCCATCCTACCCTCCTACTCCACACTATATGTATGGAATGCTGCTGGGGCTGGGTCAGATTCAAGAACGTTTCACTAACCTATAATGGCAGGAAGCGAGCTTTCATGGCGAAGCAAGGTGGAATTTGAAGTCTGAGCCTGGGGATGGATGAAGGGTAATCACACTCATTTAGGGTCTCTCTTTCCTTACCCTTCTCATTGTCTTCCACCCAAGGGGATGGTGAAAAACTCAAGCCTGGGAGAGGGCTTGGAGCTCAGGCCTTGACCAGCTCTGCTCTAGGGATTAGAACAAGATTTCCTGATATCTCCTTCCCATTGTCAGTATGTGCTTCCTGGCCCACTCTGGCTCTATCATGGAAGTTAGTAGAAAACAGAATGGGCCAGGCTGATGCTGAGGTTTGAGGGAAATGGGGAGGAGCACATGTTCTGTTTCGACTCATGATCCTATTCCTTCCTCCACCTTGCAAAAACAAAACAAAACAAAAACTTTCATATGAGGAAGTCTGATTCAACAGTGCACAAATGCGGCTGTATATCATAATCACTTGTAGAAATTACAAAATAGACTCTTAGGCTGTACTCCCAAACTATCAAATCAGAAAACGTGGAGGACAAGTGAGAAAGAGCCATCTCTAGTTTTAAGTTCCCTGAGTCATTCGGATGCAGCCAGTCCACAGAGCAATATTTGGGACTCCTGGCTCCTAAAACAACACCACACACACTGCAGTTGGGGACAGCAGCCTCATGGTTTGCTAACATGCATGAGTTTGCTTGGCCTATTCTCTGAGCATATGTTCCATTCAGGAACTCCATGAATTACGGTGGCTGTGGTAGGACAGAATGGGTGGTAGAGATGCTAGGTTGATTTTCTCTCTCTCTCTCTACACAAACACACACACACACTTGCGTGAACACACAACTTTCATCTCCCAATAGTGCCTACATTTGGGGAAACAGTAAATTTTCAGTGAATGCATGTTCAAGGGCCTGGGGTTTGAAAAGCAAAATCCCTTGTGAGGAAAGCAGTGCTGGTAACATGGAGAGAGTCCTCATGAACAATATCCTGTGTGAGCCATGAAGAGGCACCACTGGGGCTTCAGGCCAAAGCCTCGTCATAAAGACTGAGAGCAGCATTAACGAAAATGTCCCAAAAGCCAAGAACAACAAAAGTCCCTAGAATGACAAATGGCAGATGACTACTCTTCTTTCCTGAACAGGAAGGTTCAATTGCTCAAAGTAGAATGATCCATATCTCACTAGACTCTAGCTAACTGTCTTATTGACTCCTGGAATAAACCTAATACTTCATCCCAGGGCCTACAGTTATGAGGGGGAAAAAAAAAAGTCAGTGGCAAAAATAAGAGAAGCTCTGTGAGTTAAAGAGCAAGCTTGTAGATTCGCAGTTTGGTGTTTAGGGTGGCAGTGTTCAGTAGCCCTCTGGCATGATTACATTTTTGATTCACTGGGTGGCAGTGTTGATTTCCCACACCATAGAAGATACACTGCCTTCTGCAGAATTCACATCACCTTGGGCCAAAGAAAAAAAGTCACACACTAAAACCCTCACCACTAAAACTAAAATGCATATATAAAATATTTTTGGCACGGCTTCACCATGGAGGAAGAAAATAGGTTATGGGCTCAGCAGAGAGATAGAAGTTAGAGCATTATAAAGGAAAAAAATATCTTTCATAACCAACTTGAACAAATCCATCTTTCAAGGCAGGAGGTGATGGACAGAATTCTGTTGGAACCAAAGACAAAGGAAAGCAATGTGGTTCAAGCAACCTGGAAGGAAAAAAAATGTAATTAATGTGATTGATTTGCACAGTATAATAATTATTTTGCATTACGTTGGATTTCTCCTTTGTATCTGAAGGAACTCCATTCATTTAAGTACATTGGTGTAATATTTTTATCATTCTTAGAACCAAATATCTGCTTACATCCTGTGGTAGAAAACTCAAACATAAACTCAAGCTAACAAAAGACAGTGATTTAAATAGCTGCTAGGTCAGTAGTATGAAAAACAAACAGAAAGAATGAAAAGAAAAAGAAAGTCTTTGGCCAACATACTACTGTCTGCTTTCTAGAGGTCACCTGTTTCAAAACCTATTTTTCCTCTTGCCGTTTGGTTCTGAAATTCATTTAATACAGAATTAATTCTGTATTGAAAATAAGGTATTGGACGAGATGCGACAGCTCACGCCTGTAATCCCAGCACTTTGGGAGGACAGGGCAGGCAGATAGCCTGAGGTCAGGAGTTCCGAGACCAGCCTGGCCAACAAGGTGAAACCCCATCTCTACTAAAACTACAAAAATTAGCTGGGCACAGTGGTGCACATCTGTAATCCCAGCCACTTAGGAGGCTGAGGCAGGAGAATCTCCTGAGCTTGGGAGGCGGAGATTGCAGTGAGCTGAGATCCCACCACTGTACTCCTGCCTGGGTGACAGAGTGAGACCCCATCTCAAAAAAAAAAAAGAAGAAGGTAATTAGAGTTAGTGACCCCAAAAGAGAGGTAACACAAAATTATAACTACCTTTTACTAAGCATTTACTATGTGTCAGGCACCATGGCAGTTGCTCTGCATATATGCATTATCTCAATTCATACAGCAACACCATGAGATACATGGAAAAAACAATGGCACAGAAAGTTCAAATAACTTGTCCAAGATTATGAACTAATAAATACCAAAGCTGGATTTACGTATAGTCAATTAGGCTCCTACAATTGTGCACCTTCTACCTCTCACAAGGCAATAGAGAAATACGAAGTCTTAGTGTCTACATTTTTTTCTGAACGTGTATAACTGAAAGCACATTATTTGGTGAAAGCAAGTTTAAGTAAGGCTTGGAGTAAGAATCTTAAGCCTAAAAGGAAGATGGGAGAACAGAAGTCCTAATATCATCCCACAAGTGCCAATCCTGACACTTTACCATCACTATGACTATCTCTTGGGGGAGCCTGTAATAAAGATAATGATAATGATGACATCTGTCATTAAACAATGGTTTTCAAGACTGCCTCTAAGGTCAAAATAACACTAATATTATCTCCACTCTAGAGACACAAAATCTGAGAGAAAGCAGTACAAATAGCCTGGGAGTGTGGCCTCCTTCTCATCTGAGTTCCTTATAATCTTGCCATACTTTGAGGAAACTGTGGCAAGTTTAATTTTCCTATTTGTACTGAGAAAGATGATACTTCCCCTCCCCTGAGCACCAAGAGTGAAAAATCTCTTCAATGACTTTCTTAGGATGTACCTCTCCTCCTAGCTTTATGTCAAAAAGCAGGAAAAATGCATCCTCTCAGAGATCTC
Source organism: Homo sapiens (assembly GCF_000001405.40). Lineage (NCBI taxonomy): Eukaryota > Metazoa > Chordata > Mammalia > Primates > Hominidae > Homo > Homo sapiens. The sequence continues at coordinate 40,960,549 of NC_000005.10, read as the reverse complement.
CTCCCAGACCCTCATCCTCCCAGAAACATGTGCACAGCAGCCAGCATCCTCTTCCCACCATAGTTCACATGCTTGCCAGCTTCCTCAGTCAAGAGATACTGATTAATGCCAGATTACAAGGCACCAAAGATTTAGGAATAAGGCTTCCCAACTTATTCTTTTTTCTTTATTCACCCTACGCTTCTACCAGATACCCAAGCACCTCATCTCTTTCTTCAACTCACATGACCTTCAAATTATCTTACTAGAATATTTTGCCAAGTCCAGTCAGCAAAAATTACTAAGGACAATGTAAAACAGTAGGGTGTGGCATAAAGAATTCTGACCCAGGGCTATGATTCATCAACTGAGCATTTTTGAGATGGCTTTTGCAGGGTCCTGACAAATGGGAAGTTTAGTGCCAGGCTACTGGGTTTACCCACCAAGATATTCTCCATCTCAAGCAACTGGCTCTATGCTTAATCCAAAAAATAAATGAGTAAGAATGGTGTATCTGAAAAGTAATACAAACTTTAATGAATGCTTAGTAATCACTTTGGGTGCTTAATCTCATTTAATTCTGACAGTAACAATAAACAGATAATCTTAGTATCAGTTTACCTGCTATTATCATGCTAATTTTAGAGATGTGGCCAGTAACTTGCCCAAGGTCACACAGCAAGTAGGTGGCCAAAACGAATGAGAATGATCGTATCCACTCAGCAGGACTACTCCCAGTTACCCAGCCTTTTGTAACACTTGTTTCAGGAAAACCTGAAGCACACAGAGCAAGCTCCTTCAACTCACCCTAGTGCTAAGGGACAAAGCAGTCCCTGGTAAAAATAGCCATTTAACTTCTAAATCTCTCGACAGCAGCAATCATGTGTTCCATGCTAACTGCAGAGGGTACTGTGTTCTATGCAACTGCCAGGGGGTCGGGTCTCCATTACCTCAAGTGCTCCAGCTCCTCATCTTCGCATTGTGTGCTTTCTGTCGTTTCTCCAACGCAGGATCTCCCACCCCCACTGGGAGGTGGGTTATTGCATTCACGGCTTCTTGTTTTCTTCCCTTGGACACAGGGGCTCCAAGAGGACCAGCAACTCCAACCTCCATCAACCCCTCCTACAAGATGAGAAAGAGGTTGATCAATAAGTTCTTAAAGAGGGCTTGGGAACTTAGTGCTATGCTTCCTGCTAACAAGTTAATTGGAGGAAGAGATCATTCTGGATATTGATTACCTTCACTCTTCATTGAGGTTTTCTACAATGTTCAGAATGGCTCTACATACAGACTAGGAATGTCCATATTAAGGTTGCATTAGTGAACCTCTTGCAATAATATCCTTAATTTGTTGATTATTTTACAACTGTTTCAAAGCACTTTTACGTACGTTGTATCATTTATTTACTTCTCACAACAGTGAATGGAGGTGGGCAGGAAATGTTACCATTCTATTTAATTAGACAGCAGGAGAGTGTGCTTCCATTTTAACAGATAAGGGGAAATCCAAGCCACAAAGGAATGAATCACAGTCGTAGAATTTTAATTACCAGAACAGGCCACTTGGAGAGACATTTAGGGATAAGGATGCCTTTGTAATGCTTGTATATAAGCCTCTATAGTTTAGTCTTATATTTATTCATTTATCGTTCATTTAGTGACTTCTATGAATCAAGCCTTTTGTCAAGCTCTGGGAATAAAGAAAGGAATCAAACAGCCCTGACCTTAAGTAATGAGCGTTCTAGAAGAGACAGACATGTACATAAATATAGAAACAAAAGTATATAGATTGTAGTCATACTTTGACTACTCATAAAGTCAATTTCACATAGCCCTGTACTAAGTGCTTGAAGCACCATATACACCGTAGAGCACACAGCAGATGTTCAACAAATATTTGTGAGTGATTGATAGTACATCACACAGAATAGAAATAGAAATGTTTCAAAGAGCATGCCATCAGAAAGATTAGGCAATGCAAATATACAAGCTCCACAGACCTTTGCTACAGCAAAACCTTATTGAGGTAATTACAGAGGATGAAGGTGTTTTAATCATAACTCTATTCTAATAGAGAATGGGAAGTGGAGGGCACAGTGGGGCTGTTACTTCAGATGGATAAATAGAGATAACAGCAAAGAGCCTTAACCACAGTAGCTATAATCTGGAAGTAGGAAAGGGAAGGAGGATTCTAAATTCATTTGAGACTTCATCTCTTCATACACAAAGAAGCATCTCAAGGAGCAGAGAAACAGGGTAATTCCCTTTCAATGTGTACAGGGTGGCTAGAGAAAATTCACCCCACTGACCTGCTTGATTCCCTACGAGGACTCCTTGCTCACACGCCGCACCAAATGTGTACGGTTTGCAATGGCACAGACAATGGGTCCCCTCAACAGTAGCCAAACCACCATTTTGACAAGGCCGGCAATGACAGGGGTCAAATTCATCCAGATACTCTTCAAGAGCCCATTTCAGGTATAGTTTTTTCACAGAGGCACAAGGTACTTCCTTTACCAGCTCATATAAAGGTGTCAGCTATAGAGATAAAGACATTATAGTCAGTAATCAGGGATTTAGGCAAGAATATTTTGCTTTTCATGTTTAGGCACGACTCTCATTAAAACAAAATCAAAAGCCACGGGCAAGTTTGTTACAATTGTTTCTTATGCAAATACAAAGGAAAACAGTGCACTCTCTTTGCAACAAAATCAAGACAAACTTAGGGAAAATTAGGGTCACATGGGGGAGGAATTTTTTATATATCTTCTGTGCATGCGTAAGATTTAAAAAAAAAAAAAACAAAAAAAAACCAGCCCAGGCGCGATGACTCACGCCTGTAACGCCAGCACTTTGAGAGGCTGCGGCAGGGGGGATCACCTGAGGTCAGGAGTTCAAGACCAGCCTGACCAACATGGAGAAACCCCGTCTCTACTAAAAATACAAAATTAGCAGGGTGTGGTGGCGCATGTCTGTAATCCCAGCTACTTAGGATGTTGAGGCAGGAGAATCACTTGAACCTGGGAGGTGGAGGTTGCGCTGAGCCAAGATGATGCCATTGCACTCCAGCCTGGGCAACAAGAGTGAAACTCCATCTCAAAATAAAATAAAATAAAATAAAATAGGACATTCATTTTCTAGTTACAGCAAAGAAGCAAGTGAAATTAAATTTAGAATTAAATTTCCTGACTGAGAGATTTAACATATCTCTTAGTGGAAATCATGGATTCTTTCCTCATGGAGAAATTTAAAACAGGTAAACATTATTACTCTGCGTTGGCTATTTCAGAAGAAAAGCAACCTTGAAATCACAGATGTGCTGACTCAGTTTTAACAGTCTGCTCTCCCAGGAACAGAAATGTCTCTGCTTTGTAGCATTTGCCAGTTTCTGCAGTGTAACTGCTCTCACCATAGCCAATTTCAGGCTGCCACCATGATGCCTGAACTGGGAAGAGATATGCACCATTGGTTCCTGAGAGCCCAAGCTGTTGCGAACACGATGGCTTTGCATAGTCATGTACCTGTACCTGCATAGTGCCTTTTCTTTCTCTGTTCCTTTTTTGCCCTGCTAAAAAGGTAGCACAAATATGATAATTTATAGTCCTATGTGGAAAAGTACATGGAGACTGTTAAAGAACATGTGTCTTTCTCTAATCAATAATTTAATGTAATCAAGAGTTTCTAAAGATTTGTATGGGATGCTGACAATGAATACAGGCCATTTTGAATATTAACAGATGGTCCTTTAAGATAAGACTTTCTAGGAAAATTTCACCCTCCCTCCCTCACCCATATTTGGAAGCCAATGGGCAATTTATGGGTGTTAGGAGGGGACTTGAGGACCTATTGCAATTTTTGAGTTTATGAAATGTATCTCTGAAAATCAGGCTTTGCCTGGAACATTGACTTTCATGCAGGGAATAAATCATAGAATCGGTTCTGCTATAATGTTTGTTTTGATAAGGGGAATTTGTTCCATTGAGATTGATATACTGAAAATTTTGAGTATAGCACAGATTTGAGATTTTCTTATGTACAACTATGTCCACATGAAACACAGGGTGAACACAAAATGCTTCACACAGTGGAAACAAGCCACATAGGAATATACAAAACTCATGCATACGCATGTGCGTTGACACACACACACACTCACACACCCCTCAACATCTATGTCAGTTCATTTCCTGCATTATAAACTATACTGTTCATGTCTGCTGTTACAAATGTCTGTCGGGTTTCTGACTGGCGTCCTTCTAGCACTTCACAGTAACTCACAAGCCGTAAACCTTCCAAAACCCAGAAAGCTTCAGGTCTTTTTCTAGGTAATGCACCACACTTATTGTAGTATAGATACATTTTTAATAATTTAACATGTATAAAACCATGCAAGTATTTTTATTGGCACCTGTCTTTTTCATATGAGTGTGACAGATGAAAATTTGAGTGCTGTGTCTCTAACCTGATTTTTTTTCCTTAAGCCCTTTATTGTGCAATTTTGCATAGCTCAATGATTTTTAGAAACACATTTGTTGCATTATAAAAGAATTGATGATAACAATAAAACATGTTAAAATTCTGCCAGCCAACTTGTTACTATCCTACTTTGTATGACTTCAGGAGCCCACAAGCCATGGCCACACAAAGAAAGGTGATAGGAACATAACAGAAGGCAAAACTTCATGCCTTCCCCTTGCTAGAATTTATAACTCCTCTGAATTAGGGACCAAGGAAGACATAATCGAACTTAGATCAAAAGTTAAAAATGCAAATTTTGTCATTAATTTATCTTGGAAATTGCAAGACATTTAACATTTGCAACTAAAATATGAGTATAACACACCTTCTGTTTCTTATTATTATGTGTGCATTCATTTTACTCTACAAAATATAATTGGGATACGGAAAATGCTAATTACAGCCATGTCTGTTTAACCATCTTGATTTAACCACCTTCGTTTTCCTCATGCAAATAAACATGACTGCTTCCTATTGCTTTAAACAAAGCCTGACATACCTTTTGTTTTATGACTTGAGGAAGATTAGTCACAGATTCTGCCCAGGCAGAATATCGCCTTTTGTTTCCAGCAGGATTGTCCAGCTCTAGGTAACTAAGGCCAGATATGAAGCCTGCACCTCCCCCTCTGATGAACGGTTCTCCTCGCAATACATTGTTCTGGGTTCCTATACAGAAGAAAGCAAATGAAAAGTGAAAAGTCTATCAAGTATTTAAAAAAACTATCAAATTGTATGACATCCTGGAAAAAGCCAAACTATGGAAACAGTCAAAAGATAAATTGTGGTCAGAAAGAAGGGAGGGATGAATAGGCAGAGCACAAAGGATATTTAGGGCAGTGACACTGTTCTGTATAATACTACAATGGTGGGCACATGTCGTTATACATTTGTCAAAAGTCATTAAATGTTCAATATCAAGAGTGAACCCTAATGTAAATTATGGACTTTGGATGACAATGTGTCAATGTAGGTTCATCCATTGTAACAAATGTTCCACTCTGTTAGGAGATGTTGATAGTGGGGAAGGCTTTGCCTGTGTGGGAGCAGGGGATATACAGGAACTCTCTGTATTTTGCACTCAATTGTGCTGTGAACCTAAAACTGTTCTAAAAACTAAGCTATATTTATTTTATTTTTGGTGGTTTTCTTTTTTTTTTTTTTTTTTTTTTTTTTTTGAGACAGTATTCTCACTCTGTAGCCCAGGCTGGAGTGCAGTGGCATACTCAATGCAAACTCTGCCCCCCAGGTTCAAGCAATTCTCATGCCTCAGCCTCCTGAGTAGCTGGGACTACAGGTGTACGCCACCACACCTGGCTAATTTTTGTATTTTTAGTAGAGATGGGGTTTCACCATGTTGGCCAGACTGGTCTCGAACTCCTGGCCTCAAGTCATCTGCCTGCCTCAGCCTCCCAAAGTGTTGGGATTACAGGTGTGAACCACTGCACCTAGCCAAAACTAAGGTATATTTTTTAAAAAAGAAAAACAACTCTTGCCTGAGAGCAGATGATATTAGGGAATTATTGTTCATGTTCTTTATATTTTTAGTGTGAGTATCACATTATGCAAGAGAATGTTCTTCTTAGATGTTACATGCATATATTTAGTGATGAAGTATTATGATATCTGAAACTTACTTCCAAATAGTTCAGCAAATATTATAAACACTTTAAATACATAATATATATTTCAAAGAATCAGTCAATATTATCAATATTATATGTACATATATGTAGTGAAATTACAAAATACTAATTGTATATAGGAAATGGGTATATGGGTATTTATTACAACATTCTTGTCTATATGTTTTAAAATTTTCATAATAAAATATTGGAAGGAAAACAGTTTATTGCATCTGGTATACTAACAATGAATAAAATAAGCTGTTAATTAACAGGAATCTATTACTTAACGCATGAAAAGTGTTCTGAAAAGTGTGAAATGCTAATGGAAGCTTCTTTTCCATTTATGTGCCTCATAATTTTAGAAATACTTTATCTCCATTTGTAATGGTCATGACAAGAAATTTCCAACCTTGCAGATCGGATTTTGAGTGGTTTTCATTTCCTTGTAACTGTCCAAATTTTGCAATTTCATAAAATAAGCATATTGTACTCATATTCAGAAATCATTAAAGCCTGACAGGTTCTTTTTTTGTTTTTTTATTTTTTATTTATACACAATAATGGTACATGTTTATGGGGTGCATGTGATATTTTGATACATGCATAGAATGTGTAATGATCAAATCAGGATATTTAGGATATCCATCACCTTACCATTTGTTTGTGTTGGGAACATTTCAAATCTTGTCTTCTAGCTATTTTAAAATATACAATAAATTATTGTTAACTATAGCCACCTGACTGTGCTATCAAACACTAGAATTTATTCCTTTTTTTTTTTTTTTTTTGAGACAGAGTCTTGCTCTGTTGCTAGGCTGCAGTGCAGTGGCACTATCTCAGCTCACTGCAACCTCTGCCTCTCAGGTTCAAGCAATTCTCCTGCCTCAGCCTCCCAAGTAGCTGGGACTACAGGCGTGCGCCACCACACCCAGCTAATTTTTGTATTTATAGTAGAGACAGGGTTTCACCTTGTTGGCCAGAATGGTCTCGATCTCTTAACCTCATGATCCACCCACCTCAGCCTGCCAAAGTGCTGGGATTACAGGCCTGAGCCACCACGCCTAGTCGAATTTATTCCTTTTACCTAACTACAGGTTTATACCCATTAAGCAATCTCTCTTCATTGACCCCTCCTCCTCCCCAGCTTCTGATAATTATCATTCTATTCTATCTCCATGAGATCAATTTTTTTAACCCTCACATATGAGAACATGCAATATTTGACTTTCTGTGACTGTAAATCTTAATAGTTTTAACAAATCACCTGATGCTTCCTCGTCTTCATTGTTAGCTGTGTTTTCAATATATACAGTAACACTTTTTAATGCAGTGAATCACGTCCCATCCCTGTATTACTGAATCACAATCATCTGAGGGAACTGCAGATTTCTTAGTCCCCACCAAGACCTACAGGAGAATATCTGAGAGAATGAGTAACCTTTGGAATCAGCATTTTAAGAGAATCCCCCAGGTAAGCGTCATGCATATTAAAGTTTGAGAATCACTGCCTTAGCCAGCACACCTATGTAAGAACTGCAGATTCTTTGCTAAGAATGATGGTTTCCAGCTTCATCCATGTCCCTACAAAGGACATGAGCTCATCATTTTTTATGGCTGCATAGTATTTCATGGTGTATATGTGCCACATTTTCTTAATCCAGTTCGCAAGGACAAAAAACCAAACACCGCATGTTCTCACTCACAGGTGGGAACTGAACAATGAGAACACTTGGACACAGGAAGGGGAACATCACACACCGGGGCCTGTAGTGGGGTGGGGAGAGGGGGGAGGGATAGCATTAGGAGATATACCTAATGTAAATGACGAGTTAATGGGTGTAGCACACCAACATGGCACATGTATACATATGTAACAAACCTGCACGTTGTGCACATGTACCCTAGAACTTAAAGTATAATAAAAATAAATAAATAAATAAATAAATAAAAAGAATTACAGATTCTACCATCATGATGTTTTTTTAAGGCTTTAGCCTCCCTTTCCATACCCCAGTGAGCTCTCTGTTCCAGCTAACTCTTTTCCCCTAGAAAAGGCAGCCCAATGCAAGTCAAGACCCCAGACTGTTAAGCCAAATTTTATGCATTTGCATTTCATATCTAATTCTTATTAACGATAATCTTGGGCAACATTTCTGGGCCTCAGTGTCCCTGTCTGTAAAATGAGAATATGAATAATACTTAACACATAGGTAGGAGGACTACACTGGTTTATTTTTGTACATCACTTAAAATTGTGCTGGCACACAGTAGGTGCCCTGTGTTTGTTAAATGTGAAATAAAATAAAATTGGTAAGCAGCTTCCAACTGCCAGCCCAACTGAAGACTGATGTCAACATCTTCTCAAAGCTCTCACTTCCATTTCTATGTTCAGATCATTCTTTTTCCACTTCATTCAAAAACTTTTCCTCCTCTGACATGTCAACTTCACGAAGACAAGCACTTTCTCTGGCATATTCACGGCTATATCTTGAGTGTCTAAAACGATTCCTGGCACATACCACAGACTCCATAAATAGTTGATGAATGAAGCAAGTGAATGAGTACATAAACCTGGTTTTACTACTTATCTTCCTCCTTCTTGCACTCATCTACCAATATCCCAAGAATCCCTGCTTCTTCACTGAGAACCATGACACATGGGTCAGTGTCCACTTTTGCCATTACCCCAAGAGGATTTAAACTCTGATACTGCTCAGTCTATGGCCTCACACAATGCATTGCAGTCTCACTTACACCCCTACCATACTATGGAATCTCTTCCTTTAAAAGCAACTTTCTCTTCAACGTTTATTCTCGATTCATGGGGTACATGTTCAGGTTTGTTACCTGGGTGGATTATGTGATACTGAGCTTTGGAGTGTGATTGATCCCAACACCCAGGTAGTGAGAGTAAGTACCCAATAGTTAGTTTTTCAACCCTTGATTCCTCCCTTCCTCCCCTCTCTAGCAGTCCCCAGTGACTATTTTTGCCATTTTTATGTCCATAAGTACCCAGTGTTTAACTCCCACTTAAAAGTAAGAATGTGCAGTATTTGGTTTCCTGTTCCTGCATCTGCACAGCAAAGGAAACTATCAATGTGTAACAGACAACCCACAAAATGGGAAAAAATATTTGCAAACTATGCATCTGATAAAACTCTAATATTCAGAATATATAAGGAACTTAACTTAACAAGTAAAAAATAAATAACCCCATTAAAAATGGACAAAAGACATGAACGGACACTTCTCAAAAGCAGCAACTAAGTCTTAATCACCAAATCCAGTGAACATTTTTTGGTCCTTATCTTCACTCTGTTGACCTCACTCCTCCTTTACTTTCCATCTCTTGTTTTTTAATCCTGCCAAATGTTTCCTTCTCCATTCTTCTTTATTCTCTACAACTTTACTTAGGTAAACTTTTATTTCATCACTCCATGTATTAAATCTTTTAATGGAACCCAATAGCCATCAGAATGAAATCCAAACTCCTTAACATGGTACCCTCACAGTCTAGATCAGTTTACCCTTTCAGTCCTCCTTCAATCACCCAAAGACTAGCATACCACCTTCCCCCCATCTCCACTGCCAACCAGCATGCACCAAAAACCTGACCTCCACGGAGTAGCCATGTCAGCAAGTGAAACTGAACTGTCTCTTGATATTGTCACTTGTCTAGGCTTGTTTGCCAATCATCATAAAGGAGAAAAGTGCTGCACACTGATAACATATTTATAATACAGAGGAGATAACCTGGTGAACTCCCTATCCTGTGTGATGTCTCACTACCTTGACACATGAAAGAGAGAGCAGAGACAAAAATTACCAAATAGATTTTTTAAAACACAAAGCAGAACCCCTGATAAAGCCTCAAAAGCCTTTGGAGATCAAGAATTAACAATAGAAGACTGGAGTAGAGGTTAGGCTTGTAATTATTCACAATAGCGAAGACACGGAATCAACCTAAATGCCCATCAATGATAAACTGGATAAAGTGTGGTGCATATACACCATAGAATACTATGGAGCCATAAAAAAAGAATAAGATCATGTCCTTTGCAGGGACATGGATGGAGCTGGAAGCCATTATTCTTAGCAAACTAAAGCAAGAAAAGAAAACTAAACATTGAGTATTTTCACATATATGCAGGAGCTAAATGATGAGAATATATGGAAATAGACAGAGGAGCAACACACACTGGGGCATTTTGGAGAGTGGAGAGTGGGAGGAGGGAGAAGATCAGGAAAAAATAACTAGTGGGTACTAGGCTTAATACTTGGGTGACAAAATAATCTGTACAACAAAGCCCCATGACACAAGTTTACCTACATAACTTCACGCGTACCCTTGAACTTAAAAGTAAAAAAAAAAGAAGTTAAGCTTGCAATGCAAACTGCTCTTTTTCCATTTACCTGAAGCAGCTTTTAAAGCGTTTTCCAGTTCCTTGCATCCATGACTTGAAAATTTAACGACAAAATGCCAACCTGAGGATTTACATTTCTTTTCTTCGACTGAATTAAAATCTAGGGGAGAAAATGTAAAAGAGACATGTTTAATTTCTGCATTCCTTGAAGATCTTCAGATATGAGAGTAGGGATAAGAGGTTGTTTGCTGCTACTATGGCCATCTAATCAAGAGTGACATGATATGAACATTTTCAAGTGCTCTAGAAGAGTCAAAGATCAGAAAAAATTGACTTTTGTTATTTTCCTTCTATCAGCTTCAGAGGGGAGGCAGAAGAGATTTCTACATAAAAAGGTGCAGGGAGTAGAAATTGAACACCCCAAAGAGTGATATCTTTCACCCATTTACAGTCAGCTTCTTAGGCATAAGATAAATCAATAAAAGTAGGAGCATGACAGCTTCTTCCAGCAAATCTACTTAAGGCTCCCAAAGCTGGCTTCTGTTTCCACAGGAATTAACTCCTAAAATTCAAGTTCTACTGGTTCAATCTCTCCATCTTTAACATCTGTGACTTCCAACATCTCCTTCCCATGACTTATACCCTTAGAATGTGATCATTTCTACTCATTATCAAGGGGAGTTTTTTGTGTTTTTTTTTTTTTGCCAATGCATTTTTTGAAAGTAGGATAGAAAAATACTAAAATGTGCAAATATATTTTCTCATTTACTAACTATATTACAATAACCTTAATGTTTCTTAAAGAACAATTATTTGGGGCATACACTATATCCCAGAGGTTATGATTATATTTAAATAAAAATTTTAGGAAAAACATAAACTGCTCAAGAGTAAAATTTTTACTGAAAAATTTAATTTTACCAGCTTGGAATGTTTTTTTAATCCTCTCCATTTCTTTTAAGTGCAATAAAAAGAAGTAAAACTGAATTTAGACCAAACTACTTGCTGGATTAATTCTCCAAAGAAATAGTGTCCTTGTCGTTGCTACAAAAACCTGTACTTGTGCACTCATTTCTAACCTATAAGATTTGAAAAGATCAAGTTCTAGTTAAATTTTATGTAGTAGAGAACTTCAAAAAAAAATAGCTCAGTGGAAATGAAAAAATATTATAGTTTACCCATTTAAAAAGCTAAAAGACTTCCTCTGAATCTTATGTAAGAGATCTTATTCTTCTCCAAGGTTGTAACAGAATCTTTTCTGAAGAGAAAGACCTTGAAGAGGGGATTTGGAATAGAGAGGGAAATGTGGGCATCAGCTAAAAGACAAAGTTAGGAAAAAAAAGGTTTGACTTGGAACATTAGTAAGCCAAGGCTAGTCTCTGAAGAGGAGGAGTGGTTGTTAAGCCACCACCATCCCTGCCCATATCTAGACAGATAGTGAGGACTCTTCTCTCAATATGAAATCAACAAAGCATTAATTCAGGGGTATGTCCTGATTCTAACCAAAATCAGGCAATTTTAGCAGTGACATAGCATAAGGAATAAGCTAAACTGACTTTGAGGCCAGTTAGACCCAGCCTTAAATACCCTCCTTGCAATCTTCATGACCTTGGATAAGTCTCATAATAGCACTGAGTCTCTATTTCTCACTGTGGGGCAGAGATTATAATGCCCATCTCATTGGGTAGTAGTAAGGATTATTACTAATACATGTAACTCACTTGTCATGAGGAAGGTATCCCATCAATTTAAGCTATTGTTACAAGTATTAAGTAGTAAACAAACTTATGATATTCAGAGAGGATTTTTTTAAAAGAATGAGAGGGTAAAAAACAAAGGTAAATGAAATACTTATTTAAACATCTTGATTTCTGAAATATTGCTAAATTCCTCATTTAGTTTTTCTTGAGAAATGCTGTTTAGTTTGAGAAAGTGGAAAGTTTAAAAAGCATTCTAAAAACCCAGCCAATACCCTCTAGAGATAGCCAATAATGATAATGATTTAGCTCAAGGTACTATGCAAAACAGTAGACAGGCTTTTCTTAAACCATATAAGATTTTAAGTAGACAATAATACATTCTTGCAATTTTAGATTCCTTTGCAATTTAAATTTCTGTTTGTCAAATTTTAAAGCTCAAAAGCTTACATTAACTACATGTTATTTCCCCATTAAAATCCCAGAAATGCCTTTAGACAACGAATTTTTTAATACTGTACCATTTTGTTTTAATTTTTCTGAGTCCACATAAAATAGAACTCTGTATTCTCCTCCTAACGACCCAGATTGCAGATAATGTGTCCCGTACTGGTCGATTAATCTTCGGTAGGCACTGTAGTCATACAGAGAGGGGAGGTGGGAAAGCTCCTTCCAGAATGGCTCAGCAAGTTGTAAAAATTCTGGATTGTTATTAATGAACTGAGCCACTTCAACAGTGTTCTCAACAACCAGCAGTTGGTAACTCTGTGGAAAGAAGAAAGAGTACAAGGAGTTTTAGGTGGAAGATAAAAAGGCAATGGAAATAGTTCTCTGTTCAATACCTTCATCAGCTCTCATCTCCAATCAACCAAGACTACAAGAATTTTTATTTTTGACGCATGATGAGCACTCTTATGGGCCCACTTACTGGACGCAATCAGGAATATTTGGAGTCTCAAATAGTAATAATATCTGAGTAATGGCCAGGCAAGGTGGCTCACTCCTATAATCCCAGCACTTTGGGAGGCTGAGGCAGGCAGAGCACTTGAGACCAGCCTGGCCAACATGATGAAACCCTGTCTCTACTAAAAATACAAAAATTATCCTGCCATGGTGGTACACACCTGTAATCCCAGCTACTCAAGTGGCTGAGGTAGAAGAATCGCTTGAACCCAGGAGGCAGTGATTGAAGTGAGCCGTGATCACACCACTGCACTCCAGCCTGGGTAACAGAGTGAGACCCAATATCAAAAAAAAAAAAAAAAAAAATCTGAGTAATGCTATGTTAAGCCACCATCCCCTCCCACATCTGGACAGATAGTGAGGACCCTTCTCTCAATATGAAATCAACAAAGCATTAATTCAGGGTTCAGGATTAATTCAGGAAAATTCAGCTTTGTCCTGCCTCAGCCACTTGAGTAGCTGGGATTACAGGCATGCACCACCATGCCTGGATAATTTTTGTATTTTTAGTAGAGGTAGGGTTTCATCATGTTGGCCAGGCTGGTCTTGAACTCCTGACCTCAAGTGGTCTGCTTGCCTCAGCCTCCCAAAGTGCTGAGATTACAGGTGAAGAAATTATATGATAATTTCTTATATAAACTCCAAAACCCCAAGACCAAGTTGCTATGCCATCTTCAACTAGAAAAAGAGAATTAATCTATCAACTGATAAATATAAGTATATAAAATAATGTGTCCCTATGGTCCACATCTTGACAATGACTTGTAGGTATGATTTATCTCCCATGCTAGGGTATTTGCAGGTGAAGCTACTTTATAATGAAGTCTTTTAAACACTTCCTAAGCATCTTTTAATGATGTCCAAGACAGATCACAGATCTACTTTTGCCAAATCCCCACTTTGTGAACAATATAATGTGGAGACAATAAATGTTTTTACAACTCATAGCTCCATAGTCAGTTTCTCAGTCATAAAACAAATAAAATCAATATTCCTTATATTTTCCTAAGTGATTTATTAATCAAGTTACTAACTTTAAGATGTGATGAAATGTGCAGATTGTGAATAATAATTAGCCTAAAAAAATTATTCAGCCATAACTGTATATCAATTAGTACAATCCATCTCTACTGTTCAGATTTCTCAAGAGGAAGGTTTTAGTATTTCAAAACAATGAAGTATTTAAAAATGTCTTTTAACTTCCTTAGATAAAAATGTTGGTATCTCAAAAGTAATAAAGTGTTTTTAAAGTATTTTATCTTCATGCACCATCTAAAAAGCCTCTAGCATTTGCATTTAAGAAGCATATATAAGCATTAATTAGATTTTTTAAAATTGTATATGACACTTAAAATAGTATCACCAGTAATCACAAATTTAAGAAATTTAAGATCGTTTAAAATAGAAGATTTCAAGGTAATAAGGGCTTTGTAAACATCTTCAAATAAAAACAAATATTTTTAATGAGAAGTTTAAAACTATAACTAAATATACATATATATATATATATATATATATATATATATATGTATTTTTTTTTGAGACAGGGTCTCACTCTGTTGCCCAGGCTGAAGTGCAGTGACATGATATTGGCTCACTGCATCCTCTCCCTCCAAGGCTCAAGTGATCCTTCCACCTTAGCCTCCTAAGTAGCTGGGACTATAGGCATGCACCACCATGCTCAGCTAATTTTTGTGTTTTTATAGAGACAGGGTCTTGCTATGTTGCCCAGGCTGGTCCCAAATTCCTGAGCTCAAGCTCAAGCAATCCACTCACCTTGGCCTCCCAAAGTGCTGGGATTATAGGCGTGAACCACTGTGCCTGGCCAGTATAAATAAATATATTATCAAAGAGATTTAATGAGACAATATTGTACCTTTTAGAGAAAGATATTGCATTGACTCTTAAAGGAAGTACTATTACTATTACTAATTTTAATATGAAAGCTGATCCTTTTGATAAATACAAGTTTATTAATGTAAGCAATACTTAAAAAAGTAAAACATGGAAAAGTTAACTGACATTTTATACTAACCTTTCCTTTATGGATTTCATTGGTATGTGAAGTATAACTGCGTGAAGAAGATGATGAAGATCTAAAAAAGGAGCGCTTCCGACTAGATGATGTGTGTTCTGTCGACGTATGTTTTACATAAGACCAAGTACTATTGTAAAATTCATAATTAAAATCATTATTTATTTTCACCTACAAAGAAAATGAAAAATTTTGCTATGACTAAATTAATGCTGGATCCTTTATCATGCATACTTTCTTCATGCAATCTTCCCAAAGAGAAAAGCTCTTCATTGGCACAAAGCAACTGTGACTCTCATTAAGACCAGGCCAGTATGATTATAAGGAAAGAGTTCATTCTACGATTATTTTTTTATTAAGCAGGACACATGGTACCAACAATGGCAATCCCAAGTGACTCACAAAATGCATTTAGGTACAAACAACTTCCATGTTCCTTTAATGTCAGCATTTGGCCCAGAAGCGAGCAAATTAACAAAAGCTACACTGACAGAGAACTAGAAAGAATTTCGTTCTTGATTTTTCATCTAACAAAGAGGAACAGAGATGCAAATAGGTGATATGAAACAATTAGCTCTTTTGGACTTTGTTTTGGAATGTTCTATGTGATCCAATAGTGGATTTAATTTTCTAATTCTGTTTCACTTGGATAAATGCTAAAATTGCATTTTTTTCTTTGCTAGATAGAAGAAAGGGTCACCCCAAAAGAATTTTAAAGTAGACAATAGGTTAGTCACATGTAGCTAAATGAGAAGTGACAGCTTCAGCTTTTATTGAAGAGACAATCATTCATTTATCCTTTATTTTGCTTTAGATCAAGTGTCAAAATGAAATGCCCACAGGGAACTGGCAAGTAATGTCAATGTTGGAAACCTCCAGTGGACAGCATGGTGATGAAAAAGTGAACACGTACCCTGTCTAAAAGGGACACACAACACTCAAATCCACTAGACAGTCACTAGATGTAACTACAGGTTCTGGTATTGACAAATTGTCTGATTTTTTCCAAGGGATAAATTTGACTCTTCATGTAAAACTCTCTTGATTTGTTAAAGTTATAGACAACTAATTTGCTAAAAATGTCAGTCCCTGTGGGAATGAAACAAATCAGGCAAGAAGACTCCCTCTCACTGTGTTTGTTCTATATAAATATTCAAATTGGGAGCTCTCCTTTCACAAGCATTTGTGTTTTTATTATATATACATACACATCTGCGTTTGAGATCCAAGCATAAGGAACAGAGGAAATTGAACTGATGGAAATGATATACTTTTTTGAAAACTAAAAGGAAAGAAAATGACAATATTACACAGTCATACTAAATGATGCTTGTGAAAGCAAAATATTCATGTTGTCACATTAAATAAGAAGACAGGTATAAGTGTGAAGATGCTATTAACCACAATCATGCAAGTATATGCCCAGTCAAAAAATACAAGACAGAAATACACCAAAATACCAGAAAATACAATATGACTGTTATCACTACCCCCATTGAGTATTAGATATGCATGCTAAAAAGATAAGAAAGATAAGAAGATGGATTTCAACAAATCTTTTATTAGAGCATTATTTCCATCACATTATGAAATTGGTTTGTTTAAAAGTCAGATGCAAAAATTCAGCTTGGGCTGGGAGAATATATATATGTCTGTGTGTATATATATATACACACACACACATATATGTATATACACATATACACATACACACATATATATTATTGATTTAAAAAATATTTAGTTTATTATCTCTTTGGAGAAAGAAAAGTTATACACATCCCTTTCAATGCAAAAAAAAAAAAAATTAGCCTATTTCCGCCTGTCTTTATATCCACAATTCAAATACAAATAAACCTCTCAGCTGCTTTAGTTCAGCATCTTCTCACTCCTATCTACCTACACATAGCTGCAGGAATCATCTTTCTCAAAGTGGTGTGGTCTTATTAAATTTTCTTTAATTAATACCCTCCTTCTTCCAGCTTAGATCCTGGATTCTCCAAGACTGATTCTTCCTCTGAAATCCCAAATTCAACCATCCTATATTCTAACATCTCTTATTCTTTTAACTCTCATTTTTATTATTGCCACATCTATTATTTCACATTATAGAAACATGTTCTTCCACTTATTCTCCCCCTTTCTCCCTATCAATACTTTCAGTTTTTTCACTTCCTTCCTGTTTCAGCTTAGGCTTCTTGGCTCATGACTTCAATCATTCTCTTGCCAATGGATTTAACTTCCTTGCCTAGATGACCTGCTATCATGTTTTCCTGGCAAAAACCCAGCCAGGGCTTGCTAGGCCAGGCATGGGCGTGGCGGCTTATGCCTGTAATCCCAGCACTTTGGGAGGCCAAGGTGGGCGGGTCACAAGGTCAGGAGATGGAGACCATCCTGGCCAACATGGTGAAACCCATCTCTACTAAAAATACAAAAATTAGCTGGGCATGGTGGTGCGTGCCTGTAATCCCAGCTACTCGGGAGGCTGAACCAGGAGAATCGCTTGAACCCAGGAGGCGGAGGTTGCAGGGAGCCGAGATCACGCCACTGCACTCCAGCCTGGTGACATAGCAAGACTCTGTCTCAAAAAAAAAAAAAAAGAAAGAAAGAAAATCGCACAACTGTACGGATTGGTGCCACTACAAATCCATTCGTGCTTTTCAACTTCAGTAGAATCCTCAAAACCAGCCAACAATACTTTATTTCTCTAGTCAGTTCCCTCCTCCCATTCTCTACAGTACCTATTTTTAAATTCTGCAAAATTTTGAAAATTTTT
Organism: Homo sapiens; assembly: GCF_000001405.40. NCBI lineage: Eukaryota > Metazoa > Chordata > Mammalia > Primates > Hominidae > Homo > Homo sapiens. Next base: position 40,942,592 of record NC_000005.10, on the reverse strand, counting down.
CAAAATTCAATTCCTCGATTCTACAGACACTTCCTTCACTCTCAGAAGATGATCTTACCTCTTTCTTTACAAAAACTCCCATCTTCAGAGACCTCTTAAACTGCTGGCTAACAAATCTACAAACTTATTAACTTTTCTTTCCTTCTTTTTCTCTATAGGTGTCCCTCCCTTTGTCTTAGGATAAATTTTCTCTCTCTTCTCTGTATTGCATTCTCTCTGACTTCTTCAAAGGGTGGATTAGATGGATTGATTGTTCCCTCTCCTACAGCTTCCATTTTTCTTGCTCTACTGGCTCCTTTCTATCAAAACATACATGTTCTAATACAACCAACTAAAATAAGAAATGCTTTACCTGTTACTATATATTCCTTCTTTCCTACTTTCCCATCTCACCACCTTAAATGAGTTGACTATAATTAATTATCTTAAATTCCTCACCTCCCATTCACTCTTCCGCTTACAATGGTCTGACTTCCAGCAATGCTGCTGGCACCTTTCTTATTTCACCAGACAGTGAACACTTCTCTCAACATCATTCGGCACTGTTGACCACTCTCTCCTACTGGAAATACTCTCTTCTGTTGGCTTTCTAGTTTTCTTTTTTTCTCTCTGGCTGTTCCTTCTAAGACTCCTTTACGCATCTCCTTCTATTACTCCTCTATGCTAATTCCAAGAGGAACAGTGTTCTCCACTCTGTGGCTTCAATTACCATTCTTATACCAATAATCACCAAATGTCTATTTCCAGCTCAAACACTTTCTCCTGAGCACTTGGACATACTTTAGATACCTAAACTGGATTTGTCTTCTCCCTGCAAATGGGTCTTTACCCATCTCAGAGGGTTGTATTTTCATCTGGCCATTGGTCCAAGTCAGAAACCCATTCATATCCCAGACTGCTCACTCTCCATCATACCCCGCATTCAGCCGCTCACCAAGTTTTCTCAGGCCGCTCTTATGTCTCTCAGGGATTATTACAACAGTTTTCTAACCAAGGTTCTTTCCCCCAGTTGGCCACCCTCCAATCTATTCTCCACTGTTCATAAGAGTAGCAACCCTTCTTAAACTCTCTGACTCTTTTTTTTAATCCAATCTCCTTAACTAACCAGAAAAAAGTCTTTTTTATTTACTTTCCCGATCACTCATAACCTCATTTCTTACAACTCTTCACACTTCACTGTGTAATCCAGCCAGTTTGAACTTCATTCAGTTATTCAAAAGTGCTCCTCGGGCCAGGGTCAGTGGCTCACGCTTGTAATCCCAGCACTTTGGGAGGCCGAGGCGGGTGGATCACTTGAGGACAGGAGTTCGAGACCAGCCTGACCGACATGGCGAAACCCTGTATCTACTAAAAATACAAAAATTAGCCAGGCATGGTAGTACACGCCTGTAATCCCAGCTACTCGGTAGGCCGAGGCATGAGAATCGCTTGAACACAGGAGGCAGAGGTTGCAGTGAGCCGAGATCACACGACTGCACTCCAGCCTGGGCAAATGGGTGAATGAGACTCCCTCTCAAAAAAAAAAAAAAAGAAGTGTTCCTCTTGCACTCTTGTTTTTTCATTTTCTCTCTCTCTCCCACTCCCACCCACATATAGAATGAGACACGATATACATATAGATATAGAGATATTCACTGCATATACATACATATATATACTATATAAAATGCTTGTAAGTATAGTGTCTGCTCTGAGGGGGTTTGGAGCCAGACTTCTAAAGTTCAAATCCCACCTTTGTCATCTTCTATGCTGTGGATAAGCTATTTAGCTTTTTTGCCTCTGTTTTATCATTTGTAAAATGAGATGCCAGTACCTACCTCCTTAGGTTATTATAAGGAAAATAGGTCCATGTAAAGCTCTTGGAACAGTGCTTAGTATACAAAGCGTTCTTATATGTGAGATATTTTTAACCATCATTTAAATTATTCCTTTAACAAGGTAGATTTAGAAATCTCAGGTATCTAGTCCTCATACCAACAGAGGAAGCAAAGGCTTAGATAATGCAGCATTCATTAAAATTGCCTTTAGAATTTGTTTTTGTTTTTAATTTGATATGCATTTAGGATTTCTCTTCAAAATATATAATGAAGTATATTCAAGACCAAACACAGAAGAAGCCATGAAGTTTTTCCACCTTGATCATAATTCATTCCCTTCTGCAATTCATCACACACTGAGAATAAACACAATAGTCCTCTGCTATCTCTCAGGCTGAACAAGGCAGAGGGGCACCTTCCCAAGCCATAAATGCCTTCCTTGTTGTATAAAATGTATAAGTAGACAGAGAATGTGCACAGCATCAAAGTTAAGTAGCTTACTCGACAAGAAATTGGGTTTGCCCTGGATAAACCGCGATGCTAAAAACCGAAACAGGGATTATAAGAGAGACTGGCCGATTCTGTTTTATATTTACTACTAATATTTATGTTCCAATAAGCCAAAAGTCACTTTCCACCTCAAAGAGAGCTGAATACCCAGTGGGCCCGAGATGAATTTATTTGAACCATGGAGGACATTCACCACCTCCGCGTCCACACCTGAGTTTAGCATTTGCATGGCTGACTCACTGCCTGTGGCTTCCACTTCACTTCCCTCAGACTGCTCCTCAAAACATCTCTGTTCCTCATTCTATAGCAGGCTATAATTTCCCTCTACTCTGACAAACACCTTCACATTCAGTGATGGGGAAGGCATTTCAGTTGTCAATCTAAAGACCAAGCCCTGCTGAGGAAAATGAATGTCAGGATCACGTTGTTAATAAATTATCCCTCTTCTTCAGAAATGCAGACTTCCTGCCTGTCTACCTTCCAACGAAGTCAGAAACGCTCTTTCTTATTATTTTCTCTGCTCTGTAACTTTCTAAATTTGACCCTTTCAAAAATATACATGCAAGTCTCCACATTATAATTATGAAAGAATTAGGAACATATTCTCTAAGGTATAGAGGGAGAAAAAAAATTATCTGTATATGCCTGTCTTACATTCTCCTTTCTGGCCAAAGGTTAAATTGTAATACATGTTATTCACCACGTTGAATTTAGAATTGAAAAATAAGTGAAACACATGGGGAGAGTAAAATGTAATGGAAAAATAAAAGGCTGTGAAATCTGACAGACCAGATCTAAGCTCTACTACTTTTTAATTTGGTGACTTTGAGTATGTCAGCTGAAGTCCTCTTAAGCCTCAGTTTCTACATATATAAAATAGTAAAATATTGCTTACTTTCCAAAGCTGCTGTGAGAATTAAACCTATGCTAATCACCTAAAATAGTGTAGATGCCACAGTAGGTATTCAAAAACTGGTAGCTACAATTATTTTTCAGATCTGTTTTACTTCTCATTTATATTACTCAACAACTCTTAAATGCAACTAACTTATTCTATGGTAAATTGGAAGACGGTATGTTTGCTATTTATAATCAAAGCTGCTTTCTGGAGAAGGTTAATTTGGGTAAGCAAAAGGCCCTTTTGTCTGAACATTTCAGTAGTTTGGGTTTACAAATTTAGAAGTAATCAATATTAAAAGCTGAATTAGACATTTTTGGAGTTTGGGGACAAAGGGAGGAAAAGGAGTGAGAGAGGGGATCTTGAAAGACGAGAGCAAGAAAGAAGCTAACACCCGATGAGACCAGAAATTTCGTTGTGTTGAGGCTGTGGAAGTGTTTTAAGATAGAAGATGCCAACCGCTATTGCTTCAACATGTTTGCATTACTGCAACAGAAAATCTCTCCTCTATCTTCCTTCTAAATCTTCCGTAAAGTTTCCTAAAGCCATAACTGTTTTGCATGAGTACGTATTGTGTTGATCAAAACCTACTCACGGGTGAGTTTAGGTGTGTATGACAGAAATAGCTTTTGAGAAACAGAAGCCTGGAGACAGAGGAGATCTGAGATCATAAGCAAAATTAAAAAGTTAAGCAATACCAACGTTGGCAAGCATGTGAAGTGGAGGCCACTCATCCCCACTGCTGGGGTATGAAATGATCCAGCCATTTTGGATACTTTACCTAGTAAAATTTAGTACATACATATCCTATGAGGTAGCAATTTGAGTTCCAGGTGTATGCCCTGGAGAAGCTCTAGTTCATTTGTATGGGACTCAGGCACAAGAATGTTCAAGGCATTTTCATAAGAAAAAATTGGAAACAGCAATAAAAATGCCACCTGCAACAGCATGAGTAAATCTCAAATCCATAACTTTTAGTGAAAAAAGTAACAGAAGAATAGATATGATTCTATTTATACAAATGGAAAAAATAGGCAAAACTAAATCACAAATTTATATTTAGGGACAAAAACATATAAAGAATAAGCATTTATAGAAAAAACAAGGATAATTAATACAAAATATAAAATAGTAGTTGCCTGAGGAGTGAGAGGGATGTGATCAGAGAGGGGCATAGAGGAGCCTTTAAGTCACTGGCAATATTCTATTTCTTAAGGCAGATGGTGGGCATATAAGGGCAGTTTTCTTCAAATTACACATATATGTTATCCACACCCTTTTGTATATATGAAATAGTTCACAATTTTAAAATAAAAGCATTTTAAGTGAGCTGACACTGTAGCAGTGTCAGGAGACTATCATTACCAGTCATGGACAGGGTCTTCAGTTTAATGCCTACACCAGCACAGACAATAAGGTCTTGGGCCTATATAGAACATGAAGTTACAAATGAGGTATAAGGATATGTCAGCTTGAATGACACATGTTAAAAGTATCATTGCCCTGTACCCCAAAGCAAAAACACTGTGTATACTTTTTAAGTCAACATAAAACATTTATAAAAATTGACCACACATTAGGCCATAAGTAAATTCTCAACAAATACGTAAAAGTCAATATCATATAAATAATGCTCTCTGACAATTCCAGATTGGAAATCAATAACGTCGTAAGTACCTGGAATGTATAGGACAGGACATTTCCACTCAGCCTGTAGAAATCTTTTCCATCCCCACTAAACACCTTTCTACATTGACCACCAAAACTTTTGGTATTGATGACTCTGTTCCTAAACTGGCCAGTGAGTTCATTGTAACTGTTAAAAGGAGGAGGAGGAGAAGGAGGAAATAAAAAGCCGTTAAAAACCAGAAATAGCACTTGGTGGGGAAAAAAGTTTATTACAGAACTCTACAAATTCTTAAAATGCATTACACTTAAACACTTCTTTGAGAGAGTTCAAATGAAGAGCACAGCATCCTAATACACACCATACATTATCCAGCTTCCCCTGCTTGGTATAATCACTAAAACTAATGGCTCAGAAAATCCAACATTCTTTCCATCTAAGAACATATTTGGGAAACACATGGCTCTTTCGTATCTATGGCAACAGCTGGTTTTGAATTGAATCTGTAGATAAAACCAATACAATTAAGGTTACTCTTGAGGAGAGAGAGCTCTCTATAATAAATTTTAACTAATTGCCTCTTAGCATACTGAATGGTGTACTCTTTCAAATAATTTTACCCTATTTCTCTGTTAATAAATTTTAAAATATTTCAGAAAAATTACTTCTTTCACTCTAAAATAGGTTATTTTTAGGTCTTGAAACCTTAACAAGTCATATGACCCTTAAAAATTCTTCAGAATTCTCTTTGATAACGTAAACACAGTATTTTCCAACCTTCACTTGGAAACAGGTTCTTGGCTAGTTTAGACAATTGCTGTTCAGCCTGGATATTACAACACACTTGCTTCTGTCTCTCTTCTCATCCTGTTCTCATTCTATTGTCTCTTCATTCTCTTGAATAGCCCCACATTATTGAATTAGTATTTTTTCTCTCTCTCTCCCTCCCTTCCAACCCCCATGAAGTGACCAACTGTCCAGGTTTCCCTGGGCCTGAGGGGTTTCTTGGAATTAGAATTTCAGCGCTAAAACTAGGACCATCCCAGGACAAGGGGTCACTCTGCATCTACCACATGTATCTACAGGTATACATGTGTGAACAAAAATACTGTCTCAGGATGTGGCAAAGAGCTCTGAGCCAATGAATAATCTTGCCTATTAGAAGACTTGTTCGTAGACTTACCAAACTATAAAATAAAACAAAATTTAAAACTACAATTCACTGATGTACTCAGGAGGCTGCCCAGCACCTTACCCATTTCCAGTAAGTTCTATGTTAGGAGGAGGTTTATCGATATCACAGGAAGGTCTCCTTTCTGAGTCCTCACATCTGTCTTCATCAGCACTGTCTTCATCACAGTCAGAATCCCCATTGCAAACCAATGATTTGCTGATGCACTGACCTGAACACCAGAGAAATCCACGTGCAAATGTAAAAGAGGGAAGAGGAGAAACACTACCCAGGACCAAAAAGGGTTTTCCTGCTACCTGTAACACTGCACTGATACGCCAATGTAAATGGGAGATAAATCCTCAGAGTGTCTCGGAAAGGACTAGTGAGTATTTTGTCTCCATTTTATGGCACATGGAAATGGTTCTTAACTCAATCAGACACAAAATTGAAAATAGGATCTGAATTCAGAATTTCAGGATCTCACCCATAATCATCAAGCAGCTTGTCTAAATTATATAATTCCGACTACTGAGAAAATAGACTGACTTCCTGCCCTTCAACTTTCACTTTTTTTCTGTCATTCTAAGATGACAAAGTTGAGCTTTTTTTGGTAATTTAAATTTGTAAGCTTTAAGAGCCGGACAATTTTATCAAAAGGTTAAAATTCAACATTTCCGTAGCACAATAGGGGCTAGGATACGAATATGAATAAAAATGGCCTTTGCCAGCTTTTCATATACTTTACAATCTAATAGGAAATACTACAAAGACATAGATCATAATTGTTATGATAGCCATAAATCTAGAGTACCAAGGAAGCACTGGAGAGTACCAGATGATCTAGTTCCTGCCTATCTCCCCAGCATCATCCCCAGCCATTCTCCTACTAGCTTCTTATACCCTAGTCATACCAGACTACCTGCATGAATAAAAGGCCAAGCTTTCTGTCATCTCCAATGATCTTGCGCTTGGTTAGTTCTCTCTGCCTAGATGGGTTTTCTCTACCTATCTCTTACTTGTCCTTCAAGAATCAAATTAAACATTATCTCCTCTTGAAAACCATCGCTGCCTCACAGGCTCTGATGCATGTTCTTCCTCTATGTCCTCATAGGATGTTTGGTGCACAGCTGTCCTTATAGGACATGTACCCTGCTATACTGCCACTCAATCCAATGCAGCAAACATTTGTTGAGAACTTATTATGTACCAGGGACTCCAGAAGTCAACATGTAAGAAATATAATTCATGTCTTCAAGGAGTTCACAGTTCACCAAGAGAGACATTCAGGCCAACGAATCATCCAAATGACAGATGGTACAATATGCATAAGGAAAATATGGAAGTGATTGCTTAATTACTTCTATCAGTTGGGGATTTAGGGCAGGCTTCCTGAAGGAGTGGTTATCTAATTTGGATTTTGAAAGTAAAATAAGCGTTCAACAGGTATCACTGAGGAGCACTTCTAACACAGGGATTATTTATGTACTATTCTGCCCATAAAACTTTAATATTTGTGAGGGAAGAGGCATGTGTTTCACTTGTATATACAACTCTCACCACTATTTGAAACAAGAATCATAAATGTTTACTAAATGTTGTTACATTAATCTGACTGCATAAATGCAACATAGAGTATTGGTCAAATAATATTCTATGCCAAAACTGGTGTTTCAATCACCCCATGCATAGGAGAGAACTGTATTGCTCCTTAATCAGTTCATTAGGGTTGCTTTTCTTGTAGATATAATAATTTAGGCAGTAACATTGTTTTCGTCTAATCTCAATATATGTACAAGACTCACTCTGCATCTTTACTCAAAATACACTGTCAAGAACTTTTTGGGTCTGTCAGTAACTAGAGTTCCATTCAAAGAGACAAAGAGCATTCCTATGTTTATTACCAGATGCATCCCCTTGCATTTGAAAAAATGATAGCTGAGTGGATGATTAACATACCAACAAAAATCCTGATGATATTTGGGGGAATTAACTTTAGGCCAATATAAATTCAGTAAAATTTAACAAATATATAACGAGCAAGTTCACCAAATAACGTTTGAATTTACAATCTGCATGCTGAGCCTATGGAAAACAAGTTACCTGAAAAGCACCTGAAACGCTCTCCACATCCCTCCTCTGTTGGACATCCTCTTGTAGGTTCACAGGACTGTGTTTCAAAAGCATTTCCAACACAAGGCTGGCCTCCATACTGCCCATACACAGCAACTGACCGCCTGCGAGTCTAAACACAAAGCAGGCAGTGGTTTGTTTGTTTATTTGTTTGTTTTCAAAGAAATCTCTAGTTTCCTTTATCTGAGTAATAAAATCTGAGAAAAAGTAATACAATTAGAAAAACAACGTCTGGAAAATTGTTCTGGTGTTCTACAGAAATAAAACCTCAAAATCAATGAATTCACAGACCTATTTGTCCTTGAGTTAAGCAACATGTTGGCTATTATTTATAGAGAGCTCCCAGGCATATATTGACTTTCAGGATTAAATGCAAAAAAAAAAAAATGATGTTAGTGAATCTTTAAGAAAGTAACCTGATTGCAGTGAGCTGAGATCATGCCACTGCACTCCAGCCTGGGCAATAAAGTGAGACACCGTCTCAAAAAAAAAAAAAGAAAAGAAAAAAGAAAGTAACCTGAGTAAAGCTTAGAGGGTAGACACATAAGCAAATACATTAGAGCATAGAATGATTAATATATTTACCAAATCTGTGTTCCAAGAGCTCATTAGAGAAAGTGAAATGACTTTTTCTGGAGAGAGGATAAGGTACTGGGAAAGGGGTTAAGATGAAGCAGAGTTAAGGAAACCTTCAGAAGAGTGATGGTGATTCCTTTCAGCTAAACTGTAAGCCTTCTTCAGGAAGAAAGGCAAGCAAAAACAATTCAGAGAGAAATACATGAATATGGAAGTCAAATTTACAAAACAGAAGCCTAAGTAATCCAAAGGTGAAGCTACATCTACAAAGGAATACGTAAAATACAAACCTCTTGAGGGAAAAGAATATAGGAAAACTGAAGAAATTATCAAACTAAATGAGAAACTTACAACTAATTCATACTAAAGTTTATTTAATCCTCATTCACTATGAAGACATGTATCTAACATTCAAACAAAAAGAAAGATCTACCCCTGGCAATCAGTGAGCATCTTCCAGGCCTCTTCCTCTACTCACCTCTTCTCCATTAACAAACAAAACGGAACCAAAACTGAGCGTCCTGAGGATTTAAACCTTGAGTGAAGATCAACAGGGAAGAGTTGCTGTACATATCAATGTCGAACTTATTCATCCATCCTAAATTGGGTTAGAAGTGGGAATTCCTTGGCATGAGGGGTCACAGTGGCCATAATTTGAACTCTGAGCAGGTACGCACCAGCCTGAGCATGGCTCTGGTGTCTTTCATCATGTTTAAGCAAAGGAGCCACAGAGGAATATGAGTGGGGAATGGAACTCGGTAAGGTTTCTTGATACCATTTTTAGTCCCTTTGTAAGTGATGAAGATACCGCTCATGTGTGACTTAACAGTGTCCTTTTGTGAAGTTCCAGAGCCCAGATGGTGTTGTTTGCATAAGAAAGTGTTTTTCTTCTCCATATTACCAGGGAGCCCTTGATGGCAGCCACTCTCCACAGTCTCCTTCTCACCTGTCAAAGTCTGACCCTACAACCCCTTTCTCATTTTCACTTGTCTCTTTCTGAATGAAAATTTTGTTTTTATAATCTAGGATGTATCCATTGCATAATGACCTTCACTCAAAGAAAAAAATTGCTTGTATAAAAAACACCCTCTATCTCTCTGCTTCTATTTAGTGTTCTTTCTTCTCTTTAAATGATAAAAATATTTAACGTGTTTGATGTTTCTTTGACCTTTGCTTGTTATTCATGTACCTGGTTGCCTGTAATCAGAGCTGTTATTTATTATACTTGCTAGAAGCCAAATTCTTTATTCATGTAATTTGTTTTGAAAATACTACTCATGTAGGTACTAAATAAATACCTGATCTTAATGATGATGCTTCAAAATAATAATTATCTTCTATGGTATGATTCTGTTATTTTAATAATTAAAAGTGATTTTTAAATATAATTTTACCCAAACTGGACTATTTCTAGAATATTTAACTCTTGAAATGTTCAGAAACTTTAAGATAAACATTTTATTTCTAGGACTATCCTCAGAAAATTATGGGAAAAGAGGACAGATATCTACATTCAAAAATGTTTATTAAAGTTTTCTTTATAACAAAAATGGAAACAACTTAAATATCAAACAATAAAAAAGTGGAAAAATAAGAAGGCTATATTCATATCATGGAACATAATACTGCTGTTATAAATTATTTTGCTGATAGTATAATGTTAGATTAAAATAGAATACAAAACTATGATAAAATAATCTCAATTTTTTTAATTATAAGCACACACAGAGAAAAAGTAGACAGAGCTGAGGGAATAAATACCAAATGCTGTTATATAATTTGTTTCTTCTAAATGGTAGAATTGGCCAGGTGCAGTGGCTCACACCTGTAATCCCAGCACTTTGGAAGGCCGAGGCAGGTGGATCACGAGATCAAGAGATCGAGACCATCCTGGCCAAGATGGTTAAACCTCATCTCTACTAAAAATACAAAAAATTAGCCGGGTGTAGTGGCACGTGCCTGTAGTCCCAGCTACTTGGGAGGCTGAGGCAGGAGAATCACTTGAACCCGGGAGGCGGAGATTACAGTGAGCCAAGATCGTGCCACTGCACTCCAGCCTGGCGACAGAGGGAGACTCCGACTCAAAAACAAAAAAAGAAAAAGGCAGAATTGTGAATAATGCCTTATTTCTTCATAACTTTCTGTATTCTCTCCAGTGAACATTTTATAATAAGGAATACAAACATTTTTAGAAGCTTTTTATAATATCCACATTAAGTCCAACATTGTATTTGTGTTACTTAGCAATTAAACTTTAAGACATTTTGCAAAATTTTTTTCATGGTTGTTCGCTATTTGTGAAGTAAAATCAAGCAGCCATTTTGCTATTTGCTAGTGTTTGTTTGAGATGAGAAGAAAAGTTGAACTCAGTGAACATAAAACATTTTACATTATCTAAAAATGTCATTCTATGTTATTCCTATTTCTCTCATAGTTAAAGAGTTAGTAAATTGCCTTGAACTTTTAGCCTATATACATTTCTAGCTCCAAGATAAGATCTAGAAAAATGAATATACAAGTTACTTTATTACAATATTACAAGTTACTTTATTACCATATTAATTATTAAACAAGTCATACTTTTCTCCCCTCAAAATTACAAACATAGTTTTCAAAAAATATTGACACTATTTAATGAACATTCAAAAGTTAATACCATTTTGGCCATGCCAAAGTATTTCTGCAATAAATAATCAAATACAAAGTTTTGCATGGTCCTACCTGAGTCTTGGTACAGCCATTGCATTCTGACCAAGGGGCATAGAAGTCCCACTGGCAGTTGACTGGAGAGGAGGCACTGCCACAGTGTCAAATTGTCCATCATAAAGCAGGTGGAAAGATACGCAAGGGAACACAAAGAATAGTGAAAACAGTCAAAAATAGTTAAATGTTGCCTCAAATATTTTTTCCGAAGAGACACTAAAAGGATCCTAAAATATATAAAAATGGAGGGAGCCCCACTTTCTTAGAGACTAACACTTAATAAACATCTATTATGCTGGCACAGTGGCTCAAACCTGTAATCCTAGCACTTTGGGAGGCTGAGGCGGGCAGATCACCTGAGGTCAGGAGTTCGAGACCAGGCTGGCCTACATGGTGAAACCCTGTCTCTACTAAAAATACAAAAAAAATTAGCCAGGCAGGGTGGCGCGTGCCTGTAATATCAGCTACCCGGGAGGCTGAGGCAGGAGAATCACTGGAACCCAGGAGATGGAGGCTGCAGTTACTGGAGATTGCACCACTGCACTCCAGCCTGGGCAACAGAGGGAGTCTCCATCACAAAAAAACAAAATCTATTATGTACCAGGTTCTAAAGACACTAGAATTGTAGAAATAATAAAAGAGGTAGGTCATTGGCCGGGTATGGTTGCTTATGCCTGTAATCTCAGCACTTTGGGAGTCCGAGGAGTGCAGATCACTTGAGATCAGGAGTTTGAGACCAACAGGGCCATCATGGTGAAACCCCGTCTCTACTAAAAATACAAAAATTAGCCAGGCGTGGTGGTGCATGCCTATAATCCCGGCTACTTGGGAGGCTGAGACAGGAGAATTGCTTGAACCTGGGAGGCAGAGGTTGCAGTGAGCTGAGATTGCACCACTGCACTCCAGCCTGGGTGACAGAGGGCGACTCCATCTCAAAAAAAAAAAAAAAAAAAGAGGTAGGTCATTGACTATTGATAGAAGGAAGGACAGAGACACAGATGTGTAAACAAATAATCATAGTACAATATATCTCATTTGATGGATTTCAGAACAGAAATGCATTCAATATAATGTGTTATGGGAATATAGATAAGGGAGAGTTTGAGTTAAGAGGGTAGGTGAAAACATATGTAAATATGTTTTATGGCCTTTGAAAGGAGCAAGGTTTTATGGCCTTTGAAGGGATTCTGAATGATGAGTTGAAAAGTTATCCAGAAACACTTAACTGAAAGACAAGAAACTATAAAAAGTCCCCATGAGAAGTGGAAAACTAAAAATTGGCAGAGGCTGAATGGACAGGAATTTATTTAAATGCATCCCCTGTTCATTTAGGCCATTTTTCAAGCACACAACCAAGGAGGACAATCTGAGCTTAAACAGCTCCACTAAAATAAAGTACATGTGAAAATGGAGAGTTGACTCTCATAAAATGCTCACATTCTGGCCATGTCATATGGAAAAGACTACCTGAGTCAGCTTTAAGAGACTAAGGAAGGCTTGCCTAAAATGATGCTCTACGAAGAATAAAAGAACTAGTATTCCTGATTTCTGGATTCCCAGCACATTCCTCGGCTGGGCAATATCTTGAGTCAAGATGATTCTTGCATGTCTTAAGAGGGTCAGGTTACTCTGAAAGTAATGACTCTCATTCTATAGTGTGTGCCTTGGCTGCTTTTACAGGGCCAATCTTGCCAACCTGTGGTTTTCGTATGGTACCAATGATCAAAATACCTAAATACTTTTGACCCTTGAACAATCTGAACTTACTGTTATTTTTCTAGCCTCTGTCCTGGGGAAATGGAGAGGGCTTCCCCAAACATGGAGACTTAGGAGAGGAAGTTTGCTTGACCTTCCTGCTGTGCTCTCACATCACCCTGAGCAGGCTTCTGTCAGAGCCCTTAACACATTCATATTGCAATGAACTGGCTCAAGATACGAATCACCCAGCATGCTCCCAGTGCCTTCTTGCTCCTTGTGGTATCCCCAGTACCTAGCACAGCCCCTGACACATTTTCTGATAGTTCCATAAAATGAACTGACCTGGCTCTGTCTCATCAATCTGACACAGTGAGAGCATAACAAAGCCTTGGATAAATGATGCTGGCTTTTTTCCAGGCCTCAAGAACTTGGTAAGACTATTTTCTTAAAAAACTCTCAACCTTTAAAATCCAGAGGATGCTTTGCAAGGATTACATTTAAAGATCAAATATTGCTCTAAGATATATAAGTCCACTGTGATTATCTGCATTACAGATAAAACCACGGCACTGAGACAAAAAACTTATACTTTTAGTCTTCAATTTTTAAAAATAATTTTACAAGAGAATTATTCTTCTTTAAGTAAAAGAATAATAATTAAAAACACATGCTTTTGTTATCATTGTCTTTTATAAAAATATGGAAAGAGAAAATATGTTGGAGGGATACACAGATTCAAAGTGCAATGTCAAAATTAGACTAAAGAATTACTAAAACATTTTTTAAATTTAATGATTTTTACACACAACCCAAAAAGTCCTCACCTTGAAAAACTTTGGAACTCTCCTATAAATCCCACCAAAATGAATAAGCTTATCACCTGGAGAAGAAAAACAATAAAGTATTATTTTAGCTTGCATTTCTTTTTATAACTATAAATTGACAATTTATAATTGTATAAATTTATGGGGTACAAAGTGATGTTATTATTTCTCAATACAATGTGAAATAATTTCATCAAGCCAGTTAACATATCTATCACCTAAAATATTTAACATTTTTTGTGGCAAAGAAATTTGAAATTTACTTTTGGCAATTTTGAAATGTATGATACCCCAATTTAACTATATTCACCACGCTGTACAATAGAATTCAAAATATATTTCTGCTAACTGAGATTGTGTACCCTTTGACCTTTATTTCCCTATTACCCCAGTCTCTGTAACCACCATTCTACTTTGCTTCTACAAGTTCGATTGTTTTACATCATATAAGTGAGAACACGTGCTATTTGTCTTCCTGTGCCTGGTTTATTTAACTTAACATAATGTTTTCCAATTCCATCTATGTTGTCATAAATGACAGAATTTCCTCCTTTTTAAGGCTAAATACTATTCCATTGTGTACACACACCACATTTTCTTTATCCATTCATCTGTTGAGGGACACTTAGGTTGATTCTATAACTTGGCTATTGTGAATAGTGCTAAAATGAACATTTACTTTTGTAAATACCCAAAAGTAGGATTGCTAGATCATATGATAATTTTTTTAAGTTTTATGACAAACCTCCATGCAGTTTTCTATAAGAGCTGTACTAATTTACATTCCTACCAAGTGTACAAGTGTACAGGGATTCCCTTTTTTCCACATCCATACCAATGCTTGTTACCTTTTGTCTTTTTGATAATAGCCATTCTGACAGGTGTGAGATGATAACTCAATGTGATTTTAATTTGCATTTCTCTAATGATTAGCAATGTTGAGCACTTTTTTTACGTATCTATTGGCCATTTGCATGTCTTCTCTTCAGAAATGTTTACTCAGGTCTCTTGCCCATTTTTTATTTTTACTTTACTTCCAACTCCCTTTCCTGGTATTTTGCCAATTTTTTATTGGGTTTTTTGTCTTCTTGCTATTGAGTTGTTTGAGCTCCATATATATTTTTGATATTAGCTTCTTCTTGAATGTATGACTTATAAATATTTTCTCCCAATCTGTACATCTCTGAAAACTGATCATTGTCTCCTTTGCCATGCAGAAACTTTTCAGTTTGTTGTAATCCCATTTGTCTATGTTTGCATTTGTTGCCTGCACTTTTGGAGTCAGATCCAAAAAATCCCCACCTAGAAAAATACAGTTTTTCCCTTAGATTTTTTTCAATTAATTTTTCAGTTTCTGGTCTTATGCTTAAGGCTTCATCCCATTCTGAGTAGATTTTTATATACAATGCTAGATAAGGGTCCTATTTAATTCTTTTGCATGTGGATATCCAGTTTTCCCAATACCATTTATTAAAGAGACTATCCTTTCCCCATTGTGTATTCTTGGCAACCTTGCAAAAATAACCAATCGACCATATATGTGGGGTGCATTTCTGGGCTCTCTATTCTGTTCCACTGGTTGATGGGTCTATTGTTTTGCCAGGATCATGATGTTTTAATTACTATAGCTTTGTAGTATAGTTTAAAATCAGGCAGAGTAACACCTCCAGCTTTGTTCTTTTTGCCCATGATTGCCTTAGCCATTTGGGTTTTTTTGTGATTCCATATGAACTTTAAGATTTTTTTCTATTTCTTTGAAAAATGATGTTAGAATTTTGATAAAGATTGCATTAAAACTCTAGATCACTGTGGTAGTATGGACTTTTTAGCAATATTTTCTTCTAATCCATGAACAAGGGATACCTTTCCATTTGTTTATGTCTTCTTCAATTTCTCATCAATGTTTCATAATTTGCAATGTACAGGTCTTTAACTTTCTTGGTTAAATTTATTCCTAAATATTTTTGTAGTTATTGAAAATGTGATTGTTTTCTTAATGTCTTTCTCACATAGTTCATTGTTAGTTTATGGAAATGTACTTTTTAGTGTTTATTTTATATTCTACAATTTTACAGTATTCATTTATTAGTTCTAACAGTTTTCTGGTGGAGTCTGTAGGGTTTTCTACATATAAGATTGTGTCACCAGCAAACACAGGCATTTTCACTTCTTCCCTTTCTATTTTAATGCCTTTCATTTCTTTTTCTTGCCTAATTGCTCTGGCAAGAATTTCCAATACTATGTTGAATAAAAGTGGCAAAAGTGGCAAAAGTGGGCATTTTTGTCTTGATCCAGAGCTTAAATAAAAGGCTTTCAATTTTTCACTGGTGGGTGTAATGTTAGCTGTGGGCTTCTCATATGTGGCATTTATTGTGTCAAGTTACTTTTCTTCTGTACCTAACTTGGTGAGAGTCTTTATCTTGAAATGTTGTTGAACTTTGTCAAATGTTTTTCTGCATCTAACAAGATGATCATATAGTTTTTGTCATTCATTCTGTTAATCTCATACAACATATTTATTGATTTGTGTTGAACCATCCTTGCATTTCAGGAATAAATCCCATTTGATCGTGGTAGATGATACTTTTAATGGGTTGTTCAGTTTGCAACTATTTTGTTGAGATTTTTGTATCTATGTTCACCATGTTCATCAAGAATGTTGGCATGTAGTTTTCTTTTTTTGTAATGTGCTTCTTTGGCTTTGATATCAGGATAACACTGGCCTTGTAAAAAGAATTTGAAAGTATTCCCTCCTTTTCAATTTTTTGGAAGGGTTTGAAAATGATTAGTATTAGCTCTACTTTAAATGTTTGGGTTATCTCTTGCACCCACTGTTGCCATGTGACCTGCCTGTTCCCAGTTTGCCTTCCGCCATGAGTAAAATCTCCCTGCAGGTTTCACCAGAAACTGAGCAAATGTTGATGCCATGCTTGTACAGCCTACAGAACCAAGACCCAATTAAACCTCTTTTCTTTATAAATTACCCAGCCTCAGATATTTCTCTATAGCAACACAAAGAACAGGCTAACACAGAAAATTGGTACTGAGAATTGGGGCATTGCTATAAAGATACCTAACAGTGTGAAAGCAGCTTTGGAACTGGGTAATGAGCAGAGGTTTGAAAAGTTTGGAGGGCTCCAAAGAAGATAGAAAAATGAAAGAAAACTTGAAATTTCTTACAGACTGGTTAAATGATTGTGACCAAAATGCTGATAGTGATAGGCACAGTGAAGTCCAGGCTGATGAAGTCTCAGATGGAAATGAGAAACTTATTGGGAATTAGAGCAAAAGTCACCTGGTTTTGTCTTAGCAAAGAACTTGGCTGCACTCTGTTTATGCCCTAGGGATCTGTAGAAGTTTGAACTTAAGAGTGATAACTTAGGGTATCTAGTAGAACAAACTTCTAAGCAGCAAATTTCAAGATGTGGTCTGGCTGCTTCTAACAGCCTACACTCAGATTTAAGAGCAAAGAAATGACTTAAAGTTGGAATTTATACATGAAAGGGAAGCAGAGTACAAAAGTTTGAAAAATCTGCAGCCTGGCCACGCAGCAGAGAAAGAAAAAGGATCATCAGGAGAGGAATTCAAGGAGGGCTGTGGAGCAAGCACTTGCTACAGAGATTTGCATGACTAAAAGGAAGCCAAGTGTTAATAGCCAAGACAATGGAGAAGAGGCCCCGAAGGCACTTTAGAGATCTTTGAGGCAGCCCCTCCCATCACAGGTCAGGAGGTTTGGGAGGAAAGAATGGTTTCATGGGCCAGGCCCAGGGTCTTGCTGCCCTGCACAGCCTTAAGACACTGATCCCTGCATGCAGGCCACTCTCCAGCTCCAGCCTTGGCTCAGTGAGCCCCAGATACAGCTTGGGCTGCTGCTTCAGCAGGTGCAAACTGTAAGCCTTGGCAGCTTCCATGTGGTATTAGGCTCATAGGCACACATAGTGCAAGAGTGAAGGAGGCTTGGCAGCTTCCAGCTAGATTTCAGATGTATGAGAAAGCCTGGTTGCCCAGGCAGAAGCTGGCTGTAGGGGTGGAGCCCTCACAGGGAACCTCTACAAGGGCTGTAAAGGGGGAAATGCAGGGTTGGAACCCCCCCACACAGTCCCCACTGGAGTACTGCCTAGTGAATTAGTGGAAAGGGGATCACTGTCCTCCAGACCCCAGAATGGCAGATCCACCAGTAGCTTGCATATTGAGCTTGGAAAAGCTTTAGGCACTCAACTCCAACCCATGAGAGCAACTGTGGTGGCTGAACCCTGCAAAGCCAAAGAAGTAAAGTTGCCCAAGAGGTGGAGTGGAGCTCACCCCTCACAGCAGTATGTCCTGGATGTGGAACCTGGAGCCAAGGGAGATTATTTTGAAGCTTTAGGATTTAATGACTGCCATGTTGTGTTTCAGACTTCCATGGGGCCTGTAGCCTCCTTCTAGTAGCTGATTTCTCTTCTTTGGGAAAGGAGAGTTTACCCAATGCCTGTACCCCAATTCTATCTTGGAAGTAAGTAATTTGTTTCGATTTTACAAACTCATAGGTAGAAGAAACTTATCTCCAGATTGGACCTTGTCCTTGAGACTTGAGACTTTTCAGTTAATGCTGGAATGAGTTAAGACTTTGGGTGACTATTGGGCAGGTATCATTGTCTTTTATAGTGTGAGAAGACCATGAGATTCAGGGGGCCAGGGGTGGAATGGTATAGTTTAGATGTCCCTTTCAAATCTCATGTTGAAATGTAATCCCCATGTTGGAGGTGGGGGCCTGTTGGAAGGGGTGGATTTCTCATAAATTGTTTAGCACCATCCCCTCAGTGTCATCCTTGCAATAGTGAGTCTCATTAAGATCTGATTGTTTTAAAGTGCATGACATTTTCCCCCTCTCGCATACTTTTTTTTTTTTTTAAGACAGAGTCTTGCTCTGTCGCTCAGGCTGGAGTGCAATGGCACAATCTCGGCTCACTGCAACCTCCACCCCCTGGGTTCAAGTGATTCTCCTGCCTCAGCCTCCTGAGTAGCTATGATTACAGGCACCTGCTACCATGCCTGGCTAAATTTTGTATTTTTAGTAGAGACAGGGTTTCACCATGTTGGCCAGGCTGGTCTTTAACTCCTGACCTCAGGTGATCTGCCTGCCTCAGCCTCCCAAAGTGTCAGGATTACAGGCGGGAGCCACCACACCTGGACCCCTCACTCATTCTTGCTCTCACTATTGCCATGTGACATGTCTGCTCTTGCTTCACCTTCTACCATGAGTAAAATCTCCCTGAAGGCGTCACCAGAAGCTGAGCTGATGTTGATGCCATGTTTATGCAGCCTGCAGAACCACAAGGCAATTAAACCTCTTTTATTTATAAATTACCCAGTCTCAGGTATTTCTTTATAGCAACACAAATAATGGCCTAATACAATTAGTGATATTGAGCATTTTTTCATATACCTGTTAGCCATTTGTATGTCTTCTTTTGAAAAATGTCTATTCAGAGCATTTGCCCATTGTTAATCAGATTAATATTATTATTAACATATGCTACTGAGTTACTTCCCTTTACATTTTGATTCTTAATCCCTTGTCAGATGAACAGCTTGCAAATATTTTCTCTAATTCCATAGGTTGTTCCTCTTTACTCTTTTGATTGTTTGCTTTGTAGAAGCTTTTTAGCTTGATATAATCCCATTTGCCCATTTTTACTTTTGTTTTCTGTGTTTTTGAGATCTTACCCCAAAAAACGTTGCCTAGACCATTGATCTATGCTGTTTCCCTATGTTTTCTTCTAGTTGTTTCATAATTTCACATTTTACATTTAAGTCTAATTCATTTTGAGTTATTTTTGTATATGGCAGAAGATAGGAATCTAGTTTTATTCTTATAAATATGGATGCCCAGTTTTCCCAAAACCATTTCTTACAGAGATTGTCCTTTCCCCAATGTATGTTCTTCTTTTTTTTTTTTTGACAGTCTCACTCTGTCACCCAGGCTGGAGTGCAGTAGTGCGATCTTGGCTCACTGCAACCTCCTCCTCCTGGGTTCAAGCAATTCTCCTGCCTCAGCCTCCTTAGTAGTTGAAATTACAGGCACGTGCCACCACACCCAGCAAAATTTCTGTATTTTTAGTAGAGACGGGGTTTCACCATGTTGGTCAGGCTGGTCTCAAACTCCTAACTTCATGATCCGCCCACCTCAGCCTCCCAAAGTGCTGGGATTACAGCTCTGAGCCACTGCGCCCAAGCCCCGAGTGTATGTTCTTCTTTTTTTTTTTTTTTTTTTTTTTTTTTGAGACAGAGTCTCACTCTGTTGCCCAGGATGGAGTGCAGTGACACAATCTCTGCTCACTGCAACCTCCACCTCCTGGGTTCAAGCATTTCTTCTGCCTCAGCCTCCCAAGTAGATGGGACTACAGGTGTGTGCCACCATACCTGGCTAATTTTCGTATTTTTAGTAGAGATGGGCTTTCACTATGTTGGCCAGGCTGGTCTTGAACTCCTGACCTTGTGATCTACCCACCTCAGCCTCCCAAAGTGCTGGGATTACAGGCATGAGCCACTGCACATGGCCTCCAATGTATTTTTTGTTGTTGTTTTTGTTTGTTTGTTTGTTTGTTTGTTTGTTTTTGAGACAGAGTCTTGCTCTGTCACCCAGGCTGGAGTGCAATGGCATGTTCTTAGCTCACTGCAACTTCCACCTCACAGGTTCAAGCCATTCTCCTGCCTCAGTCTCCTGAGTAGCTGGGATTACAGTTGCGCACCACCACGCCTGGCTGATTATTGTATTTTTTTTAGTAGAGACGGGGTTTCACCATGTTGGTCAGGCTGGTCTCGAACTCCTAACCTCGTGATCCACCCACCTCGGCCTTCCAAAGTGCTGGGATTACAGGCATAAGCCACCATGCCCAGCCCAATGTATGTTCTTACCACTTTTGTCAGAAATGAGTTGGTTGTAAATACGTGAATTTATTTCTTGGTTCTCTATCCTGTTCAGCCATCTATGTGTCTGTTTTTAGGACAGTAGTATGCTATTTTTGTTAGCATACTACTTTTTTTTTTTGTATAAACTACTTTTGTTTTTTTTAATAATCTACTTTTGTTGTAGCTTTGTAGTATAATTTAAAAGCAGGTAGTGTGATACCTCCAGCACTGTTATTATTCAGAATTTCTTTAGCTACTTGGAGTCTTTTGCTGTTTCATAAATTTTTAGAATTTTTTCTATGTCTGTGAATAATTTCATTGGTATCTTGATAGAGATTACATTGAATCTGTAGATCACTTTGGGGAGTATAGATATTTTAATGGTATTAATTTTTCCAATCCATGAGCATGGGATATCTTTCCTTTTTTGTGTTCTCTTAAATTACGTTCATCAGTGTTTTATAGTATTTTTTGTAGAATCTTTAACTTCTTTGATTAAATTTATTCCTTGGTATTTTATTTTATAGCTTTTATAAATGGAATTTATTTCTTGATTTTCTTTTCAGAACCATCTCTGTTAGCATGTAGGAATGCTGCTGATTTTTGCATGTTAATTTGGTAGCCTGCAAATTTACTGAATTAATTTATCACTGCTAAGATTTATTTAGTGTAGTCTTTCATTTTTTTTTTTTTTTGGAGACAGAGTCTTGCTCTGTCGCCCAGGCTGAAGTGCAGTGGCATCATTTTGGCTAACTGCAACCTCAGCCTCCCAAGTTCAAGCAATTCTCCTGCCTCAGCCTCCTGAGTAGCTGAGATTATAGGCGTGCACCACCACGCCCAGTGAAGTTTTGTATTTTTAGTAGAGATGGGGTTTCCCCATGTTGGGCAGGCTGGTCTCAAACTCCTAACCTCAGGTGATCCACCCTCCTTGGCCTCCCAAAGTGCTGGGATTATGGGCATGAGCCACCATGCCCAGCCTACATTTTTTTCTAAATATAAGTTCATGTTGTTTAAAAGCAAGAATAACTTGACCTCTTCCCTTTAAATTTGAATGCCATTTATTTTGTTGTCTTGCCTAATTGCTATCGTTAGGACTTTCAGTATTATATTGAATAAAAATGGTGACAGTGAGGAAAAATAAAAAATAAATGTTTGGTAGAATTCAGCCATGAAGCCATCAAGTCCTCTGCTTTTTTTTTTTTTTTTTTAATGGGAGAACTTTTATTACAGATTCAATCTTTTTACTCATTATTGGTATGTTCAGATTTTCCATTTCTTTATGATTCAGTCTTTGTATGTTGTATGCTTTGGAGCACCTAAACATATAAAACAGATATTTATATTTATACAATATGTAAATATTGTATTGCAACCCATCTCTTTCTTCAGATCCACAGGATCTGATGGATTGCAATGTAACAGTAGAAAACTTCCATACCTCACTTTCAATGCTGGAAGATCATCCAGACAGAAAATTAATAAGAAAACATTCAACTTGAACAACACTTTACAGAAACACTTTACAGGACCTAAATGAACAGAAGAATTTAACCACTTCTTCTTAGTTATCCAATTTGTTGATGTATAATTGTTGATGATAGTCCCTGATGATCTTTTGTATTTTTGTGGTATTATGAATCTTCTTTTTTTTAAATTAATCTAGTTTGTCAAATTTGTTCATCTTTTCAAAAAAGAACTTATTTTATCTATCTTTTGTATTGTTTTTCTAGTCTCTATTTCATTTATTTCTGCTCTGATTTTTATTATTTCCTTTCTTATGCTAACTTTGGCTTAGTTTATTCTTCTTTTTCTGTTTCCTTGAGGTATGACATTAGCTTATTTATTT
The DNA here is from genome assembly GCF_000001405.40 of Homo sapiens. NCBI lineage: Eukaryota > Metazoa > Chordata > Mammalia > Primates > Hominidae > Homo > Homo sapiens. The sequence goes on along the minus strand of NC_000005.10, from coordinate 40,919,898 downwards.
TAAATCTTTCTTCTCTTTGATGTAGACATTTATTGTTATAAACGTTCCTCTTTGAACTGTTTTTGCTGTATCCCATATGTTTGCTATGTTGTGTTTCCATTTTTGTTTATCTTAAGATAACAAGATTTTTATCTTGTTATCTAAAGATTTTTAATTTCCCTTTTAATTTCATTGACCTATTGGTTGTTGAGGAGCATGCTAATTTCCATATATTTGTGGATTTTTCAAAATTCCCCCTATATTCATTCATTTATTTTTATTTATTTATTTTTAGAGACAGGGTCTTTTTCTGTCACCCAGGCTGGAGTGCACTCGCACAGTCATAGCTACTGCAGCCTTGAACTCCTGGACTTAAGCAATCCTCCCACCTCAGCTTTCCAATTAGCTGGGACTACAGGTGCATAACATGACACCTAGCTTCCTCCCATAATTGATTTCTAGTGTCATATCACTGTGGTCAGAAAAGATACTTGAGGCCAGTTGTGGTGGCTCACACCTGTAATCCCAGCACTTTGGGAGGCCAAGGTGGGCAGATCACTTGAGGTTAGGAGTTTGAGTCCAGCCTGGCCAACATGGTGAAACCCCGTCTCTACTAAAAATACAAAAATTAACTGGATGTGGTGGTGCACGCCTGTAGTCCCAGCTGCTCGGAAGGGATGAGGTGGGAGAATCACTTGAGCCTGGGAGGTGGAGGTTGTAGTGAGCTGAGATCAGACCACTGCACTACAGGCTGGGTGACAGAGCAAGACTCCAACTCAAAAAAAAAAAAAAAGATACTTGATATAATTTCAATCTTCTTAAATTTGCTGAAGCTTGTTTTTCCCCCTAAAATGTTATCTGTCCTGGAGAAAGTTCTGTGTGCACTTGAGAAGAATGTGCATTCTGTTGCTGTTGGATGGAATGTTCTGTGTGTGTGTGTGTGTGTGTGTGTGTGTGTGTGTGTGTGTGTCTGTTAGATTCATTAGGTCTAAAGCGATTTTCAAATCCAATGTTTTCTTACTAATTTTCTGGATTATCTTTCATTGTTGAAAGTGGCGTATTGAAATACCCTACTATAATTGTATTGCAATCTGTCTCTTCCATCATATCCTTAATATTTATTTTATATATTTAGGTTCTCTGAAGTTGGGTGCATATATATTTACAATTGTTATACCCTCTTGATGAGTTGACTCCTTTATCATCATATAATGTCCTTACTTTTTTTTTTTACAGTTTTTGACTTTAAGTCTATTTTGTCTTATATAAGTATAGTTATCCCTGCTTTCTTTTGGTTTCTATTGATGTGGAATATCTTTCTTCCATTGCCTAATTTTCAATCTGTGTGCCCTTAAAAGTGAGGTGAGTTTCCTGCAGGTAACGTATAGTTGGCTCTTGTTTTTTTATTCATTCACTTACTCTATATCTTTTTACTGGAGAACTTAATTCATTTACATTCAAGGTAATTATTGATAGATAAGGACTTACTACTGCCATTTTGTTATGTTGTTGTTGTTGTTTTTCTTGTTGTTGTTGTTGTGGTATTGTAGATACTTTTTTTTTGGAGATAGGGCCTCTCTTGCCCAGGCTGGAGTGCGGTAGTGTGATCACAGCTCACTGCACCCTCGACCTCCCAGGCTCAAATGATGCTCCCACCTCAGCCTTTGTGAGTAGCTGGGACCACAGGTACGTGCCACCACATCCAGCTAATTTTTTTTGAAGTTATTGTAGAGATAGGGCCACCCTATGTTGCCCAGGCTGGAAGATACATTTTTCTTTCTTTCTGTCTTGTTGTCTTTGTGGTTTCGCAGTTTTCAATAGTGGTATTCTTTGAATACTATTTCTGTTTTGTGCTTCTACTAAAGATTTTTGCTTTGTGCTTATTATGAGGCTTCCAGAGAACATCTTATAATCACAACAGCTTATTTCAAGGTGATTACAACTTAACTTTGCATACAACTCTACATTTTTACTCTCCCGTCAAACAGTTTATATTTTTTTGATGTCAGAATTTACATCATGTGTATCCTTTGAAAAGTTATTTTAGTGTTACTATAGTTGTCATTAATAGTTCTAGCTTACATTTCTTAAATGATTTGAAAACTATTACATTTGTACAAGTCAAGATTTGTGACTTGGCAGTATAAAAAGTGAAAGAACCATGGAGAAGGCTAAGTGACTCTGCTTATCTTTTTAAGTTTCTATTTTAAATAGAAGTTTGAAGGATCTTCAAAAAATTAAAAATAGAACAAGCATATGATTCAGCAATCCCCTACAGGGTATATAGCCAAAGTAAATGAAATCAGTATATCAAAGAGAAATGTGCACTCCCATGTTCATTGCTGCATTATTTACAATAGCCAAGATACAGAACCAACCTAAGTGTCCATCAAAGGATAAGGGGATAAAGAAAATGTGGTAAAGAGACACAATGAAATAGTACTTGGCCTTAAAAAAAGAAGAAAATTCTGTCATTTGTGACAACATGGATTAACCCAGATAACATTATGTTAAGTGAAATAAAACAAGCAGAAATAAAACATTCAGTATTTTTCTTTCTAGAAAAATACTTATATTTGGAATCTAAAAATGTTGAAGTCTAATAAGTAAAGAGTAAAATGGTTACCAAGGGCCATGGGGGCAGGGTGGGGATTGTTGAAGAGATGTTGGTCAAAGGTTACAAAACTTCAGTTACATAGAAGGAATAAGTTCAAGAGATCTATCATACAAAATGGTGACTTACTTAATACCAATATATTATATTCTTTTTCTTTTTTTTTTTTTTGAGATGGAGTCTCGCTCTGTCACTCAGGCTGGAGTGCATTGGCACAGTCTTGGCTCACTGCAACCTCTGCCTCCCAGATTCAAGTGATTCTCTTGCCTCAGCCTCCCAAGTAGCTGGGATTACAGGTGAGCGCCAACATGCCTGGCTAATTTTTGAATTTTTAGTAGAGACTGGGTTTCACTATGTTGGCCAGGCTGCTCTAGAACAATGTATTATATTCTTAAAAACTCCTAAGAGAGTAGATTTTAAGTATTCTCCCTACAAAAGTATGGGAGGTAATGCATATGGTTAATTAGCTCAATTGAGCCATTCTACAATATATACATATTTTATAACATCATGTTGTGCACAATAAATAGACACAATTTTTATTTGTCAGTTAAAAGAAATAAATTACAAAGATAAATAAATGCTTTTTTAAAAAAAAAATAAAAATTTGGTACAATCCTGTCAAACTCTATCTCCTACCGCTGAATTCTCTAAAGACAAGTAAGGGTTGGGTGATGCCATGGACACACAAATTGAAAATACTCAGTAGACTTAAATGGTTTCGAGCATTTCCTTAAGGTCCCATCATCTTTTAATCCCTTATTCCACTCCGGTTCTCTCTGACTACAGCACTCCGGAGGGATACCAAGAGGAGAGAAAACCTGAATGAAGTAGCAGTGCAAATGGCTGATTTTAAAAAGAAACCAAGCTTCCTAAGTTGGTAATCAAGGTTGAAGCACAGCAGTAGGCAGGGGGCAGTGACTCTCATCTTATTCTTTAGTACTGTGGGTGGTCCGTTTGATGTTTAAAACACTCCTGAGGCCTTTTATGATCATCTTTATGTGATAGCACAAGCCTAAATAAATACAGAGGATCTGATAGGTTACAAAATTGTACATAAAATGTGATTACATTTTGTTTGAAAAATCAAATGTGCATTGAAAAACAAAATCTAGAAAGAAATATAATAAAGCATAATAGTTTATTTCTGGTTGTCAAATTATAGGTAGTTTCTATTATATATTTTCCTACTTTAACTGTATGTATTTTCCTACTTTAACTGATAGCTGAAGGTGATGGAGAAGATACAATTCAAATCTTTACTGATTCTCTAAGAATATCAAATGCATCCAATTTATAACTCTGGATAAAGGACTTTAAAATCATCTCACATTTTAATAGCCCAATATTTTCTCTCTTCTTCCTGAACTCCCCAAAACTCTTTTTCTCAATGTACCTATGAAAAGTCTTCTTAACATTATTTTCTGGATCTTTCCACTATCCTTCTTAGATAACCCATTCTCTTATTAGGTATCTTTTTTTCAGTTGTAAAATTCTGCCTGCCTGCTTCTGGCTGTTAGAGTTCTAAAAATGTTTAAGCCTATTGTGCTGATTAGCATATCTGAAAGGGTGAAAAGGTGCCAAGGAGTTGGGAAACTGTGAACAATGTTGGGGGAGGTTATTTGGGGGAGACTATGAATACTTTTCTGACTTCAACAAACATGTGGATCGTATAAGTTTTTAAGACGTTTTTGTTTTAAATTATAAGCTATGTGGGGTGTGTTTTTTCTTTTCCAATAATGTGGCTTTCCTCCGTGCTGTGTCAGCTCATTTTGTCTTGTCCCTGGGAAAGCCTATCTCACAGCTTTACTAGTCATTTTTAGGCATTAACCACTAGTCACATTTTCAGAAAACAATCTATTATAATATTCAAACTTCAATTTATCCTCCAATTTTAAATCTGTCTCTCTTACTTTCAGTTTCTGAGTGCTTGTAATGAGGGAGGAGTGGGTCCACTTCAAAATTGCGCCACCTGACTCCTCTTCCCCACCTCCCCAAGCTGCCTCTTTCCTCTCCAAAATCAGAGCAACAGGAATGAGAGAGACAAGAGTAAAACAGAATCTTGCTTGACTGATCCAGTTGGAGTCTGGTGATGGCAAATCAATGTGTTAGACGTTTGACTGCTGATTCTTTATCTCTCCCAGTGTTTTTGTGGTTCTTTGGACGTCTTCCTACTACTCTGTAGCCACTGTACTCTGGCACAAATGATTCATCCCTTTGTTAATCACTTTCGATTCTCACCCATGCCTGCTTCCTGGGGGTCCTTTCCAAACTGATGCTATTTCTTGGGGTTGCTTCATCCTGCAGTCAAGCACTCTCTCAGGCAGTGTCTCTGACAGTCCAAATCTGGTTCCCTTTTAACCATCCATATGCGGGCCATGGGATCCCTGCACACATCCGTGTCCTGCCAAACTCTGAATGTCCGCGCTGTAACTGATACTGCTGGGTTTATTTACTCTGCTAAAGGAGGTCTGTACCTTTACATTTTCTCAAATGTGCATAGGGTAGCATTTCCTATATCTCCGATGCACAATCTTGTATTCTCTTGAGAATAGGGATGGCCCAAGGGTTACCAAACAGATTTGGGAATACTCTCTTTGTAATATTGCATAGAATGTCTAGCATCTCACTTTAAAATGTGAAGGTCCTCCTGTCTCTCACCTTATACAAAAATCAACTCAACATGGATTGAAAACTTAAATGTAAGACCTGAAACTATAAAAACACTAGAAGAAAACCTAGGGAAAACTCTTCTGGACATTGGTCTAAGCCAAGAATTCATAACTAAGGCCTCAAAAGCACAAGCAACAAAAACAAGATTAGACAAATGGAACTTAATTAAAATTAAAAGCTTCTCTACAACAAAAGAAATAATCAACAGCGTGAACAGACAACCTACAGAATGGGAGGAAATATCTGCAAATTATGCATCTGACAGAGAACTAATATCCAGAATCTACAAGAAACTCAAACAATGATAACAACAAAAACAACAACAACAAAAACATTAAAAAGTGGGCAAAGGACATGAATAGACATTTTTCAAAGACATACAAATGGCTCACAAGCATATGAAAATGTGCTCAACATCACTAATCATCAGAGAATTAAATTAAAACCACAAGGAGATATCATCTTACACAGTCAGAATGGCTACTATTAAAAAGTAAAAAAACTGGCTGAATGTGATGGCTCACACCTGTAATCCCAACACTTTGAGAGGACAAGGCAGGAGGATTGCTTGAAGCCAGAAGTTTGAGACCAGCCTAGGCAACATAGTAAGACTCTGTCTCTACAAAAAATAATTCTTAAAAAATTATTTGGGGCGGTCGGACGCAGTGACTCACGCCTGTAATCCCAACACTTTGGGAGGCTGAGGCGGGCAAATCATGAGGTCAGGAGATCAAGACCATCCTGACTAACACGGTAAAACCCCATCTCTACTAAAAATACAAAAAATTAACCAGGCATGTTGGCACGCACCTGTAGTCTCAGCTACTTGGGAGGCTGAGGCAGGAGAATCGCTTGAACCCAGGAGGTGGAGATTACAGTGAGCCGAGATCATGCCACTGCACTCCAGCCTGGGTGACAGAGCAAGACTCCATCTTAAAATATATAAATATACAAAATATACATATATATATATTTGCACATGGTGGCACATGCCCAGATAGTGCCAGCTACTCAGGAGGCTGAAGCAGGAGGATCACTTGAGCCCAGGAATTCAAAGGTGCAGTGAGCTATGATTGCACCATTACTCTCCAGCCTGGATAACAGAGCAAGACACCATCTCTCTTTAAAAATGTCAAAAAATAACAGTTGTTGGTAGGAATGCAGAGATAAGTGAGAATAGGGAATAGTATATATTCCCACCAATATATACTATTGGTGGGAATGTAAATTAGTACAACTTCCATAAAAAACAGTATGGAGATTTCTCAAAGAACTAAAAATTGAACTACCATCGGATCCATCAATCCCACTACTGGGTATCTACCCAAAGGAAAAGAAATCATTATATCAGAAAGATACCCGTACTCGTATGTTTATCTCAACACTATTCACAATAGCAAAGATATAGAAGCAACCTAAGTGTCCAACAACAGATGATTGGATAAAGAAAATGCAGTATATACACAATGAAATACTGTTCAATTTTTTAAAAAAGAATGAAACCATGTCTTTTGCAGCAGCATGGATGGAACTAGAGGCCATTATATTAAGTGAAACAACTTAGAAACATAAAATCAAGTACCTCATATTCTCACTTACAAGTAGGAGCTAAATAATGTGTACACATGGACAAAAAGTATGGAATAATAGACATTGGAGACTCAGAAGAGTTGGGGATAGAAAGGGGAAGAGTGATGAGAAATTACTTAATGGGTACAATGTACATTATTTGGAAGATAGATACACTGAAAGCCCAGACTTCAACACTACCCAATATATCCATGTAACAAAATTGCACTTGTACCCCTTAAATGTATACAAATAAAATAACTAAATGAATAAAATTTCCAAAAAAAACCATAAAATTTCAAAAAATCTTGAGTACTTGTTCTTGGCCTTTGACTCTCAGCCAAAATGTGGATAATGAAAATAATTATTTCTAACATTCTGTCACAGGTGTTTTAAAATAATTTCAGCCAGGTTTGGTGGCTCATGCCTGTAATCCTGGCATTTGGGGAGGACAAAGTGGTAGGATCACTTGAGCCCAGGAATTTGAGGCCAGCCTGTTGCAACAAAAAATACAAAAATTAGCCAGGCATGGTGGCGGGCACCTGTAGTCCCAGCTACTCAGAAGACTAAGGTGGGAGGATCACTTGAGCCCAGGATGTAGCAGCTGCAGTGAGCCATAATTGTACCACTACACTCCAGCCAGGGCAACAGAGCAAGATCTTGTCTCAAATTTAAAAGCATTTTTTAAAATAAAGAATTTCAATGAAATTTTAGGAAATATACTTTTTATCATCATGGATGCCTTTGTCATCACCTTCTTCATATACATACTCATTATAACCCATCAAGGTCTGCTTATTACAAGACCAGTTCTGTTCATGTTATACAAAGTGAATCTACTAACCAAAAGCATTTCTTGAAATTTGGCTAGCCTTAGGATAATTACCTTTGGAAAAAATACCTTATAAATGAACAAGAGAGATAGAACAAACACAAATAAATCATGTGAATGACAGTGATAGACATACATCTGAACTGACTCTATAAAAGAATTGCTTGGTTGAAGAAGTATGTGGGGCCGGGCGTGGTGGTTCATGCCTGTAATCCCAGCACTTTGGGAGGCCAAGGCAGGTGGATCATGAGGTCAGGAGTTCAAGACCAGCCTGGCCAATATGGTGAAACCCCATCTTTACTAAAAAAAAAAAAAAAATACAAAAATTAGCAAGGCATGGTGGCGCACGCCTGTAGCCCCAGCTACTCAGGAGGCTGAGGCAGAAGAATCGCTTGAACCCAGGAGGCGGAAGTTGGAGTGAGCAGAGATCGTACCTCTGCACTCCAGCCTGGGCAACAGAGTGAGACTTTGTCTCAAAAAAAAAAAAAAAAGAAAGAAAGAAAAAGTGTGTGGTATTTTTGTTCTGTGTCAATGTAGCTAAGCTGGAACTACATTCCCCTGAATTATCTTCTCCTCTTTATCATCAATGAATGAGCATTAGCTCTACCTCCTTCTTCCAGTATGTCCCAGCTACAATCCTGATTTGAGACATTACTGTGCTTGACCATCACTGTGCTTGGGCACTGTGACGACCATTCCCTAGATTCACAGGCCCCAAGCTCAGCTCTCTCCTGGAGGGACGGAACAAATGGCTGGGCCACAGCCAGCTCCGAGGGAAGTCCCTTGTCCCTGACATCCTTCTCCAACACCTCAGATCCAAGTTATTTCCTATCCAAGAACACAGAGAGAACCAAAGGGAATCCTGTGACTGTCTCTCTGAATTTAGTTCACGTGGGGGCTGTGGGGCCAAAACATTGCTTCCTCTTAAAAAGTCTGACATAGAAACCATTTCTAGCTTCTTGATAGCCCAAGGCTTTCACAAGTGTCCCTTCTTTGTCACATATCACCAAAGCATGTCCTTCAGGTTTACTGTAAAAATATGAATGTCCACTTTCAAATACAGGTAAGAACTCTACATGCGACTTGGAGTGAAATAATTGCTTTAGTGTTACAGTTGTTTTAGAACTTGTCTATCAGGCTTCCCAATTTTTGCTGGAAAGCCCCTATATGTAAAATTTTTAAAAAATTAATTGCTTTATTTGTTGATATTTTGTCAACTAATTAAAGGATAGAAGTATATTTATTATTACAGCAGTAAAATATTATAATAATGATTGTAAACATGTTTTTAAGCACAAAGCAATTATTAAGATTTCTTATTGTAAAATAAAGTAAAAGATTAATAGTTAACACAAATATTAGGAAAAAACATTTTGGCTAGATAACTTTCAGAAGAGCATCATTTTCTTTTCTTGTTTTTTTTTTGTTTTTTTTTTTTTTGAGAGAGAGTCTCACCTTATTGCCCAGGCTGGAGTGCAGTGTCTAGTGTTGCCATCTTTATGCCCATGAGTACCCAATATTTAGCTCCCACTTAAAAATTAAGAACATGGGGTATTTGATTGTCTGTTCCTGCGTTAATTTTCTTAGGATAATGACCTCTATCTGCCTCCATGTTGCTGCAAAGGACATGATTTCATTCTTTTTTATGACTGCCCATCATAACTTTAAACAAATTAACTTTGTTATTTGTGTTTAATTTTAATTATTTAATTTCACAGAAGGCATGGCTTAATCAAGATCCATATCTTGCTCCTCCTCTAACCCCAATAATGAGCGAGCTTGGATTCGGTGCCCCAATGGACAATACAGTGACTATGGAAGCAATCTAGCCACTGACAGATCTGTGAAATTATTCCTACAGTCTTACAATGCAACATTTTTAAAGTTTAAATACCAAAATTTACAATAATAAAATTTGAATAGCAATCTCAACTTATTTTTGCATTCCAGAGATTTAGTCTATGATAGCGATTTCTATCTTTGGTCTTATCTTTTGTTGAATAGCTTTTTGGTTGTGTTTTGTTTTGTTTTTTAATATTTGGCCTTTTTGCATTGGGCCAACATGTATACTTGGTAGACCTTTAGTTTTATTCCATCTACTCATATCTTCTATTCTCACAATGCTGACTCTTTCATCCAGGATTTCAAATTCTCAAGTTCCAAGCCTGCAAATTTGCTTTTCTATTAGCTCTTAGATAAATCGCAGGACCCTACTGCATGGCTCCTAATCCAAACAAGCAAAAAAAAAAAAAAAAAATACACCAGAGGAAAGTTTTTCCCAAGAAATAACAATAGTACTATTGTATTTCTTTATGACTTTATCGGGACTTTCATAAACATTGTCTCCAATTCCTGATTCCCAGACCTCTGGACCTATAATTTCACCACAAGATAAGAAAAAGGAATTCACTTTGGCTGAACTGTTAAATATGTTTAAATAAGGATTTCTAAACATCACCCCCAGGTCTTTTTCTTCTGTATTTTCCTCTGGCCTTCTATTTATTTGATGTCTTTCAGTTAGGTATTACACCTCTTCGTTTAAATTACATTTATATTACCCCCGTTCATTTGAAAAGATAGCTTCATTTACAAAAGTAATGAATTTATTGTCTTACCTTCATGTTTGGGAAAACATTCAGGGCAGAAGAGAGGAGGAAGATTTCCTCTGTAAGGGCCGGGTAAGTTTTCAACAGCAGGAAGAGCCCAGCAGGCTGCCTGCCTCTCTGCCTCTCCCTGCTCTAGATTATCTTGGCACTCATATATAGAGCAAGTGGTCCTGAGATTTAGCTCCTACCCCAACCGGATTCTCCAACGACAGCAAGAGCCTGACCTTGTACTTAATCTGTGCCTTGAAACCAGATGCATCTTATCAATTACACAGCCTTAGCTACAGCCAGCTGGGACTGTTTGGAAGTTATAGATATGTTTCTTAGAAACATATCTATAAATCAGGAAACACAGCAAATGTTCTCAGTTCAATGTTTAAGTGATTTTCAACCAAAGGAGACTCTGTAAGGCAAGGGATGAGCCTCCTTCTTGTTTCAATCTACTAAACTAAGTGGATGTTTTCATGATTCTCTTAAAAGGTGTTATATGCCAGACTTTGAGATTAAATATTTTATGAAAGAAAATATTTAAATGCAGTTCTGTCACTCAAAATCTAAATAGAATGTTCTGGAGTAGAATTTTTCCCCAAAGTACAGCCTAATACAACCCAATAGTCATCCCTTCATGCTTAACTTTCACAGAATAATCAGAAAGAATATCAATTTTTGTAAACATATTTGAGGACATCACTAATTTTCTCAAGAACTTCACTTAATCCTTTGATAATCAGATCACTGTGTTGGAAAGTTCTTCTCAGGGTCATTATCCACATCCATTTTCTCTCCTTTGCTTTTTATCTTGTCTTATTCTACCAGGTCTTTATTTTCCCATAGCTTTGCATTGATTCTAGCAAGTCCCCAACATCACCTTCATACATTTAATAAAATGCTGCTTATTTTGCAAGATTTTAGATTTCCTATTGAAACTGAGCTACAGTTGGCCAGGCGCGGTGGCTCATGCCTGTAATCCCAGCACTTTGGGAGGCCAAGGCGAGCGGACCAAGAGGTCAGGAGTTCGAGACCAGCCTGGACAATACAGTGAAACCCCGTCTCTACTAAAAACACAAAAAAATTAGCCAGGCATGGTAGCATGCACTTGTAGTCCCAGCTACTCAGGAGGCTGAGAGAGAAGAATCACTTGAACCCAGGAGGCGGAGGTTGCAGTGAGCTGAGATCGCACCACTGCACTCCAGCCTGGGAGACAGAGTGAGATTCCATCTCAAAAAAAAAAAAAAAAAAAAAATTGAGCTACAGTTTTATTTGTATTGTTGGACCAAATATTCTAACACTAGCTGCTAGTGCATTATGAGTGAGGTAGAATAAATGTTAAGCGGGAAAGAAAATTTGAGTTAAGAATAATTTTATAAGTAAACATTCCATTAGTGAAGATTTTCTAGCTTTAATGACTTTTTCTTCCTATATCCAAAGCACTGGAATAATAAAGACAACCCCTATCCTCCCCTCATAAATTAATGGTGGTTTCCAGAGACAAAGCTTCCGCATCTTTTGTTCAAAGCTTTAGTGATTTGTGTGGAAGAAATTTTGTCACAGAGACAAAGATCCTGACTCCTGAAAGAAATATTTTTTATTCAGCTCCAACTGCATAAATTCCAGATGCCATAGACTCATCTTAAATTCTCAATATACAATTCCATTTCAGCGGCTCTCTTAGTTTGGGTTCCCCCAGAAGTAGATTCAGAAACAAGAATTCAATTGCAAGTAGTTTGTTTTTGTTTTTGTTTTAAGAGATAATCTTAGAAAGCACCACTGGAAGTGGGAAAGTGAGATTGGGGAGAAAAGAAAGTCAATAAAGGGTGTTTTATCAAGCAAGAGACTCCAGTGGGCAATTTGAGTTCAGTTCTAATGAGGAACTCTGAAAGACATTGCACACGAACTCTGCAATTAAGAGTTAGTCCAGCCAGGTGTGGTGGTTCACACCTGTGATCCCAGCACTTTGGGAGGCTGAGGTGGGTGGATCACTTGAGGTCAGGAGTTCAAGACCAGCCTAGCCATGATGGTGAAGCCCCATCTCTACTAAAAATACAAAAAAAAAAAAAAGCCAGTTATGGTGGTTCATGCCTGTAATCCCAACTACTCAGGAGGCTGAGGCACGAGAATCACCGGAACCCAGGAGGCAGAGGCAGCAGTGAAGTGAGATTGCACCACTGAAGAGACTGCACTGCTGAAGAGCAGCCTGGGTGACAGAGCGAGAGCCTGTCCCCCAAAAAAAAAAAAAAAAAAAGAGTTAGTCCAATTAAGGGGTAAGGAAACCCATCGCTGATGATGAAGGTAGCTTCTGAACCCATTGGCTCTCTGGCACTACCAGCTTGCCCTGGGGGCAAGCTAAGCACACGCCTGCAGCCATAAGTAAAGGTTTTCAAGCAGGGAATTGTAGCATTTGCAATATTTGCAGGTGTTTACCTTTGTCATTTAGAGGCGAGCGATGAAGGAATATGGGTAGGGTACCAACAGCATCTGCTACAGTAGCTTTTTATTTATATATACATGCATGTATTAATTTTTTCATCCTGAATTTGATCAATATTTTCTAAAATGTGTAATATGATAGGCTATCAGCTTTGACAGGTAGAAGCCTTAAGCTATATCCTTCCTTATTTTTGTTCTTTACATGCTATAAAGGACCGTATTAGCCCATTTACAGAATATCCTTAATCTAGAGGATGATTTGGATATATTTATAGTAATTTAGAACTTGAATTGTTCAGCTCAGGTATCCCATAGATCATTCAATTCTGAAAGGGTTACAGAAACTTCCTTTCCCCAATTGCCTTGCACACTCCTACCTTCATATCTGTAACATCACAAGAGCATTTCTTCTGTCTGCAATTTTAATGGAGGAACCATTAGCACAAAGGCTTTAAATGCAGGTGGGAGCAACACTGTGGGAAGTTTTACTGCTAGCATAAGTTGTATGGACTTTATTCACACAATGAGTCACTGAGAATTCACCCACTGGAAGTTTTTAAGAAAGAATCAAAGCAGTGTTTTAGATTGATTGAAACAGTAGCTGTGTGCAGCCTACATAGAATAGGTAAGGAAAGGAAGCAGGAAGCGTGACTTGGAATTTATTTCAGTAGTTTAGACAAGGGGATCAAGGCCTCATTTAAAAAGGGATTGACACAGCTGTCTCTACAAAAAACACAAAAATTAGCTGGGCATGATGGCACATGCCTGTAGTCTCAACTACTCAGAAAGCTGAGGTGGCCCAGAAGGTTGAGGCTGCAGTGAGTTATGAGCAGGTCACTGCACTCCAGCCTGGGTGACAGAGCAATGCCTTGTTTCAAAAACAAAAACAAAAACAGAAACAACAAAAAAAGAAGGGGCTGGGCACGATGGCTCACACCTGTAATCCCAGCACTTTGGGAGGCCGAGGCAGGTGAATCACTGGAGAGGTCAGGATTTCAAGACCAGCCTGGCCAACATGGTGACAACCCCTGGACAACATGGTGGACAACTGTAATTCCAGCTACTTGGGAGGCTGAGGTAGGAGAATCACTTGAACCTGGGAGGCAGAGGTCGCAGTGAGCCAAGATGGCACCACTGCATTCCAGCCTGAGCAACAGAGCAAGACGTTGTCCCAGGAAAAAAAAAAAAAAAAAAGGAAAGACAAAAAAGGCAGAAGAATTCACAGGGTTTAGTGATTAAATATGGTTTCAAGTCTGATTGACTCAGAGAATTGAAAGAATTTAAGAAAAATTTAAAGGAGGAAGAAAATTAGAAGTCAAAAAGGAAGAGATGGTTTTGGAGAGGGGACATTTTTACTTTGGGGAAAGCATCCAACATATAATGGAGGTCTCTTTGGGAAGAGACAGGCTTCACCTATGTCTCTTGGAGGGGGACATGGGTGGAGCTGCTAGCATGGAGGTATCTAACTAAAATCATGGACTTCAGTGAATCTTCTAGAGACTGAACATAATGAACCATAAAACCACAAGAAATGCCCCTGTTCAGGAGTAAGAAGAAAAAAAGTCCCAAAAAGGAGAGGTTACAGAAAAAGAAGAAAAACCAAAACAGTGCAACATCAAGCCAATTCAGGAGAATTTCAAGATGAAGAACCCAGTCAACAATTACTCCCAGCAAATGCCCAGCTTGGATTTGCAAAGCACAGTGCATTGTAAATTAAATGTTCTGAAAGTTCTGTAACAAGTAAAACTTTTTTAACTTTTTCAACCCAGAATTTCTCAAGTTCATGTGACCCCCTGGACTTTTATTTCTAACAAACCCCAAAACTGGTATATGGGCATGCTTTGGCAAATAAATGGTGTCTGAGCCAAAGCTAAATCAGTAGAAGGATAAAGCAGATTTCTGCCAGACTGGGGAAGGGTCAATAAGGGCACAGCCCTCTCCTCATCTCCTGTGACACCAGCTCTTCCCCATTTGCCCTCACCTCCCTTGGCAGCTCTTCAAACACTGTTAACATCCCCAAACCCTAATGAAACTATTACTCCACCGATGATATCAGGAAGCAATTCTGGTTCACCACAGGGAGATATTTGAAAACATTTTAACGAAGCTATTTCATTTACTAGTCATTTCATTTTGCTCTGAATTGTTCCAACAGATTTAGCTGACTCTGGGGGTTTCAGAGGAACAAACTCACTGGGGAAGAGTAAAAGCCTCCTTTTTCCTCCTCTCTTGTATTGAGGCTGATAAGGTCAGAATTGAACCGGCCAGGAGTTGGAGTGAAGAAGCAAGAGCATCCCCTAGTGGCAGACTGCTCCAGGCCCTAGAGTCAAAGAATACCATTAAGCTCTGGAGTTAAACCACTCAGGAGGGAGTGAAACACAGTGAATCTTCCTAGGCTCCCAGGCAAGTGCTTGTTAAGCTAATAAGTACTCCAGGTGGTGTTGCTTTTTCCATTTAAAGTGTCACACTGTGAACAGTTTGAGAATGAAAAATGGCTGCCAAGCAATGCCTTATTCAAAGGAAGATTTCAGTAAAATGATGATTATTAAATGCTTTATCATTACACATAATAAGATGCTGCCCATCTCTGCTGGAAGCACTGCATTAAATGCTGTGATCTGTGCATTAATTTAAAGTGAGGCCACTAGATTAATACTCTCTGTTGGCATCCGGTTCTTCATAGGAAAGTTGTTTAAGGTTTAAATAGATTAGGAAATACAAGGTTTCACACTTCCCTTCTGGACAGACTTCTGGACAGGTGCCGTTGTACTTTTCCACACTGGACAAGCTTTTGCCCTGGTGACCCCGATGGCTGCAAATGGCAAGAATCAAATTACAATCACGAGGAGATAAGAAGTTTTGTCGTTATGGTTTTTAATAGCGACAGGCATTTGCTAAATTTAGGAGAAGGCCCAGATTTGTTTGGGTTTCTGAATGGCATCTGGGTTTTTCAGTTATTGCAATGCACATTGTAGCAGTAGCCTGCAAGTACAAGATACATTTCATTTGGTTTAAATTTGAATTAAGTCAAACAGCTCTGAGAAGGAAGACATAAAATACAAAGATTTCAGTGGTTCTGTAACTGCCTTATGTAAAGTCCTGTGGAGGAAGGGTAAAAAAGGACAAGGTCATTTATTTGATCTACACTTCAAACTTGTGGTGCCTAAACGGAAAGTTGTTTTTGTTTTCATACCAAGAGCTCAGCATGCAATAGACCTAAAATAAAAATCAATCACTCAGAAAATGTCAGGCCACCCCTTAATTTTAAGCTATAATTCTTTAAACAATCTTTAAACAGATATGTTTTAATATCAGATTCATCGTTAAATATTCCACAGGCCAAGAAAGAATAAACAATGTGGTTAAAAAAAGTAAAATCCTAGGCGGGTGGATCACAAGGTCAGGAGTTCGAGACCATCCTGGCCAACATGGCAAAACCCCATCTCTACTAAAAATACAAAAATTAGCTAGGTGTGGTAGCACACCTGTAGCACATGCCTGTAATCCCAGCTACTCAGGAGGCTGAGGTCGGACAGCTGCTTGAACCCTGGAGGCAGAGGCTGCAGTGAGCCGAAATCGTGCCACTGCACTCCAGCCTGGGTGACAGGGAGGGACTCTGTCTCAAAAAAAAAAAAAAAAAGAAGTAAAATCCTGAATTGTGCAACCTCTTAAAATGTTTGTGAAAAAAAATCTTAGTAACCAGGGAAGAATATTCACAAATACCTAACTAGAAACTTCTTAGGAGGAAAATTTTTCTAAAACCAAAATGAGTACTAATTTGTATTTCTTTTGTTTTGTTTTTTTTATTTTTTTATTTTTTTGAGACAGGGTCTTGCTCTGTCACCCAGGCTGGAGTGCAGTGGTGTGACCACAGCTCACTGCAGCCTCAACCTCCTGAGCTCAGGTGATCCTCCCACCTTAGCCGTCCCTTGAGTAGCAGGGACCACAGGCACATGCCACCATGTTCAGCTAATTTTTATATGTTTTGTAGAGCTAAGGTTTCATCATGTTGCCCAGGTTGGCCTCACACTGCTGAGTTCAAGTGAACCTCTTGCCTTGGCCTTCCAAAGTGCTGTGGGCCTCTAATTTGTGTTTCATTTATACAAATATGTGCTCTGAAAACAGATAATCTGGGTTCAAATCTTGGGCAGGTTTGTTCATCTCTCTGACTTTCTGTTTTCATATCTGAAAGGTGGAAATCATATTATCTGACCCCTAGGGGTATTATATTAAATGAGATAATCCAAATACAACAATTATAGCATCATGCCCAGAATATAGTGAGCTTACTCCAATAAATATGAACTAGTATGCAAATTATCATAAACAATCCAGCTGGGCACAGTGGCTTGCTCCTATAATCCCAGCACTTTGGGAGGCCAAGGCAGCAGGATTGCTTGAGGCCAGGAATTCAAGACCACCCTGAGCAACATGGCAAGACCCCATATCTACAAGAAAATTTTAAAAATTATCCATGCATGGTGGTGCATGCCTCTGGTCCCAGCTACTCAGGAGGCTGAGGTGGGAGGGTCACATGAGCCCAAGAGATTGAGGCATCAGTAAGCCATGATCGTGCCACTGCATTCCAGCCTGGGCAACAAAGTAAGAACATGGCTCAAACAAACAAACAAACAAACAAAAAATTGGGCCGGGCGCAGTGGCTCACAGCGGTAATCCCACCACTTTGGGAGGCCAAGGTGGGTGGATCACCTGAGGTCAGGAGTTCGAGACCAGCCTGACCAACATAGTGAAACCCTGTCTCTACTAAAAATACAAATATTAGTCGGGCATGGTGGTATGCACCATAGTCCCAGCTACTTGAGAGGCTGAGGCAGTAGAATCGCTTGAACCTGGGAGGTGGAGGTTGCAGTGAGCTGAGATTGCACCACTGCACTCTAGCCCGGGCAACAAAGTGAGACTCCGTCTCAAAAACAAACAAACAAACAAAAAAAAACAGTGAAACAATCCGAATAGTCATCAATGATGGATTGGTTAAATAATGTATAGCATATACACACTTTTTTTGTTTTTTTTGTGAGACTTGCTTTGTTGCCAAGGTTGGAGTATAGTGGCGCCATCTTGGCTCACTGTAACTTCCACATCCTGGGTTCAAGCTATTCTTGTGCCTCAGCCTCCCAAGTAATTGGGACTACAGGCATGCGCCACCATGCCTGGCTAATTTTTTTTGTATTTTTAGGAGAGACAGGGTTTCACCATGTCACCCAGGCTGGTCTTGCTCTCCTGAGCTCAGGCAATCCACCTGTCTTGGCCTGACAACGTGCTAGGATTATAGGCGTGAGCCACTGCACCCAACGACAGTATGTACACACATTAAATGGAATATTATTCAGCTAAATAAATGGAAGAAACACTCTATGCACTGATATGGAAAGATCTACAAAATATACTCTAGAGGTGAAAAAAAAAGGTGCAGAACAGTATAGCATTTTGGGTTAAAAGAAGGGAGGAGAATAAGAATATATATTCTATTTGTTTGCATTTGCATGAAAAAACTCTCATAGGATACACAAAGAAACTAATAAAAATTCTTATCTGAAGATTAATGTGGGAAGGAAACTAGGTGAAGAGATGGAAACAGAATGAATAGAAAAAGGTGGGACTAAGAATTTTACTTTCCACTAGTTTTATAGTTTTAATACATTAATGAATGTATTTCTGATTTTTTAAAAATATAATTACTTAATTTTATTTTGTTAGCTTTTATTATTTTATAATTCAAAGTACAAAACAATAAGCATCCTGGCTGGATGTGGTGGCTCATGCCTGTAAACCCAGCACTTTGGGAGGCCAAAGCAGGAGAATCACTTGAGGTCAGGAGTTTGAGACTAGCCTAGCTGACATGATGAAACCCCATTTCCACTAAAAATACAAAAAAAAAATTAGCCAGACGTGGTGGTGCACACTTTTAGTCCCAGTGACTTGGGAGGCTGACGCAGGAGAATCGCTTAAACCCAGGAGGTGGAGGTTGAAGTGAGACAAGATCACACCACTACACTCCAGCCTGAGTGACAAAGTGAGACTCCACCTCAAAAAAAAAAAAAAAAAAGAATAAGCGTCCTAATATATTCTTTGTCCTTTGTTTGTTTGCTTGTTTGTTCATTTGTTTATTTGAATGAATCATGGGATACTGTAGGGATACACATAGCACTAAAAGTAACAGCAATCTTACTAAAATGCTTCATGGTCACCAGGACCAAAAGGATGGTCTGGAAGGTAGATATAGTAATTCATAGATCTTTACTTTAGTGCACCACCAATCTATTTCTTTGATATTTATGTGACCAAGTTTCCAAATGCAAGCTCTCAAAGTGAGCATATGAGTAAACATCACTGCTGCTATGTAATTAAATATACACGAAATGTAATAAATTACCCAGACTCACAAAGAAATTGGTTTCATTCTCTTCTTTCTCCTTTTCATCTTCTACTGATTTGGGCCTGTTTCTGGAAAGAAAATGTGGCTTGCCAAAAAAGGCATCAAACAAATCTTGTCTCAAATTTAGAGTTCACAATCTGCTATCTGTATTATCCTCATAGGCCTCAATTTTCTTACATAACAAAGGGAATGAAACTTTTTATAGGATTGATGAGATTCAAGATATATAAAAACCATAGTACATCATCTTGAGCACATATAAGCTCCACACTCATGAACAATAAATGAGTTTCTTTTAAATATGCATAAGTAAATGTGAACCAAAGAGAAATTTTTATCAAAACAGTTTATTTTTTTCTTATTATACTTTGAGTTCTAGGGTACATGTGCACCACATTCAGGTTTGATACACAGGTAAACATGTGCCATGTTGGTTTGCTGCACCCATCAACTCATCATTTATATTAGGGATTTCTCCTAATGCTATCCCTCCCCCATCCCCCTACCCCCCAACAGGCCCTGGTGTGTGGATGTTCCCTGCCCTGTGTCCAAGTGATCTCATTGTTCAATGCCCACCTATTAGAGAGAACATACAGTGTTTTTTTTCTGTTCTTGTGATAGTTTGCTCAGAATGATGGTTTCCAGCTTCATCCATGTCCCTGCAAAGGACACGAACTCATCCTTTTTTATGGCTGCATAGTATTCCATGGTGTATATGTGCCACATTTTCTTAATCCAGTCTATCATTGATGGACATTTGGGTTGGTTCCAAGTCTTTGCTATTGTGAATAGTGCTGCAATAAACATACATGTGCATGTGTCTTTATAGCAGCATGATTTATAATTCTTTGGGTATATACCCAGTAATGGGATTGCTGGGTCAAACAGTAATTCTAGTTCTAGATCCTTGAGGAATCGCCACATTGTCTTCCACAATGGTTGAACTAATTTACACTCCTACCAACAGTGTAAAAGTGTTCCTATTTCTCCACAGCCTCTCCAGCATCTGTTGTTTCCTGACTTTAATGATTGCCATTCTAACTGGCATGAGATGGTATCACATTGTGGTTTTGATTTGCATTTCTCTGATGGCCAGTGATGATGAGCGTTTTTTCGTGTGTCTGTTGGCTGCATAAATGTCTTCTTTTGAGAAGTGTCTGTTCATATCCTTTGCCCACTTTTTGATGGGGTTGTTTGTTTTTTTCTTGTAAATTTGTTTGAGCTCTTTGTAGATTCTGGATATTAGCCCTTTGTCAGATGGGTAGATTGCAAAAATTTTCTCCCACTCTGTAGGTTGCCTGTTCACTCTGATGGTAGTTTCTTTTGGTGTGCAGAAGCTCTTTGGTTTAATAAGATCCCATTTGTCAATTTTGGTTTTTGTTGCCATTGCTTTTGGTGTTTTAGTCATCATGTCCTTGCCTATGCCTATGTCCTGAATGGTATTGCCTGGGTTTTCTTCTAGGGTTTTTATGGTTTTAAGTCTAACATTTCAGTCTTTAATCCATCTTGAATTAATTTTTGAATAAGGTGTAAGGAAGGGATCCAGTTTCGGATTTCTACATATGGCTAGCCAGTTTTCCCAGCATCATTTATTAAATAGGGAATCCTTTCCCCATTTCTTGTTTTTGTCAGATTTGTGAAAGATCAGATGGTTGTAGATGTGTGGTGTTATTTCTGAGGCCTCTGTTCTGTTCCATTGGTCTATATCTCTGTTTTGGTACCAGTACCATGCTGTTTTGGTCACTGTAGCCTTGTAGTATAGTTTGAAGTCAGGTAGCATGATGCCTCCAGCTTTGTTCTTTTGGCTTAGGATTATCTTGGCAATGTGGGCTCTTTTTTGGTTCCATATGAACTTTAAAGTATTTTTTTCCAATTCTGTGAAGAAAGTCAATTTGCAGGTTGATGGGGATGGCATTGAATCTATAAATTACTTTGGGCAGTATGGCCATTTTCACAATATTGATTCTTCCTATCCATGAGCATGTCATATTCTTCCATTTGTTTGTGTCCTCTTTTATTTCATTGAGCAGTGGTTTGTAGTTCTCCTTGAAGAGATCTTTCACATCCCTTGTAAGTTGGATTACTAGGTATTTTATTCTCTTTGTAGCAATTGTGAATGGAAGTTCACTCACGGTTTGGCTCTCTGTTTGTCTGTTAATGATGTATAGGAATGCTTGTGATTTATGCACATTGATTTTGTATCCTGAGACTTTGCTGAAGTTGCTCATCAGCTTAAGGAGATTTTGGGCTGAGACGATGGGGTTTTCTTTCATATATATATATATATATATATATATATATATATATAAATTTTTTTATTACACTTTAAGTTCTAGGGTACATGTGCACAATGTGCAGGTTTGTTACATATGTATACATGTGCCATGTTGGTGTGCTGCACCCATTACAATCATGTCGTCTGCAAACAGGGACAATTTGACTTCCTCATTTCCTAATTGAATACTCTTTATTTCTTTCCCTTGCCTGATTGCCCTGGCCATGGCCAGAACTTCCAACAGTATGTTGAATAGGAGTGGTGAGAAAGGGAATCCTTGTCTTGTGCCGGTTTTCAAAGGGAATGCTTCCTATTTTTGCATTTGAGTGAGTTTCTTAATCCTGAGTTCTAATTTGATGGCACTGTGGTCTGAGAGACAGTTTGTTGTGATTTCTGTTCTTTTACATTTGCTGAGGAGTGCTTTAGTTCCAATTATGTGGTCAATTTTAGAAAATGCAATGTGGTGCTAAGAAGAATGTATATTCTGTTGATTTGCAGTGGAGAGTTCTGTAGCTGTCTATTAGGTCTGCTTGTTGCAGAGCTGAGTTCAAGTCCTGGATATCCTTGTTGACATTCTGTCGCATTGATCTGTCTAATATTGACAGTAGGGGTGTTAAAGTCTCCCATTATTATTGTGTGGGAGTCTAAGTCTCTTTGTAGGTCTGTAAGGACTTGCTTTATGAATCTGGGTGCTCCTGTCTTGGGTGCATATATATTTAGGATAGTTAGCTCTTCTTGTTGAATTGATCCCTTTACCATTATGCCTTCTTTGTCTCTTTTGATCTCTGTTGGTTTAAACTCTGTTTTATCAGAGACTAGGATTGCAATCCCTGCTTTTTTTTTCTTTCCATTTGCTTGGTAGATCTTCCTCCATCCCTTTATTTTGAGCCTATGTGCATCTTTGCATGTGAGATGGGTCTCCTGAATACAGCACACTGATGGGTCTTGACTCTTGATCCAATTTGCCAGTCTGTGTCTTTTAATTGGGGCATTTAGCCCATTACATTTAAGGTTAATATTGTTATGTGTGAATTTGATCCTGTCATTATGATGTGAGCTGGTTATTTTGCCTGTTAATTGAGGCAATTTCTTGATAGCATCAATGGTCTTTACAATTTGGCATGTTTTCACAGTGGCTGGTACCAGTTGTTTCTTTCCATGTTTACTGCTTCCTTCAGGAGCTCTTGTAAGGCAGGCCTGGGGGTGACAAAATCTCTCAGCATTTGCTTGTCTGTAAAGGATTTTATTTCTCCTTCACTTACGAAGCTTAGTTTGGCTGGATATGAAATTCCGGATTGAAAATTCTTTTCCTTAACAATGTTGAATATTGGCCCCCACTCTCTTCTGGCTTCTTGGGTTTCTGCCAAGAGATCCACTGTTAGTCTAATGGGCTTCCCTTTGTGGGTAACTTGACCTTTCTCTCTGGCTGCCCTTAACACTTTTTCCTTCATTTCAACCGTGGTGAATCTAACAATTGTGTCTTGGGGTTCCTCTTCTAGAGGAGTATCTTTGTGGTGTTCTCTGTATTTCCTGAATTTGAATGTTGGCCTGCCTTGCTAGGTTGGGGAAGTTCTCCTGGATAATATCCTGAAGAGTGTTTTCCAACTTGGTTCCATTCTCCCCATCACTTTCAGGTACACCAGTCAAATGTAGATTTGGTCATTTCACATAGTCCCATATTTCTTGGAGGCTTTGTTCATTTCTTTTTACTGTTTTTTCTATAACCTTGTCTTCTCACTTTATTTCATCAATTTGATCTTCAATCACTGATACCCTTTCTTCCACTTGATCAAATCGGCTATTGAAGCTTGTGCATGTGTCACAAAGTTCTCGTGCCATGGTTTTCAGCTTCATCACGTCATTTAAGGTCTTCTCTACACTGTTTATTCTACTTAGCCATTCATCTAACCATTTTTCAAGGTTTTTAGCTTCCTTGCAATGGGTTCGAACATCCTCCCTTAGCTCGGAGAAGTTTGTTATTACTAACCTTCTGAAGCCTACTTCTGTCAACTCATCAAAGTCATTCTCCATCCAGCTTTGTTCCGTTGGTGGCGAGGAGCTGCGATCCTCTAGAGGAGAAGAGGCGTTCTGATTTTTAGAATTTTTCAGCTTTTCTACTCTGGTTTCTCCCCATCTTTGTGGTTTTATCTACCTTTGGTCTTTGATGTTGGTGACCTACAGATGGGGTTTTGGTGTAGATGACCTTTTTGTTGATGTTGATGCTATTCTTTTCTGTTTGTTAGTTTTCCTTCTAATAGTCAGGTCCCTCAGCTACAGGTCTGTTGGAGTTTGCCAGACCCTGTTTGCCTGGGTATCACCAGCGGAGGCTGCAGATCAGCAAATATTGCAGAACAGCAAATATTGCTGCCCAGTCCTTTCTCTGGAAGCTTTGTCCCAGAGGGGCAGCTGCCTATATGAGGTGTCTGTCAGCTCCTACTGGGAGGTGTCTCCCAGTTAGGCTACATGGGGGTCAGGGACCCACTTGAGGAGGCAGTCTGTCCATTCTCAGAGCTCAAACACTGTGCTGGGAGAACCACTGCTCTCTTCAGAGCTGTCAGACAGGGACATTTGTCTGCAGAAGTTGTCTGCTGCCTTTTGTTCAGTTATGCCCTGCCCACAGAGGTGGAGTCTAGAGGCAGTAGGCCTTGTTGAGCTGCGGTGGGCTCCACCCAGTTTGAGCTTGCTGGCCACTTTGTTTACCTACTCAAGCTTCAGCAATGGCAGACGCCCCTCCCCCAGCCAGGCTGCCACCTCGCAGTTCGATCTCAGACTGCTGCACTAGCAGTGAGCAAGGAACTGTGGGCATGGGACCGGCTGAGCCAGGCACGGGAGAGAATCTCCTTGTCTGCCAGTTGCTAAGACCTTGGGAAAAGTGCAGTATTTGGGTGGGAGTGTCCTGTTTTTCCAGGTAGTCTGTCACAGCTTCCCTTGGCTAGGAAAGGGAAATCCGCCAACCCTTTGCACTTCCTGGGTGAGGCGACACCCAGCCCTGCTTCTGCTCGCCCTCCCTGGGCTGCACCCATTGTCCAACCAATCCCAGTGATATGAACCAGGTACCTCTGTTGGAAATGCAGAAATCACCTGTCTTCTGTGTCAATCACGCTGGGAGTTGCATACCGGAGCTGTTCCTATTCAGCCATCTTCACTCCTTCCGTCTCAAAACAGTTTATTAGTCAAACACAGTGGCTCATGCTTATAATGCCAGCACTTTGGGAAACCCAGACAGGAGGATAGCTTAAGGCCAGGAGTTTGAGACCAGCCTGCACAGCATAGTGAGACCTCATCTCTACAAAAAGTAAAAAAAAATTAAAAAGCCAGATATGGTGGTGGTGCATGCCTATAGTCCTAGTTACTTGGGAACTGTGGTGGGAGGATAGCTTGAGTCCAGGAGTTTGAGGCTGCAGTGAGCTATGATCATGCCACTGTACTCCAGCCGGGGTGACAGAGCAAGACTTTGTCTCTGAAAAAAAAAAAAAAAAAAACAGTTTATCCAAAGATATGCCTTCAATAATACACAACTAAATCAACCTACAAACACTCAGTCCAGGAGTCCAGAAAGAACCCAACTGTAATTACTACCGGAGTAATTGCCAACTATATGAAATTAGATTCTTATGAGTTTGTGAAGACAGTCATTGTGTACCTAGGGTTATTTTTAAATTTACATGATCCAAAATGAGAGTGCAGCAGCCTATTAAAGTATCAAAACTCTTTTCTTTGGATTGAACATTATATCAACTAGCATTGTGATAGTGATGGTATGGCTCACATTAATCAGAAGGTCTAGTTAACATTTGCATATATTATAACTTTGATTAAGCAAAAGATGAAACAAATTATGTTAGTAAATGCTTTATTATCAAAAAAAAGTATCTCAAAACATGTAGTCCAATGCAGGATGAAGAAGAGGCTACCTCATTTGTGAATAAGCCAGGAAGAAGGTTTTAAAATAGCAGTGTAGAAGTAAACGGGCTTCACTACTCCCCAAAGAAAACCTAAAACAAATATACAGCACGAAGATTTTCGCCAGCAACAACCCAGAACTCAAATATGAGAATGAGACACATCCTGGGGCCACAGAGAAATGAAAAAAAAAAAAAAAAAAACTCTGAGCAGGTCGTAGGAGATGATTCTTCCTCATCTGCAAGGCCCACCCCATTCTGCCCAGCAACAAGTGCATAAAAAAATCTCCCCCCAAAGCACCGTTTCCACACTAGAAAAACTGAGATTGAAGTGGTCAACCAGCTTTTCCAACATCTTGGATTTTCTGGCAGGAGACCTGTCCTTGCCTTAACCCATGAGAAGCATTGTAGCTGTCTGAAGGGAGAAATATACCTAAGAATGGGCAGCGACAAAAGGTAGAGGCAAGATTAGCATCCCCAGCCCTGGAAACTCTGCTCTATAACTTGGCCAAAGGAAATGCCAAATTAGAGTGGGTATTCAGCAGCAGCACACTATAGGAAGTATGTTTCATAGGTCCCTTTGGGCACACCCCTAGTAAGCTTACCCACATGGCCAAGATAATTCCTTTGGGATAGGTAACACTGCAGTCATTTTCTAGAGCCAAGGAGACCCTGGACTTAAGGTGACACCCAAAGCTGAAAAAAGGCAGTGACCTAGCAGTAATGACTTGCTAAGAAAATATATCCAATAAAAACCAAAACAAGCCAGAGAGAGAACACTGGAATAAATAAATTCTTCAATGCAAAGACATAAATTTATACCCATGAGAAACAACAGTAAACAGGGAACGACAACCTCCCTCAAAAGGACAAAGCAAAAATCCAGTGATTGACCCTAATGAGATGGCAATTTGTGAGCTCCCTGACCAAGAATTCAACAGCCCTTTTAAGGAAACTCAGTGATCTCCAAAATAATACAGAAAAGCACTTCAGAAATTTATCAGAAATTTAACAAAAATATTGAAGTAATAAAAAAAATCCAACAGAAATCTTGGAACTGAGAAATACATTTGCTGAACTGAAGAACTCATTACAGACTTTCAAGAGCTGAATGGATTAGGCAGAGGAAAAAAAATTAATGAGCTTGAAGACCAGCTATTTGAAAATACACAGTCAGAGAAGAAAAAGAAAAAAGAACAAAAAGGAACAAAGACCACCTACAAGACATAGAGAATTACCTTAAAAGAACAAATCCAGAGCTCAACAAGAACAAGGGATAGAAATCTTATTCAAAGAAATAATAACAGAAAACTTTCCAAAACTTGAGGAAGATATAAATATCTGGGCACAAGAAGATCTGAGAACATCAAACAGATTCAACTTAAATATGACTAACCCAAAGCATATAACAAACTCTCAGCCACACACAGTGGCTCATGCCTGTAATCCCAGCACTTTGGGAGGCTGAGGTGGGCAGATCACTTGAGGCCAGGGGTTCAAGACCACCCTGGGCAACATGGCGAAACCCTATCTCTACTAAAAATGCAAAAATTAGCTGGGCATGCTCGCATACGCCTATAATCCCAGCTACTTGGGAGGCTGAGATATGAGAATCTCTTGAACCCAGGAAGCAAAGGTTGCACTGAGCCAAGATCATACCACTGCACTCCAGCCTGGGTGACAGAGTGAGACCCCATCTCAATAATAATAATAATACTTTACTGCTAAAAAATGCTACTGAAGTGAATATGTGCCATTGGAAAATCAGTACTGATAGTTTTGCTTAACACAGAGTTTAGCACAAACCTTCCATTTATTTTTTAAAATGCAATATCTGCAAAGCGCAATAAAGCAAAGCACAATAAAATGAAATATGCTTGTATTTTCTCTCATTCTGTAGGTTCTTTTTTCACTTTCTGGTGAGAAAAGTTTTAATAGACTTTCGATGGACTAAAGTTTTTAATTTTGATAAAGTCCAATTTATCTAATTTGTCTTTGGGTGTTTATGCTTTTGTTTTCATATCTAAGAATGTATTGACAAATTAAAGGTCATGAAGATTTAATCCTTCTTTTCCAAAGAGTGTCATAGCTCTTTTTTGGTCTTTCATCCATTTTGAGTTTATTTTGCATAGGTTGTGAGATAGGGGTCCAACTTCATTCTTTTGCACTTGGATCTCCAGTTATCCCAGCACCATCTGTTGAAAAGACTTTTATTTACCCATTGAATATTCTTGGCACTTTTATCAAAAATCGATTGACTATAAGTATATGGGTTTATTCCTAGACCCTTAATTTTATTCCATTTATCTAAATGTCTATCCTTATGCTAATACCACAGTATTTCAATTACTTCAACTATGTAATAAAGTTTGAAATCAAGAAGTATGAATCTTCTAACTCATACTTCTTTTTAAAGTTTATTTTGGCTATTTGGGGTTACTTACATACAATTCCATGTGAATTTTAGGATCAATTATTTCATTTCTACAACAAACACCATTTTGATTTTGATGGGAATTGCACTGAATCTTAAGGTTGCATTGGGTAGTATTACCATCCTAACAATATTAAGTCTTTCAATCCATGAACATGATATGTCTTTTTATTTATTTAAGCCTTCTTTAATTTCTTTCAGCAATGTTTTAAAGTTTGTAATGTATAAATTTTGAGATGTTTGGCTAAATTTATTCCTAAGCATTTTATTCTATTCTGTTTTATGCTATTATAGATGGAATTTAAATTTTTTTCTGGCCAGGCACAGTGGCTCATGCCTGTAATCCCAGCACTTTGAGAGGCCAAGACGGGCAAATCACTTGAGGTCAGGAGTTTGAGACCAGCCTGGCCAACATGGTGAAGCCACATCTCTACTAAAAAAACAAAAATTAGCCGGGCATGGTGGCAGGTGCCTGTAATCCCAGCTACTCGGGAGGCCAAGGCATGAGAATTGCTTGAGCCCAGGTGGTGGAAGTTGCAGTAAGCCAAGACTGCGACACTGCATTCCAGCGTGGGCTACAGAGCGAGACTCCATCTCAAAAAAAAAAAAAATTGGATTGTTAATTGATAGTGTATAGAAATAAAGTTGATTTCTGTATGTGGACATTGTATCTCACAACCTAGATGAACTGGTTTGTTAGATATAATAGTATTTTGTGTGTGAATTCTTTATAATTTTGTGTCTAAAACTATGTTATCTGCAAGTAGAAATAATTTTACTTCTTCCTCTCCAATCTGGATGTCTCTCTCTCTCTCTCTCTCTCTGGCCTAATAACCTTGTTTAGAAACTACAGTACAATATTATATAGAAGATAGAAATTGAAAGAGGACATCTTTGTCTTGTTCTTCATCTTAGAAGGAAAGCTTTAAGTTCTTCGCCATTAAGTATAATTTTTTTTTTTTTGAGACAGAGTCTGGCTCTGTCGCCCAGGCTGGAGTGCAGTGGTGCAATCTTGGCTCACTGCAAGCTCGGCCTCCCAGGTTCATGCCATTCTCCTGCCTCAGCCTCCGAGTAGCTGGGACTACAGGCACCCGCCACTACGCCCGGCTAATTGTTTGTATTTTTAGTAGAGACGGGGTTTCACCATGTTAGCCAGGATGGTCTCGATCTCCTGACCTTGTGATCCGCCTGCCTTGGCCTCCCAAAGTGCTGGGATTACAGGCATGAGCCACCGCGCCCCACCATAAAGTATAATTTTAGATACGAGTTCTTCATAGACACCCTTTATAATGTTGAAAAAGCTCCCTTCTATTTCTATTTTGTTGAATGTTTGTGTCATGAAAGGCTGTTGGATTTTGTCAAAATTTTGTATGCATCTATTCAGATGATCATGTGCTTTTTGTCCCTTATTCTCAATATGGTGCATTACACTGATTGGTGTTCATGTTGAAACAACATTACATTCCTAAAATAAATCCTCATTTGGCCATGGTGTATAATCCTTTTTATACACTGTTTGATTCTGTTTGCTAGTATTTTGAGGAATGTTATGTCTATACTAATATGGAATATTGGTCTGTAGTTCTCTTTTCTTCTGATATATTTTTCTGCTTTTGGCTTCAAGGTAATATGGGGCCTCGTAGAATGAGTTGGAACATGTTCTTTCCTCTTCTATTTTTTGGAAGGGTTTGCAAAGGATTGGAAGGACTCCATTTCTGCCCATCTCTATCCTCCTGCCTATCTTCTCATTAGTAACCACTTGTGTTAGTTTTGGGGCACCCTTTCAGTGTTCTTTTCATACAAATATAAGAAAATACAAGGCCAGGCGCAGTGGCTCACACCTGTAATCCCAGCACTTTGGGAGGCCGAGGAGGGCAGATCACAAGGTCAGGAGTTCGCGACCAGCTCAACCAACATGGTGAAACTCTGTCTCTACTAAAAATACAAAGTTAGCCAGGCATGGTGGTGCATGCCTGTAATCCCAATTACTCAGGAGGCTGAGGCAGGAGAATCACTTGAACCCGGGAGACGGAGGTTGCAGCGAGCCGAGACTGCGCCATTGCACTCCAGCCTGGGCAACAAGAGCGAAACTCCGTCTCAAAAAAAAAAAAAGAAAAGAAAATACAAATATATGCTTTTATTTCTCCTCTTACACGTAATTTGTATATGCAAACTCCCTGTATGTATGTGTTTGTGTTTGTGTTTGTGTTTGTGTTTGTGTGTGTGTGAGAGAGAGAGTGAGAAAAAGAGAGAGAGAGAGAGACAGACAGAGACAGAGAGACAGAGAGTTTGAAGTTATGAGAAGAGAAGAAAATCATGAAACAGCCATAAGTCTTTCAGTCTAAGCATCCTTGGATTCTTTCAGTCTGACCTACCCTTGTTAATTATCCTCATTCCACCCCTCATTTATCTCTACCATGCTAACTAACATGTCAAAATGTAGTATGTCAAAATCACAGCCCTATTTAAATACAGTCCACCTGTTAGCTGACTATACTCTGTGATTGGTCTTACTTTAAATTCATGATTATGAACTTCAAGTGGACCTTCAAGTGGCAATCACACCACTTTGCCTAGTCCACCGAGTAATTCACTACGATTATTTCACACTTTCTTCTCTAAACCTATTCCCATAAACTCACTTTCTGGTAATAATCTTTTTTCCTACTTCATTGAGCAAAACAAACTGAAAAAACTTAAACCTGCTCCCACTGAATCAATGCACTCTGCCTTTCTTCCTGTTACAGTGAATTACTTCTGTATGTTCGTAACTCAGTAGCTAGAAATTCTGTCTCATGTTTCTCCTTGAGAGGCCCTGAATGGAAGGAAGGTAAGTGTGGACTCAAACTGTGTCTTTTCCATCTTTAGAATTCCTGGGGTACTTATCAGAGCAAATTGGTTAAGAATAATGTTGAGCAGGGTCAGACACGGTGGCTCATGCCGTAATCCCAGCACTTCGGGAGGCCAAGGTGGGCAGATCACTTGAGGTCAGGAGTTTGAGACCAGCCTGGCCAACAAGGTGAAACTCTGTCTGTACTAAAAATACAAAAATTAGCTATCTGTGTAGCACATGCCAGTGGTCCCAGCTACTCAGGAAACTGAGGCACAAAAATCGCTTGAACCTGGGAGGCAGAGGTTGCAGTGAACTGAGATTGCACCACTGCACTCCAACCTGGATGACAGAGTGAGACCCTGTCTGATAAAAAAAAAGAATACTCTTGTGCAGGCATTCCAGACAGGAAAATGCCTCTGCCCCTACTCCTACCCATGTAATCAAGCTGATGTCTTTGGGGGGCACTGGGATGGGCATGAAGATGGGTGAGTTGATGCTACCAAGACTTTAGGTGACAGGAACAGAGCTCCCTCTCAGCCCCATGGGGCTTAGTAGAATCGGTACTGAGCTTAACCATTGCATGTCTGTGCCCTGTGATATTCTTCTCTTGTTCATCACAGTGAATCTTTCTTCACTGGTTTCTATATAATGTTGATAATTTGGATGCCAGGGATAGGTGAGTGTGATGGGGAAAGTTGATAAGTATACCTTAGACTGAAAGAATCTAAGAATTCTTACACTGAAAGACTGTGGATAACCATTTCACACTTCATTTTTCCCTCATATCTCCAATATCTACTGTCTCATATTCATTCTTAGCCAATAATTTTCTTATGTCATTGATAAAATGGAATCCATTGCAAGAGTATTTACACACATTCTTATTGTCTATCCATCCACCCACCAACATCTGTGCCCAAAATACTCTGCCTTACGTTTTGTCACCATAGGTGAACTCCACATGCTCCTTGCTGAGGCAAATTCCTCCACTTGTATACCAGATCCCATCTCGTCCACTCACAATTAGAGCCTGAAAAGCCAGCCTTCATCCATCTTAAAACCTCTGCTCAGGAACAACCCTGCACCACATGAGACTGCATCCCTACTCTCTTTACAATTCACTTTGCATGGCAGGGAAATTATGTGGCCCTTCTTCTGGCAAACATTTGTAAGCATTCCTCCAAACAATCTGCATTTTAAGACTCGATGATGCTCTGCCTTTGGGCCCATAGTAGGTTCTCATAGCATTTTGCACATTGACTAACATTCATAGACACAATCCCAGATCTCAGGGCTGCAACTTCAGCCAGAGAGTTTCTAACTAGGAAAGGTTTTACCTAGTGCTTGATCCATTATTGATGAATGACCCCAGTAAAGTGCTATAAAGTATATTGATGTGGCCCATTCCGAGAAAGCTTATTATATAATCTAATCCAATAAATTCCTCATACCTTATGCCAAGGGAACTTTTTTCACTCTCATAACTAATAAATACTCTGCTGAGTAAATTGCCTGTGTGCCCTTCTAGTGCAAAAAGATAAAATTGACCCTCTATTCACCCTAAGTCCCTTCAGCAAGAACATAAAAAATATGACACTGCCTATAACTAAAATTGGGTTTCTTAAGCATTTTATATTTTATCTGAGAGCAACCTTCAAAAAAAATCATGGGAGGAATGTCACTGATGAATTAAGCTCCTAGGCAATGAAAGGTGCTATTGATCCTGATTATTTTGGAATACATTAAAGCAGTGTTTCTCATGAGTTATTGGTAACACAAGTTCATTGAAAAGACTTAACTGTGACGCAGCCTCTGTCCTCTGCCCTCCCTTTTTTTACTTCTCTTTCAACCAAAAAAAAATTCTTCCATGTAAATTTTCATGCACTTTCAGGCATATTTTCCAGATACCCCTGACCTAACTATTCTCTCTCATGAGCCCTGACATTATAGCCTTAACAATTTATTCTTTGCTTCCAACAATTCATCTCCAGTCTGGGCAACTTAAAAGTATTATACTAGAAAAGAGTACTGATCATGTGGAAGAAAAGAGAAAAGAGGGGAGTGTTCGTCTGTTTTGTGTGCTATAAGGGAATACCTGAGGCTGAGTCATTTATTTAAGAAAAGAGGTTTATTTGGCTCATGGTTCTGCAAGCTGTACAAGAAGCATGGTGCCAGCATCTGCTCTTCTGGTGAAGGCTTAGAAAACTTTTGCTCATGGGGGAAGTCAAGGGGAGCCAGTATGTCACATGGCAAGAGAGGGAGCAAGAGAGAGAGGTGAGGTGCCATGCTCTTTTGTTTAACAACCAGTTCTCGTGTGAACTGACAGTGTGAAAACTCACTTATTACTACAAGAAGGGCACCAAGCCATTCATGAGAGATCTGCCCCCATGACCAAAATACCCCCTACTAGGCCCCCCACCTCCAACATTGGTGACCACATTTCAACCTGAGAATTGAAAGGGACAAGCATCCATACTATATTAGGGGGTAAGGGAAAGACAGGAAAGCAATTAAGCAGTGTATTAGTCTTTCAGTCTCAGCTGTGGCAGGGCCAAGCAAGTAATGCCAACAGCTCTGGCTCTCAAAGCTTCCACTCTGACCTCACCTTCTCCTACAGTCCACTCTGCTGCCATGACTGAACTGGTCATCTACTTTGCAAAGGGTTTCTTGGCTGCAACATCACCACCACTGCTATCTCCAAGACTCCAGTGGTTCAATCAAATGGGTTAAGCTGCTCTGTCATTTACAACCGATTGCTATGAGCAAACAGATTGCTGCTGACTCCTGTCCAAAGGCACAAGGCAAGGCCAGGTGTGGTGGCTCACACTTGTAATCTCAAAACTTTGAGAGGCAGAGGCAGGAGGATTGGTTGAGCCCAGGAGTTAGAGACCAGCCTGGACAACATAGGGAGAACCCATCTCTGCAAAAAATTTAAAAAAATTAGCCAGGCATGGTGGTATGTGCCTGTGGTCCCAAGTCGTAGAAGGCTTAGGCAGGAGGATGACTTGAGCCTGGAAGTTTGAGGCTGCAGTGATCCCTGATCATCATGCCACTGCACTCCAGCCTGAGTGACGGAGTGAGACCTTGTCTTAAAAAAAAAAAAAAAAAAAAAAAGGCCAGGCACAGTAGCTCACGCCTGTAATCTCAGCACTTCGGGAGGCCAAGGCGGGCAGATCAACTGAGGTCAGGAGTTCAAGACCAGCCTGGCCAATATGGTGAAACCCTGTCTCTACTTAAAATACAAAAATTAGCCAGGCATGGCGGCAGGTGCCTGTAATCCCAGCTACTCAGGAGGCTGAGGCAGGAGAGTCGCTTGAACCCAGGGGACGGAGGCTGCAGTGAGCCAAGATCACGCCATTGCACCCCATCCTGGGCAACAAAAGCGAGACTTCGTCTCAAAAAAAAAAAAAAAAAAAAAACTTAAAAACTTGGCTGGGTGTGGTAGCTCACACCTGTCATCCCAGCACTTTGAGAGGCCAAGTTGGGTGGATCACCTGAGGTCAGGAGTTCAAGATCAGCCTGGGCAACATGGTGAAACCCCATCTGCTAAAAATACAGAATTAGCGGGGCATGGTGGCGCACACCTGTAGTCCCAGCTACTCAGGAGGCTGAGGCAGGAGAAGCACTTGAACCCAGGATACAGAGGTTGCAGTGAGCCACGATCGCACCACTGCACTCCAGCCTGGGCAACAAGAGTGAAACTCCATCTCAAAAAAAAAAAAAAAAGAACTTGATAGAACAACCACCCCCCAAAAAATTTTTTGACAGAGCCCTGCTCTGTCACCCAGGTTGGAGTGCAGTGGTGCAATCTCGGTTCACTGCAGCCTCCATCTCCTGGGTCCAAGTGATCCTCCCACCTCAGCCTCCCAAGTAGCTGGGATTACAGGCACCCACCACTACACTGGGCTAATCTTTGTATTTTTAGTAAAAATGGGATTTCACCATGTTGACCAGGCTGGTCTTGAACTCCTGGCCTCAAGTGATCCACCCACCTCAGCCTCCCAGTGTGCTGGAATTACAGGAGTAAGCCATCACACCTGGCCAAAAATTTTTTTAGTAATAAAGAAATAATTAAAACAGAGGCATAAGGCATTGTGTACTCCATCCAAGTGCCAAGGAGGTTTCTTTCACCACTACAACTTGAAAAGTACTACTCTAAAGCACACAAAGTTTGCAAGATAGCAGACCTAGAATAGGTCAATAATGTCACAGTCAAAAAGATGAAAAAAGAAGCAGGAAAATGTTATGGTTTCTCAATCTAGTTGTCAAATGTTTACTGAGCACCTAATGTGAGCAAGGCTCTCGTCTAAGCCTCAGGAATATAGCAGTGAACAGAACAGACAAATCTCCTGCTCTCTTGGGGCTTACACTGTTTATTCGTGTGAAAACATGAAAATGCCCTTCAGGATTTTCAGTGAAAGGGCTGAGCAGAAAAGATGCTTGTTGACATCACTAGAAAAAGACCTACCCTTATTCTCTTTCAACATAAGAAGAAGAAGAGGGCCAGGCATGGTGGCTCACATCTGTAATCCCAGCAATTTGGGAGGCCAAGATAGGTGGATCACCTGAGGTCAGGAGTTCGAGATCAGCCTGGGCAACATGGTGAAACCCCGTCTGCTAAAAATACAGAATTAGCCAGGTGTGGTGGTGGGCACCTGTAATCTGAGCTACTAGGGAGGCTGAGGCAAGAGAATTGCATGAACCCAGGAGGCAGAGGTTGCAGTGAGCTGAGATCATGCCACTGCATTCCAGCCTGAGCAACAGAGCAAGACTCTGTCTCAAAAAGAAGAAGGAGAAGGAGAAGGAGAAAGAAGGAAGAAGGAAGAAGAGTCAACATTTACTCAGTACTTACTGTGTGCCAGACAGTGAGTTAAGTACTTCATATACATTACCAAACATTCTAATATAGCATTTGCACTATTTTTTCCCTTTTGACCCATTTTGGTATAACAGAAAAAACGTTTCATATGAATTCAGAATATTTGGGCTCAAGTCCTGAGTTGACCACTTGCTGGCTGTGTGATCTTTAGCAACTCACTTAACTTTCCTTACTCTCAATTTTATTACATAGGAATATTACCTTTACAAGTCTTTCCAGAATCATAGAGAAGATCAAGTGACATTACCTGTTAAGCACTTAGGACAACACTTGGCATGTAGAAAAGATTTAATAAATTAGATCAGTCATCATTATCATAACTATTTAAAATTTTATTCATAGAGAAATGAATATAAGTAAAAAGACATTGTACAGTAGATTCAGCCTCATGGCATGCATTTCACAGAGCACTAAATTTTTCTTTTTGTTAGTTCATATTTGTATTAAGTAGAAACTACATAGTACAACTTATACTCAATTTATTTTTATCTTATTTATTGTATCATAGATTATAAAGCTAAGATTATATTTTACTGCCTCATGTTCCATTTTTAAAAATCTGAGTGCATCTCTCTTCTAGCAGCAGAAACCAAAATGCAGTTTTTACTGCATAAATATCTGCTAGTAAGAAATATGAAAATGGTACTTATTTTGTATAATATTTCCCAGTTTCAGGCCAATATTTAAAACACATTACAAAGCTCTTATAATATCAGTTATTATTGCCAGCATGTTTATACCATTTTTTAAGACACTTGTTTTATTAATCTGTTTTCATGCTGCTGATAAAGACACACCAAAAACTGGGAAGAAAAAGAGGTTTAACTGGACTTACAGTTCCACATGGCAGGAGGTGAAAGGCACTTTTTCCATGGCAGCAACAAGAGAAAATGAGGAAAAAGCAACAGCAGAAACCCCTGATAAAATCGTCAGATCTTGTGAGACTTATTCACTATCACAAGAATAGCACAGGAAAGACCAACCCCCATGATTCAATTACCTCCCCTGGGTCAATCCCACAACACGTGGGAATTCTGGGAGATACAATTCAAGTTGAAATTTGGGTGTGGGCAGAGCCAAACCATATCATTCCACCCCTAGCCCTCCAAATCTCATGTACTCACGTTTCAAATCCAATCATGCCTTTCCAGCAGTTCCCCAAAGTCTTAACTCATTTCAGTATTAACCCAAAAGTCCACAGTTCAAAGTCTCTTCTGAGACAAAGCAAGTCCCTTCTGCCTAGGTGCCTGTGAAGCAAGCTAATTACTTCCTAGATACAATGGAGATACAGGTATTGGGTAAATACAGCAGTTCCAAATGGGAGAAATTGGCCAAAACAAAGGAGTTACAGGGCCCATGCAAGTCTGAAATCCAGTGGGGCAGTCAAATTTGAAAGCTCCAAAATCATCTCCTTTGACTTCAGGTCTCATATCCAGCTCACACTGATGCAAGAGGTGGGTTCCCATAGTCTTAGGCAGCTCTGCCCCTGTGGTTTTGCAGGATACAGCCTCCCTCCCAGCTGCTTTCATGGGCTGGCATTGAGTGTCTGTGGCTTTTCCAGGTGCACAGTGCAAGCTGTTGTTGGATCTAACATTCTGTGGTCTGGAGGATGGTGGCCCTCTTTTCATAGCTCTACTAGGCAGTGCCTCAGTAGGGACTCTGTGTGGGGGTTCTAACCCTACATTTCCCTTCTGCACTACCCTAGCAGAGGTTCTCCATGAGGGCCCCATCACTGCAGAAAACTTTTGCCTGGGCATCCAGGCATTTCCATACGTCTTCTAAAATCTAGGCAGAGGTTCTCAAACCTCAATTCTTGACTTCTGCGCACCCACAGGCTTAACACCACATGGAAGCTGTCTAGGCTTAGGGCTTCCACCCTCTGAAGCCACAGCCCAAGCTGTACGTTGACCCCTTTCAGCCACAGCTGGAGCAGCTGCGTCATAGGGCACCAAGTCCCGAGGCTACACACAGCATGGGGACCCTGGGCCTGGCCCACAAAACCACTTTTTCCTCCTGGGCCTCCAGGCCTGTGATTGGGAGGGACAGCTGTGAAGGTCTCTAACATGGCCTGGAGAAATTTTCCCCATGTTCTTGGGGATTAACATTAGGCTCCTTGTTACTAATGCAAATTTCTGCAGCTGGCCTGAATTTCTCCCCAGAAAATGGGTTTTTCTTTTCTATCACAGAGCCTGCAAATTTTCCAAATTTTTATGCTCTGCTTCCCTTATAAAACTGAATGCCTTGA
Organism: Homo sapiens; assembly: GCF_000001405.40. NCBI lineage: Eukaryota > Metazoa > Chordata > Mammalia > Primates > Hominidae > Homo > Homo sapiens. The sequence continues at coordinate 40,882,233 of NC_000005.10, read as the reverse complement.
ACAACACCCAAGTCACCTCTTGAATGCTTTGCTTCTTAGAAATTTCTTCCACCAGATAGCCTAAATCATCTCTTTCAAGTTCAAAGTTGCACTAATCTCTAGGGCAGGGGCAAAATGCCACCAGTCTCTTTACTAAAACATAACAAGAGTCACCTTTGCTCCAGTTCCCAACAAGTTCCTCATCTCCATCTGAGACCACCTCAGCTTGGATTTTATTGTCCATATCACTATCAGCATTTCGGGCAAAGCCATTCAACAATTCTCTAGGAAGTTCCTAACTTTCCCACATTTTCCTGTCTTCTTCTGAGCCCTCCAACCTGTTCCAATCTCTGCCTGTTACCCACTTCCAAGGTTGCTTCCACACTTCCGGATATCTTTTCAGCCACGCCCCACTCCTAGTACCAATTTACTGTATTAGTCTGTTTTCATGCTGCTGATAAAGACATACTAGAGACTGGGAAGAAAAAGAGGTTTAATTAGACTTATAGTTCCACATGGTGGGAAGTAAAAGGCACTTCTTACATGGTGGCGACAAGAGAAAATGAGGAAAAAGCAAAAGCAGAAACCCCTGATAAAACCATCAGATCTTGTGAAACTTATTCACTATCACGAGAATAGCACAGGAAAGACCAATCCCCATGATTCAATTACCTCCCCTGGGTCAATCCCACAACACATGGGAATTCTGGGAGATATAATTCAAGTTGAGATTTGGATGGGGACACAGCAAAACCACATCACTTGCATAGAATGACATTGCATAAGCATAGTATCATCATTTTCTTAAGTATTCTGGGTTTTCCTAATCTTTTATAAACAATGTAAAATTGTACATCTTTTACATATATACATTTTTACAGACATTAAAAAGAACATACGTAAGTAGAATTCATAAAGTAAATTTTCTTGGTCAAAAGTTCCATGGTTTTGTTTGTTGTTTGTTTGTTTGAGGTGAAGTCTTGCTCTGTTGCCCAGGCTGGAGTGCAGTGGCATGATCTCAGCTCACTGCAACCTCTGCCTCCTGGGTTCAAGCAATTCTCCTGCCACAGCCTCCCAAGGAACTAGGACTGCAGGCATGAGCCACCAAACCCAGTTAATTTTTGTATTTTTAGTAGAGACGGGGTTTCACCATGTTGGCCAGGCTGGTCTCAAACTCCTGACCTCAAGTGATCCACCTGCCTCAGCCTCCCAAACTGCTGGAATTACAGGGGTGAGCCACCATGCCTGGCTTTTATTTTTATTTTTTATGAATAAAATATAATTGCTTTCCCCAAAGGCAATAATAATTTATACCCTCACATGCAGTGAATGTGCTTTTATACCCACACCTTTATTAACATTAATCTTAAAAACTGTAATTGGAAGAGGTTGAACCTAACGGCCAAAAGGTGGCTGTTGACCTGAAGATTAAGTTGTTATAAAACCCAAAGGGAGGGATTGAAACCTCCTTTGCAAAATTATGACTGAGACAGTGAAAGAGATCTAACTTAACCAACTCCATCTTGCTTCTAACCTCCAAGCTGTCCTTGTTCATTCCTGGCATAGGCTGAACTAACTTTAGGGGAAACTTTGTAGTTTGTAGTTTATAGTTTAAGCAAAGACGGTAACAGCCATTTCCCAAAGCAGATCTCCTTCTTGCCTGGGGACTAGATTGCCTTTATAGGACTAACATTGGCCACAAGATTAGAAATTATGGTTTAGGAGTCATGCAGCTGGAGGCTACAAGATTCTGACCCTCTCTAAACTGTTCCTAAGATCAGTGCTTGAGATATTTTGCAGACCCTGCACTTGATGGATCAGCTGGCACCACCCAGATCAATAAACTGGCTCAACTGATCTTGTGGCCCCCAACCAGGAACTGATTCAGCCCAAGAAGACAACTTCCACTCCCTATGATTTCACCTCTGACCAATGAGCACTCCTGGCTCACTGGCTTCCCCGCACTCACCAAGTTATCCTTAAAAACTCTGCTCCGGGCCAGGTGCGGTGGCTCACACCAGTAATCCCAGCACTTTGGGAGACCAAGACGGGCAGATTACTTGAGGTCAGAAGTTCTAGACCAGCCTGGCCAACACGGTGAAACCCGGTCTCTACTAAAAATACAAAAATTAGCTGGGAGTGGTGGTGGGCGCCTGTAAGCCCAGCTACTCAGGAGGCTGAGGCAGAGAATCGCTTGAACATGGGAGGCAAAGGTTGCAGTGAGCCGAGATAGCACTACTGCACTCCAGCCTGAGCGATAGAGCAAGACTCGGTCTCAAAAATAAAATAAAAATAAAAATAAATAAACTCTGCTCACTGAATGCTCAGGGAGACTGGTTTGAGTAATAATAAAACTCTGGTCTCCGAAAAAAAAAAAGTGGCTGTTGAATTACTAGTAAAGTTTAACTGTACACGTTTTTCTCCATCCTCTACAAACAAAAATAATAACCAACCTCTGAATACATTTAATTTTATCCTCCATATTTGATATGTATTAAGTTGAGAAGAACTCTCTCAATTCACTAAAGAAATGTTTTTACTGTCTCTGTCTTTAAAGAAAAATAATTATAAACAAAATGTAATATGTCACCACGAGATTTGAAAGAGTTGGACAGACCTGGTTTCAGATATCCGTTATTAATGTGTAAGTATTCAAAAGATCCAGAAGGTGGCAGTATAATAATGTTTTCCTAAATTTTGGACCCAGATTATCTGAAAATATATAGATTGTTCCCATTTTTATTTTCTCTTTTCTTAAAGTGATGCACGATCATAAAATGCAAAGCACTAAGGAACAAGAGGAGGAAACCTCCACACACTTACAGAAAGAGGAACCGTGAGGGGATGGAATGTGCTCAGGTAGGGAATTAGAGAACTCGCTACAAATTTCAGCTCCTTGGGCAAGTCCCTTAATCTTGAAGTCTACGTTTCCTTGTAGGTGAAATCATATGGCAATGTCCACCCACAAGACCACTGTGAAGACTAAACGAGATAAATTATTTAAATGTACGCAGCACACTGGAACATAAGAATGTAACAAGCATTCAATCAATTTTTTTTTGAGATGGAGTCTCCCTCTGTTGCCCATGCTGCAGTACAGTGGCACAATCTTGGCTCACTGCAAACTCCACCTCCCGGGTTCAAGCGATTCTCCTGCCTCAGCCTCCCAAGTAGCTGGGATTACAGGCATGCGCCACCACACCCGGCTAATTTTTGTATATTTAGTAGAGACGGGGTTTTCACCATGTTGGCCAGGCTGGTCTCAACTCCTTACCTCAAGTAATCCACCTGCCTCAGCCTCCCAAAGTGCTAGGATTACAGGCATTAGCTACCGCACCCGGCCCAATCAATATTATTTTATGCAGTTCTGTAGGGAACTACTCCAAGACTTAGAATAATATTGTTTAGGAAACAATGAAATAGAAGCCTCATACATATATAATAAAAACCTATTATGTTAAAGGCCTACATCTTGAAAAAGGGTAATAAGACACACAGGAGAATGTCCTCCCTCCTCAAGGGGTGGGGAAAGAATTACCTAAGCAGGTAACAGTGCAAGGCAGTGAAGAGAAAAAAAGGTCTCCAGCGAGTATGATGCTCTGAAAAGTCTTCACCTAAAATAAAAGGAAATAATTTGATATTTGAAGGAGAAGAGAAAAGGTATTTCAGAGGTAGGAGTGGTACAGCTCTGGGTGTGTTTGGAAGGCCATCAATGAATAATTTGACTTCTCTAGAAATTAGGTAAATAGGCAGGGCGCTGTGGCTCACACCTGTAATCCCAGCACTTTGGGAGGACGAGGCGGGCGGATCACGAGGTCACGAGATTGAGACCATCCTGGCTAACATGTGAAACCCCGTCTCTACTAAAAAATACAAAAAATTAGCTGGACGTGGTGGCAAGTGCCTGTAGTCCCAGCTACTCGGGAGGCTGAGGCACAAGAATGGCCTCAACCCGGAAGGCAGAGATCGCAGTGAGCCAAGATCACGCCACTGCACTAGAGCCCGGGCAACAGTGCGAGACTCCGTCTAAAAAAAAAAAAAGAAAGAAAGAAATTAGGTAAATAAGGTACATTAGAGTTGCATTACAGAGAGGCACAGATTAGGGCTAATAGTTACTGACTACATGCCAGTGCTTCTCAAACTTTAGGTGAACAAGTAACCTCCAGGTATCATTCACGTTGAGATTATTATTTAAATCATAATCTGGGATGTAGCCTGAGAGTTGTTAGATATGAGTTCTGAATTTCTCTTCAAAGAATCAGTATGTCAGTATGTTCAATTCTTTGCCTTCTACTTTTAAACTTAATTTCCTCGTAAAGCAATCTTTTTCGATTACCTGCTCCATCCTGATTCATTCTGATTACCTGCTCCACCATGACTCATTCTGATTACCTGCTCCACCCTGACTCACTCTGATTACCTGCTCTGCCCTGACTCATTCCCCACCCTGACTCATTCAGATTTCCACTCTGCCATAACCATTTTTCCCACCGTACCACTCACCCTGTCACTCTTTAAATTAGCCAATCGGAATTTGTTTAGCCAGTGCGGTCTAACCCTAGCCAACAGGGGAACGACACAGCAGCAGGGGCCACATGCCTCAGGAATAAGAACCCCTTCCCCTCCCTTGTCCAGCTGTGCACTCACCATTGCTCCATCTGTGAGGGTGCACCCTTCTATAGGAGTAAATTGCCTTGCTGAGAAGAAAAAAAGAAAATTTTATATTTGAGTGCCATTTATTTTGTGGCACCAAAACTTTATTTATAACAGAGTCTATGTTTCTAAAAAGCTCCCAGGTGATGTCAATGCTGCTGATCTGAGGGCCACATTTTGAGTAGTGAGACTATAAATGAAAAGACCCTAAACATTTGAACAAGTTATAAAAGAATCTGAATGTGGTGACAGTTCATCTAGAGACAAGATTCAGGTTTGATTGAAATAACGAACGTGGAGTAAAACACGATATAAATGTTTTCATGTTGGGTACTAAAGGACCCATGAAACTTATAATTTGAGATGTTGGGAGAAGAAAACTACAAGCATATAAATAAACCAAAAAAAAGGCAAATGTAGAAAGTTATATGCAGAGAATTAGCATAAGGTGATGTAATAGAGAATGACAGGGTAGATACTCTAAAGGGAGTGGTCAGGGAAATCTGAATGACAAGAAAAATGAATCTGAAATATGTTATCTGACTATTAATGACAAGGAGGAGCAGATCATGCCAAAATAGGAGCAGAAGAGCATTTTATTTTTTTTTTTTTATTTTTGAGATGGAGTTTTTGCTTGTTTGTTTGTTTTTTGAAAACAAAGCAAACTCTGTGGCCCAGGCTGGAATGCAGTGGTTCCCTCTTGGCTCACTGCAACCTCTGCCTCCCGGGTTCAAGTGATTCTCCTGCCTCAGCCTCCTGAGTAGCTGGGATTATAGGCACGGGCCACCACACCTGGCTAATTTTTGTATTTTTATTAGAGATGGGGTTTCACCACGTTGGTCAGGCTGGTCTCGAACTCCTGACCTCATGATCCACCTGCCTCAGCCTCCCAAAATGCTGGGATTACAGAGGTGGAGTTTCACTCTTGTTGTTCAGGCTGGAGTGCAGTGGCATGATCTCAGCTCACTGCAACCTCTGCCTCCCAGGTTCAAGCAATTCTCCTGCCTCAGCCTCCCGAGTAGCTGGGATTACAGGCTCGTGACACCATGCCCAGCTAATTCTGTATTTTTAGTAGAGACGGGGTTTAACTATGTTGGCCAGGCTGGTCTCGAACTCCTGACCTCAGGTGATCCACCCGCCTTGGCCTCCCAAAGTGCTGGAATTACAGGCATGTGCCACCGCAGCCAGCGGGGAGAACATTTTAGATGGAAGTCTTCTTTTGGGAAGACTGTGAATGCAATGTGGCTAGATTTTATGAATAAAGGGATGAGTGGTATGAGATGCTGCTTGGAGACACATTCAGTCCAGGTCAGGTCATGTAGTGCTTTGTTTTTGGTTTGGTGGGTGGGGGCTGGGGGCTGTTTTTTTTTTTGTTTTGTTTTTTTGTTTTGTTTTGTTTTTTGAGGCAGGGTCTTGCTCTGTCACCCAGGCTGGAATGCAGTGGTGCAATCATGACACAGCAGCCTTGACCCCCTGAGCTCAACTGATCTTCCCACCTCAGCCTCCCAAGTAGCTGGGACTACAGTCGCATGCCACCATGCCCAGCTAATTTTTTTTACTTTCTGTAGAGATGGGGTTTCGCCACGTTGCCAAGGCTTGTCTCAAACTCTTGGGCTCAAGCCATCCACCTTCCTAGGTCTCCCAAAGTGCTGGGATTATAGGCATGAGCCACTGCACCCAGCCCGTTTAGTGTTTTGCAAATTAAATTGCAGAATTTGGATTTCATTCTAAGTGCAATTAGTTGCCACTAGATAGTTTTAATCAAGAAATATATAAGTGATGTGATTTAAAACTTTTTAGAAATGATTTTGACTTGAAAATACTCATCAATCTTAACAAGACTTGTGCCGCCTGATGTCATGCAATAGGAAAAGCCCAGTACAACCTATGAGGTATTCTTTCCAAATGAATTGAACCCGGATCTTACTAAGCCTCAAGCTCTACCTACCAGTTTACAGAAAATTTGGAGGTTAGAAGAACATGTTTAACAACACTACAAGGAATCCATTAGCTAGATACAGAAAGTGGAGTATTCTACAGGATAAATAACATTTTATTTTCCAAAAACAAATGGATAAAATGGGTATACTAGTATAGTCTTACAAAACACAACAACAAAAAAAAAAAAGCTAGAGAGGCATACCAACCAAATGCAATGTGTTTAATTTAATGATAATTAAATAACAAAGCATATATTGAGAAATAATTGATCATTTTTAGGTGTAATTATTCCATACTGGTTTTACTCTTTAAAATTCATACCTGTTGGAGATATCTACTGAAACATTTATGGTTGAAATGATATATCTTGGATTTGCTTTAAAATACTTAAAAGAAAAAAAAGAAAATGTGTTATTGGGAAAATAGATAAAGATGGGGAAATTATTGATAACTTTTGGAACTGCTGTGGTAGCATAAAGAAAAGTGATATACTATTCTATTTATGTGTGTGGGGTTTTTTGTGTTTTTGTTGGTGGTAGTGGTGGTGGTAGTTGTTGGTTTTGTTTTGTTCTGTTCTGTTTTGTTTTTCTTTTTTTTTTTTTTTTTGTTTGAGATGGAGTCTCGCTCTGTCACCAGGCTGGAGTGCAGTGGCATGATCTCGTCTCACTGCAACCACCGCCTCCCAGGTTCAAGTGATTCTCTTGCCTCAGCCTCCCAAGTAGCTGGGACTACAGGCACGTGCCACCATGCGCAGCTAATTTTTGTATTTTTAGTAGAGATGGGATTTCACCATGTTAGCCAGGATGGTCTCAATCTCTTGACCTCATGATCTGCCAGCTTTGGCCTCGCAAAGTGTTGGGATTACAGGCGTGAGCCACCTCACCCAGCCTCTGTTTTGTTTTTCTAATACAGGGTCTCACTGTTGCCCTGACTGGAATGCAGTGGTGCAATCATAGCTTACAGCAGCCTCAAACTCCTAGGTTCAAGCAATCCTCCCACCTCAACCTCCCAAGTAGCTAGGACTACAGGAACATGCCACAACTTCTGGCTAATTTTTTATATTATATATATGTTTTTAAATTTCCCCGTGTATACACACATACCTCAATCTGGTTGAAATGCAGAGAATGGGTTGCAGGGAGGCAATAGTGAAAGCAGGGATGGCAGTTAGAACACTGTTGCAGTGGTCCATGTACGAAGAGCTGGTGGACTAGACTAGTGGTGGTGGTGGAGATGTTAAAGAGGTGGATGGTCTCAAAATATACTAGGGAAATTAAATTGACAAGACTTCTTGATGATTTGGGATGGGGTTGAAGTGAGTTGGAAAAGAAAGGGAAGATACACTTTCAAGATAATTTCTGAATTTTTAGCATTATTTTGACAGGTTGTGGGGAGGCTGGGGTGCAGGGTTAGGAAGAGTTCTATTTTGTCCATGGTAGTTTTGAGATTCCTATCAAGAGCCCTTTTTGGAAATGCAAGATAAACTATTGGGTGGAATTTGCAGCACAAGTCAGGACTAGAAGTGTAGATCTGGAGGTGAGTCTTGCAGATAATATTTACAGTCAGGCCACTGAGGGATATCACTGAAGTGGAGAAATAGAGAAGGAACCTCAGAATAGATGCTAGAGACTGAGCACAGGAGAATCCAATGGAGCATCAATGTGCCCATCTGTATAGCAGAATTGTAATAGGGCTATCAAAAGGATTGTGCATGATTTTGTATGCAAAGCCCTCTGTGGCACATAGTAAATGTTCAATAGCCATTATTCATCTTTGACCCATTCATTTTTAGCAAATAACCTCTCCTCTTACTTCCCTGAGAAAAACAGGAAGCAAAGACCTGCAGAAGGCAACTCCATCACTTTCCTTCTCCCCAACCCTCAAACTCACTTGTAAGTCTATCATCCATCTCCTCCTCCTTTCAGTATCAGAAGACAAATTCCCTTTCCTTTTCTAAGTTCATTTTTTTCAACAGGCTGTCAATTCTATTACTTCCACCTCTTCTGAGATGTTGCCCTACCAATTATGACATTCTGTCTTACACTTTCCCTTCCTCTCCCTTTCTAGCTTCTTCCTTTCAGCCTATAAATATATGACTTCATTCTATCTTCTTGCTTTTTTGTTTTTGTTCTCATTTTTGTTTGAGACAGGGACTGGCTTTGTCACCCAGGCTTGAGTGCAGTGGGGTGATCTTGACTCACTGCAACCTCTGCCCTCAGGATTCAAGTGATTCTCATGCCTCAGCCTTGCGAGTAGCTGGGATTGCAAGCATGTGCCACCATGTCTGGCTAATTTTTTGGTAGAGACGGGATTTCACCATGTTGCCCAGGCTGGTCTCGAACTCCTGGCCTCAAGCAATCTGCCTGCCTTGGCCTCCCAAGGTGCTGAGATTACAGGTGTGAGCCACTATGCCTGGCCACTTTTGCTTATTCTTGTGCTGAGGCCATAACAGTCCTTTCTTTGAACTGATCCCCATCATTTTCAAAAATTGCAACCATATTTGTGAAAACTAACAATAGGTCTCAGGTTAGAATTATGGAAAGGGCCTGACCTTTACTAAAGAATAAACATAGTTAAATAATGACCTGCCACTGCCTAGCTTGCTTTTTTTTTTTGAGACAGAGTCTCTCTCAGTCGCCAGGCTGGAATGCATTGGCACCATCTCGGCTCACTGCAGCCTCTACCTCCTGGGTTCACACCATTCTCCTGCCTCAGCCTCCGTGGTAGCTGGGATTGCAGGCGCCTACCACCACACCTGGCTAATTTTTGTATTTTTAGTAGAAATGGGGTTGCACCATGTTGGCCAAACTGGTCTCAAACTCCTGAACTCAGGTGATCCTCCCGCCTCTGTAGCAGGACAAGCCACAGACAAAACTCCTCAGACACCGAGTTAAAGAAGGAAGAGGTTTATTCGACCGGGAGTATCAGCAGGACTCCTGTCTTAATAGCCGAGCTCCCTGAGTGAGCAATTCCTGTTCCTTTTAAGGGCTCACAACTCTAAGGGGGTTCACATGAGAGGGTCGTGATCTATTTGAGCAAGCAAAGGGTACATGACAGGGGCTGCATGCACTGGTGGTCAGAGTGAAACAGAACAGAACGGGAGGTTTCACAGTGTCCTTCCATACAATGTCTGGAATCTATAGATAACATCAGTTGCTAGGTCAGAGGTTGAATTTTAACTATCAGGCTTAGGTCAGGCAGGCCCAGGCCTGGTTTCGAGTCTGGTTCCTTGGTTTCGGGTCTGGTTCCTAGGCGCCAGGCTACCTGCCTTTAGTTTCGCTTCTCTTTCCTTTTCTGAGTATAAAGCAATATAAAACAATATGAGAGAGTCTATCTCTCTTCTCTCACCTCAGCCTCCCAAAATGCGGGGATTACAGGCATGAGCCTCTGTGCCCGGCCTCTAGCTTGCTCTTCTATAAGTTGCTTACTGCCCCAGAGTCATGTAACCAGAGACTGCAATATTTATAACTTCCCCTGCTACTCCTATAGATAACATCACTATTAGAAAACCTAAAGAAATGGTCTTTGAGATATTTTTCCAATTTAGCATTTTGGCAGACCAAGAAGACATCAACAGGCCTTCAGACCCCCTCCCATGACCTGAATCAGCGGCGTGAAGACAATTTAGATTGTCTGTTATTTCATCTCCAGCAATCAATTGTTTCAGTTCCCCAGCCCCCTGCCCACCAAAGTACGCTTAAAAACCGTAGCCTCTGCCAGGTGTGGTGGCTCGCACCTGTAACCCCAGTACTTTGGGAGGCCAAGGTGGGTGGATAGCTTGAGCCCAGGAGTTTGAGACCAGCCCGGGAAACATGGCGAAACTCCATCTGTATACAAAAATACAAAACTTAGCTGGGTGTGGTGCCACACGCTTGTAGTCCCAGCTATTCAGGAGGCTGAGGTAGGAGGATAGCTTGAGTCCCGGAGGGCAAGGCTGCAGTGAGCCATGATTGCACCATGACTGCACTCCAGCCTGGAAGACAGAATGACACGCTATCTCAAAAACAGACAAAAAAAACAAATCCCACCCCCTAGCCTCTGAATTATTGGGGAGGTGGATTTGAGAAATTTCTCCCACCCTCAAGCTTGGCTGGCCCTGGGATAATTAAACTTTCTTTGCTGAAAAACCTGCTGTTCTCGGTGCATTTGTTTTTTTCAGGCAGCTGGCAAGAAGAACCTGTCAGGCTGTAATAGCAGTATAAAGGAAAATAAAAAATCTCAGGAGATTCAACCTCCTTATGCCAAAGGGAAAGTAAAGCCTGGAGGCTGAGTCATGCAACGCCCTCTTCCAAATGAATAGCTGTTACTAGCACTATGCATCTGCCAGATTCCTGCAGAAAGGTAAAAACCCCAGGCACCTGGGAATGACAGCCCTCACAGATCATTCATAAGTAAATTCTTTTCTGGCCTCCCATAAACAAGGAAACGCCAATTGTAACTTTCGATTTGCCATCTAAGTTTAGCTCCTAAAACTAAAGTCTGTTCAATTCTACACTGATAATGTCAATTGCAAGCCTATCTTTTCAGATGTGGAACAAAGACAAGAAGAGATCAATCATTCCTCCACTCACCCAGATTGGTCTGCATAATCGATTCTTTGCTTACTCCCTTTTTTTAATTCAGACATTCACCTTATCATATATAAAGTGTAGATTTACTGGGCACTAGCTAAAGTCTCACAAGAATGTAGCCATTTGCCTTACTGCCTACCTGTCCCTCTTCCTAGATGCTTTCGCCTCCTGTATAAATGTAGAAATACTAAACTTCCCGAAAACATCTTTGGAAAGAACAGCCACAGATGTGTCTGTAGCTTGTGCTTTTCTCAGGCACACCATAAAGCTGGCTTAATAAACCTCGATTGATTGAGATCCTTGCCTTGGTCACTCATTTGGGTTATCAGTAGCAATGGTGAACAGTAAAAAACAATCACAGTTGTGGACACGAAGATTTTTTTTTTTAACTAGAGCTTTGTGCATGCATTGAGCATTTTATGTTCCCATGTATCATTAAACACTGTTCTTTGCTTGGTGACAATAATCATTTTATAATGTATTATTCTCATATAAAGAGAAAAATAACGGACAGTGCTTTTGCTTCCTAGGGGCTCCAAAAACATTAGCCAGCTGTATCAAATAAGTCAGAAAAATCAGTAAGATAATAACAGATGTGTCTCCTTGCATTGTGGTCATTGTCAGTACATTTAAGGAAGAAAAGGACACAGAAGCCAGGCTGAGAAGGGCTGAGGTGTGAATGGGAAGTTTGGAAGTGGACATTTATGAAATTTGATTGAGAAGGAAAGGGCTGTAGGGCCAGGAAAGGTTTTTCTTCCTTTCTTCTTTTCCCTTCTTCCTCATTCCCTTTCTTCTTTAATTATTTCCTTTTCCTTCTCCTCATTCTTCCAATTCATCTTCCTTTTCTTAAAATCCAAAGCAACATAATATTTGGAAAAAATTTCAAACACTGTAGAAATATATGATGTAGGATGCCCCTGTAGCTAGGAGGAGCATTTTTTTTTTTTTTTTGAGACAGAGTCTCGTTCTGTTGCCCAGGCTGAAGTGCAATGACACAAACTCAGCTCACTGCAACCTCTGCCTTCTGAGTTCAAGTGATTCTCCTGCCTCAGCCTCTGGGGTAGCTGGGATTACAGGCATGAGCCACCACGTCCAGCTAATTTTGTATTTTTAGTAGAGACGGAGTTTCCCCATGTTGGCCAGGCTGGTCTCGAACTCCTGACCTCAGGTGATCAGCCTACCTCGGCTTCCCAAAGTTCTGGGATTACAGGCATGAGCCACCGCACCCAGCCGCTAGAGGAGTTTTTAATATTGGCTACATATTACATAACCTGGGGAGGTTTTAAAAAAAGTCTGATACCAAGCCCACAGCCCATATCAAAGACCTCAGAATCTGAGTGGCACTCAAATATCAGTATTCTTTAAAGCTCTGTAGGTGATTCCCATAATGCAGTCAAGTTTAGGACCACTGCTCCAGGGCTTTGTTCCTCAAAGAGTGGTCTGTGAACCACCAGCATCAGCATGAACATTCAGCTGAATCTCAGCTCTGCACTCCTCTCTGCCTAATGAATCCTAATCTGCATTTTAACAAGGTCTCTTGGGATTTCATATGCACACTGAAATTTGAGAAGCACTTTCTAGAGAAAAACCACTGGAAGCAATAGAGAAGTTTTGTTATGGTTTTATTTAAAGATAGAATGGTAGGCCAGGTGTGGTGGTTCACGCCTGTAATCCCAGCACTTTGGGAGGCCAAGGAGGGAGGATTGCCTGAGGCCAGCAGTTTGAGACCAGCCTAGGCAACATAGTGAAACCCCATCTCTACAAAATATACAAAAATTAGTAACCAGGTGTGGTGTCACATGCCTGTAATCCCCACTACTTGGGAGGCTGAGGCATGAGAATCACTTGAATCCAGGAGGCAGAAGTTGCAGTGAGCAAAGATTCCACCACCACACTCCAGCCTAGGTGACAAAGCAAGACTCTCAAAAAAAAAAAAAAAAAAAAAAAAAAAGGAAATTTAGCCTGGTAGAAGCAAGATGGAGTCAGTTATGTCAGATTTCCCTTACTACTACAATTTTTGCAAAGGCAGCTTCACCACCAAAAGATAGAAACTTTTTTCATTCACCCACTCCAAATCAATTTACTTACTTTAGATTGGATTTAATAATTTCTGTCAATGATTTCCACCCCAAGAGAGTTAATAAAAAAAAGAGTCAGGTCAGGTGTGGTGGCTCACACCTGTAATCCCAGGACTTTCAGAGACTGAAGCAGGAGGATTCCCTGAGCCCTGGAGTTCATAAACCAACCTAGGCAACGTGGTGAAACCCTGTCTCTACTAAAAATGAAAAATTAGCTGGGCGTGGTGGTGAGCACCTGTAGTCCCAGCTACTCAGGAGGCTGAGGCAGAAGAATTGCTTGAACCCAGGAGGCAGAGGAGGCAGAGGTTGCAGTGAGCCGACATAGCACCACTGCACTCCAGCCTGGGCGACAGAGTGAAACTCCATCTCAAAAACAAATAAATAAATAAATAAAATAATTTAAACAGAGCCAAATCACTTTACTCTTTGAAGTAGACTCTCACAATGATACAGAATGGCTGGGCTCCCAGTTAAACACCTCCCTCAAGCCTAGAACTCTGGCCCTAAGTGAAAACAGCTGACCCCGCTTTTTTCGGCCCAAATGATTGCCTTTTGGACCCACCCTGTTACAGGAAAGTGGTCCTGATCCAGACCCCAAGAGACGGTTATTGGATCTTGCACAGGAAAGAATTCAGGGCGAGTCCATAGAGTAAGATGAAAGCAAATTTATTAAGAAAGTAGAGGAATAAAAGAGGGACTTGTACTGAGGGATGCTGGTTGCCCATTTTTATGGTTATTTCTTGATTATATGCCAAGAGGTGGACTATTCATGCCTCCTTTTTATAGACCATATAGGGTAACTTCCTGACATTGCCATGGCATTTGTAAACTGTCATGGCACTAGTGGGAGTGTAGCAGTGAGGAAGACCAGAGGTCACTCTTATTGCCATCTTGGTTTTGATGGGTTTTAACTGGCTTCTTTACTGCAAACTGTTTTATTAGCAAGGTCTTCATAACCTGTATCTTGTGCCGACCTTCTATCTCATCTTGTGACTTAAAATGCCTTAACCATCTGGGAATGCAACCCAGTAGGTCTCAGCCTCATTTTACCTATCTCCATTCAAGATGGAGTTGCTCTGGTTTACATGCCTCAACAGCCCCTCCCCCATCCTGTGCCCATAAAATCCAGACCAGCTGGCAGAAAAAAAAAGGAAAAAAAGAGCAACACAAGTGGCTGAACCTCAGGGATACAAGCTGCTGAGCCTTGGGGATGCAAGCAGTTGAGAGGTGAGCAGAGAAACAACTGAGCATGAGAGACTATGGATAAATGTGGCTAACTTCAGACGGTGCGATTTTGGAGGGGAGCCCAGCCAGAGATGGCTGGGTTTCAGGGAAAGATCACCTTCTTCCTGCACCATCCCGTTTCCAGCTCCCCTTCCATGAGAGCCACTTCTACTGCTCAATAAAGTCTTCCACATTCATTGTCTTTCAAAGAGTTCCTGTGACTTGATTCTTCCTGGACACCGAACAAGAACTTGGGTGTTGAAAAAGGGCAGGTGCAGGAGGCTGTCACCCTGACCCTTCACTGAGCTGTTAACACTTAGCCGTCCATGAACTGCAGGCTGAGTGAAACGAGACACTCCAGTTCCTGCCCACGAAGGGGGTCAAGATCAAGGGAAAAATCCCATCTCAATAGTTACAGACAAAAATCCCTGGGTCTGGATTCTCACAAAAAGGAGAGTGGGGTAAGTATGTGAAACCGCCCAGACATTTGAAAAAAGAAGAAACACTTTTCACAAAGATCTTGTGCCAGTTCTGGTCCTCTGGGAAGCAGACGGTGAGATGGAATTAGAAGTGTAAGAAAAGTCTTTGAAGCATGAAGGGAGGATAGAGCCTGAGAAGGCAGGGATAGCCTCACACTGCCATGCGGGGCTGATACCTATAAAGAGAAAGAGAGGGGATGGAGGAATGGACGAGCTTCTGACTACAGCACAGCTCAGAGAAAGTCTCAACCAGGCCAACAAAGAGCCCCAGAACAAAGATTGCCTGGTAGAAGAGTCCCACATGACAAAGACTGGCCCAGCTCTATTACACTACCATGCCCAGTCACTGGCTGGAAGCAGCTTATGAGAGTGTGGCTTCAGCAAAGCTGCAGAGTGGACCCCCAAGGTGTCACGGAGGGGGACAGCCGGCCAAGCACACTCCTTACCACAGGAGCTATTGTGAAGGGAGAACGAAGCAACACTCTCATCAAGCAGCCCTGGACTGAAACTGTATTGGTGATATCTGAATAATTTTAAACATAGTTTAGGCAGAGTAAAGACGCAGCAGAATACTCCTTTGATGGTGCTGTCTCTTAGCTTCTGAAACATTTATCTCATTCCTTATCTTAAAAGCACCTGAAGTAGGTTTTGTTCAAAAGTAAGGAAATTGGCCCTAATCTGATAAAAAGCCTGAGTCTCCATTGTCTTCTTGAAAGTGCCCCATCCAGGGCTTCCCAGCACCCCTCGGGGCTCCTCTTCCCCACCCAGACCTCACCCAGACTGGGGAATTGAGCTTACTGACTTCTTAATGTGCATTACAGGCTGCCCTTGCTCAAGCCACTCTTGCCACTCTGTCCCCAAGGCCCAGGCTACTGTTGTGTTGGGATGATATCTCAAGTATTGGTTGACATATTTTTGTATTAATAGTATTTCCTGCTTTCTTACTCCATCCCTTCATTGAATTCAGTTGTGGGAGATAGGACAGATATTAAAGGCATGCAGTAGTCAAACCTGTCTTTGGGTTTTATTCTTTATCCTGATACCCAGAAATGGGGGTGGAGATTACCAAGGACAGGGACTAGGGAGCCGAGGCCCTTCAGGAGAACTCACAGCATCTCAGTATCTCAGTATCTGGTGAAATATGTTGCAGTATCTGGTGAAATATGTTTTTGAGATGGAGTCTCATTCTTATCACCCAGGCTGGAGTGCAGTGGCCGATCACGGCTCACTGCAACCTCCACCTCCCAGGTTCAAGCAATTCTTCCACCTCAGCCTACTGAGTAGCTGGGATTACAGGCATGCACCACCACGCCCAGCTAATTTTTGTATTTTTAGTAGAGACGGCATTTCACACGTTGACCAGGCTGGTCTTGAACTCCTGACCTCAGGTGATCCGCCTGCCTCAGCTTCCCAAAGCGCTGGGATTACAGGTGTGAGCCACTGCACCTGGCCAGTATCTCAATATCTTGATCTATTCTCCACTCTCTTTGCCTTGACCGTCCCTGAGAAATTCATCTAGTCCATGAGGCCTAAAGACATGGCAGTATCAAATCAAGCCCCAAGCCAAAAATTATACTGCATGTTACCCTCGTAAAGTGATTCTCTCAACACTGAAAGAATGATATTATATTCCCCAGTGACACTGGGCAAGAAGAAGGAAGGATTGAGGCTTAAGAAAAAAAAAATCAAGTCCTAGCCATGGAGCAAGGAGAAAGAAGCACATGTTGAAAAAATATAAGGAGGTCACTTACATTTAATCAGGTACAAAATTTGCAGACAAAATTAAAAGTGCTAGATACAGAAACTTATAGGTAGAACAGCCCTAATCTTAAAGGGCTATAGATTTTTACCTCATTATCATCTCATTTCTATCAGGGGAACCCACCCCCAATATTTCAACATAGGTTCTTTCTATTTTCCCTAAGTGTCGGCCGGTCTGAGAAATAAAGAGAAAGAGTACAAAGAGAGGAATTTTACAGCTGGGCCTCCAGGGGTGACATCACATATCGGTAGGTCCGTGATGCCTACCTGAGCCACAAAACCAGCAGGTATTTATTAAGGACTTCAAAAGGGGAGGGGGTGTACGAACAGGGAGTAGGTCAGAAAGATCACATGCTTCAAAGGGCAAAAACAAAGATCACATGCTTCTGAGGCCAATAAAGATCACAAGGCAAAGGGCAAAGCAAAGATCACAAGGCAAAGGGCAAAATCAAAAACTCCTGATAAGAGTCTATGTTCAGCTGTGCATGTATTGTCTTGATAAACATCTTAAACAATAGAAAACAGGGTTTGAGAGCAGAGAACTGGTCTGACATCAAATTTACCAGGGAGCGGTTTTTTTCCCCACCCTAATAAGCCTGAGGGTACTGCAGGAGACCAGGGCGTATTTCAGTCCTTATCTCAACTGCATAAGACAGACACTCCCAGAGCGGCCGTTTATAGACGTCCCCCCAGGAATGCAATTCTTTTCCTAGGGTCTTAACATTAATATTCCTTGCTAGGAAATGAATTTAGTGATATCTCCCATACTTGCACGTCCGTGTATAGGCTCTCTGCAAGAAGGAAAATATGGCTCTTTTTGCCCGACTCCGCAGGCAGTCAGACCTTATGGTTGTCTTCCCTTGTTCCCTAAAAATCGCTGTTATTCTGTTCTTTTTCAAGGTGCACTGATTTCATATTGTTCAAACACACGTTTTACAATCAATTTTTACAGTTAACACAATCATCACAGTGATCCTGAGGTGACGTACATCCTCAGCTTATGAAGATAACAGGATTAAGAGATTAAAGTAAGACACATGTAAGAAATTATAAGAGTATTATTAGGGAAGTGATAAATGTCCATGAAACCTTCACAATTTATGTTCCTCTGCCACGGCTCCAGCTGGTCCCTCTGTTTGGGGTCCCTGACTTCCTGCAACATATTTCACCAGCTTTTGTGCCCAATTTTCCAGGAGGAGATGAATAATGAGTTTAATAAGAGTAACGAAAAAGACTACCCCAGCCAGGATTCTTGGTCTAAATGGAAATATCTTTCTCTGAGCACCTGAAAACAGGCTTTTCACCCAGGCTATATCTGGTTTTTTCACGGAGAACCCCTGCTATCTGCCTCAGCAGGGGTTCCTGTTAAGAAGCAGATTTCTCAGGTTAAGCACAGTGGCTCACTCCTGTAATCCCACCACTTTGGGAGGCCAAGGCAGGATTGCTTGAGTCCAAAAGTTTGAGACCAGCCTGGGCAACACAGTGAGACCCTGTATCCACACAAAAAAATGAAAATTTTAAAAATTAAATTTAAAAAAAAAGGCAGATTTCTCAGGCCCAGCCCAGACCTAGTGAACCAGAATCTAAGGGTGAAGCTCTGAATATGCAATTTTAACATCTACCCTAGATGATTTTTACACACATTCAAATGTTAAAACCACTGCTTTAGATTTTTTTTTTTTTTTTCTGAGACAGAGTCTGGCTCTATCACCCAGGCTGGAGTGCAGCGGCCCAATCTCAGCCACACTGCAAGCTCCACCTCCCAGGTTCAAGCAATTCTCCTGCCTCAGCCTCCCAAGTAGCTGAGATTACAGGTGCGTGCCACCACAGCCAGCTGATTTTTGTGTTTTTAGTAGAGATGAGATTTCACCATGTTGCCCAAGCTGGTATCGAACTCCTGACCTCAGGTAATCTGCCTGCCTTGGCCTCCCAAAGTGCTGGGATTACAGGCGTGAGTCACCGCACCGGGCCAGGAGGGTATGAAAAATATTGACACCTCAGATTAGAAAAGACAATCTAGGGGCCGGGCACGGTGGCTCACACCTGTAATCCCAGCACTTTGGGAAGCCGAGGCAGGTGGATCATGAGGTCAGGAGATCGAGACCATCCGGGCTAACACGGTGAAACCCCATCTCTACTACAAGTACAAAAAAAAATTAGCTGGGCGTGGTGGCGGGTGCCTGTAGTCCCAGCTATTCAGGAGTCTGAGGCAGGAGAATGGCGTGAACCCAGGAGGCAGAGCTTGCAGTGAGCTGAGATTGTGCCACTGCACTCCAGCTTGGGCGACAGAGCTAGACTCCGTCTCAGAAAAAAAAAAAAAAAAAAAAAAAAAAGACAATCTAGTCTGGGCTCAGTCTAGGAGAGCGAATCACTTGTCAGGAGTTCAAGACCAGCCAGGCCAACATGGTGAAACCCTGTCTCTACTAAAAATACAAAAATCAGTCGGGTGTGGTAGCATGTGCCTGTAATATCCCAGCTACTCCGGAGGCTGAGGGAGGAGAACATCGTGAACCTGGGAGGCAGAGGTTGCAGTGAGCCGAGATGGCCCACTGCACTCCAACCTGGGTGTCAGAGCAAGGTTCCATCTCAAAAAAAAAAAAAAAAAATGAAAGAAGGAAAAGGCAAGGCCAGGTGCGATGGCTCACACCTGTAATCCCAGCACTTTGGGAGGCCGAGGCAGGTGAATCACGAGGTCAGGAGCTCAAGACTAGCTGTCCAACATGGTGAAACTCCATCTCTACTAAAAATACAAAAAATTAGCTGGGCATAATGGCAGGCGCCTGTAATCCCAGCTGCTCTGGAGGCTGAGGCAGGAGAATCGCTTAAACCTGGGAGGCGGAGGTTGCAATTAGTCCCAGAGGTTGCAGTGAGCCGAGATCATGCCACTGCACTCCAGCCTGGGCGATGGAGCGAGACTCTGTCTCAAAAAAAAAAAAAAGAAAGAAAAGAAAAGACAGTCTACAGTCTAGTTTATGGAATAACAGAAATCTTTAGGGCCTTGCAAGGTTTTTGGTGAATAAAGTTTTTTTAAACATGAAAAAAATAAAGAAATCTTTATGGCCCTGTCAACCTCAATTATAAGCAGAGAGGCTCTCTAACGGAAAATGTTAATCTGGGAATACAGTGTGCAATGGGAATAGGCATGCTTGGTAAACTATGTATTTGGGGAGGAAAAGGAAGACAAAGGTTTTTAAAGGAAAGAATGAGGAGGATTATGTAATTGTTTTGAGATAATTACCTTTGACTACAAAGATCAATAACAAGGGTGACATCAGTCCAAGCTCAGATAGACAGTTGCTGGGCAAATGTCCTTGTAGTAGTATCTTTTTGTATAAGGTTTGAGATGGTCTTTGTGCAAGGTTGTGTTTTTTGTAGTCTTTTTTGTTATTAGGCATAATACATGAGACTTCTCTCTCTCTCCTTCTCTCTCTCTCTTTTTGTAGACACAGGGTTTTGCCATGTTGGCCAGGCTGCGTTTGAACTCCTGGCCTCAAGTGATCCACCTGCCTTGGCCTCCCAAAGTGCTGAGATTACGGCCTGAGCCACCGTGCCCGCCTGAGAACTCTCTCTCTCTCTCTTTTTTTTTTTTTTTTTTTGAGACAGAGTCTCACTCTGTCTCCCAGGCTGGAGTGCAGTGGCACGATCTCAGCCTCACTGCAACTTCCGCCTCCCAGGTTCAAGGGATTCTCCTGCCTCAGCCTCCTGAGTAGCTGGGATTACAGGCACGTGTCACCACGTCCAGCTATTTTTTGCATTTTCAGTAGAGACGGGGTTTTACCATGTTGGCCTGGCTGGTCTCGAACTCCTGACCTCAGGTGATCCACCCACCTCGGCCTCCCAAAGTCCTGAGAATACGGGCATGAGCCACCGCGCCCCGCCAAGAATTCTCTCTTTATAGCTTTCCCTCACTCCCTTTATCAGTGTTTTCTTAATGTTAATGACTCCATTTTGATTCTGATAACTTTCACAGCCTTCATGTGTGCTTTAGGGTAAGAAGCAGCCATACCCAGATCACAATAGCAATGTTCCTTTATCAAATGAGTGTATAAGCTAAAAGCTTTTCATCATTGCAACATCATTCAAAATTCGCTCTTCAATTTAGGCAATTGCTACCACTCCCCATCAGTAAAATAATGTATAGTCTATAATAAGTAGTAAATTGTGATCAATGTTTGTTTTGAGATACTATCTGTTGACTTTACCTGGGCCTCTTTCTTTTCTTTTCTTTTTTTGAGACAAGATCTCACTCTGTTACCCAGACTAGAGTGCAGTGGCACAATCTGGGATCCCTGCATTTTCAACCTCCCTGGCTCAAGGGATCCTCCTACCTCAGCCTCTCAAGCAGCTAGGACCACAGGCACGTGCCACCATGCCCAGCTAATCTTCTTTACTTTTTGTAGAGATGGGGCCTCACTGTGTTGTCCAGGCTAGTCTCAAATTCCTGGGCTCAAGTGATCCTCCCACCTTGGCCTCCCAAAATGCTGGGATCACAGGTATAAGCCACTATTCCAGCCTAGTATTTTTGATATTCTACAATATTGTGATTGACTGTTTCTCCTCCTCTTGTTCCTGGATGCATGGTCTTGCCACTAGTAACAGCATTTCCCAACCTCCCTTGCAGCTACATGTGGCCATATGACCAAGTCTGAGCCAATGGGAGCTGATTGTAAAACATCTAAAATTTCCAAGTCATCTCTAACTTAAACTCAAGTTGGTTCCTCTGAACTTTGGCTTTTCTAATGTTTTTGTAAACTGAATCAAAGAAATGAGAAAGACCAGCTTCATTCATACACAACAGGATGATGCCAAGGAGATGAAAGAACAACAAACTAGAAGAAATTTAGTTCTTGATTAACCCTACTAAGAAAAGCTGCTCCATCAACCTAGACAGGCTGAAGTGTTAAACGAGAGAGAAATAAGTTCCCATATTATTTAAGCCATTACACTTTTGCCTTATTTTTACTACAGCATTTTAGCCTTTACTCTAACAAATACCAGTAGCTAATTAGCACTTAAAGGCACTGGTATTTGTTAGAGTAAAGGCTAAGATGCCCTTAGCTAATTAGCACTTAAAGGCACTTATTAAGTCAGACTGAACCATTGGCAATCAGAATGACATTTATCTTCCGCACCAAATATTTTGTCTCCATGAATCCTATATAGCAAACATTGGAAAGGTGATTATACCTTAATCACAAGAGGAGACTACGAAAAATTCAAAGACCTAAGGAAATGTAGGAGATCAAGTGAATACAGGTAAAACCTAGGTTTATGAAGTTAATTTGATTCATTAAGTGCACAACTTTGTCCCAACGCCCAGTCTTTGTATCACATTGGTATGCATGCCTTTCAAGCATCTCAACAAAGAACACAATTTTTTTAATGTTAAAAAGAAAAATTTTATTTACTTTCTTGTACAAAATATAAATGGATGTTTGAGATGTTTGAGGCAGAATTTTCAGGCCAGGCAGGGTGGCTCACGCCTGTAATCCCAGCACTTTGGGAGGCCAACGTGGGAGGATCGCTTAAGCCCATGAGTTCGAGACCAGCCTGGGCAATATAGAAAGAAGAAAATAGGATTTTCAGGTGTCGAAAGTGGTAAATCATTGAGTAGACTGTGGCATCTGCTTACAAAAATAGTCAAGTACAAATTTGAATGCTCTCAATGTAGTAAATAATATATATATGTATACATACATAAACAAGTTTTTGTGTTTTGCTGTTGTTGTTGTTTTGAGGCGGAGTCTTGCTCTATCACCCTGAGCTGGAGTGCATAGGCACCATCTCGGCTTACTGCAACGTCCGCCTCCCAAGTTCAAGCGATTCTCCTGCCTCAGCCTCCCGAGTAGCTGGGATTACACGTGTGTACCATCACGTCTGGCTAGTTTTTGTATTTTTAATAGAGATGGGGTTTCACTATGTTGGCCAGGCTGGCCTTGAACTCCTGACCTCAGTTGATCCACTCGCCTCGGCCTGCCAAAGTGCTGGGATTATAGGCGTGAGCCACCACTCCCAGCCCAGACTTTCTTAATACATCTGAACAAACCAACATTTTGTGCTATCTATACTGCCTGCTCCTAACACTATGTTTGACTTTGACACATTCAACCCTAGTACAAACTCAAAAATGTAATAGGCTACCTGTAAATATATATATAGAGAGAGAGAGAGAAAGTCCAGGAAAATGTTATTCATGAGTAATGGGACTACCTTACTACTTACTCTTCATTATAAGACTACAGGTTCACCGGGCTCATGCCTGTAATCCCAGCACTTTGGGAGGCCGAGGCGTGTGGATCACCTGAGGTCAGGAGTTCGAGACCAGCCTGACTAACATGGTGAAATCCCGTATCTGCTAAAAATACAAAAATTAGCCAGGCATGATGGCGGGTGCCTCTAATCCCAGCTACTCGGGATGCTGAGGCAGAAGAATCGCTTGAACCTGGGAGGCGGAGGTTGCAGTAATTGCACCATTGCACTGCAACCTGGGTGACAAAGCGAGACTCCATCTTTTAAAAAAAAAAAAAAGACTACAGGTTATTTTTATACTTTTTTTTTTTTTCTTTTTGAGACAGGGTCTCACTGTCACTCAGGCTGAAGTGCAGTAGCACAGTCACAGCTCACTGCAGCCTAGACCTCCTGGGCTCGGGCTGTGAAGTAGCTGGGACCACAGGGGCACTCCACTATGTCTGGCTTTTTGTTTTGTTTTGTAGAGACAGGGTCTCACTATGTTGCTCAGGCTGGTCTTGAATGCCTGGGCTTAAACGATTCCCCCACCTCAGCCTTCCAAAATGCTGGGATTAAAGGTGTGAGCCGCCACGCCTGGCCTTATTTCTGCATTTTCAAAACTATCTATAATGAGCTTGTATTAAATAGTTTTATAATAAAGAGGGAACATGGAGATTTATAGGATGTCACAACTACCGTGGGATTTCTCATTCTTTTCCCATGTCTTCCCAGTTTGTATTCCAAAGCCTTGCATGTAATAGATGCTCAATAAATAAATGTTAGAGAAGGAAGAAAGAAAAAAAAGAAAAGGAAAGAAGAATGGGATGGAAAGGGAGGAATCTGCTGGACGTCTCCTGCTTGACCCTGCAAATTCACTGTCCATTCTTCTCTAAATCCTAAAAGGCTGGTCTACATGGGCTGCCTGGACGGGCTACCTTACCCTCTGGCTTCTGATTGGGTTGGGCCAAGGAGATGCACCAGCAGCCGACCTGAGGTAGGGAGGAGATATTTATTTGCTTCAGGTCACTCACTGTAGCTTGCTGTATCCCTCAACCAACTAGACCTAAGACCATTTCCATACAGCTCTTCTGACTGGGGAAGGCACTTTCTTCTCCTCTCTAGAGTGCTTTTACTGGATCCAGGGTACTGCACTCTCCTTTGCATTTTCTTTCCCTTTATCTTGTTCAGCCCTTTAGAAATACTTCCTTTAGGGCCAGGCATGGTGGCTCACACCTGTAATCCCAGCACTTTGGGAGGCCAAGGCGGGCAGATCACTTGAGGTCAGGAGTTCAAGACCAGCCCAGCCAACATGGTGAAACCCCATCTCTACTGAGAAACACAAAAATTAGCTGGGCTTGGTGGGGCATGCCTGTAATCCCAGCTACTTGGGAGGCTGAGGCAGGAGAATCACTTGAACCCGGGAGGAGGAGGTTGTAGTGAGCTGAGATTGTGCCACTGCACTCCAAGCCTAGGCAACAGAGAGAGACTCCGTCTCAAAAAAAAAAAAAAAAAAAAAAACATGGACACACTCAATATTGATTGTTTAATACATGCACAAAGGAAAAATATCTGTTGTGATATGATACCATTCTCAAGGATTAATTATTGCTTTTCAAAGACCAGCTCTCATTCATTTGTCAATATGACTTTTTCTTTTTTGATGTACTTGAAGGTACTTTTTTTACATATGAAAGACTATTTGGGGACTACTGTAGTGCTTTAAATTAATATTAATTTTACTAGAGTTGCCAATTCACAAACTGAAGCTATTAAGTTCAATTTATAAATGTTATTATTTTATTCTTAATCTAGTGACTTTTAACAGATACTTTTAAAGTGTCCTTTTATCCATATTTGATGTCATTTACAAACCTAGTTAACTAAATGTGACTTAAATATTTTAAATTTAATACACTATTTTTCCTTAATGCCTCTAACAAGCAGAATTTACCCAAATGTTTAGAATAATATGAATCTAATAAAAGTATAAATTTTGTGAATCTTAAGTTCTCTTTAACATTTCAATGTTTTTTGTAAACTTATCTTTTAACTTAAGAAAATTACAACTCTAAAACTGAAAACTCATTAACATATCACTGGCCATCAGAGAAATGCAAATCAAAACCACAATGAGATACCATCTCACACTGGTTAGAATGGCAATCATTAAAAAGTCAGGAAACAACAGGTGCTGGAGAGGATGTGGAGAAATAGGAACACTTTTACACTGTTGGTGGGACTGTAAACTAGTTCAACTATTGTGGAAGTCAGTGTGGCGATTCCTCAAGGATCTAGAACTAGAAATACCATTTGACCCAGCCATCCCATTACTGGGTATATACCCAAAGGACTATAAATCATGCTGCTATAAAGACACATGCACACGTATGTTTATTGTGGCATTATTCACAATAGCAAAGACTTGGAACCAACCCAAATGTCCAACAATGATAGACTGGATTAAGAAAATGTGGCACATATACACCATGGAATACTATGCAGCCATAAAAAATGATGAGTTCATGTCCTTTGTAGGGACATGGATGAAATTGGAAATCATCATTCTCAGTAAACTATCGCAAGAACAAAAAACCAAACACCGCATATTCTCACTCATAGGTGGGAATTGAACAATGAGATCACAGGGACACAGGAATGGGAATATCACACTCTGGGGACTGTGGTGGGGTGGGGGGAGGGGGGAGGGATGGCATTGGGAGATACACCTAATGCTAGATGACGAGTTAGTGGGTGCAGCGCACCAGTATGGCACATGTATACATATGTAACTAACCTGCACAATGTGCACATGTACCCTAAAACTTAAAGTATAAAAAAAAAAAAGAAAACTCAATAACATTTTAAATTTGAATCATGAGGTATTAGTATATTAATACCAGACCCTCTAATAAGTCCAATTTTCTTAACTATTACAAATATTTAAACTATTGTATTAGTCTGTTTTCACACTGCTATAAAGAACTACCTGAGGCCGTGCACGGTGGCTCACGCCTGTAATCCCAAAACTTTGAGAGGCTGAGGCAGGTAGATCACAAGGTCAGGAGTTCGAGACCAGCCTGGCAAACATGATGAAACCCTGTCTCTACTAAAAATACAAAAATTAGCCAGGCGTGGTGGCAGGCGCCTGTAGTCCCAGCTACTTGGGAGGCTGAGGCAGGAGAATCGCTTGAAGCCAGGAGGCAGAGGTTGCAGTGAGCCAAGATCGGCGTGCGCCACTGCACTCCAGCCTGGGTGACGGAGCAAGACTCCATCTAAAAAAAAAAAAAAGAACTATCTGAGACTGAGTAATTTATAAAGGAAAGAAGTTATTGACTCACAGATCTGCATGGCTGGGGAGGCCTCAGGAAACACAATCATGATGGAAGGTGAAGAGGAAGCAAGGTATGTCTTACGTGGCGACAGAAGACAGAGAGAACAAGGGGGTAAGTGGCACACTTTTAAACCATCAGATCTCGGCTGGACTTGGTGGCTCATGTCTGTGATCCCAGCAGTATGGGAGGCCAAGGTAGGTGGATTACTTGCGATCAGGAGTCTGAGACCAGCCTGGCCAACATGGTGAAACTGCATCTCTACTAAATACAAAAATTAGCTAAGTGTGGTGGCAGACACCTGTAATCCCAGCTACTTGGGAGGATGAGGCAGGAAAATTGCTTGAACCTGGGAGGTAGAGGTTGCAATGAGCCAAGTTCATGTCACTGCACTCCAGCCTCGGTGACAGAGCGAGATTCCATCTCAAAAAAATAAAAATAAATCATCAGATCTCGTGAGAACTCACTCACTATCACAGGAACAGCATGGAGGAAACCGGCCCCATAATCCAATCACCTCCCACCAGGTCCCTGGTCCCTCCTGAGGGACATGGGGATTACAATTCGAGATAAGATTTGGGTGGAGACAGAGCCAAACCATATCAAATATGAAACAAACATAGATCTTTCACAAAGTTAATGCCAAATGATTAATTTTATTGGTTGTTAATTCATTATTTCTACCTATAAGGGTCAAATGAGAGAGTTTTCCCATTCAAGCAAATTGGGGCTATTAGCAGAAGCTAGTTGATTTAACCACACCAAATAAGCAGGGTTATCTGCTCAGTGGCTGATATTGAACCAGAAGCTTTTGACAAAGATACCTCTGGAGCAGCCAACAACTAAGATACTTTCTCAGACACAGAGGCAACTTTCGTCCTATTGTACAGTCACTTTGCAATTAGAGACCCTAACCCCATTCTTCTCCAAGTGGGGTTGTCTCATAGACCCCCATTCCCTGGGTGCAAGTTATACATTATCTAATAATACCCAAGATTGGATTCAATTATCTACTGCTTGATTCTAGTCTTAATTATTTTCATATTTTTCTTCTTGGTTAGGGATATAACACTTACAGATATCTTAAAGATATCCAATTCGGGCTGGGCACTGTGGCTTACACACGTAATCCCAACACTTTGAGAGGCCTAGGTGGGCGGATCACCTGAGGTCGGGAGTTCAAGACCAGCCTGACCAACATGGAGAAACCCTGCCTCTACTAAAAATACAAAATTAGCTGGGTGTGGTGGTGCATGCCTGTAATCCCAGCTACTCGAGAGGCTGAGGCAGGAGAATCACTTTAAGCCAGGAAGCAGAGGTTGCGGTGAGCCGAGATCGTGCCATTGCACTCCAGCCTGGGCAACAAGAGTGAAACTCTGTCTCAAACAAACAAACAAAGATATCCAATTCAGTCATGTATATCTTTCTTTGTTTTACATGCTAATGACAGTAGTCTTTTACTTTCATGGCAACTCTTCTGCTTACTATATGATAGGAATGGCCTGGGTAAAGGATATGCTTTATAGATCTCTGGAGTTAGCTCTTTAATGCTTCCCTCCCCTCTTCTGCCCTGCTTTTGAGTGGTGTGCCTTAGCTTGTGAAGGATTGGTTGAGGATGACTTAGGTTGAGGGGGTCTGGGCTGAGAAGGCTTAGACTGGGGAGGCCAGGGCTGGCTTGGCTTAGGCTGAGTAGATTTGCATGGAGAAGGTTTAGTTTGGGAGGGCTGGGACTGACAGGATTTTGTCTGAGAGGATTTAGGTTGAGAGGGCACAGAATGGAAGGGTTTAGGCTGGGAGTGTTTGACTGTGGATGGGTTGGACTGATCGGATTTGAACTGAGAGCTCTTGCACATGGGATGGGACCCTATTTGGAGAGCTGGATTTGAAGCCCCACCTTGTGTCTTCATCTGGACTCCTTGCTGAGAAGCAGGTCTTAGTTTTTGTGTGGCTGCTGCTGGTTGAAAGGACTGAGGGTGAGGCTTTCCAATATGGGATGTTCTTATCAGTTTTCCAGTTGCTTCAGTTAACTCTGTTACCCTGGTGCAAGCTTGCTGAGGCCATGGCTTCCCTACTGCTCTTGCTGGCTGTGAATCCAGGGAATAGGAGTGACCTATCTTGGAGGCTACTGCCCTAGACCTTTCAAGAGTTCCCATCATTTGTGGTCTCTCAGGGCAGGCCTGTACATGCTGACAAATGGGTCTTGGCAGTCTCCCAAATGTTCCATTCGAGTGACATCCCCGAGCAACTCTGGAAAATTTCATGAATCTTTCACCTGAATAAAATATCTGGGGATGGAAGGATTGAATACCAAAACTTTTACCTCGGCCCTGGGCCCCTGCATTCTGAAAAGGCAAAGGATGGAACCACTTAGGCCTCTGCTCTGACCCAAAGGGGCGGCCCATAACCCAGGAGGCTTTCAAGGAAACATGGTTAAAGTTACCTCCAATTCTGGTTGGAAAGAGCCAGGAGTTCTCTAGAACAGGCCTGAATACTGGGGTACCATAGAGATTCTGAAGATTCTGGCTGAGCTCACATTGAGTCCCAGGCTCTTGAATTGGCATTAGAGCCTGGCTTTTAGATGAGCTTTTTAGCTGACTGTGTCTTTGCTGACCCTCACCTTCAGCTGTCCCAGCCATGTTTTCTCCAGAGGAAACTTGAATTCTCTGAGTGTTTTCAAAGTCTTCATCTACCTGAATCCCCAGCTCCCTGGCCAGGGCGGCCATATCCTCCACAGACACACATCTGAGGCAAGAAGAGAACATCACTTCCTGGAGGGCAGCTTGAAGGCCCTCCATGTTCTTCCTTCTATCCCCAGCATCTCCCCTCTCCCAAAACAGTAGCTGTGCTGGCTTCAAGTTCAGTATCCTCTGAAAAATTTGAGCCTCTTCACTCTCCCTGGCTTGGGAACTGAGAACAAAGTAGCATCTTTCAATGGCAGCCTCTCCTAAAAACATTAGCAAGTCCCATTCCTTCTCACCTAAACAGTCAGTGAAAAAAAACACAGCTGAAGAAACTTCCATCAAAAAACCAAACTGAGTCCAAAAGCTTTCTAGATTTCCACGGAGATTAGCCAGAGCAACAGGCTTTTGGAAAAAGGGGTTTTCCTTTCTATCATCGCTATCAGGAAAACACCATGTTATCTCAACCAGGCCATCAGAGATTTGCCGGGGAAGCACCAAAAGAGGCAAATCTTGATGAAGAAAGATTTTGTGTAATTTCAACTGGGCAGGGCTGAGAAGTGTGTTGAGGATTCTGGACTTAGAGAAGCTACAGTATCCTAGACGCACAAAAGAGATGACAGGCATCTTCATGAGAGTCAGAAACTTTTCTGTATCCTCTGTAGGCCCCCCTGAAAACTGTGTTGACTGCTTCTTCACAATGTCTTTCATGGCCCCCAGCATTAAGATGCTTTTGTTGTTTTCTGCATCTGGCAGTAGCAGGGGAAGAGCAAACTGGCACTGATACATGTTTGACATGACTTGGCGTTGCAAAGAGCTATCTGAACACAGCATGGTGGCACAAAGCACGTCAAGGGGATTAATGGTTTGTATGTCTCGAATTTCCAAATTCTCCACTCCAGCCAGCAAATCCTCCTTGCTATCTTCATCCAGAACCTTGTGACTGAGGATTGAATCCCTAGCCGTCACATCTCGTGCTTGAACTTTCATCAGGAAATTCCAGGCTAAGTCTCCTGGACTCTCAGGGGTCCACTTACATCCTCGATCTAAGGAGAATTGTTTAACAAAATCTGGCAGAACCTTTCTGCTTCTATCCATGTTCAAACATAACAGGACATCTTTAAACACCTTTTTTCTTTCTGTAGGAGAGAAGATAATAGTGAATGCCATGTTCAGAGTTTCAATTTTCCCCATCGACTTCTTTTTTTGAGACAGTCTCACTCCATCACCTAGGCTGGAATCCAGGGGCATGATCATCACCCTGGGCTCAAGCAATCCTACCATCTTAGCCTCCCAAGTAGCTGAGACTACAGTCACCCACCACCATGCCTGGCTACTTTTTTTTTTTAATAGAGATGGGGTCTTTCTATGTTGCCCAGGCTGACTCTGAACTGATCTCAAGCGAAACTCCCAAAGTGCTGGGATTACAGGCATGAGTCACTGTGCCCAGCCTGACTTTTAAAATTAAGTCATCTGCATTATTTTTTGCTTTGAGGCAGAGTTTGAAAGAAAACTGTCACCCAGGCTGGAGTGCAATGGAGCCATCTCAGCTCACTGCAACCTCCACCTCCTGGGTTCAAGCTATTCTTGTGTCTCAGCCTCCCAAGTAGCTGGGACTACAGGTGTATGCCACCATGCCCGGCTAATTTTTGTATTTTTAGTAGAGATGGGATTTCACCATGTTGGCTAGGCTGGTCTTGAACTAGACTCAAGTGATCAGCCTGCCTCAGCCTCCCAAAGTGCTAGGATAGACATAAGCCCCTACACCCGGTCTAATCTACATTTTCACTGCAAAAAGCTGAAACAATATAAATAAAGTGGAAGTCTCCTTTCACCATTCTGGCAAGTCAGCTTCGTTTTTAGGGGAGATATCAATATGGTACAGTATGTTTGCTTCCCATCCTTTTTCTATGCAAGTACTTAAGTATGCATGCATATATAGAAATATATAGTTTTACTTAGTAGATTCTATTTTTTTTTTTTAGATGGAGTCTGGCTCTGTTGCCCAGGCTAGGGTGCAGTGGCAAGATCTCAGCTCACTGCAACATCCACCTCCTGGGTTCAAGTAATTCTCCCAGCCTCAGCCTCCCGAGTAGCTGGGATTACAGGCATGTGCCACCACACCAAGCTAATTTTTGTATTTGTAGAGATGGGGTTTCACCATGTTGGCCAGGCTGGTCTCGAACTCCTGACCTCAAGTAATCCACCTGCCTCAGCCTCCCAAAATGAGGGATTACAGGCATGAGCCACCGTGCCCAGCCCATGCTATTTTTTTTTACATAAATGATATTATACTAAACAAATGATTCTTCAGCTTCTTTTCACTTAGTGGTATTCCTTGCAAATTATTTCAAGTCAGCATATATACTGATCTACCTAACTCATTTTAGCTATTTCATGGTACTCCATGGTTTGGATGGATGTAACTATTTAACAATTGCCTATGGATGATCATTTAGGTTTTTTATTTAAAAAAATGTGCTAACATTTACATGCAGCAATGAAAAAAAAATTTATTAATGTTAAATTATATACATCTATGAGAAATACTCTAGGTTGATACTGGTTTTTTTTTTTTTTTTTTTTTTTTTGGAGACGGAGTCTCACTCTGTCACCAGGCTGGAGTGCAGTGGCTCGATCTCGGCTCACTGCAACTTCCGCCTCTCGGGTTCAAGTGATTCTCCTGTCTCACCCTCCCGAGTAGCTGGGACTACAGGCGCCCGCCGTCACACCCAGCTAATTTTTTTTTTTTTTTTGTATTTTAGTAGAGATGGTTCACTGTGTTGCCCAGGCTGGTCTCGAACTCCTGAGCTCAGGCAATCCACCCTCCTCAGCCTCCCAAAGTGCTAGGATTACAGGTGTGAGCCACTGTGCCTGGCTTTTTTTTTTTTTTTTTTTTGAGATGGAGTGTCACTCTGTCACCCAGGCTGGAGTGCAGTGGCACGATCTCAGCTCACTGAAACCTCCACCTCCTGGGTTCAAGCGATTCTCCTGCCTCAGCCTCCCAAGTAGCTGGGACCATATGCGGGTGCCACCACACCTGGCTAATTTTTTGTATTTTTAGTAGAGACAGGGTTTCACTATGTTAGCCAGGATGGTCTCGATCTCCTGACCTCGTGATGCGCCTGCCTCGGCCTCCCAAAGTCCTGGGATTACAGGCGTTAGCCACCGCACCTGGCCGATACTGGTTCTTTCTTAAATTTATCTCTTGCTGAAGTTTACAGGAACTGAAGATTTTATTTCCTTCAAAGTTTTTCTCGGAGTTTACATGCTATACCTAATTTTTCCTGATCTCCCATTTTCCAAACTATCTTCTACCTACTTTTTTTTTTTGAGACAGGGTCTTGTACTGTTACCTAGGCTGGAGTGCAGTGGTGCAATCTCAGCTCACTGCAGTCTCAACTTCCTGGGTTCAGGTGATCCTCCTGCCTCAGCCTTTGGAGTAGCTGGGACCACAAGTGCACACCATCAACCCCACCTAACTTTTCATTTCTTCATTTTGTAGAGACAGGGTCTCACCATTTTGCCCAGGCTGGTCTCAACTCCTGGGCTCAATTAATCTGCCTGCCTCAGCCTCCCAAAGTGTTGGGATTGTAGGCATGAGCCACCCTGGCTGGCCTACCTACATCTTATAAATACAGAGATAGTACATAACAGAGAGAGAAGATCAGCCTAGATTTTCTACTCCTGACAGACGGCCAGCTAGTGTAAAAATGTAAAATTACCCTTAAAAATAGCTTTGAAGAAACAACAGAAATAAGAGAAAAGCATAGATTTTAGGAATTAATAAAAGTAACTATAAGAAGCCCTTGAGTAGTCTCAAAGTTGCTTGAACTGATATATGTGTTGGGGCAAAAAGGTGAGGGGGAAGTTGAATCTAGCATGAAGAAAGAGTTCACAGAGGAAGCAGTGAGAGAATAGGTTGCAGGACAGCTTTTAAGTTCTGCTTTTTCCTGTCTCATACTTTGCCTTAGGAAAGCAATTCTCTACTTCTTCAGCCAGAAATTCGTACCCATGGCTGGGTGCAGTGGCTCGCACCTATAATCCCAGCACTTTGGGAGGATGAGGTCGGCAGATCACCTGAGGTCAGGAGTTCGAGACCAGCCTGGCCAACATAATGACACCCCGTCTCTACTAAAAATACAAAAATTAGCCAGGTGTGGTGGCAGGTGCCTGTAGTCCCAGCTACTCAGGAGGCTGAGGCAGGAGAATCACTTGAACCCAGGAGGTGGAGGTTGCAGGGTTGCAGTGAGCCAAGATTGTGGCCCTGCACTCCAGCCTGTCATCTCAAAAAAAAAGAAAGACATCAATACCCACAGGATCCAAGCCAGGTGTGTCGACAAGGTAATAACAGTGTCACTATGGAGCAGATCAAAGCAACAGAGTAGATGTACACACAAAACAGAGATGTATCTAATTAAGCACAGAGCTAGGTGAAAAAAGTAAGCAATAATATCAGGAAACTAATCTCAATTTTATAAATTAAAAATTCATAAAAATAACTCAGCTAAGGCAAAAAGAAATAAACAGAGATTTCAGCTGCCACCCATGGAAAAGGAGTCTAAATTTTGAATTTAAATACAGTTAGGTTAACTGGAGACAAAAACAGACTAAAATAATATTCAGACTCTTGGGAGAAATATAACAATCTAGAGTCTCTATGACCTATTATATACAATGGATAGAACACAATCCAAAGCTAATAGACATAGGAAGAAACAAGAAATGTAACTCATACTCAATGGACACTGAATCCAAAATGACCTAGATGTTAGATTTAGCATATAAGAATTTTACAGTCAGGCATGGTGGCTCATGCCTGTAATTCCAAAACAGTGGGAGGCTGAGGCAGGAGGATCACTTGAGCCCAGGAGTTCAAAACCAGCCTGGGCAACATCGTGAAAACCCTGTCTCTACAAAAAATACAAAATTAACCAGGCCTGGCGGTCTGTGCCTGTAGCCCTAGCTACTTGAGAGGCCGAGGTGGGAGGATGGCTTGAGCCTCAGCCTAGGAGACTGAGGCTGCAGTGAGCCAAGATTGTGCCACTGCACTCTAGCCTGAGCAACAGAGTAAGACTCTGTCTCAAAAAAAAAAAAAAAAACAATTAAAATTAAGTAAGTCCACAATGAATGATTAAATAGGAATTCTCAGAAAAAAATATAAAGTATTTTTAAACAGGAAATTCTGGAATTAAAAATCACAATATATGAATTTGTTTAAAATCACTAGATGGGCTAACAACAAATTGGAGATGACAGAAGAAAGTAAATATCTAACCTGAAGAACAGAGAGAAAAAATATTAAAGAAAACTGAGCAAAGTCTCTGGAACCTGTAGAACAATATTTTTAAAACTCTAAAATTCATGTACTCGAAGTCTCAGAAAGAGAGAAGAGAAGAAGTGAGAAAGAAAAAAATCTCGGTAAATAACAGCTGAAAAGTTTCCAAATTTGATTAAAAGTTTTTGTATAGATTCAGGAAACTCTGCAAACACTAAGAGAAAAAAAAAATCACCCCAGACACATCAGAGTCAACTGCTCAAAAAAAATTAAGAAAAAATCTTGAAAACAACCAGAGATAAATGACACAGCACTTACAGAGGATCAATGATAAAATGACTGAAGATTTAGCATCAGAAACAATGGAAGCTAAAAGACAGAGGAATGGCATCCATAACATGTTAAAGGCAAAAGTTGTAGAATCCTATATCCAGCAAAAGCAACCTTCTGGAATGAAGGCAAAATAAAAATATCTTTCAATAAACAAAAACTAAGAGAATTTACCACCAGCAGACTTGTACTAAGAGAAAAAATAAATAAATTTTTCAGGCTAAAGGAAAATAATATAAAATGAAAACCTGGATCTTCAGGAAAAAAGAAAGGCCACAGGGAAAGGTAAACATATTGGTTCCACCCAATGGTTGAACCCAACAACAAGCTGGAGGGGGAAGAGAGTCAATTGATACTGTCTATACAAGTTGAACTTCTATAGTGCAGAGCACACAAGGCAATAGTTTAAGCCTTTCTGAGACTGTGACACTGTGATATTTTTTACATAAAATTTCACATGACAAAGAGCATGAAGACCTTCCTTTGATTTAGAACTATTTTTTTCATTTCTCAGCTGCACAGACAAATATTACTTGGGAAAGAAACAAAGAATAGCCACGTGCCTCCAGTCAACTAGAGTGGATGGGCAGCCATTAGAATTACATTGCAGATCATAACTACATTATTATTAAGACTTCTCTTGATCTGTTTTACTAAAGATGTTAGACTGATTGTAATAATGTCCCCAGTTAATGGCTTTCTGGTATCCATAGTCTTTGCTATCTTATTTTGCAAGAAGTAGAACTTGTTTTCCCCCAACCCTAAACCTGGCTTTGAGACTTGCTTTGGTCAACAGAATGTGGCAGAAGTAATGGTGTTATGGGTTGAATTTTGTCCCCCTCAAAAAGATATGAAGTCCCCCAGTAATGCAGAATGTGGCTTTATTTTGTAAATAGCATCTTTATCTTTACAGAGGTAATTAAGTTAAAATAAGGTCATGGAGGGGGGCCTAAATCAGTATAATTGGTGTCTTAATAAAAAAGAAAAATTTAGACACAGAGACATGCACAGAGGATAGATGATGTGAAGAGACACAGGGAGAAAATGGCCATCTGTAAGTCAAGGAATGCACGAAGCTACCAGGGGCTAGGAGAGAAGCCTGAGACAAATCCTTTCCTAGCACCTCCAGAGGGAGCATGACCCTCCTGATACCTTGATATCAGGCTTCTGGCCTCCTGAACTGTGAGACAAGAAATTTTTGTTGTTCTAAAGCCACTCATTTGTGGTACTTTGTTACAGCAGCCCTAGGAAACAGATACAGATGGCATAGATGGCATGATGATCGTTCTAAAGCTAAGACTCAAAAGGCCTTCACTACTTCTCTGTCTCCCCCCCTCCACCTTGCTCTCTCTCCCTTTCTCTCTCCTTTACCCTCATCATAAGAATATACTTGGCCAGGCGCGGTGGCTCATGTCCATAATTCCAGCACTTTGGGAGGCCGAGGTGGGTGGATCACCTGAGGTCAAGAGTTCGAGACCAGCCTGGCCAACATGGTGAAACCCCATCTCTACTAAAAATACAAAAATTAGCCAGGCGTGGTAGTGGGCACCTGTAATCCCAGCTACTCAGGAGGCTGAGGCAGGAGAATCGCTTGAACCCAGGAGGCAGAGGTTGCAGTGAGCCAAGATCATGCCACTGCACTCCAGCCTGGGCAACAGAGTGAGCCTCCATCTCAAAAAAAAAAAAAAGAATATACTGCATCTATTCTGAAAACAAGCCCAGAGTAGCCTGCTTGAAGATGAGAGACCAGCCTTCAACCACCTCATCACAGATGCATGAGTGAACCCAGGGAAGACCAGCAGAACTGCCCAGCCAACCACAGACATGTGAACAATAATAAACTCTCAGTGTTTGAAGTGACTGAATTTTCAGATGATTTGTTATGTAGCATTATTGAGGCCAGGAGTTCAAGACCAGCCTGGGCAACGTGGTGAAACCCAGTCAGTACCTGATACAGAAAAAAAATTTCATGAAAACCAAACAATATGTAAGAGATGCACTGCAATATTAGAATGTTACCTACGGAAGAAGGTAAATGGGAAATGGAGAAAAAAACAGAATAGATAAACAGGGGATTTTTGCAGAATAATGATGATACTATGCAATGAATTAATTAATTCAACCCTATGCACCAACTAAAATAAATAAATAAAAATTAAGAATGGGGCCCCAAAATAATCATGTATTAAGAAGTTATTTGGGGGTGGGGCAAGAGGCATGGGTTGAATTATGTCCCTTACAAAATTCATATGTTGAAATCCTAACCCCCAGTACCTCAGAATGTGATGTTATTTGGAAATAGGGCCATTGCAGATGTAATTAGTTTTAATAATGTTATTAGGGTGGGCCCTAATCCAATATGACTGGTGTCCTTTTTTATTTTGGCCAAAGGGGTGCACACTCAGGGACAAGGACATTTGAAGGTGAAGGCATATCAGAGGGATGCTTGCACAAGCCAAGCAGTGTCAATGATTTCCAGCAAACCACCAGGAAAGCTAGGATCCTTCAGATCACATCCTTCAGAAGGAACCAACCCTTGTCCAGGCACAGTGGCTCATGCCTTAATCCCAGCATTTTGGGAGGCCAAGGTGGGTGGATTACTTGAGGTTAGGAGTTCGAGACCAGCCTGGCCAACATGGTGTAACC
This sequence comes from Homo sapiens, assembly GCF_000001405.40. NCBI lineage: Eukaryota > Metazoa > Chordata > Mammalia > Primates > Hominidae > Homo > Homo sapiens. The sequence continues at coordinate 40,845,058 of NC_000005.10, read as the reverse complement.
TCGTCTCTACTAAAACAACAAAAATTAGCCAGGCGTGGTGGCACGCACCTGTAATCCCAGCTACCTGGGGAGCTGAGGCAGGTGAATCGCTTGAACCCGGGAGGCGGAGGGTACAGTGAGCAAGGTCACACCATTGCACTCCAGCCTGGGCGACGAGTGAGACTCTGTTTCAAAAAAAAAAAAAAAAAAAGAAGGAAGCAACCCTGTCAGTACTTTGATACTTTGATTTCAGATTTCTAGCCTCCAAAAGAGTGAGACAAGAAATCTGTGTTTATTGTTTAAGCCACTGATTTTGTGGTATTTTGTTACAGCATCCCTCACAAACTGATACAAGGTGTGATGAGGAAGAAATGACTCTCTTCCTACCCATAAGTGGATTATGAGTCCCCAAGATTTGAAATTAATGTGAGATGGTAGCTACATTTTCATCCTCTACTCAGAACTTAGTGATGTCTGTTTTCCCAGGCAATATCACTCCAATGAAACACTTCTCATATTTTGAATTTTCATTAAGAAATATTCAGATTTGGCTAGGTGCAGTGGCTCACACCTGTAATCCCAGGATTTTGGGTGGCCAAGGTGGGCAGATCACTTGAGCCCAGGAGTTCGAGACCAGCCTGAGCAACATGGCAAAATCCCATCTTTACAAAATACAAAATTAGCCAGGCGTGGTGGCAGGCACCTGTAATGCTAGCTACTCAGGAGGCTGAGGTAGGAGGATCACCCGAGCCTGGGAGGTAGAGGCTGCGGTGAGTCATGATTGTGCCACTGCACTCCAGCCTGAGTGAGACCCTGTTTAAAAACAAATTTTTTTTAAATAAAGAAATATTCAGATTCAAGATACAAATATAATTCTCATCAAGATGGCATTATGTGGACTGGATCAAGCCAAGTAACAATATTTTGGGATCTTAGCCATTTACTGACTGTTTTCACTTAAATAGTCAAACCCATAATCCCCATATCTCTCTGGTCACAAAGGCACTAAAATAACTAAAGTGGTTTAACCTGAGAAATAGGTTAGCCTGAAATTAATGATTAGCAACTCCTCGTACGTATAATGGGAAATTAATGATTGGCAACTCCTTATACGAACTACAGAAATTTACAAACTGACAATCAATATTTACTTTTGCTTATGCTGTCCATCATTTCCTAGGTCCTGGGAGCTCCTTTAAGTCAACACCTACCTCGAGGAGATTCCAGGTCAGAGAGGCACGAGGAATTTCTTAGTAGTTGATTTTCTGCTGACATCTGTCCCTTTTTCATCCCCCATCCCCATTATGTCATGGCAAGCTTATTAACTTATTAAGTTGTTGCCTAACTAACTATACAAGATATTTCCATACCTTCTATACTTTTCTCCTGTTCCTCCTCCAATGAAAGGCTGGTTTCTGATCCCTCATAACTTGGTTCTTCACCAGAGAACTCTGTGGTTTCTGAATTCTCGAAGTCCTCTTCACCATCATATCCAACGTGCTCTGGGTCATCATAAACCTCCTCTTCCACAGTGGCTTCTGCATCTTCAGGGGTGTCAACAGATCCTAGATATTCCTCTTTTCCTAAGTATAAAGAATCATCTAGCTCCTCATATCTCTGTCCATCTTTTATATATGTAATAGTTGCTGGAACTTCACATCCAACTTTCTCAACTGAATATGATAATGTGACTTCTGGTGTGTCATATTCCTTCTCATTCTTCCTGGCAGACAAAGCTGTTTCCCTATAACTAGTTTTCTTGTCCCTGAAAAACTCAGAGGTTTCCAAATCCAAGTGTTCCTTCTCACTGAAGAACACTGTGATCTCAGGGGCTTCAGGCTGTTTTATTCCAGGAGAAAAAGCATCTTCTGAATTACTGCTTGCCCCCATAGATTGAGGAGGTACTGTATTCTCATGTTTTAAAACTTCTGCAAAGAAAAGAATTGTTTTTCCCAATTAAGAAAAAGAAGCTGTATAACAGCTAGAGTTCCTGAGGCCTCAAAGCTTCATCCCTCTCCTTTTATTTATTTATTTATTTTTTGAGACAGAGTTTCACTCTTGTTGCCGAGGCTGGAGTGCAATGGCACGATCTGGGCTCACTGCAACCTCAACCTCCCGGGTTCAGGTGATTCCCCTGCCTCAGTCTCCCAAGTAGCTGGGATTACAGGCATGCGCCATGATGCCCAGCTAATTTTTGTATTTTTAGTAGAGACAGTGTTTCACTATGTTGGTCAGGCTGGTCTCAAACTCCTGACCTCAGGTGATCCATCTGCCCCGGCCTCCCAAAGTGCTGGGATTACAGGTGTGAGCCACAGCGCCCAGCCACCTCTTATTTCACTGGAGGACAGGAATACCTAACACCTCCTATATAACTTGCATGTCAACATGTCAACTTTCAGAACTTTCTTTTTTCCACTAAAAAAAAAAATCAGATCACACCACTGTCTTGCTTAAAGTTTGAGTCCTTCCTAGCAACCTTACAGGGTAAGTGAATAAAACGAAAAATTTGAATCATATGAACAGTGTTTACTTGTGGACTTACTGTGACTCACAACAGACTCACGTCTCTTGGGGTCATTGCTAATGAAATCTGATCACAAATAATTTCTAATCAGTAAGCAAATGGCTCTATTTGGAATAGTGTGCTTTAGAAATAATAAAAGAAAAATTTCTAAGCATATAAATCTTGTCCTAAATTAGGTATCACTAACATTCACCTTTTTATCTGAGCCTCTACCTCTCTAACATCCCTTAAAATAATTTTGAATTTTTTTTTAGATTCCTAGAAAAAGAGCTAGACCTAGTCCTAGTAGTAATTTACAGAATTGCTAAATAACTGGAAGAATTGCTTTTTCATGGACTACTAGTTATCTTTGAACCATTTAAGAATTAGCACTGGAATTGCTCCAGAAAACAGCTGCTGCTGGCATTCTTATCACCAAAAAAATGAAACTACTGATTTGCCATCTATGTGTTAAAAATTATTTTCCTTGTATTTTCAAAACGGCTATACTAAGTGAAAGATACAGCTTGTGGTCTTGGCACTGTAAATATCCACGAATTCATCTACTTGAAAAACAAACCCTGGATTGTGTTATTATTAAAGTATTTTCCTTCCAACTGTGAGATTTTAGCATGTTACTGCCAGAATAATGAGCAGTTTGTTAGCACTAAAACAACTTCAAGTTTTGAGTACAGTCTGAAAAACAAATTATCGATTCAGTAGACCAATAAGATGTTAAATTTCAGAAACTTTTTAAATTCCAGTTTTTCCCTATTTCATATTTCAATGAAAATTATCTCCAGAAAAAGACTAACAAAAATAAAAGGCAACAATTTTCTTTCATTTTGTTTTCTTTTTCAGAAAGTCTGCCCCCTTCCTCTCACCCCAAAAAGTATACAAAGTCAACTTACCATGCCTTAAGCCGCAAATGGCAGCTGACTGTGGAAAAGTACTAAATAAACACTTGAGAAAATGCTGACAGGTCGCCTCTCCCTTTTTCTGTACCAAAATTAACAGCTTCCGACTTTTCTTCAGGAGATCTGTAACATTCTCCAGAGTCTCATACTCTTCCTCAGAAATCAGCCTCCGAGAAGTTAACGTGTCTAAGATAGAATCAGGATCATGTTGAAGGATTTCAAGCAACTTTTTTCTTTCTCTTTCTATGATCTCTGAGGGAGTACTCTCGGTAGCCATTGTTCCTGTTTCCTCTAAACCAGGAAATATATTATGAAATCATCCTAATGAATAAGTAAAAGTTAAAAAAAGAATGACAAAGAACAATTCTATTTGGCTAAGCTTTAACATGTCAATGATGCCTAGTGTTGGAGAGTGCAGATACAAGCACAGTGGGGCAACCCAGCTCGGAGCACTCTCTGATCCGGGGTCCTTGTGGATTATTTATCTGCTCTTTTGAAGTCTTGATAAATTCTCACCATGACTCAGACCCAGGGTCACCTCCTCCAAGAAGTCGCTCTTGAACTTCAGGTTGGACTAGGTATTCCCTGCTCAGAGAACTATACTATGATGCCAAGAATGTAAATTATTAATTGATATTTGGTGGGCAATATGGCAATATACAGCAATAAATAAATAAAGTTGAAGACAGACAAAAATAAAACTTCATATCCTTCAACCCAGCAATTCCAGTTCTAGGAAATTATCTTAAGGAAATAATTGAGCAAATGCCCGAAGATGTATGTACAAGAATCTGCATTACAACATTGTTTACAACAGTACAAAATTGAAAATAACCAAAGTTGGGGTTTAGGGAATAAATATTGACATGTCGACAGTGAAACACCAAAGAACTGTTAAAAAGGATAAAGTACATCTCTACATATTGACAAGTAATGATATCCATGATATATTGCTATGGAAACAGCAAGTTATAGATCTCATTTTTGTTTTAAAAAACTTAATGTGTATATAGTATATGTATATAATATGTATATGCAGATATGCATTATATTTTAAAGAAGACAAGAGATATCCCAAATTTTAACACTGGTTATCTCTGAGAATATGACTACAGGGAGATTTATACTTCCACTTTAAACATTACTATTTAATATTTTACATTTTTGGTTTTTTATTATTATTTATTTTAAGAAAATTACCTGGTTGGTCTTTATTTACTCCTTCATAGTTCACAAGAACCTGAAAGCGATCTGCATAACTAGCAACAGGATACTGGATGAATAAACTGTGATATTTCTTATAACATAATATTACATGGCATTCAAAAAGAATGAACTTCAGTGACCCACAATATAGAGAAATCATAACAATAGTAAGGAAAAACTGTAAATCCCAAAAGATTATATACAGTATGACAACCTTTTTAAAAGTTGAAAATAAACACACCCTTACATTTAAGAGTATACATGAAGTCATTAAAATTATACAAAACAAAAAGCAAAGAATGATAAATATGAAATTCAGAATGATGGTTACCTCGCATATGGGGAGCTTGGGGATGGGATGGGATTGGGGAGGAGATCATGGATGTCCTACAATGTAGGAGTTGGGCCTATCAGGGCTACTATATTGTTAAAGGTAAATAGCTAATATGTAAATAAAAGCAGAACATGCATGAACCAATGCTATTAGGAACCAAGGATAATGAGTAATACAATTCTGGTATCTCCAAGGTTAAAAAAGAATTTTAAAATCCTGGCTGGGCGAGGTGGCTCATGCCTGTAATCCCAGCACTTTGGGAGTCTGAGGAAGATCACTTGAGACCAGGAGTTTGAGGCCAACCTGAGCAACATAGCAAGACCCTGTCTCTACAAAAAATTTAAAAATTATCTGGTCGTGATGGTGCGCATCTGTAGTCCCAGCTGCTTGGGACAGGAGGCTGAGGCAGGAGAGCTGCTTCGGCCCAGAAGTTTGAGGTTGTAGTAAGTTACTCTAGCCTAGGCTCTTAAAAAAAAAAATCCTCATATGATATTAAAAATTAATATTAGGTAAGAGTTTTATAAAATTGAAGAGTTTTAAAATTTTTATTTACTTTGACCAATTATAATCATATATAGTTATGGGATATTCAGTAATTTTATATGTATGCAGTATGGAATGATTCACTCAAATTAACATATACATCACCTTCAATACTTATAATTTATTCCTCCTGTCTGTGACTTTGTATCCTTTGACCAGCACCCTTCCCTTCCCCGCAACTCCCAGCCTCTCTCTGGTAACCACCATTATACTCTAGGTAAGAGTTTTAAAATATGTATCTCAAAAGTATGGCTTTCAAGTGATGCATCCCACCTCATGTCCACAATTTGATTGGCACTGTCATAAAGATTGCCAATTTTTTGTTGTTGTTGTTCAACTTGACCAGGAAGGTACTTTAATAACAGGTGTCCCAAACCACCAGTCTCCTCTCCAATGCTCAACCCTAAATATGCTCCTTTCTCACAGTAACCTTTCTGAGATTTCAAAGCCAATGGGAAAAAAGTGTTCACTTGAAGTGGGAAACTTAGCACTGAAATTTAAACTTCTTTCTACAAGTTTTCCTTTTGTTTTGTTTTGAAACAGAGTCTCACTCTGTTGCCCTGACTGGAGTGCAATGGTGCAATCATAGCTCACAGCAGCCTCAAACTCCTGGGCTCAAGCAATCCTCCCCCCTCAGCTTCCTGAGCAGCTGGGAGTATAGGCTTGCGCCAACCTGTTCAGCTCTTTTTAAAAAAAAAATTTTGTGGAGACAGGGTTTCACTACATTGTCCAGGCTGGTCTCGAACTCCTCGGTTTAAGCAATCTTCCCGCCTTGGCCTCCCAAAGTGCTAAGATTACAGGCGTGAACCATATTTTTTTTATTATTTGTAGAGATGGGGTCTCTCTATGTTGCCCAGGCTGTCCTGGGCTCAAGTGATCCTCCCACCTTAGCCTCCCAGAGTGCTGCGATTACAAGTGTAAGCCACCATGCCAGGCTGTCTAGTTTAAATTGTTTGTTGATGGCCGGGTGCGGTGGCTCACGCCTGTAATCCCAGCACTTTGGGAGGCTGAGGTGGGCGGATCACCTGAGGTCGGGAGTTCAAGACCAGCCTGACCAACATGGAGAAACCCCATCTCTACTAAAAATACAAAATTAGCCGGGCATGGTGGTCGATGCCTGTAATCCCAGCTACTTGAGAGGCTGAGGCAGGAGAATCACTTGACCCCGGGAGACGGAGGTTGCGGTGAGCCAAGATAGCATCATTGCACTCCAGCCTGGGCAACAAGAGCAAAACTCCGTCTCAAAAAAAAAAATTGTTTCTTAATAACAGAAATTTGCATACCACAGCCTTAGAATGCAAAGGAAGTGAGGTGGGGGAAGGATGAGTGTAACCAGGATGTTCTCTATTATATAAAATATAGCCAGGAGGTACAAAATTGAAAGTATAGACCTCAAATCAGAATAATAACACAGGATTAAAAGTTTTAAATGTGTTCTATTTTATTATTGTTGTTTTTTGAGCTTTTTTTGTTTTGTTTTGTTAGGCTAGTCTCGAACTCCCAACCTCAGGTGATCTGCCTGCCTCAGCCTCCCAAAGTGCTGGGATACAGGTGTAAGCCACCGCACCCAGCCTTATTATTAGTTGTTGTTAATCTTACCGTGCTAATTCATAAATTAAACTTTATCATAGGTATGAATGTACAGTAAATTCTCCCTTGAATTGCTCCTAATGAATTTATGTGATGTTTTAAAGACAAAAGTCAACAGTAATTTCATGTATTGTAGAAATAAAAAGAGGCAGGTCTCAGTGCTGAGTCCTGGTGGTCAAGAGACTTGATTGTATCAGAACCATGGATGCAGGACTTAACATAGTTTCTATCACTGCCAAAAAGCAAAATGTCAGGGGGTGAATGCCTAGGCTAACAGCCTTAGATCATCCGTTTCAGATGTTGATCTAGTCCTGGCTGGGCGTGGTGGCTCACACCTGTCATCCCAGAACTTTGGGAGACTGAGGGGGTGCTGATCACTGGAGGTCAGGAGTTCGAGACCAGCCTGGCCAACATGGTGAAACCCTGTCTCTACTAAAAATACAAAATATTAGCCAGGCGTGGTGGTGGCGTGCGCCTGTAGTCCCAGCTACTTGGGAGGCTGAGGCACAAGAATTGCTTGAACCCGGGAGGTAGAGGTTGCAGTGAGTCGCGATGGCACCACTGCACTCCAGGCCAGGTGACAGGTGAGACCCTGTCTCAAAAAAAAAAAAAAAAAAAAAGTTGATACAGTCACTAGCCCTGACCTAAACCTAGCAATTGTATAGAAAATTGGAGGGTCTGACTAGCCTTCATAGACCTCTTTAAAGAAAGCCAAGGGTTTACTTGATCAGGGCAAAATTTACATGGTTTGACATACACCAAAAAGAACCACCGAACACTAGAGAGAGGAGGAAAAATAATTCTCTCCTGTCTTCAATTCTGGGAATGTCTGGAGTAAAGAGACTGACATAATGCCTGTCACACTGCTTGGTTCCTTAATGGTTGACACCTGTCCTACCTTTTCTACACTGACCTCATTTCTCATAGTCCCCGTGGTAGGCAGAATAATGGCTGTCTCCAAAGATAACAAGGTATTAATCCCCTCAACCTACGAATAAATTAGGTTATGTGGCAAAGGACAATTATAATTGCAGAGGGAATTAAGGTTGCTAATTAGCGAAACTCGAGATAAGGAAGTTACCTGGATGGAGTCAATGTAATCACAAGGGGCCTTAAAAGTAGGAGAAGGATGGCAGGGCACCCGAACCCTTTGAGAGACCAAGACAGGAAGATTCAGGAGTTCAAGACCAGTCTGGACAACAGTGAGACCTTGTCTCTACTACAAATAAAAATAAAAGGAAAGGAAAAAGAATAAGACAGATGCAGAATAAAGAGTAATGCAATGTGAGAAAGACTACAGTAGTCTCCACTTATCCAAGGTTTCCCTTTGCAGGATTTCAGGGTTTGTTACCCCATGGCCAACCATGGTTTAAAAATAGTTGAGTACAGGACAATAAGATATTTTGAGAAAAAGAGACCGACCACATTCACATAACTTTTATTACAGTATACTGTTATGATTGTTCTATTAGTTGTTGTTAATCTTTTATGGTGCCTAATTCATAAATTTAACTTCATCACAGGTACACATGTACCGAAAAAACAGTATATATAGGGTTTGGTATTGTGGTTTCAGGCATCCACTGAGGGTGTTGGAACTTAACCCACAGAAACGGGGGGGAACTACAGTATCACTGGTTTTGAAGATGCAAGGGAGCAATAAACCAAGGAGTTTGGGCAGTCTCTAGAAGCTGAGAAAGGAAAGAAAACAGATTCTCCCTCCTAGAACGGAAAGCAGCTCTGGCAACATTTTATTTTTAGTTTTCTCAGTTTTTTTTGAGACAGAGTCTCACTCCGTCATCCAAGCTGGAGTGCAATGGCGCAATCTCGGCTCACTGCAACCTCCACCTTCCGGGTTCAAGCCTCCCTCCACCTCCACCCCCTGAGTAGCTGGGTTGGCAGGCGCGCGCCACCACGCCTGGATAATTTTTTGTATTTTTTTTGTAGCGACAGTGTCTCCCTATGTTGCCCAGGCTGGTCTCCAACGCCTGGGCTCAAGAGATCCGCCCGCCTCAGCCTCCCAAAGTGCTGGGATTACAGGCGTAAGCCACGGCGCCAGGCCCTTGGAAACTATATTGAACAAGTTCCATGTGTGATTCCTTGGCACAATGAAATATGGGATCAGATAACTTGCCTCTGATTTACTACAGTAACAACAACAACAAAATCACTGTCTGCTTTTCCCTTTATATTCTAAGCTCCAGCTCCATGCCTCCGTACTCCTAGCGACCTCTCGCAGGGAAAGTCAGCGTCGGCCAAAAGCCTCCGGGATCGGAATGAGGAGGCTGCTGGAGAAGTTGCTTTCTCCTAAAAGGGATTATCCCAGGCGCACACGGTCATTACACGCCGGGGACGCTCAGTCGGTGCGGGTACCCCTGGGCAGGGCCAGCCCCGCATTCCAGGTTCTCCATGTGCCTAGAAGACAGTAATCGACGGTATAGCAACAGATCTGACTGCTAACGTGCGAAACCGATCAGTAGTAGCAGTAGCACCAGCAACAGCAGCACGAAAAGCAAAACTGTAATCTAAACGGCCCTCAGGGTCTAAGCAGGCCCGACGAAGACTCGCCCATCCGGTCGCCAGAAAACTGGGAGTCCCGCCCGCCTTTCCGGCACTGAAACGCGATCGGCCCTGCCTGGTACCGCATCCTCCTCTTGACCCCACCTACACTACGACGACGGACGCTCGAGAACGCTGCACCGCGCCCCGCAGGAAGTGCTTCCCTGGGCGGAAGCTTCTGAGCGTGATATAGCGGAAGTGCCTTCTCTTCCGGTCTTTCTGGTCTCGGCCGCAGAAGCGAGATGGTGAGTTGTGACTGTGGTGTTTGTGAATCGCGTTCCATCCTCGTCCTTTGTGCCTCTCTGTTTGCTGTGCTTGGGGGGCTGGCAAGATTCCGGATAAGGGGAACTGGTGGGCTGGAAAGAGGCATGCGGTGGCCCTCAAGAGCCAGAAGAATGACTGCTAACTGGTGCCTGGGGGACCTATCCCGCCGTAATTGTGGTGCTAGAGCCGCATTGTGTCCTTTGCCTCGGTCCAACCTTTGGAGACCTTTCACGGCTCTAGCCTTGGTTGGGAGCCGAGGGAAGGAGTTTGGGAATGTTTGGCTCTGTGTAACAATGAAATAATTCATTGGTGATGCTCTCTGGCCGGAGTCTGTAAAGATAAGGTGCATTTCAGAACATTGCAACTCTTGCGGAGGGTTTTAGGTAACGTGAAATGCGGGTAGTGGTCTCTGACTTGGCATTCGTGGAAAGAGGCTTCTCCCGCAGTTTCGATCTTTACGATTGCCTTTAAATTTTATCAGTAATTGGTTTCCCGGAGAACTCGAGTAAATCTAGAAGTTGCCAGGTTTCAGAACTATTTATTCCTTTAATGTGCAGACGAAGGGAACGTCATCGTTTGGAAAGCGTCGCAATAAGACGCACACGTTGTGCCGCCGCTGTGGCTCTAAGGCCTACCACCTTCAGAAGTCGACCTGTGGCAAATGTGGCTACCCTGCCAAGCGCAAGAGAAAGTGTAAGTAACATTTTTCAGGCCAACTGTGTTAGCTTTTGTTTGTATTGCACTTAAGTGGGGGCATAGGTTTGAACTTTATTTGGTGCCTATCTTAAAACTCGTACATCTGTATGCCGATGAGGTGGCATAAAACTCGTGTGTTAACAACACCTACAAGGTGTGTGGGAGAACACCGTTTGAAATCTTTTCTGAACTTATGTTTTAGATAACTGGAGTGCCAAGGCTAAAAGACGAAATACCACCGGAACTGGTCGAATGAGGCACCTAAAAATTGTATACCGCAGATTCAGGTACAGTTTGTATGTTCGATCATAATTGGTCCAGTGGGCTTGAATGAAACCCTCGTGTTTACTTGTAAAAAGATAACAGTACCCTGATGGTTACTGGGGATGAGATGTTGGAAGCTTTTTATTTATTGTTGTTTTTGAGGCAGGGTTTCACTATGTTGCCCAGGCTTGAGTGTAGTGGCACGATCACGGCTCAGTGCAGCCTCAGTCTCCCCAGCCTCAGGTAATCTCATCTCAGCCGCCCGAGTACCCGGGACTACAGGTGTGCGCTGCCACATGCCCAGCTAATTTTTGTATTTATTGTAGAGAATGGGATATTGTCATGTTACCCAGGATAATCTCGGAACTCCTGGGCTCAGGCCAGATGTTGAAAGCTTTTATCTTCTGCCGCTGTAACCTTGACATCAGTTAGTTTGGATTTTATTAGTAGTTTTTTCACTAAACAGTAGTATAAATTAAATAACAGGAGCATTGTTTGAACTAGGGTCCCAAAGTGTTGATATTTATTAGGTTTAATTGGTGTCAAAATTTGTCAAGACAGTAGTGAATAAGGTCTGGAGTCAGGCTTGGTTCAACCTTTAGTATAGTGGCTGTGGGCAAGAGTGCTGTAGAAAATTGCCCTGGTTGCTGCTGTTGCCTTGGGCTCTTGTTACTCAAGTCTTGGCCTTAGAGTTATAAATGCAGAATCTCAGCTCCGCCGTAGACTTAGCTGAGAGAACCTGCATATTAAAGAGTAGTTTCTAAGAGATTAACCCATCTAAGATCTCAGCTAAGATTCAGAATGATGCAGACTTAACTATAAAGCTGGTGCTCCTTCCGTTACTATGTTCTATTTCAGCAATTCTCAGCTATTGATACTTTGGGCTGGATAATTCTTTGTGGTGGGATTGTCCAGTGCAAAATTGAATATTTTGCAGAATCCCTAGCCTCTACCCACTCAGTCTCCGGAGTGTCCAGTTTTAAAGATAGCAAGACAGTTCAGGGCTTTGTAGACACCCATAGGTGTGTTCATGTGCTGAAGCAACTTTCTTTGCATTTAGGGTCATAACGTTTTTGTGGGCTTAATGTTGAGTGGTCTGTTAGTACAATATAGGAGTTAAGAGCTTGAACTGAAGCCAGGCTTTTAAAAGTAGGATAGTTGACCTTTCTTAGAGTAGATACTTCTTAGAGTAGATACAGATGTTAAATAAGTTAAAATGCAAAGCTCTTGGTTTAGAAAATGTCTGCCATTAAACATGCTAATTGTTTTTTCCTTGCTTAGTGAAAGTAGTTGGGATCTATTCTCAGTATAGGGAACCATTTTCACAAATAATCTGTGATCTCTTGCCAAATATGAACAAACATACTGGCCCAATGACTAGTATAGCCAAATAAGTTTTTGAGCCTTTATTGCAGTTGCAGTTAACTATATCCGAAAATGGGTATCTTTAAGCAAAGTGAAGAATTTCAGCTTATCAGTGATGTTGTAAAAATAAATGTCTGAACATATGAATGCAGTATTGATTTCAGCATTTAACTGAGATAAGCGCATTGAAATCTGTTTAACAAAAATTAAAATGTATGCATCGATGTTGCTGAAGTAACTTGTTCTTGTTTTTGACATCCTGCAGGCATGGATTCCGTGAAGGAACAACACCTAAACCCAAGAGGGCAGCTGTTGCAGCATCCAGTTCATCTTAAGAATGTCAACGATTAGTCATGCAATAAATGTTCTGGTTTTAAAAAATACATATCTGGTTTTGGTAAGGTATTTTTAATCAATTAGGCTTGTAGTATCAGTGAAATACTGTAGGTTTAGGGACTGGGCTAGCTTCATATCAGATTTACTTGTTAAGTGACTGTTTTGGAATGTTTACTTTTGGACTGGGTTTGTAACACGGTTAAAGGCAATGAGAAACAAGCAGAATTCCAGGAGTCCTTGAAGCAGAGGGCACTGGAAGACAATATAGCAGATTAAAATAGCACAGCTCATGTGGCATAGGTGGGTATTTTAGATGTTTGAGTAAATTTGAAAGAGTATGATGTTTAAATTACCTTTAGCAACATGTTCATCTGCTATGCTGTCATGACTAGGGGGATGATTATTAGTCACATAGAGCTTGGGAGTACCACTGGAAACGTATGGGTAGGAGTTTAGGTGGCTTCTGTTTTTCAAAAGATGATCTTATCCTAGTATCTGTAATGCTCACTTGGCACACCTGACTTGTGGGCTGTGTGTAAGGTGGCTAGCTAAGTGAAAAAAGCCTGCTAGGTGTGAGTCAACTTAAGAATATGTAAATAGGTTTGAGAAAAAGTAGGGCTTGGGTGCAAGTAAAGATTGAGCAGGAAATAAAGGAAAATCAAGTATAATCCCTGAGATTTGTAGACTAAAGGCAATGATGTGGGACTACTTGGTCGAATTTTTTTAGCCCTCAACTTGGTAATTGGGTGTTTCTGTGTTAAAGCACTGAAACTTGCTGTCGTGCCTTCCTAGTTTTCGTGGTTTATTGACAGGGTTGGGGGTTTTTTTTGTTTTTTTAAAATGAAGGGACAAAGTCAACTGGACTGCTGAGTGAGAGGGCAGGGGCAGTTGAAGGGAACATGAATTGCTGGAACAGCTACATAAAATAGTGATGTAGCCAAGTCATGCTATTTAAATTATAATTCTCCACTGTGTTTAGAATAACATCTGAGGTTCTTAACCTGGCCTTGGAAGGGTATCACTTTTACTTGTAACCTGGAATGGCTTTATAATGTGCTAGCTAATTGCTACTCTCATCTTGTATTTTAACTCCTAATTTACCCTTCAGGTCTCAGCTTCAGAACATTCACTTATAAAGAAACCCTGCTGATTAAATCTCTCTTGGGCTTCCTCCCGAAATGTGAGACTATACTTTAAAGATGTATGGTTAGAGTCCAATTGCCATTGCCTTTCTTGTTTACAGATAGTGCAATGGCGCAATCCTGGCTCACTGCAGCCTCTAATTCCTGGGCTCAAGTCAAGTGGTTCTCCTGCCTCAGCCTTCTGAGTAGCTGGGACTACAGATGCACACCACCACACCTGGCTAATTTTTGTGTTTTTTGTAGAGATGGAGATTCACTCGACTAATTCTTTTTGTATTCTTAGTAGAGACTGGGTTTCAACATGTTGACCAGGCTGGTCTCGAACTCGACCTCGTGATCCGCCGCCTCGGCCTCCCAAAGTGCTAGGATTACAGGCGTGAGCCACCACTCCCGGCTGTCATCATCAAATTTTCAAGTGAAGATAGTCTGTTGAAGATTGAACAATGACCTTGAAAGACAGCTGAGTTGCTGTGGGTATAATGTAAAGCTGGTGAAGTTTGGCCAGTTTGGGCTTCAGAAGTCTAAGTCTAGTGAAGGTACCCTGACCCCCATATAAACAACCCTTGAGGCCGGTGTGGTGGCTCACGGCTGTAATCCTGGCACTTTGGGAGGCCGAGGTGGGCGGATCACAAGGTCAAGAGATCGAGATCACCCTGGCCCACATGGTGAGACCCCAACTCTACTAAAAATACAAAAATTAGCTGGGTGTGGTGGCATGTGCCTGTAGTCTTAGCTACTTGAGAGGCTGAGGCAGGAGAATCGCTTGAACCTGGGAGGCAGAGGTTGCAGTGAGCTGAGATCATGCCACTGTGCTCCAGCCTGGTGGCACAGTGAGACTCCACCTCAAAAAAAAAAAAAAATCCTTGAACTAATGACTCAAATTTTCAAATGAAACAAAATAAGCAGTGGATCTTGCATTGGAGATGGAGTTAAACTATGTTGCCCAGGCTGGTCTTGGACTCCTGGTTTCAAGTGATCCTCTCATCTTGGCCTCCCAAAGTGCTGGGATTACAGGGACGAGCCACCACACCCCACCTATTGTCTATATTTCTATCTTTAACAGCACTTCAGTCCTGCCTTAAGTTATAGTTATGTATAGATACCCATTATACTTTAAATTTTTCAGCAGAAATTATGCTTTTATCTTCTCTGCAGTGTTATATGTTGGTGTGCAAAAATGTTAAATTTATTTTTCCTAAGTACCCCATCTGCTTTTCAACTCTGTCCTCTGCCTGAAAAGCCTCCCTCCAGCCCCTACTTCCCTCCCATCTTAGTTCACAAAGTCAGGTTGATTTGCCCCCAGCTGTCAAAGCAGACTACCTGTTTCCACATGTAACTGGTTATGTTCTGTAAAGTTACAAAAATAGAAAGGTTGAATCTGTGGCGGCCGGGTACGGTAGCTCACGTCCTATAGTCGCAGCACTTTGGGAGGCCAAGGTGGGCAGTTCACGTGAGGTGGGGAGTTCGAGACCAGCCTGACCAACATGGAGAAACCCCGTCTCTACTAAAAATACAAAAATATTAGCCGGGCGTGGTGGTGCATGCCTGTAATCCCAGCTACTAGGGAGGCTGAGGCAGGAGAATTGCTTGAACCTGGGAGACGGAGGTTGCGGTGAGCTGCAGAGGCCTCACCTCTAATTGAGACACAATTATATATTGTTGATATATATATATATATATATACACACACACACACACACTATGATGGATAAATGCATGAGTTTCTGTGAGAGCATTGGAAAGGAGTTTGTCACTCAATAGGTGAAGCCAGGCTAAGATTTAAGCTGAGCCAGGGAGGACTTGAAGGAATCATGATGAGAGAGAAGGTAAGTGGCTTTGCCAGCAATGAAACAGCTGACATAATGGTAACCAGTCAGAGGAGGGCATAACTATGAAACTGGACACCTTGGTTGTCAGGTTAGAAGGATGGGGTGTAGGGTTGGTAAGAAAAGAATTCAGGGAAGAGCAGCGATCAGATTATGAAGAATTTGTCTTGAGAAATTACAGAGGATTTAAACCAGAATGTTAGGAATAGTTATTCTAGCAAGATGAATGTGGAAAGTGTTAGTGTGCATGTGATGAGTCTTGAAGCTGGAAACTAGGTAACAGGTTCTTAAATAGTTCATGTGAAAATCATGACAGACTAAGGCAGTGGCTGTGGGGCTGTCCGGGAGTTCTCTACAGAAAACATCTAAAACTTGAATGTGCAAGTGAGTAGCTAACTTCCAAGCTTCCCATTTCTGTATAATTTAAGCATGAAAATGAGAACACTGAGATTTGATAGGCATGTAGAAGTCAGAGTAAGCAAGAGGGCTTGAGTTCATCGATGAACTTCAGTAACTATCCTTGACTTAGTATTGGTGGAAACCATTTGTGAATTTACAGACTCCAAAAACAAAAAGATAATTTAGAGTCTCAAAGTAAGATTTGGGGAGATGTCCATTGGAGACAGAAGTGGAGAGAGGGAGAAGTTCATTTGTTGACATATTTATGTATGGTGCACCTACTGTGTGCCAAGCCATGTTAGAGATACAGTGGGAGCAAAACCAGATGTGTTTTCTGCCCTCTGACTCCAGTGGTTGCAGAATTAGCCCAGGAACTAGAATTGGATGGAGTCACACAAACCAAGGAAGGGGATTGTTTGAGGGGGGCACTCAGTCACATGTGGCTGAGGCCAAAGAGAATGAAGATATATTTTAAAATTCTGGATTTGGCAAAATTTAGGCTAGTCTTTACTTTTCATAAACCTCTCTCATGTTAGAGCAGCAAAGAAAAACCAGTTTGCCAAGAGGTCACGAGATTGGGCAGTGAGGAATGGGGAGTTTAGTTTAAAAGACAACACTAGATACTTTTGGAAGTTTACCTATTCTGTGGTTCCCTTTTATTGACTAAATGGTGCCCTTCATTCATGAAGCAAGTATCTATTTAGTGACTACTATGTGTCAAAAGCTATCTAGGCCCAGAAACTTTTAAGTGGAAAACAAAACAAAGACCCTGCCCTGACAGATTTCAATCATGTATATACTGTATGTATGTTTGTGGAAGGTGACATAATAGACAATTGCAGATAGTGATAAGTGTGTAAGACAAGGATACCACGAGCGTAATAGACAGTGGGGATGGAGGAACCTTTAGAAGGTTGGTTAAGTTGAATGATAAGGAGCCATTCTTTTGTCTTTACCTGAATGACTTATCATTCAGCCCTTTTTGAGTTTTGGGTTGCTTGCAGAGTTTAACCTTGCCTGTAATTGAAACTTAATTTTGTAATAGCATAACTTCATGTAAGAAAAGCAAAGCAATACATTACAGAATTATTTTACTGAAGAACTTGTTTCAGAGAAAGAGGCTGTTTCACATTTATTAGCACATTTGGATTATATTTAGGTGTTTTATTTTTTTTTAAACAAAGGAGTTTGGATCATAATACAAGAGAAGCACAGGGCAAAGACACTGCATAACCTCAAGAACTAAGAATGGAAGGACTGGCCAGGCCTGGTGGTGCACACCTGTAATCCCAGCTACTCAGGAGGCTGAGGCGAGAGAATCGCTTGAGCCTGGGGGGCAGAGGTTGCAGTGAGCTGAGAGAACGGCGGGCGGCAGAGCGAGACTCCATCTCAAAAAAAAAAAAGGATAAAGGAAGGACTTAAGCAAAATCTTCCTTGTAAGTAGAAGGATGTTTTGACAAGAAAAGTTGCAATGGAAAAATGGTTCTCATGTACACGAGTATGTAGAATAAGCATCGTGTGTGGATTGGATTCAGATCAAAACATTGCTTTTATGTTTGTGTCTTTATACGGTGGGAGTATACCCTGGTGCCCCAGGATGAAGACTTGACCTGACCCATGTATTTTTAGATTACTCACAGATAACAAAAAGTATTTTCATCATGATTAGTTGCGAAAACAGTTTTATTTCAATAGGTAAAACGTGCAGTCCTATGTAATCGTCAGAAGGTAATCTTAATTATAGCTTGGGTGTGCTTTAAACTGCAAGCTGGCAGTGGAGGGCACGATTCCTCTGATTTCAGCTTTCTCCTTATACTTTTCTGGAGCTGTGAGCTGCAAGTTAACTCAGTGGGATTAAAGTGTAGACTGGAGGTACAAAAGGTGAGGAGTGAGGAGATAGGGTAGTTCTTCCTTGGCTGGCTGGCTTCATAATCCCTGGGCCCCGCAGATAATTAAATCGACTTTTTCTGTCTCAGGCATTTGTATGACCTCTTTGGAGGTTCCCTGCTGGGTAGTTATCCTTGTATCTGATGGACCCATCTCAATTTAAAATACTCTGCCAGGTTCGGAGGTTCATGCTTGTCATCCCAGCACTTTGGGAGGCTCAGAGGTGCCATTGGCTTGAGCCCAAGAGTTTGAGACCAGCCTGGGCAACCTGGTGAAACCTCTTCTCCATTAAAAATACAAAAAATTAGCCAGGCATGGTGGTATGTGCCTGTAGTCCCAGCTACTCAGGGAGCTGAGGTGGAAGGATTGCTTGAGCCTGGGAGGTCAAGGCTGCAGTGAACCTTGATTGTGCCACTGCACTCCAGCCTGGATGACAAAGACCCTGTCTCAAGAAAAGTCTGTAATTCTTTCCTAACCCTTAGTATCCAGCCTCAGTCCTGAGGTTTTCTTTACCTCTGGGGGCTATTTTATGCCGGCTCTCTCCTGAGTGTCACACATCTGGTCCTCAGGAAACATTCTCACATCCCTGGCCTGAAAAAAACAATTTCAGGGAGATCGCATGGCAGCAGCCCTCTCTGGGCTCCCCAGCTAAATGGTTGTACGAAACACATTTCAAAGCTCTCTGAAGGGCTTCCTTGAAGTTCCTTTCACTGGGTTTCAAAGTAGAAGGTAGTAACTCCTTTGTCCAAGAAGGCTGAATTGAGCACTTAACAATTCTCCAAAGAAATTTCTTCATTGGTCTCTATCCTAGACCCCTTCTGTATCCTTGATATGGCTGAGGATTCTAAAAAATGACCAGTCTTACATGGGAGGGCTGGGATATAAAAAATAAAATAATAAATAATGATAAAAACTGAAAACTGACCACGTTCTTGGATATGTTTTCTTTGGGTTGTGTGTGTGTGTGAGACTTTTGATAGTTACCCAAAGTAGGAAAAATCCCATTCTAATAAGGTTATATTTATGTAGCTCTGCAAATAAACATCTAGCAAATGTAAAAAGTATTTTCTTTGCCTTAAAAATGATTAAAATTATTTGAACTCCTGAGGAGTGTTATATGAATAAAATTAGTAAGTTATTTGGAGGAAAGTTATTTTTTAAAAAGACAACTGGTAAAACAGTACAGGAGAAAGGCCAGCTTCCTCAAGTGAGGACAGTTGTTTAGAATTGACTGAGGAGCGGCCGGGTGCGGAGGCTCACATCTGTAATCCCACACGCCTTGGGAGGCTCTGAGGCGGGTAGATCACCTGAGGTCAGGAGTTTGAGACCAGCCTGGCCAACATGGCGAAACCCCGTCTCCACTAAAAATACAAAAATTAGCCAGGTGCAGTGGCACACACCTGTAATCCCAGCTACTCCGAAGGCTGAGGCAGGAGGATCACCTGAGCCCAGGAAGTTGAGACTGCAGTGAGCTGAGATTGCACCACTGCACTCCAGCCTCAGTGACAGCGAGACTGTCTCAAAAAAAGAAAAAAGTGACTGAGGAGGAAGAGGCCAGGTGGCAAATGGAACAGAATCACCAAAGGGTGAACAGGACTAAGGCAATGTAGTGTATGGCTCAGCTACGTCAGAGTGGAAAAGGTGTTATTAGAGCAGAAACTATGGTCCCTGCGTCACAGGGAAGCAACCTACAGAGAAGCAGCAGCTCCCCAAGAGAGGAGAGATAAGAAGCCAGAAGCCTCAGAGTGAACAATTGTCCTATTAGGGATTGCTCTAGAGAGAGAAACCTCTGGGAACGTACCCCTGTGAGGCAGCACAGCACAATGCTTTTAGAATTGTATGAGAGTTGATATATCTCCATTTGTTTTGCAAAGGCAAAAACTAAGATACAGAGATTATCTGTTAAAGTTATGTATTTCTTTGGTAATAAAGATGCTGACAGTGTTGCTGGAATGCATTTCTTTAATAAAGATATTGTACAATGAAATACTACTTTTGCAGCAAATTTGTCTTAAATAGGATCCATACTATGATATGGATCCATATCCATATCCATACTATGATAAGGATCCATACTATGATAGTGCTAATCATACGCCATAAAGTACAGAGATCTAAGACACCACTCACATATAATTTTAGCATTGGGCCAGGCGCGGTGGCTCACGCCTGTAATCCCAGCACTTTGGGAGGCTGAGGCGGGAAGATCACGAGGTCAGGAGTTCAAGACCACCCTGGGCAATATGGTGAAACCCCGTCTGTACTAAAAAAATACAAAAATTAGCTGGGCTTGGTGGCGCGCCCCTGTAGTCCCAGCTATTGAGGAGGCCGAGACGAGAATTGCTTGAACCTGGGAGGTGGAAGTTGCAGTGAGCCAAGATTGCACCATTGCACTCCAGCCTGGGCGACAGAGTGAGACTCTGTCTCAATAATAGTAATTTTAGCATTGGGTTAGCTCATCTAAGAGGTAATAGCAAGCCATTTTCCAGTAATTCTGATTAGATCAAATCTGCCCTTTTCTGATCCCCCCACAACCACAAGAAAGGTTCTATAAGAGCACATATTGTGGAGTAAAATCCTCAAAAGTTTTAAAATTTTTGAACAGTTAAATTTTGAATAGATTTCATATTTATCAGACAACTCTTGGGGTCTGAATAGATGTACTACCTGGAGATTTAAGGATAGTATCACACTCTGCCCTCTGGCATTTTTCAACGTCTTGAGTTCAGACCAATGTTGAAAATCTGTAGATGCAAGCATAGACAGGCACTATATGTATGTAATGAACTACCATGTTTTAGCCCACTAACCAAGTTTTTCTTATTTCTTTGCAATAAGTAAACCTTGGGCCAGCCGTGGTGGCTCACGCCTGTAATCCCAGCACTTTGGGAGGCCAAGGCAGGCAGATTGCCTGAGCTCAGGAGTTTGAGACCAGCCTGGACAACATGCTGAAACCCCATCTCTACTAAAAATACAAAAAATTAGTTGGTCATGGAGGCAAGCAGCTGTAATCCCAGCTCCTCGGGGGACTGAGGCACAAAAATTGCTTGAACCCAGTAGGCGGAGGTTGCAGTGAGCTGAGATTGTGCCACTGCATTCCAGCCTGGGTGACAGAGCAAAACTGTGTCTCAAAAAAACCACCACCAACAAAAAACCTTGATTATTGGACTAAAACATGGTAATTCACTATGTACGTATAAATAACATGTAGAGTATAAAAATTTAAACATTGCTCAGCAGCAGAATGTAAAATAAAACATTTAAACATCTAATAAAAACAGCATATCAGAGTTCAGTGAAGAGAAAGAAATAACAGTAATTTGAACACGAAGTTTAAGGGATTCAGGTAATGAGGGGCTGGGTATTAGAAGTTAAAAAGAACTCTAAAGAGAAAGCAGAAATGGAGTAGCCACTGTCCCTGGAGCTGAGATACAGCACCCAAGGAAGAGTCCTCCTTATCCCCAGAGCTGAGATCTAGATGTCAGAGAAAGTGCAACATAGCTCACTAGATGATGTGTCTTGCCTCTGGGACATCCTGGAAAACCACCAGAAAGAGCACCAGTTGCACTGAGGAGGTGGCTTGTCAACAGCATTCTGCTGTGAAGCTGCTCAAAAAGGTTCTTTGGGAAGCTTGTAGTCATGAGGTGCCTCTGGTCAGTGCACATGGCAGGAGTCTAATGCTGGAGAAGCCACCACATTGCAGGAGCCTAGCCCTGGAGGAATGACAGACCCCTTTCTGACGTTTACCAATTATCTTTTTTTTTTTTTTTTTTTTTTTTGAGATGGAGTTTTGCTCTTGTTGCCCAGGCAGGAGTGCAATGGCGTTATCTCGGCTTACCCTGCAACCTCTGCCTCCCGGCTTCAAGCGATTCTCCTGCCTCAGCCTCCCAAGTAGCTGGGATTATAGGCATGCACCATCACGCCCAGCTAATTTTGTATTTGTAGTAGAGACGGGGTTTCTCCATGTTGGTCAGGCTGGTCTCGAACTCCTGACCTCAGGTGATCCACCCACCTCGGCCTCCCAGAGTGCTGGGATTACAGGCATGAGTCATTGCGCCCGGTCCCAAATATCATTTTAATACAGCTTAGAGCTTGCTATGGTTTGTGTTTGTGTTCTTTTGTCTTAGTCTGTTTTTTGCTGCTATAACAGAATAACTGAGACTGGATATTTACAAAGAACAGGAATTTATACTGTTACAATTTTAGAGACTGGAAGTCCAAGATCAAGGTGCAGGCAGCTTGTGTGGGCCTTCTTACTGCATCTTCATATGGCAGAAGAACGAAGGACAAGAGAGACAAAAGGAGGCTGAATTCACCCTTATTAATTCCACTCATGAGAGCAGGATCACCTCTTCTTTTTTGTTTTGTTTTTGAGACGGAGTCTCGCTCTGTCACCGAGGCTGGAGTGCCGTGGTGTCATCTCGGCTCACTGCAATCTCCGCCTCCCTAGTTCAACCAATTCTCCTGGCTCAGCCTCCCAAGTAGCTGGTACTACAGTACATGCCACCACACCCAGCTAATTTTTGAATTTTTTTTGCAGAGATGGGGTTTTACCATGTTGGTCAGGCTAGTCTCGAACTCCTGACCTCAAATGATCCACCCACCTCAGCCTCCCAAAGTGCTGGGATCACAAGTGTGAGCCACCTTGCCCAGCCAGGATCACTTCTTAAAGGTCCCACTTAACACTGTTATAATGACAATTAAATTTCAACATACATTTTGATGGGGATAAATATTCTAACAATAGCTCACTCCAAAATTCAAGTGGAAACTTAATGTCCCAATGTTATAGTATTGAGGGGTGGGGCCTTTAGGAGGTAGTGAGGTCATGAGGGCTCATCCCCATGAATGCGAATAAGGACTTTATAAAACAGGCTTCACACCCAGTATGGCCCTGTTTGCCCTAAGCCTTCCATCACATAAGGAAATAGCGTTTGTCCCCTTTTGTCTTTCTATCCCTTCCACCATATGAGGACACAGCATTTGTAAGGATGCAGCATTCAAGATACCATCCTGGGAGCAGAAATGGCCCTCACTAGACACTGAATCTGCCTACACCTTGATCTTGGACTTCCCAGCCTCCAGAACTGTGAGAAATACATTTTCGTTGTATATAATTGATATAGTTTGAATATATATATGAATATATAGTATCGTTTGAATATATGTCTCCACCAAATTTCATGTTGAACAGTAATCCCCAATGGTGGAAGTGGGGCCAGGTGGGAGGTATTTGGGTCATGAGGGGCAGACCCCTCATGGCTTGGTGCCATCCTCTAGCTAGTGAATTCTCATGAGATCTGGTCGTTTGAAAGTGTGTGGCACCTCCCACCACTCTCGCTTGCTCCTGTCGTACCATGTAAGATGCCTGCTCCCGCTTTGGCTTCCACCATGAGTAAAAGCTCCTTGAGGCCTCCCCAGAAGCTGAGCAGATGTCGTTGCCATGTTTCCTGTACAGCCTGCAGAGCTATGAGCTAATGAAACCTCTTTTCTTTGTAAATTACCCAATCTCAGGTATTTCTTTATAGAAATGCAAGAATAGCCTAAGAATAATCTACCCAGTTCATGGTATTTTGTTACAGCAGCCCAAACAGACGAAGAATAGTTTTACAACTTGCCTCAGTGATTAATCAGCAAAGTGATTCACTCCCAATCAAAACTTGTTTGAACACTGGTTTGCTAATGATCAAAAATAATTGTCAAGCAGGCAGAATATCCTTGATGACCTGACACACACTTTTTCAACTCTAAAAGGGCATCTTATTTTTGTTTTCTTAAGGAAGTACCTTTCTATGGCTTGCATGAACTGACCAAAGAGGGAAGAAAGTAGGGAATCTTTAACATAGAGCTAGTAGGTAAGGCACACTGTTTAAGATCAGACATAGTGCCTTAGAACACAGCCACACACAGCTTGGTTGATTACATGATACAGCTGATGCAAGTGGGCCTGGACCTGAAACTAGACCTAATAACTAGGAGGAAATTTTGGGAAACATTGGACCAGCATTCCCAAATGCTAAACATGTACACTATCACAAAGACACAATGTTTTACCCATGGAAATTTGTTGCTGTATTATTTATAATACAAGAAAATAGAGCAGCTGTGCTGGGATTACAGGATGTGGTGGCTCATGCCTGTAATCCCAGCACTGTGGGAGGCCAAGGTAGACAGATTGCTTGAACCCAGAAGTTCAAGACCAGCCTGGACAACATGGCGAAACCCCATCTCCACAAAAAATACAAAATTTAGCCAGGCATCATAGCACATACTTGTAGCCCCAGCTACCAGGGAGGCTGAGGTGGCAGGATCACTTGAGCCCAGGAGGTTGAGGCTGCAGCTGTGAGCATGCTACTGCACTCCAACCTGGGTGACAGAGTGAGATTCTGTCTCAAAAAAAAAAAAAAAAAAGAAAAGAAAAAAAGAAAAAGGAAGTAGAAAAGTAGAAACAACTGGCCAGGCGTGGCTCATGCCTGTAATCCCAGAACTTTGGGAAGCCAAGGTGGGTAGATCACTAGAAGACCAGCCTACCCAACATGGTGAAAACCCACATCTCTACTAAAAATACAGAAAATTAGCCGGGCATGGTAGCAGGCACCTGTAATCCCAGCTACTTGGGAGGCTGAGGCAGGAGAATCGTTTGAACACAGGAGGCAGAGCTGCAGTGAGCCGAGATCGCACCATTGCACTCCAGCCTGGGCAACAAGAGTGAAAAGTGAAGGCTGGGCACGGTGGCTCACACCTGTAATCCCAGCACTTTGGGAGGCTGAGGTGGGTGGATCACCTGAGGTCAGGAGTCCAGCCTGGCCAACATGGTGAAAACCCCTCTCTACTAAAAATACCCAAAATTAGCTGGGCGTAGTGGTGGGCACCTGTAATCCCAGCTACTCAGGAGGCTGAGACAGGAGAATCGCTTGAACCCGGGAGGTGGAGGTTGCAGTGAGCTGAGATCATGCCATTGCACTCCAGCCTGGGCAACAAGAGTGAAACTGTGTCTCAAAAAAAAAAAAAAAAAAGAAAAGAAAAGAAAAGAAAAAGAAAAGTAGAAACAACTAAATCCCCTAAGTAGAGGTTGAGGTTGAGTTAAATAAATTATGGCATATCTTAATGGAATAGTAAAACAGCTCTTCAAACAAACAAACAAACAAACAAACAAAAACAACCAAGGCTTTACTAGCTTCAGTAGTCAAGATAGTGAGTATTGGTGTAATAATAGATATATACACCAGTGAAACATAATGGAATCCAGATATAGGCTCACAGAAATATGGTCATTGATTTTTGACAAAGATGTCAAGGTAATTCAATCAAGAAAGGATAATCTTTTCAGCAAATTGTACTGGAACAACTAGACATCCATATGCAAAAATAAAATAAAAATAGAGTCTCTGTTCTGAGACTTAACAGAGTTAAATAAATAAATAAGTAGAATCTCTGCATGGAACTGCAGGTGAACAGAAAAAATATTTTTAATAAAATTAAAAGACTCTCAAACCTTGACTTGTACCACTAAGTCAGGATGGATCAACGATATAAATGTAAAACCTAAAATTCTAAAAACCTATGAGAAAAACAGGAGAAAATCTTTGTGACTTAGGGTTAGGCAAAGATTTCTTAGATACGACATAAAAAGCACTATCTATTTTTTTAAATGATAAATTGGGCTTTATCACAACTAAACTCTCTGTTTTCCAAAAGACACAAGAAAATAAAAAGGTTTGGAGAAAATATATAAATACATGTATGATATGTATATATATATATATATATATATACACATACATATCACTTGAACCTGGGAGGCGGAGGTTGCAGTGAGTGGAGATCATGCCACTGCACAGAGTGAGACTCCATCTCAAAAAAAAAAAAAAAGAAAAGAAAACAAAAAACATTTTTTTTTTTTTTGAGACAGAGTCTCACTCTGTCACCCAGGCTGGAGTGCAGTGGCATGATCTCGATCTCGGCTCACTGCAAGCTTTGCCTCTTGGGTTCACGCCATTCTCCTGCCTCAGCCTCCTGAGTAGCTGGGACTACAGGCACCTGCCACCACACCCGGCTAATTTTTTTTTTGTATTTTTAGTAGAGACGGGGTTTTACCGTGTTAGCCAGGACGGTCTCGATCTCCTGACCTCATGATCCATCCGCCTCGGCCTCCCAAAGTGCTGGGATTACAGGCGTGAGCCACCGAGCCTGGCCAAAACCAATTTTTTTAAATGGGCAAAATATCTGAACAGATAGTTCATCAAATAATAAATATGCATGGCAAATAAACAGATGCAAAGATGCTCAACATCATTAGTCCTTAGGGAAATGCAAATTGAAATACAATGGAATAATATTGCACATCTACTAGAATGGCTAAAATAAAAAATATACAATGACAATATCAAGTGCCAATGAGAAATTCTTTGCTGGTAGAAATGAAAAATGATACGGCCACTTTGAAAAAAATTTGGCTGTTTCTCACAATTCGCAATTGCAAAGATAACCAACTTAAGTGCCCATCAACCAACGAGTGGATAAAGAAAATGTGTTTTATATACACAGTAGAATACTACTCAGCCATAAAAAGGAATGAAATAATGTCTTTTGCAGCAACTTGGATGGAGCTAGTGGCCATTATTCTAAGTGAAGCAACTCAGGAATGAAAAACCAAATATATGTTCTCACTTATAAGTGGCAGCTAATCTATGAGGATGCAAAGGCATAAGAATGATGTAATGGACTTTGGGGACTTATCAGGGAAGTTCAGGAGGAAAATTAGGTATAAAAGACTGTATATTGGGTACACTGTACACTGCTTGGGTGATGGGTGCGTTAAAGTTTCAGAAATCACCACTAAAGAATGTATCCATGTAACCAGAAACCACCTGGACCCTAAAAACTATTGAAATAAAAAATTTTTAATGCGGCTGTTTCTTATAAAGTGAACAATACATTTACTATACAACCCCAGCAATCCCACTCTTAACTATATCTACTCGAGAAGAATGAAAACACAGTCTTGTGTGTGAATGTTTATAGAAGGCTATTCCTGCTCCAAGAACTGGAAACAACTTAAACATTGTAAGTAGAGAATGGACAAATTTTGGTATATGCATACAATGGAATACTATTCATCAATAAAAATAAATGAACTACTGATACATGCAACACAATATGGATGAGTCTCAAAACAAAAGGATTATGCTAAGTGAAAGGAGTTGGATACAAAAGGCTGCATACTGTACAGGTCCTTTTTTTTTTTTTTTTTTTTTTTTTTTCAGACAGAGTCTTGCTGTGTCTCCCAGGCTGGTGTGCAGTGCAGTGGCAAGATCTTGACCCACTGCAGCCCCCGCCTCCTGGATTCAAGCAATTCTCCTGCCTCAGCCTCTGGAGTAGCTGGGATTACAGGTGCTCACCACCATGCCCACCTAATTTTTGTATTTTTAGTAGAGATAGGGTTTCACCATATTGGCCAGGCTGGTCTTGAACTATTTTTTTTTTTTTTGAGATGGAGTCTCACTCTGTTGCCCAGGCTGGAGTACAATGGTATGATCTCGCTCATTGCAACTTCTGCCTCCTGGGTTCAAGCAATTCTCCTGCCTCAGCCTCCCTAGTAGCTAGGATTACAGGCACCCACGACCAGGCCCGGCTAATTTTTGTATTTTTAGTAGAAACGGGATTTTGCCATGTTGCCCAGGCTGGTCTCCAACTCCCGACCTTTGGGATCTGCCCGCCTTGGCCTCCCAAAGTGCTGGGATTACAGGCGTGAGCCACCACGCCCAGCCTGGTCTCGAACTCTTGACATCAAATGGACCACCTGCCTTGGCCTCCCAAAATGCTGGGATTATAGGCATGAGCCACTGTACCTGGCCACAATTCTCTTTATATGACATTCTGAAGAAGGCAAAACTAGAGGGACAGAAATCAAAAAGGCATAAGGGAATGTTTTTGGGTGATGGAGGTATTTCATATCTTTATTATGGAATTTACACAACTATATACAGTTTCTTTTCTTTTTTCTTTCTTTTTTTTTTTTTGAGATGGAGTTTTGCTCTTGTTGCCCAGGCTGGAGTGCAATGGCGCAATCTCAGCTCCCCGCAACCTCCACCTCCCGGGTCCAAGTGATTCTCCTGCCTCAGCCTCCCTAGTAGCTGGGATTACAGGCATGTGCCACCACATCTGGCCAATTTTATATTTTTAGTAGAGAGGGGTATCTCCATATTGGTCAGGCTGGTCTCGAGCTCCTGACCTCAGGTGATCTGCCCGCCTTGGCCTCCAAAAGTGTGGGATTACAGGCATGAGCCACTGCACCTGGCCACAACTATATACATTTTTTGAAGCTCATAGAACTCTACACCTAGGCCAGGCAGGGTGGCTCAAATCTGTAATCCTAGCACTTCGGGAGGCCGAGGCAGGAGGATTACTTGTGCTCAGGAGTTCGAGACCAGCCTGAGCAACAATGTGAGACTCCGTCTTTACTTAAAAAAAAATTAATAAAATATATATACACACACACACATATATATATATACACATATATATATACACACATATATATACACATACATATATATATATAAAACTCTACACTTAGGGTGAATTTTACTGTATGTAAATTATACTTCAGTAAACTTAACTTTGAAAAGAAAGAATAAGAGAAATTAGAAGACGATGGAGCAATACCTTCAAAATTCTGAAGGAAATGTTTTCCAACTTAAAACCCTATATATATATATATCCAGCCAAACTATAAAGTGTAAGAATAGAATAAAGATTTTCAACAAATATAGTCTCAGAAAAATGTGCTTCCCTGAGCCTTTCTCATAAAACTACTTGTGGGACACGTTTCTCCTAAAACTAGGGAGGAAAAAAAAAGAAAAACAAAAACACACAAAAGGAAAACTATGGCATGCAGAAAACAATAAATCCAACACAAGAGAAGGAGAAAAGGCATATCCAGGATGGTGTTGAAGGAAAAATTTTGGGTGATAACTGTGAGACGGGAGTGGGAGGCAAACAATTGAAGCAGGTAAGAAAGCTCCAGGATAGCTGTGTTCAAGATGAAACTGATAACACACCGTATGCATTTCAATGTCTTGAAATATTTCAGACAATTGGTAGAGAGTTTGGGTTGAATTAATAATAAGTACATAGAAGCCTAAGCAAGTAAAAAACATGATAAAGTCTTAATTCCAGACCAAAAAAAAAAGGCTTTTAGTAAAGGCCAATTATAGCATACGTAATCCAATGAAGCACCTAGAAAATCCTCTGTGTTAAAATTTCTTAGTTAAGCAATTTGACCCATTTCAGAAAAAATAAAGTATATCCGAACAAATTCCTAACAGAAAGAAAGTGAACTTCCCTCATAAAACCAGCTTAATTTCTGAAATTAAAAGCTCAACACATTTCATGATATACTTGAATTTAATTGTTTTACTCTGTGTAAGAGAAATAACAGATACAAAGACTGTGAGAATTAAATTAGTAATTCCATATACTGATTATGTATGTGTCTTAATTTGTTTGGGCTGCTATAACAAAATGCCTTAGACTGGATAATGTATAAACAATAGAAATGTATAGCTCACAGTTCTAGAGGCTGTGAAATCAACATCAAGGCACAGACAGTCTTGGTGTCTGGTAAGGGCTCTCTGCTTCAAAGATGGTGCCTTCTTGCTATCCTCACGTAACAGAAGGGAAAAGCAGCTCTCTGGGGCCATTTTAATAAGGCCATTAAATCTCATGCACAAGAGCAAAGTTCTCATGATCTAATCACCTCCCAAAGGCCCCACCTCTTAATATCATTGAGGGTTAGTTTTCAACATCTGAATTTTGGCAGGACACAAACATTCACACCATAGCATTACGTAAGGAATAATGTTCTTTACAGAAAAAGAAAAATAATTAGGTCTTTATCTTTTCTTTCTTACATTATTAATTACTGAAACCACCAAAGCTATACAATTGCTTAGTTCTTTGGAGTATTTTCTCTTGAAACATACAGTTAATGGGCCGGGTGCTGTGGCTCATGCCTATAATCCCAGCACTTTGGGAGGCTGAGGCGGGCAGATCACGAGGTCAAGAGATCAAGACCATCCTGGCCAAGATGGTGAAACTCTGTCTCTGCTAAAAATACAAAAAAATTAGCTGGGTGTGGTGGCTCTCACCTGTAGTCTCAGCTACTCGGGAGGCCGAGGTATGAGAATCACTTGAACCTGTAAGGCAGAAGTTGCAGTGAGCCAAGATCGTGCCACTGCACTCCAGCCTGGCGACAGAACGAGACTCCATCTCAAAAAAAAGAAATATACATTTAATGTAATATTTGACAAAACTATACCATTGTAAGATTCCTTTAAAAAGTATAAACTATTTTCAAATGTTTGAAAAAATATATTCAAGTGGAGACCAATCTTGCTTAAATGTTTTTATGTTTTATATTTTGCTTCTTGCAAAAGCATTTGAGGCTGTCAGAAAAGATATGGATGAACCTTAAATGCACATTGCTAAGGGAAATAAGCCAGTCTGGAAAGACTATATACTGTATGAGTCCAATTATATGACATTCTGAAAAAGGCAAACTATAGAGACAGTAAAAAGAGGTGAAGGGTTAAATAGGTGAAGCACAGGGAATTATTATTTTAGGGTGATGAAACTATTCTGTATGATACTGTAATAGTGGATATATGACATTATACAGTTGTCAAAACCTACAGAACTTTATAGCACAAAGTGAACCTTAAAGTATGCAAATCCTTAAAAAAATCATTTTGGGCTGGGCGTGGTGGCTCATGCCTGTAATCTCAGCACTTTGGGTGACTGAAGTGGGCAAATCGCTTGAGCCCAGGAGTTCAAGACCAGCCTGGGCAAAATGGCGAAACCCTGTCTCTACAAAACATATAAAAAATGAGCCAGGCATGGTGGTATGCATCTGTAGTCCCAGCTACTTAGGAGGCTGAGCTGGGAGGATCAGATGAGCCCGAGAGATTGAGACTGTAGTGAGCCATGATCATGTCACTGCACTCTAGTCAGGGCTACAGAGTGAGACCCTGTCTCAAAAAACAAAACAAAACACCCCATAAAACATTTTGGAGGTTGTGGTTGTGGTGTAAGGCCTAAAATTAAGGCTCAATATTATGTGTTGTCTTGACATCTGGTAAAACTGGGAGGGCCTTAAATTGCCTAGTGGTAAGTTCTCCTTCCCACTCTGCTCCCATGTGTAAGCTCCCCCAGCTCTTTGTCAAATGGACGGGCAAAGTTTTGCTAATCCCTGAGTAGTGGGTTTCAGTTTCCTGCCAGCTCTTGGAATTACTCAAACAACCAATTACATCCTCCACAGGAACCAGGGGCACCCCATCCTCTTGATACCACAAAGCCTGCCTCCCACAGCTTGATTGTTCATTCTGCTCCTGAATGCAGAGTGTGGCCCTGAGTGGTATGCGGTGTTCTTTTCCAGGCTGAGAGTATATGTAACTAACAGACTGCTGTTCACATCATCTGTTGTGTTGGGTGTTATGTGTTTGGTCATCCCCATTACCCTAGGGCAGGAATCCCTCCTTCACCAACAGGGAGAACAGCAAGTGATTAAAACAGAGACTGGGGGACTGGGGGAAATCCCAGATGGAATGCAGATTGTGACAACATAACCTATCTGGTATGATACATGTATGAAACAACCTCACTGAAAAGAGTGGAGGATGGGCCAGGCACGGTGGCTCACACCTGTAATCCCAGCACTTTGGGAGGTTGAGGTGGGTGGATCACCTGAGGTCGGGAGTTCAAGACCAGCCTGACCAACATGGAGAAACCCCGTCTCTACTAAAAATACAAAATTAGCTGGATGTGGTGGTGCATGCCTGTAATCCCAGCTACTCGGGAGGCTGAGGCAGGAGAATAGCTTGAACCCGGGTGGCGGAGGTTGCAGGGTGAGCAGAGATCGCGTCATTGCACTCCAGCCTGGGCAACAAGAGCAAAACTCTGTCTCAAAAATAAATAAATAAATAAAAGTGGAGGATGGCCAGGCATGGTGGCTCACGCCTGAAATCCCAGCACTTTGGGAGGCTGAGGTGGGTGGATCACTTGAGCCTAGGAGTTCGAGACCAGCCTGGGCAACACAGCGAAACCTCATCTAACCAAAAAATACAAAAAAATAGCCGGGTGTGGTTGTGTGTGCCTGTAGCCCCAGCTACTCTGGAGGCTGAGATGGGAGGGTGGCTTGAACCCAGGAGGTGGAGGTTGCAGTGAGCCAACACTGTGCCACTGCACTCCAGCTGGGGGGACATAGTGAGACCCTGTCTTTCCAAAAAAAAAAAAAAAAAAAAAGAAAGAAAGAAAAAAGAAAGAAAGAAAGAAAAAGAAAAGAGTGGAGGAAATAACGTGCTTATCTAGGGAAATGGCAGAGTCTAAGATTACCCTTGGAAATGAGTGGAGTCTGTAAGACTAAAAGCAAAAGGAATTGCACAAAAGCACTGGACTTAAGAAGATGGTAAAAAAAATTGATATTGACAAGGATAAGGTTAACAATTTGCATATTACTATAAATGTACACTTGAACAATTAAGTAAATGGATAGTAGATTATGGAAGCTAGCTTTCTTACTGTTGGAGTGGGAGTTTATAGATAAGCAAAGGTAGGAGGCTAGAACAATCCATGGGGTAGTGGATTAGAATTGATTGTATGGATCAGTATGAAGTCATGTTTAGCTTAACATAGATAAGGATGTGCTATGGTCTGAATGTTCGTGTCCCCCCAAACCTTATATGTTGAAATCTAATCACCAATGTGATAGTATTAGGAGGTGGGGCCCTGAGAGGTGATTAGGTTATAAGGTTAAAGCCTTCATGAGTGGGATCAGTGCCCTTATAGCCAGAGAGCTGCCTTACCTCTTCTACCATGTGAGGACAAAGCAAGAAAGCACAATCTATGAACCAGGAAACAGGCCCTCACTAGACACCAAATCTGCCAGCACCTTTATCTTGGACTTCCAGCCTTCGGAACTGTGAGCAATAAATTTCTGTTGTTTATAAGCTACCCAGTTTATATGGTTATGATTGAGTTATAGCAGCTCAATCATATTAAGACAGGATGGTTCCACATGTGGAAATATTTAGAAATATGTATATTTTTATTGGTTAATACACACACATCTATTTCTTTGCTCTGTCAGCAGATAGGATCTAGATGCAACAGCACTCCAGAAACAATGAGCAAACCTAGCACTGAATCTTGGTTTCTATTACCATTCTCCAATAAAAGCAATCGGGACTCCTTGGAGAAATGGCTGATTCTAAAACTAGGGCAGGGGATATACAAAATGGGTCTGGAGCATCTTGTAGTGGCAGAAAGTAAGAAAGTGCTAAACAAAGAAACAATACAAACTATGTTGATGGAGGTATATCAAAGGGATACAGGAGCCAACTGAAAGAGCACCCAAGGACTAAAGCTGGAATAACTTGAGCAATAAGATAAATTGACATTAGTTTATAATCCAGTGCATAAAATAAGCCCATGAGTCCACACTGCTATAAATAAATGATTGATTGAATACATAAATAAATTGAGAAGAAGAGATAAATCTTCCACGAAGAATTCCAAATAATTTTGGTAGACATCCCACTCTAGAAAACAGGGAGCATAAATTTCCATTTCTTAAGTGTGGGCTGTGCTCACTGACTTCCTTCCAAATATTACATAATAGAAAGGGGGGAAAAACAGTAACTTTACATAGAAAAACCTGACAAATAAACCTTAGCTAGGCAACCAAGGTAAACGTCTACAGTGATAACTCATGTTGACAGTATGTACCCTTGATATGATATGGACCATTATCTCTGTGTTCTTCCTCCCCCAAACCCATAATACTAGTCTAGTTATGAGAAAAACACCAGAGGAATTCCAACAGAGGGATGCTCTACAAAACAATGGACCAATGCACCACAGAACTGTAAAGGTCATCAAAAACAAAGAATGTCTGAGATATTGTCAGAAGCTCCTAAGGAGATATGGCAACTCTCTTAGCTTGGGATGCTGTAATATTGTGATAAAATAAATACATACTTGGGGGGCTGAGCGTGGTGGCTCACGCCTGTAATCCCAGCACTTTGGGAGGCTGAGGAGGGCGGATCACCTGAGGTCAGGAGTTCGAGACCAGCCCGACCAACATGGAGAAACCCCGTCTCTACTAAAAATACAAAATTAGCTGTGCGTGGTGGCGCATGCCTGTAATTCCAGCTACTCGGGAGGCTGAGGCAGGAGAATTGCTTGAACCCGGGAGGCAGAGGTTGCGGTGAGCTGAGATTACGCCATTGCACTCCAGCCTGGGCGACAAGAGCGAAACTCTGTCTCAAAAAATATATATATATATACACATATATATGTATGTGTATATATATGTAAGTGTATGTATGTATGTGTGTGTATATATATGTATGTGTATATATATATTTGGTCTCTGCTGCTGGTTCCTAAAGCACTCATAAACAGGGGCACCAGGAAAATCTTTTCCTCTAATATTTGGTCTTTGTCTTCATTTCCTGACACGGAGCTCCTAAATCTCTTGGAATTTCCTGGGTGATAGGAACATTTTTTGTTCTAATAAGGCAACTTTTGATGGGCTCATGGACAGCCTTCACGATGGAGGCTGGGTACCAAGGGAGCCAACTATGTAATTAGAGGATTGAAACTTTTCTGTCCTACCTCCCAACCTCTGGAGAGGGGAGAGGGGCTGAAGGTTGAGTTTATTACCAATGGCCAATGATGTAATCACTCATGCCTATTTAATGGATCCTCCATAAAAATCCAGAAGGACAGTGTTTGGAGAGCTTCTGGACTGCTGGATATGTGGAGGTTCCTGGGGGGTGGTGTGCCTTGAGAGGGCATGGAAGCTCCACGCCCCTTCCCAGATGCTTTGCCCTATGAATCTCTTCCATCCAGCTATTCATCTGTATCCTTTGTAATAATATCCTTTATAATAAACTAGTAAACATAAGTAAACTGTTTCTCTGGGTTCTGTGAGTGCTTTACAAATTAAAAGAACCTGAGGAGGGGGTTGTGGGAACCTCTGATTTATACCCAGTTGGACAGAAACATATACAAGTCACAACCTGGAGTTGTGGGGGTGTAGAGTCTTATGAGACTGAACCCTTAACCTATGGGATCTGGCATTACCTCTAAGTAGACAAACATAGAAATAAGTCAGAACGGAATTATAGGACATGCAGTTGGTGTCTGCTGGAGAATCTGGTGTCAAAAGTGTTGTATTGAGTGGTGTTTGAAACTATAAAAAAGTGTTTTTTTTTCCCCTATCTCATTCAGTTGCTGTAACAGAATACCATAGACTGGGTGGCTTTATAAACAACAGAAATTTCTCACAGTAATGGAAGCTGCAAGCTTGAAATCAGGGTGCCAGTATGGTTGGGTTCTGATGCGGGCCTCCTTTGGGTTTGCAGACTGCTGACTTTTTGTTGTAGCCTCATGTGGTGAAAGGAAAGAGCCAGAGACTTCTCTGGAGTCGCTTTCATTTATGAGGGCTCTACCTTCATGACCTAATTACCCACCAAAGACCCACCTCCTAATATAATCACACGGAGAATTAGAATTTCAATACATGAATTTTGGGAGGGACACAAACATTCAATCCATAACATCTAAGTATAAGACAAGGCTCGGAGCAGTGGCTCATGCCTGTAATCCCAGCACTTTGGGAGGCCAATGCAGGTGGATCACAAGGTTAGGAGTTCCAGACTAGCCTGGCCAACATGGTGAAACTCCATCTCTACTAAAAATACAAAAATTAGCACTGCTACAGGTGGCACACACCTGTAGTCCCAGCTACTTGGGAGGCTGAGGCACAAGAATCGCTTGAACCCAGGAGGCGGAAGTGGCAGTGAGCCGAGATCCCGCCACTGCACTCCAACCTGGGCGACAGAGCGAGACTCCAATCTAAAAAATAAATAAATAAATAAATACATAAATACATAAATAAAGTATCCTGGATGGGATCCTAGAACAAAAAAAGGAACTTAGGTAAAAACTAAGGTGTGGAATAAAGTGAAGACTTTAGTTACTCATAATATATCAATATTGATTGGTTCACAAATCATAACAAATGTACTACAGAATGTAAGGTGTTGATAATCGGGAAAACTGCATGTAGGGTATATGATAACTCTATATTAGTTTCACAATTTTTCTGTAAATCTAAAGCTGTCCTGAAAAATAAAGTCTATTTTCAAAAAGCATTTGGGAAGGCAGGGCACTGTGGCTCATGACTGTAATCCCAGTACTTTGGGTAGCCGAGGTGGGCGGATCGCCTGAGGTCAGGAGTTCGAGACCAGCCTGGCCAACAGGGTGAAACCCCATCTCTACCAAATATACAAAAATTAGCCAGTCATGGTGGCCGCATCTGTGGTCCCAGCTACTTGGGAGGCTGAGGTGGAAGAATCACTCGAGCCTGGGAGGCAGAGGTTGGAGTGAGCTGGAATCGTGCCATTGCACTCCAGCCTGGGTGACAGAGTGAGACTCCATCCCCCAAAAACAAAACAAAACAAACAAACCAGAAAGTATTTGGGAAGCTTAGAGAATAATATCCAGCAAAGTAAGTAATAAATAAACAAGAAAATAAGGATCTTAGAGGAAGGAAAGTAAGATAAATCAAGGGATGAGGTTAGAATACTAAAATGCATGCCTTTAAGTGACTACATCTTTGTTAGAGTTAGCTGTCAGTGTGAGTCAGCTGAATTGAAAAAGCTTTGCAGATTTGTTTCTTAGAACATCCCCCAGGGCCTGAGGTTGGAGGGCAGCAGCACAAGGTTGGAGGGAGCTGAGCTGGGCCAGCTGCACAGGAGGTAATCTATAAGTGATATTATACACACCACCACCACCACCCCCAACCCGCCCCCTGAGGCCTGAAAACATCACTAGAATTTCTATTTACCTGAGCTTCTTACCTGAGCTCTTCTCAGAGGGATGTGGTTAAACAGAACTACTTTGACAAACCACTTGGTCAGGGGCGGATAAAACTCCCCAACCCACAAACACACGTCTAAGAAGTCAGAGTCTGGTTACCACAAGGTCATTGTTTGCTGGGGCACTGATCCAGCCGTCCTCTTTCTCTGCCTTTCCACTCAAATAAATGTTGGACAGATTTTTTTTTTCTTTTGAGACAGAGTCTCGCTGTGTAGCCCAGGCTGGAGTGCAATGGCACAATCTTAGCTCACTGCAACCTCTGCCTCAAGCGATTCTCCTGCCTCAGCCTCCGGAGTAGCTGGGACTACAGGCGCGTGCCACCATGCCTGCCTAATTTTTTGTATTTTTAGTAGAGATGGAGTTTCACCGTGTTAGCCAGGATGGTCTCGATCTCCTGACCTTGTGATCCTCCCGCCTCGGTGGACGGATCCCAAAGTGCTGGGATTACAGGGGTGAGCTACCGCGCCCAGCTAATGTTGGATAGATTTTTAAATAATTTTGTTTTGAGGGAGACTAAATTCCTGGTTTGAATGGAGAGTCAAATAATTAGCTTACTAAAGGCATCTACATGTTTATCAGCTCTTTGTACTACCAAAGTATAATTCAGTAAAAGCAATTCTAACAGTGACCAAAAAACAGGACAAATTACTCTCCCTTGCTATTGGTCTCAAATGATCCAAGGGTACAGTTTAGGCTATCAGCATATTCTTCAGGTGCCCATCCAAGGATATACTTTCTCTTAGCTGATAAGAATAGGGCACCAAAGAATTTAGAGTTACGTCTTCTGGCAAATGAATATAATTTGTACTGCTGATTATGTATAGATCCATACGTCTGATAATCAGCAAGTCAACTGAGGGGTGGACAGGGTTGATATCTTCTTATTAACACTAAGGAATCCAACCAGGACTAACCAACCACATCCACATGGAGATGGGCCGACAGAGTCCTTGTGAACGGTGCCAAGATTTTCCCTAGAAGACAGTTATGGGAAAACTGTGTGGCTCACGCCTGTAATCCCAGCACTTTGGGAGGCCAAGGTGGGTGCATCACGAGGTCAGGAGTTCGAGACCAGCCTGCCCAACATAAGTGAAACCCTGTCTGTATGAAAAATACAAAAATTAGCCAGGCATGGTGATGCGCACCTGTAGTCCCAGCTACCTGGGAGGCTGAGGCAGGAGAATCACTTGAAACCGGGAGACGGAGGTTGCAGTGAGCCAAGATCATGTCACTGCACTCCAGCCTGGGCGACAGAGCAAGACTCCGTCTCAAACAAAAAACCAAAAACAAAAAATAGGTCTGGGCCTGTTCTACAAGGGCAACTGAGCTTAAAATTCATCACTATGAAGGGGTTGCAAATATCTTAGCCTAAAATAATTTCAAGGCCCAGTGCGGTGGCTCACACCTGTATCCCAGCACTTTAAGAAGCTGAGGCAGAATTCCTTTAGCCCAGGAGTTGAAGACCAGCCCGGGGAACATAGTGAGACCCCATCTCTACAAAAAATTTAAGAAATGAGCTGGGCATGGTGGCACATGCCTGTGGTCCCAGCTACTCAGGAGGCTGACATGAGAGGATCCCTTGAGTCCCGAGGCTGAGGCTGCAGTGAGCCATGATCACACCCACTGCACTGCAGCCTGGGTGACAAAGAAAAAGCTTGTCTCTTTCTAAACCAGGAGCTAGAAATCATCTATCATAGGTAAGGGGAGACAATTTTCTACAAGCTAATTTTAATCACTGTAACTTATTGGGGAGCTTCTAATATAAATGGACTGCTGTTCTGTCTCTTCCACAGGTTTGTATTGCTTCAGGATCCTTTAATTATCCATGTTTTCTAAGTAAGTGCTTTGCCCTTGGATCCCTTTATAAAGTGGAGAGACCACATCCATATTCATTGCTCTACTTCACCTGCCATTTGTTCGGTGATGACAAACAATCTATAACACTGGGCTGATTTTTAAAATAAATTAATAAGTATTTTATTGATATATAATATTTCCACATATTTATGGGATACATGTGATGTTTTGTTGCATGCATAGAATATGTAACGATCAACTCAGGGTATTTAGGATATCTAGCATTTTGAGTATTTATTATTTCTATGTATTGTAAACATTTCAGATGATCTCTTTAAGCTATTTTGAAATATACAATACATTGTTAACCATTAGACTGACTTATCTTTGGAGTTATAGACCTGCATGACCAGTATCATCATGGATATCTTTACCTCTTTACCTGAAAGTCTCTTTGATGTTTTTTGTTTTTTGTTTTTTTTTTTTGAGTTGGAGTCTCGCTCTGTCACCCAGGCTGGAGTGCAGTGGCACAATCTCGGCTCACTGAAACCTCCACCTCCCGGGTTCAAGCGATTCTCCTACCTCAGCTTCCCGAGCAGCTGGGACTACAGGTGCGTGCCACCACGCCTGGCTAATTTTTTGTATTTTTTGTAGAGATGGGGTTTCACCGTGTTAGCCAGGATGGTCTTGATCTCCTGACCTTGTGATCCGCCCGCCTTGCCCTCCCAAAGTGCTGGGATTACAGGCGTGAGCCACCACACCTGGCCTCTTTGATGTCTTAATGTTACAAATATTCATAATTTCAGTTGAACATCCATTCCTCTAAAATCCTACCAGAATCCTGGGAGGTAATTAAGATTCCTTCCTGGACGGGCACGGTGGCTCATGCCTGTAATCCTAGCACTTTGGGAGGCCGTGGCAGGCGGATCACAAGGTCAGGAGTTTGAGACCATCCTGGCTAACACAGTGAAACCCCATCTCTACTAAAAATACAAAAAATTAGCTGGGTGTGGTGGCAGGCGCCTGTAATCCCAGGTACTCGGGAGGCTGAGGCAGGAGAATCTCGTGTACCTGGGAGGCGGAGATTGCAGTGAGCAGAGATTGTGTCACTGGACTCCATCCTGGGCAACAGAGTGAGACTTCGTCTCAAAAAAAAAAAAAAAAAGATTCCTTCCTTTCCCTCTCTATGCACATCACTCCATTCCTTCCTTTCTAATTCCACTTTATGAATAGATCTTGAGTTTTTCCTTTTCGTACGTGGTGGCTGCCTCATTTCTTCATTAGGTGATTGCAAGTTTCCTAATTTACCACTTTGGTCTTGCTCTTCTCTAATCTATATCCTCCAAAATAAAGTCAGAGTTTTTAGAAATTTTTCTAAAAGTTAACTTTTTTGATTCTGTAACATATGCATAAGGCTCTAAATTGAAATTTACAAAGGGTAAACAGAGAAAAGTCTGCCCCTTGCCCCTGACTCTTAGTCACCTAATTTCTCTTCCCAAATATACCCACAGCTACCAATTTTGGAGAAAATAATTTATTTCTAAATTGCATCTACTGCACATCTTTCCATGACTTATCACTCTACAAGATAATGTCCAAACTGAGAAGCACATGAGGCATTTCAGGATTTCGTCTATTTAACTTTAGTGGGTTTACCTCTCATTTCTTCTAACAAGTCCCTCTGTACGTCAGATTCCAGCCCCTGTAACAATTAGCTCTTCCCTAAACAGCCTACTTCCCTCTGATTTTCTTTTTTTTTTTTTTGAGATGGAGTCTCGCTCTGCCATCCAGGCTGAAGTGCAGTGGCGCGATCTCGGCTCACTGCAACCTCCGCCTCCCGGGTTCAAGTGATTCTCCTGCCTCAGCCCCCCTAGTAGCTGGTATTACAGGCGCCCAACACCATGCCCAGCTAATTTTTTTATTTTTAGTAGAGACGAGGTTTCACCATGTTGGCTAGGCTGGTCTCGAACTCCTGACATTTGGTGATCCGCCCACCTCACCTCCCAAAGTGCTGGGATTACAGGCATGAGCTGCCGTGCCCGGCCCCCTCTGTGATTTTATATCTGCTCTTTTTCCTACCTGGAATGCCTTCCCCAAGTTCCCTCCATCCCCCATGCCACCTGTTTCTCCCTTTACTTTTTTTTTTTTTTGAGATGGAGTCTCGCTCTCTCACCCAGGCTGGAGTGCGGTGGTGCAATCTTGGCTCACTGCAACATTTGCCTTCCAGGTGCAAGCGATTCTCCTGTCTCAGCCTCCCGAGTAGTGGGATTACAGGTACACACCGCCATGCCTGGCTAATTTTTTGTATTTTAGTAAAGACAGGGTTTTACCATGTTGCCCAGGCTGGTCTCGAACTCCTGAACTCAGGCAATCCGCCCGCTTCGGCCTCCCAAAGTGTTAGGATTACAGGCATGAGCCACTGCACCCGGCCTTCTTTACTTTTTTATTTTTATATCTTTGAGACAGGGTCTCACTTTGTCACTCAGCCTGGAGTGCAGTGGCATGAACATGACACACGCAGCCTTGACCTCCTAGGCTCAGATGATTCTCCCACCTCAGCCTCCTGAGTAGCTGGGACTTCAGGCAAGCACCACCACGCCTGGCTGATTTTTTGTATTTTTTGTAGAGATGAGGTCTCACAATGTTGCCCAGGCTGGTCTCAAACTCCTGAGCTCAAGTGATCCTCCTGCCTCAGCCTCCCAAAGTGCTGGGATTACAGGCGTGAGCCACTGTGCCTGGGTGGCCTCCCTTTTTTTGTGTGTAGAAAACATCATCTCTTAATACTTCTCCATAAACAGATTCAAGTTAAAGCTTTGGCAGACCTCCACAGGTAAAGGTTATCCTGACCTCTCATAACGGACTTTAGCACCATATATGTTTTTATTTTTATTCATTTTTTAAGAGATAGGGTCTTGCTCTGTCACCCAGGCTGGAGTACAGTGGCATAATCATAGCTCACTGCAGCCTCTACCTCCTGAGCTCAACTGATCCTCACACCTCAGCCTCCAAAGTATCTATGACTGTAGGTGTGCACCACCAGACTCAGCTAATTCTGAATATTTTTTTTTTGTAAAGACAGAATCTTACTACATTGCCTAGACTTGTGTTTTTATTATAGCACCTATAACATTGCTTTGTCTCCTATTAGAAGGCAGAGCCATGTTCCTTTGTTTTTTGAGTCCCTAGGATCTAGCAAACTGCCCAGTACATAGTGTTTGTTTAACAAAACTAAAATATTAGTTACAATGTAGCTACAAGTAAGCCAAGGAAATATTAGGCTGCATTAATAGTGGTGTAGTACTCAGAAGTTTTAGTTCCAGCCACCATATTTAGAGATAGTCACTGGAGAAGTTTAATATCCACCTGGCAGTGTAGAGTCTAGTAATGCTGTAATGCTGTAATGACCTCCGAGGAGGCATCTGCTCCCTTACAATGTCTAAAGGGCTAGAGAGGAAGCCGCTAACTGCTAACCACACAGCTCCTCCATGAGGCTGGACATTCTCCACCACAATGTTCGTATGTCTTCATCAGTGCTGAGATGTACTGTAATTTATTTGTACTGATAAAAGCTACAGTGCTTAAGTTTGCAAACAATTTACTTTTTCCCTACTTTTTTTTTTTTGAGATGGAGTTTCAATCTTGTTGCCCAGGCTGGAGTGCAATGGCACGATCTCAGCTCACTGCAACCTCTGCCTCCGGGGTTCAAATGATTCTCCTGTCTCAGCCTCCTGAAAAGCTGGGGTTACAGGCACACACCACGACACCCAGCTAATTTTGTATTTTTAGTAGAGGTGGGGTTTCTCCATGTTGGTCAGGCTGGTCTCGAACTCTTGATCTCAGGCGATCTGCCCGCCTTGGCCTCCCAAAGTGCTGGGATTACAAATGTGAGCCACTGTGCCCGGTCTGCTTTTCCCCCACTTAAACTAGAAAGGAGTCAAGTTACTTCTATAGGCCAGGCTTGGTGGCTCATGCCTGCAGTCCTAGCACTTTGGGAGTCTGTGGTGGGAGGATCGCTTGAGGCCAGGGGTTCTAGACTGGCCTCTTTAATATAGGGAGATCCCCATCTCTACAACAAATGAAATAAAAATAGTCGGGCGTGGTGGTGCGTACCGTTAGTCCTAGCTACTCTCTCGAGGCTGAAGTAGGAGGAATGCTTGAGTCCAAGAGTTTGAGGTTACAGTGAGCTGTGATCTAACCACTGCACTCTAGCCTGGGCAACAGAATAAACGCCTGTTTAAAAAAAAAAAGTTACTTCTCTAATGTAACTCCTGCCCACTTATATTCCAATACATTTTACTGAGATGGGGTAGAGTTACAACAGATAGGTCAGGAAACTGGGAGTAAGCCAGGGTCTACCTTATCTTTGCTTCCCCCTGGTAGAATGGTGAGTATGTAAATATTATCTCTCCTGGATGGGTGGGGGATGGTGGAATATAGAGGACTGCTACTGTAGACCATGAGCTCTTTCAAGGTAGGGACTATGACTTTTCATTTTTTAGAAAAATGTAATTTTCTATAGCGTCTGGCAGTTAACAAAAGCTTGAAGAATGAAGGAAGTGAACATTTGGGGATAGATCAATGGGAGAATGAAAGGAAGACAGGGTGGAAGAAAATGTGACAAAAAATTTAAAAAGGTAATTAAGAGAAAAAGCAAAGGAATACAGGAGGCTTCTTAAGACAGTAGTCTTTTTTTTTTTTTTTAATTTTTTTTTTATTTTTTATTTTTTTTTTATTGATCATTCTTGGGTGTTTCTCGCAGAGGGGGATTTGGCAGGGTCATAGGACAATAGCGGAGGGAAGGTCAGCAGATAAACAAGTGAACAAAGGTCTCTGGTTTTCCTAGGCAGAGGACCCTGCGGCCTTCCGCAGTGTTTGTGTCCCTGGGTACTTAAGATTAGGGAGTGGTGATGACTCTTAACGAGCATGCTGCCTTCAAGCATCTGTTTAACAAAGCACATCTTGCACCGCCCTTAATCCATTTAACCCTGAGTGGACAC
Source organism: Homo sapiens (assembly GCF_000001405.40). NCBI lineage: Eukaryota > Metazoa > Chordata > Mammalia > Primates > Hominidae > Homo > Homo sapiens. Next base: position 40,801,506 of record NC_000005.10, on the reverse strand, counting down.
AGCACATGTTTCAGAGAGCACAGGGTTGGGGATAAGGTCACAGATCAACAGGATCCCAAGGCAGAAGAATTTTTCTTAGTACAGAACAAAATGAAAAGTCTCCCATGTCTACTTCTATCCACACAGACCCGGCAACCATCCGATTTCTCAATTTTTTCCCCACCCTTCCCGCCTTTCTATTCCACAAAACCGCCATTGTCATCATGGCCCATCCCCAATGAGCCGCTGGGCACACCTCCCAGACGGGGTCGTGGCCGGGCAGAGGGGCTCCTCACTTCCCAGTAGGGGCGGCCGGGCAGAAGCGCCCCTCACCTCCCGGATGGGGCGGCTGGCCGGGCGGGGGGCTGACCCCCCCACCACCCTCCCAGACGGGGCGGCTGGCCGGGCAGAGGGGCTCCTCACTTCCCAGTAGGGGCGGCCGGGCAGAGGCGCCCCTCACCTCCTGGATAGGGCGGCTGGCCGGGCGGGGGGCTGACCCCCCCACCTCCCTCCCGGACTGGGCGGCTGGCCGAGCAGAGGGGCTCCTCACTTCCCAGTAGGGGCGGCCGGGCAGAGGCGCCCCTCACCTCCTGGATAGGGCGGCTGGCCGGGCGGGGGGCTGACCCCCCCACCACCCTCCCAGACGGGGCGGCTGGCCGGGCAGAGGGGCTCCTCACTTCCCAGTAGGGGCGGCCGGGCAGAGGCGCCCCTCATCTCCTGGATAGGGCGGCTGGCCGGGCGGGGGGCTGACCCCCCCACCTCCCTCCCGGACGGGGCGGCTGGCCGGGCAGAGGGGTCCTCACTTCCCAGTAGGGGCGGCCGGGCAGAGGCGCCCCTCACCTCCCGGACGGGGCGGCTGGCCAGGCGGGGGGCTGATCCCCCCACCTCCCTCCCAGACGGGGCGGCTGGCCGGGCGGGGGCTGACCCCCCCCACCTCCCTCCCGGACGGGGCGGCTGGCCGGGCGGGGGCTGACCCCCCCACCTCCCTCCCGGATGGGGCGGCTGGCCGGGCGGGGGGCTGACCCCCCCACCTCCCTCCCGGACGGGGCGGCTGGCCGGGCAGAGGGGTCCTCACTTCCCAGTAGGGGCGGCCGGGCAGAGGCGCCCCTCACCTCCCGGACGTGGCGGCCGGCCGGGCGGGGGGCAAGACAGTAGTCTTACAAACAGTGAATTGGATTCGGTTTTTAACTCAACATGAATGGAAAAGAAACAAAACCAAAATTAAAACACTGAGCAATTAAAGCTGCTTTAAACAGAGACTATGGGAAACTGGATAAGATGATGTCTAAGTTTCTATCCAATTTTTTGATCTATAATTCTAGGTTTTATCTCCCCAACAATGCTTTTAAGTGTAAATGCCATTTAATGACTATTTATTAAATAGAATTATAATCTACAACAGCACAAAGCAGAAACAAACTGATGTTTCTACTAAAAAAAAAGGTTATGTTACTTTCTTGAGTTTTCATAGTTTCACGAAGAGACTGGCAAATGGATTTGCAAAACTCAGCTTCAGTTTGTTCCTTGCAGCATGCTCAGTGAGTGGTACACAGCTGAGGTACTTTGCTATCTTTTCCTTTTTTTTTCCCCCTATGGGCACTCTCCCACCCTTGGGCCTGGGAAGAGATGTTGTCAGATCTTTTTCTTTCAGGTTAGAAGAAATGGCAGAACTTTCCTGGGTTAAATTCTAGATATAATAAAAACTTAAAGTAATTTAAGGTGCTATTTGGGGAGGGGAGGGAGTTTAAGGTTCCCTGCCCCACACGGGAATCCAGAGAGCTATTTCTGTTTTACAGAGATCCAAAATCCAAAAATTCTGCTTTACAGAGATGCCTTGTGTAGAAACTCAAAAGTCAAACAGATAAAAGTGAAAAAGCCAGACACCAAAAGTTAAAACAGTAACCACTACACCACCTGCCCCCCAAATACATCAGTAATCAAAGATTTCTTAACTTTTTGCCCTTCAAACAATGTGCAGTCCTCAATACAGTAGGAACTTGATTAAGGCTAGCTGGAACTGTTCCCTGCTTATCTGGTGTAATTCTAAGCTCAAAGGCAGAAACTTTTGCTTCTCCTGCAATATCTTCCTCGGAACAAAACAGTGCCTAATGCATGTTACTTTGATTTCAGAAACAGAGAGGAGAAAATCAGGAGAGTTGGGTAATTGATTTTTGTGGGATTAAAAATGACATTTTTAGTTTTTTTCTTTTTTTATACTCTTTTCATGAAGGTAAATTTTGTTTTTTTGGGCCATTGACACTGGCCCAATGCTATGACATTCCAAAATTGAGAGAATATAAACTTTTTAAAACAGAACACTTGATTTTGACTACTAATCAGAGGAGTGGAATTGAGTAACAAACTCAAACATTTTATGAAAAATAAACAGACTTTATGCTATGGTATGGTTCCATTTATGTTTATATAATAGACTAAGTATTACTCATTACAAGTACAATAAATATTTGTTGATCCGGTTGATGTAACCGTAAGCCTTGTTCTCTCTCAGTCCAGTGAAAGTATACATTTTACTGATAATCTAAAAGTATTAATTCCTATACACCAAAAGATCTGCGTATCATCCCCCTCTTGGAATACACATTCACTTGCACATATCCCCAGCCTGCTCCTCGCAACAGAGCTTGCTTTGGGGAGGAAATTTCAGGATCACCTCCAGAAGAAAACACCGACAGCGCTCCTAGAGCCATCGTGGTGCCCTCTAGCAACTTACGGGCTCCAAGCGAAAAAAGAGCTCGGGTTGGTGCGGGGGGGCGGGGAGCGGGAAACTCCATCACAGACGCAAGTGAAAACTCCTGCGGCTTCTAGATTCCATCCGAGAAGGAAAGATGAAAATCAAGGTTAGAAAGCAGTGGCAGGGCGGTGTCCCCTGCCTTGCTTTAATTCACGCGGCTCTCGTAACAAGCCACAGATGTGCATCACTCAAGCGGGCTTCCCAGTCCTCATCTCCCCTCTGGATGGTCTTCTGCGACCGCAGAGTGGTAGTTAGGGAAGATCGCAGCGGGCAGAAACTCCGCCAGGGGAGAAAGGAGCCTGGGGGCGACGGTCCGCCTAATCGTTCCAGGAAGCCCCTCCGCGTGCCGGTGGGCGGGCGCTCAGGCCCGAGGATGCGGGGCGAGGAGGCGGGTACTGGTGATTCTCCTGGCAGCCCCCGCCCGCCCCGCCAGGGGGAGCGTCTGCGCCCGACGTAGGCTGCGGGGCCTGGGCTGGCGGCGCAGGGCGGTGACTCGGCTCGGTGGCTGCCCTCCCGCGTCCCCACCCCCTCCCCGCCCGCCCCCGGCGCGGCCCTGCCCGCCCCCTCCGCCCCCTCCCGCAGCGCCATGCGCAGACTCAGTTCCTGGAGAAAGATGGCGACAGCCGAGAAGCAGAAACACGACGGGCGGGTGAAGATCGGCCACTACATTCTGGGTGACACGCTGGGGGTCGGCACCTTCGGCAAAGTGAAGGGTGAGAACCCCGCGGGACTAGGCTTGGCCCCAGCTGAGGAGCCGCACGACTTCCGCTTTCCGCACCTCTTCATCCTCCCCCGCCCGCTGCGTCCCTTCTTTCCAGGGCTGGGCAGCCCCTGTCCCGGATCCTGCGGGAGCTCTCCCCAGCCGCCGCGGGGCTGCGGCGCGGCCAGCACAGGCCGGGTGGGGGTGGGGGTGGGGTAGGGGCCAGTCGCCATGGCGACGGCGCCGCGGCCTGAGGGGCTGGTAGGTACGAGGGGCTGGGATGCGAAGGTGCAAACTTTCCCAGGTGGGGCAGGCGGGCGGCGCGGCGCGCTCTGGGTGCTGGGAGGGGGCGCCGGGCGCGATCCCCGGGGAGGCGGCATCTTGTGCGCCCGGGTTGTGCTCCCTTGGCTCAGGGCCAGCCCATCGCTTCCTTGGCGGTCCTTGGCGTTGTCGGTATTTCCGTCCTCTGTAGGAGGCTGTCGATTTACCGGCCCCTGCTGTTTCCCGAGTGCGAAATGTGTTTCCGCAGAAGTAAGGTTTCTTTGTGGGTAGCCGACATCATTTTTTTTAAAGACCATGTCGTCGGAAAGGATCACTGGTTTCCTTCGGAGCAGTTAATGAGTATAAACTGGTTCAGTATTTGCGATGCATGGTTTACGTTCTGAATGAGACTGTGCCTTTAGTGTTTCCGAATTAACAGGAGTTTCTCCGTGCGAAACTTCGTTGTTAGTTCAGATGTTGCCTCCAGATAGTATTTATTACTTTATTAGTACAGTTCATTTCCACTTATTTTCAAAGGTTATTTGTATTCTAATAAACTCTTTAAGTGCACATCATTCGAACTTTTGTTTTAAGAAAGGTGTATTGGGTGCATTGTACAGCATTCGGGTGACGGGTACACTAAAAGCCCAGACTTCACCACTATGCAGTTCATCTATGTAACCAAAAGCCACTTGTACCCCTAAAGCTATTGAAATTAAAAGAAAAGTGTGGACTCTTTCAAAACACTATTCTGGAAATAAACTTGCTCTACAGTCCACCAATTCTGGCAAAAAAACGTTTAATTGCAAGTTTTGTAAGGCATGATTTTTTTTTTCTTTAACATATTTGACTTTGTTATAAGGGATGCAGAGAAAGGAAGTTTGGAACTGATAAAAATAATTCATGCATTGGCTTTGGATAAATAATAGACTGACTTGCATATACTAAGTTCTTGGTAAATATTTGACTTGAAAGAAAAAAAGTTTGCCAAAGTCTGTACGGTAACTCAACTGAGCCTTACTCTTCCAGAGCTAAATAAACAGTTTCTGATTTTATTTAGGGTTAGAAGAGAAGAACGCTTCCTTCTCTTGCCATTTTCTGAGTCATAGAATTGGAAAATTGTTGTATATCCCACAGGGAAGCAACTGCCTGAACCTTCTTATGAAAATCTGCAAGGCGGACAATGTCAGGAGGAAGTAAGAAGCAAATGCCAGAATTGGGTAATAACAGCTATTAGGACAGGTCCATATAAGGCCAGTAAGATGTTTCTGTGCCATGGAAGTTTTAACTTTATCTTTGGCTATGATATTTCTTGTTAGCAATTACAAACTGCTTTTTAGTTTACAAGTGTTTGTAAAAAAAAAAATGTTCATTTTTGCCCCCATCCCTTCCCAGAGTTCTGCCTGGATTAGGGTGTTCATCATTCCCCTAATATAGACTTGAATGCTTGAATAAAGTCAGGTCTATTTTTTTTTCTTTTTTCTTTTTTCTTTTCCCGAGATGGGGTCTTGCTCTGTTGCCCAGGCTGGAGTGCCGTGTGGTGTGATCTTGGCTCATTGCAACCTCCGCTTCCTGGGTTCAAGCAGTTCTCCTGCCTCAGCCTCCTGAGTAGCTGGAATTACAGGCGCCCACCACCACACCCGGCTAATTTCATATTTTTAGTAGAGATGGGGTTTCACCATGTTGGCCCGGCTGGTCTCGAACTCCTGACCTCAGGTGATCTACCCACCTCAGCCTCCCAAAGTGCTGGGATTACAGGCGTGAGCCACTGTGCCCGGCCAGGTCTGTTTTCGTATTTGCTAAGTGGTTTTTGGCATGGCAGGTAGTAAAGCAGGAAGAGATTTTTCATCTTCTGGATTTGATCTGTGATATGGCTGTGACACGAATGTCTCCAGTGACTTTGCTGTTTCTTAACCTTCACTTCCCCACCCACACTAACTTCTCTTGGAGTACCATATTCTGTTAAAGTCAACAAACTCTCCAAATGTACAAAGGCCAATATTAGTCCAAGGATCATAGGTTTCATAGATATGGTTAAATTTGTTCATGATCACATTTGTTGATGTTGATCAGAATCTTTAACCTGTTCATTTTTTAAGTTAACAGTTGGGATGCTTTTTGCCACAAGTAATAGAAAATCTAGCTTTGCCTAGTAAAGAACTTATCTGTGGTTCTCTTTCCACAGATAAGTCCTTCCAGCAGGGAAGGCCAGCATATCTCTTATGAGTCTCATTGGCTCATCCAGTCCCTCTGGCTAGGAATGCCATGTGCCAGTTGGCTTATGCTTGTATTCCTAAGCAGGCATTAGCAAGGGGGATGGCATTGCCCTTGGAGGAGTATGACCCACCCTTTGATGTGTGTGTGCAACAGAGGTGGGTGGGTGGGAGACATCTTTTTTTTAAAATTTGTTTTATTTTTTAAATTTTTCTTTAAGTTATTGGGGTACAGATGGTATTTGGTTGCATGAGTAAATTCTTTAGTGGTGATTTGTGAGATTTTGGTGCACCCATCACCTGAGCAGTATACATTGCATCATATTTGTAGTCTTTTATCCCTCACCCCTCTCCCACTCTTCCCCCTCAAGTCCCCATAGTCCACTGTATCATTCTTATGCCTTTGCGTCCTCATAGCTTAGCTCCCACATATCAGTGATTAGAACATACTGTGTTGGTTTTCCATTCCTGAGTTACTTCACTTAGAATAATAGTCTCCACTCTTATCCAAGTCACTGCAAATGCTGTTAATTCATTCCTTTTTATGGCTGTGTAGTATTCCATTTTGTGTGTGTGTGTGTGTGTGTGTGTGTATATATATGTATACACCACAGTTTCTTTATCCATACATTGAGTGATGGGCATTTGGATTGGTTCCACGATTTTGCAATTGTGAATTGTGCTGCTATAAACATGCATGTGCAAGTATCTTTTTCGAATAATGACTTCTTTTCAGAAGAGATTGCTGGATCAAATGGTAGTTCTACTTTTAGTTCTTTAAGGAATATCTACACTGTTTTCCATAGCAGCTGTGCTAGTTTACATTCCCACCAGCAGTGTAGAAGTGTTCCCTGTTCACCCTTTTCAACAAATTGTGCTGGGATAATTGGCCAGCCACATGTAGGAGAATGAAACTGGATTCTCATCTCTCAACCTTATATAAAAATCAACTCAAGATGGATTAAGGACTTAAACCTAAGACCTGAAACTATAAAAATTCTAGAAGATAACATTGGAAAAACCCTTCTAGACATTGGCTTAGGCAAGGATTTAATGACTAAGAACCCAAAAGCAAATGCAATAAAAACAAAGATAAATAGATGGGACCTAATTAAATTGAAGAGCTTTTGCACAGGAAAAGGAACAGCAGAGTAAACAGACAACCCACACAGTGGGAGAAAATCTTCCTAATCAATACATCTGAAAAAGTACTAATATCCAGAATCCACAATGAACTCAAACAAATAAGTAAGAAAAAACAAATAGTCCCATCAAAAAGTGGGCTAAGGATATGAATAGACAGTTCTCAAAAGAAGATATACAAATGGCCAGCAAACATGAAAAAATGCTCAGCATCCCTAATGATCAGGGAAATGCAAATCAGAACCACAATGTGATACCACCTCACTCCTGCAAGAATGGCCATCATCAAAAAATCAAAAAGCAGTAGATAGATTTTAGTGTGCATGTGGTGAACAGGGAACACTTTTTTTTTTTTTTGGAGACAGTTTTGCTCTTGTCACCCAGGCTGGAGTGCATTGGCGCAATCTCAGCTCATTGCAACCTCTGCCTCCCAGGTTCAAGTGATTCTTCTGCCTCAACTTCCCTAGTAGCTGGGATTACAGACGTGTGCCACCACGTCCTGCTAATTTTTGTATTTTTAGTAGAGATGGGGTTTCATCATGTTGGCCAGGCTGGTCTTGAACTCCTGACCTCAGGTGATCCCACCCGCCTCGGCCTCCCAAAGTGCTGGGATTACAGGCCTGAACCACCGTGCTGGGCTGGGAGACATCTTCTAAGTACTTGGATAGTGTGGGGGGACAGGGTAGACACCTACACATAAATGGATGTTGTTAGGAGAGAGAAAGGGGGACATGGATACTCAGTGAACACACAGAAATGGCCACTATTGTGGTGATGTTGGTAATTAAACACCAACAGCCTTAATTATGCAAGAATTCTTGCAAATAATAGGGTTAACCATATGTTTAGACAATTTGGAGTAAAGAAAGCTTTAAAAATTACTTATACATATTGGTAAATTTAACATGAAGAGGGATCTAATAAAATATATGATATTGATATGCAGAAAAAGTCTAAGTATGATATTCCATGCTTATAGGAAATTTAATTTTGCGGGGAGAGTAGGCTGGAAGTTCGGAGTGATTGTTTCCTGTTACAGGCCAAAAAATTTGTTTGGTTACTTAGTGGTAGCATTTTGAGAGGAAAGTTTACAGAAAACTAGGGTTATTTTGTGATTATGCTTGAATTGTCTTTATTGTTTCCAAGGCATCTTTTTTTTTTCCTTCTAGTTATCAAGATGTTAGGTTCTGTGCCCTTGTGGGCCTTCCCTCTGCCCAAAAAAAGCATGGATGAGCAGAGTAATATCATTAAAATGGCAGTCTTTGTTAGTTTTTCTAGAGAAGATGGTCTCTTTGGTAGGCTGGGTGTATCTTCGGCAAATGAGTTATTTATACATATAAACTATTAAGTTGGCAAGTATTTCTTTTTTTTCTTTTTCTTTTTTTTTTTTTGAGATGGAGTTCCACTCTTGTCGCCCAGGCTGGAGTGCAATGGTGCGATCTCAGCTCACTGCAACTTCCACCTCCCGGGTTCAAGCGATTCTCCAGCCTCAGCCTCCCAAGTGGCTGGGATTATAGGCGCCCACCACTACGCCCAGCTATTTTTTTTTTGTATTTTTAGTAGAGATGGGGTTTCACCACGTCGGCCAGGTTAGTCTCGAACTCCTGACCTCAGGTGATCCACCCACCTCAGCCTCCCACAGTGCTGGGATTACAGGCATGAGCCACCATGCTTGGCCTAAGTTCGTAAGTATTTCTGTGTAAAACTGCAATTTCAGCTACATAGGTACTTTGTGAATGAATCATAGTAGAAGTTATTTAAAAATTCCTTTAAGTAAAAATTATAAACATGAACTAGAGCTATATATATCAGTGTGAATGAATCTTAAAAATATAAGGTTAGACCTCGAAAGCAAGTTGTATAAGAATATGTATAGTTTGCTGTTATTTATATAAATTTTAGAAACCTACAGAACCACTCATACAATGCTGGTAGAGTATAAATTGGTATCCTACCTCTACATGAGAGAGTGACAGCATTTATTAAAATTAACCTAACAATTCAACTTCTAGGAATTATTTTATAGATGTACTCGTGTATGAAATAATGGGTTATTCGCTGCCATATTGTTGTAAATATTAATACAAAACTTTCGAAGTAACCTTTCTAATAGTAATAGTTATGGTTTATCCATATAGTGAAATACCTTGCAAACATTAAGGAAGAAAAAGGGAGGAACTTTGTATATTTTAGAGAACAATTTCCAAGGTGTATTTTTAAGAGGAAAAAGTAGAACAGTGTGTTCAATATGCCTACCACTTATGTATAAAAGGCAGGGGCAAATCTGTATCTTAAATGTGACTGCTTTTATATATAGAGTATGTCTCTTTAAAGATACACACAAGACTGGTTACGTTAGTTGCTCAGTATAGGGGACTAGGTAAAGGAGGACATTGTGTTGCACCATAGATGCTTTTGTACTTTTGAACTGTGTGTATAGTGCAGGTATTGTGTTATCAAAATATATGCAATGACATTTGTAAAAATAAATATGAAAAATAATGTTACTATATTTTTTATGGATTCCTACCCATGTAAAAATATTTAAACGTGGGAAACACAAACACCAAATTCAGGATAGTGGTTACTTCTGAGGACAGATGAAGGATAAGGGAATCTGGGAGGAGTCATGCAGGGCTTGAGTTGTATTTGTAATGTTTTATTGCTTAAGCTGATGGTGGCTCATGGGTATTTGGAATGCCCTTGGTGTGCTTGAAATGTTTGTTTGCTTTCTTAAATTACGATCTATAGCTTTTAAAGCCCACCCTTCCCCAGGATTAAGCTATTTCCTTAACACGTTTTTATTCTTTCAATTTTAAAGTGGGAATGAAATGGTTAGGTGTCTAGAATATCTTTAGTAGATATTTCTATCTTTGCTGCTTCTCTGTCCTATTAAAATCCTCTGTTTCAAAGTATGATCTTGTTTCCCTTCAGGATTATATATCTAATTAGAAGAGCATTTGTTACAATGTTATGCAGTTAGACAAAGTTCCCTTTAGATAGCAATAGCATGGTTGTTAGCTAATATTTAGTTGACTAATCTGCTATTCTTGTGAGGGGGACATTGTGAATGCTGGTAATATTTGCTCTGAGTAATGTGCAAGTCTTCCGTGGCCAAAATATCTGTCTTCCGTTTCATTTAAAAGCAAAACCTTAGCACTATTCTAAAAACTGACAGTCTGAAGAATAAAGTTTGAATTTTGAAAAAGGGGGGAATCCCTTAGTAGTGCATATGCCTGACAGAGTCCATTTACTACATTCATTGATTGACTATGGAACAGCATTTAGTTTGGCTACAACTGAGTTTACTCACTGGGGAGAATATTTAGCCTGGTTTTGAGAAAACAGTTTAGTTTCTGATACCATGCCAAGCCCTTTGTCCCTCTCACTGCACAGTGATGGTGGGGAGAGTGGATAGGTCAAAAGACTTGGGAGTCGGAAGACCTGTCCCAACTTGATCACAATAGCTTTACTTCCACAACTTACAGAATCTCTTAGAGCCTCAGTTTCTTTATCTGTAAAAGACAATACCTCCATCATAGGTTTATGCTCAAATGTGATAATGTGAGTGTCTCCTAAGCTATTAGATGCCATATTTTAAAAAGTATTATGCTACTGAAGGCCGGGTGTGGTGGCTCACGCCTGTAATCCCAGCACTTTTGGGAGGCTAAGGCGGGCAGATCACGAGCTCAAGATATTGAGACCATCCTGGCCAACATGGTGAAACCCCATCTCTACTAAAAATACAAAAATCAGCTGGGTGTGGTGGCATGCGCCTGTTGTCCCAGCTACTCGGGAGGCTGAGGCAGGAGAATTGCTTGAACCCCGGAGGCAGAGGTTGCAGTGAGCCGAGATTGTGCCACTGCACTCCAGCCTGGCGACAGAGCGAGGCTCCATCTCAACAACAACAACAACAACAAAAAAAAAAAAAAAGAAAGAGTTGACTCCTGATAGACTATGAAGGCTGGGATACAAATTCAAAAAGCGGAAAACCACACGAGCTGGAACACTATAGGCTGGGAGCAAAAAGCCCTATCCTGCTAAATAACTCCCACTGCTGTCACTGTGTGAGGGTATAAGGAGCAGTTGATACTCATAAGTTAACATTTGTTTGGTTCCCAGTCTTCATGTACATGTGTTCCATTTAAGAAGTCATGATCATGTGTAGTACAATTAGAAAACCTGTTTTCAAAAAATATTACTTCTGTTAACTTGTTAATTTTAATGGTGAATATCATAGTTTAGAAAATCCACCCTCCTTTTCTTGTCAGGGACTGAGTGTGTGGTCCTGCTCCTGTTATGTATGGAGGCAAAGGGAAAGGGCTCCGGCCCCCTCAAAATCATGTCTTTGGTGCCAGCCGGTTCTGTTCTCAGTCACCTGGATACTGAACTTTCCTGAGCAGGGCAGAACTGAGATCCAGTGGGCTTCTCCCCAGGATGCTTACGCTTTTTCATTTGATTTCAGGTCTCCTCTTTCGCTTCCTATTGCAACCAATGAAGGCCATTCCTACCATAAGTAAATAAAAAAGAAAATCTATCTTTAATAAATAACAATTGTATATATTTATGGGGCACAATGTGATGTTTTGATACATGTATACATTCTGCACTGATCAAATCAGGCCAAGTAGTATATCCATCTCCTCAAATATTTATCATTTCTTTGTGGTGAGAACATTTAAAGTTCCCTTTTTTAACTCTTTTGAAAAATTAATATATTTACTGTAATCATGATGCTATGCAATACAACACCAGGATCCTGTTCCTCCTGACTGTAATTTTATGTAGCCATTGACCAATATCTTCCTTTTCCCCTCCAGCCCCACTTACCCCAGCTACTGGTAATCACCATTCTACTCTCTACTTCTGTGAGTTTGACTTTTTTAGATTCCAAATATAAGTGAGTCTCAGACACCTCTGACATACTGATTTCAATTCCTTTGGATATATACTCAGTAATGGGATTGCTGGATCATATAGTAATTCTATTTTTAGTTTTGTGAGGAACCTCTACACTGTTTTACAAAATGGCTGTATTTATAGTTTCACCAGCAGTGTATAAGTGTTCCATTTCTCTGTGACCTTGCTAACACTTATCTTTCACCTTTTTGATAATAGCCAGTCTAACAGGTGTGAGGTGATACCTTATTGTGGCTTTAATTTGCATTTCTCTTATGATTAGAGATGTTCAGCATTCTTTCATCTATCTGTTGGCCATTTGTTTGTCTTTTTTTTTATTTTTATTTTTGAGACAGTGTCTCACTCTGTTGCCCAGGCTGGAGTGCAGTGGCATGATCATGGCTCACTGCAGCCTTGACCTCCTGGGCTCAAGCGATCCTCCCACCTCTGCCTCCCAAGTAGCTGGGACTACAGGCATACACCACCACGCCTGGCTAATTTATGTATGTTTTATAGAGACAAGGTCTCACTGTGTTGCTTAGACTGGTCTTGTATTCTTGGGCTCAAGTGATCCACCCGCGTCGGCCTCCCAAAGTGCTGAGATTACAGGCATGAGCCACCATGCCTGGCCGGATATTAGCTATATATCTGATGCATGATTTGTAAATACGTTTTCTCAGTCTTTGGGTTGTCTCTTCACTCTATTTGTTTTTGCTTGTTTGTTTGTTTTTTTGAGATGCAGTCTCCCTCTGTCACCCAGGCTGGAGTGCAATGGCGTGATCTTGGCTCACTGCAGCGTCCGCCTCCCGGGTTCAAGCGATTCTTTTGCCTCAGCCTCATGAGTAGCTGGGACTACAGGTGTGCACCACTACGCTCAGCTAATTTTGTATTTTTAGTAGAGATAGGGCTTCACCATGTTGGTCAGGCTGGTCTCGAACTCCTGACCTTGTGATCCGCCTGCCTCGGCCTGCCAAAGTGTTGGGATTACGCGTCTGGCCTGTTTGTTTGTTTTTTGCTGTTCAGAAGCTTTTTAGTTTGATGTCATCCCATTTGTTTATTATTGCTTTTGTTGCCTGTGCATTAGGGGATCATATACAAGAAATGATTGCCCAAACCTGTGTCATGGAGCTTCTCGCCTAAGTTTTCTTCTAGTAGATTTGTAATTTCAGGTCCTAAATTTAATCCATTTTAAGTTGATACTTGTTAAGGGGTGAGATAAGGGTCCATTTCCATTCTTCTGTATGTGGCTATCCAGTTTTCCAAATGACATTATTGAAGAGACTGTCCTTTCCACATTGTGTAGTCTTGGCACCTTTGTCAAAAATCCATTGATTATAGATATATGCATTTATTCTGGGCTATCCATCCTATTCCATTGGTGGACATGTCTGTTTTTATGTCAGTGCCGTGCTGTTTTAATTACTATAGGTTTGTAATATATTTTCAAACATGGTAGTGTGATGCCTCCAGCTTTGTTCTCTTTGGACCTAAAGTCTATTTTGTCTGAAATAAATATAGCTATCTCTGTTCTCTTTTTGTTTGCATTTGTATGGAATATCTTTTTCAGTCCCTTCATTTTCAGTCTATGAGTGTCCTTTATGGTGAAGTGAGTCTCTTTATAGGCAGCGCAGAGTTGGATCTTGTTTTTTATCCATTTAGCCACTCTATGCCTGTTGTTTGGAGAATTTAATCTGTTTACATTGGAAGTAATTATTGATAGGTAAGGACTTAGTAGTGCCATTTTGTTAATTGTTTTCTAGTGTTTCTGTAGAACCTTTGTCCCTTTCTCTATTACTTTCCCCCTTTGTGGCTCGATTGCTTTCTGTAGTGGTCCACTTTGGATTTTTTCTTTTTATCTTTTGCAAAAGCAAAGGCTTTTGCTTTGTAGTTACCCTGTGGCTTACACAAAACATCTTATAACTGGTATATAAGCTGATAACAAGTTAACTTTGATCACATACACACATTCTACATTTTTACTCCCCCTCTTCCATGTTTTATGTTCATGATGTCACGATATACATTTAAAAAATAATTTGTATCTTTAACAAATTATTGTAGCTTTATTATTATTATTATTATTATTATTATTTTGAGATGGAGTTTCACTCTTGTTGCCGGGACTGGAGTGCAGTGGCGTGATCTTGGCTCACCCCAACCTCCACCTCCTGGGTTCAAGCTATTCTCCTGCCTCAGCCTCGTGAGTAGCTGGGATTACAGGCATGCGCCACCACGCCCGGCTAATTTTGTATTTTTAGTAGAGACGGGGTTTCTCCATGTTGGTCAGGCTGGTCTCAAACTCCCAACCTCAGGTGATATGCCCGCTTCGGCCTCCCAAAGTGCTAGGATTACAGGTGTGAGCCACCGCGCCTGGCTAGCTTTAACTATTTTTAATAGTTTTATCTTTTAACCTTTATACTAGATATATAATTCATTTACTTACCACCATTACAGTATTAGTGTGTTTTGGGGTTGACAGTATACTTACTTTTTCCAGTGAGTTTTATACTTTTCATGTTTTCCTGTCACTCATTAGTGTCTTCTTTATTCAGCTTGAAGAAGTTTCTTTACCATTTCTTTTTCTGTTTCTTTTTGTTTGTTTGAGACAAAGTCTCACTTTGTTGCCTAGGCCAGAGTGCAGTGGTGAGATCTTGGCTCACTGCAACCTCTGCCTGCTCTGTTCAAGTGATCCTTCCACTCAGCCTCCCAAGTAGCTAGGATTACAGGCGTGCACCACCACTGGCAGCTTTTTTTTTTTTTTTTTTTTTTTTTTGTATTTTTAGTAGAGACAGGGTTTCACCATGTTGGCCAGGCCAGTTTTGAACTCCTAACCTCAAGTGCTCTGCCTGCCTCGGCCTCCCAAGGTGCTGGGATTACAGGCGTGAGCCACCATGCCTGACCACTGTTTTTCATTCTTTATCCTTTTTTCTTCTTCAGATTGTATGATTTCCAGTGGCCTGTCTTCTAATTACTAATCTTTTCTTCTGCTTGATGTAGCCTGTGGTTGAACCCCTTTATTGAATTTTTCAGTTCAGTTATACTATTCCTCAGCTCTATGATTACTGTTTGGTACTTCTTTAGAAAATCCACTTTTCAACTGATAAACTAACTATATCCATTTCTAGGGCTGCCGTAACAATGCCACAGACTCAATGACTTACAGCAACAGAAAATTATTCTTTGCCAGTACTGGAGGTGAGAAATTTGAAATCAAAGGGCCATCAGGGCCATGTTTCTTCTGAAGGCTCTAGTGGAGAATCTGTTCCTTGCCTCTTCCAGCTGCTGCTGCTTTTTTTTTTTTTTTTGAGACGGAGTCTCACTCTGTCACCCAGAATAGAGTGCAGTGGCATGATCTCAGCTCACTGCAACCTCCGCCTCCTGGGTTCAAGTGATTCTCCTGCCTCAGTCTCTCAAGTAGCTGGGACTATAGGTGTGTTCCACCACTCCTGGCTAATTTTTCTATTTTTAGTAGAGATGGAGTTTCGCCATGTTGGCCAGGCTGGTCTCGAACTCCTGACCTCAGGTGATCTCCCCGCCTCGGCCTCCCAAAGTGCTGGGATTACAGGCGTGAGCCACCGTGCCCAGCCCTCTTTCACCTTCTTGTGGCTCCTGATGTTCCTTGGTTTGTGATAGCATAACTCCAGTCTCTGCCTCTGTCTTCAAATGGCTGCGCTCGCTTGCTCTCTCTCTCTCTCTCTCTCTCTCTCTCTCTCTCTCTCTGTGTGTGTGTGTGTGTGCTCTCCTCTTCTTGTAAGGATACCAGGCATTAGATATAGGGCTCACCCTAAATCCAGTAAGATTTCATCTTCAAATCCTTCACTAGTCACGTCTGAAAAGATCCTATTTCCAAATAAGATAACAATCAGAGATTCTGGGTTGACATAGATTTTGTGGGGACGTTATTCACTTCACTACACTTGTTTTTATATTTTGTATACTTTTAGTTTTATGCTTTCTTTCTTAGTTTTTGAGTAACTTTTAAATTGGTTTGATAGAATGTATTAGTAAAATGTCTGTGGGCTGGGCGTGGTTGGTTAATGCCTGTAATCCCAGCACTTTGGGAGGCCGAGGGGGGGCGGATCACCTGCGGTCAGGAGTTCAAGACCAGCCTGACCAACATGGTGAAACCCCATCTCTACTAAACATACAAAAATTAGCCGGGCGAGGTGGTAGGTGCCTGTAATCCCAGCTACTTGGGAGGCTGAGGTAGGAGAATCGCTTGAACCCAGGAGGCGGAGGTTGCAGTGAGCTGAGATCATGCCATTGCACTCCAGCCTGGGCAACAAGAGCAAAACTCCGTCTCAAAAATAAAAAATAAATAAAATAAAATAAAATGTCTGTGGAATCCTAAGACATTGAAATTGATATGAGGCAGGTTTTCAGTACACTGGATTCATGTTCTGATACAGGAAGGAGGTCATAGTAGCAGTGCCTGGCACATAGTAGGTGCTGGTACTCAAATATTTCTTGAATGAATGAATTTGTATGATTGAATGCATTTCTGGATAATTCTTATTACTACAAGGAATTCAGTCTATTCTTTTCAAAACTGTATATACATTAAGAATTTCTCTGATATGTTTAACTTCCATTTATGTTTTATTAAAAGGATGTGTATTTTTACATGTCTTCTGAGGATTATCTTTTTAAAAAAATCAAATTTCACTTAACCATGTTCGGAAAAAGCATAACTTTAAGAGTCTGACCTGGGTTGAAGTTTTGGCTTTTCCACTCATTAGCTGTGTAACTTTGGGCAAGTTATTTCATCTTTCTGTGCCTCAGTTTCCTGTAAAATGTTGCTAATAATGCCAAGTCTTCCAGGTTGGTGAGAGTGTGTCAGTATGTTTGGGTACAAAGTGAGTATGCTGCAAATATTAACTAGTAAGTTGTATACTTTAATTATGTATTGTAAAGGAACTAGATTTATGTTGTAAAAAATTGTTTTTGTTAAAAAAAGAGCCCTTGTTTATTAAAACTCACATCAAATTAAGCTGCTTTTTTCCTCTGTGTTCTTCTGTGACCAAACAAGTGTTCCTGTAGTAGGTGAAATCACTGTCAAGGATTGGTGTTATGTGTATATATGTCTGATAGTAATCTGTTGAACATTAACCAAAGTCAGGAAATGAGTTGAACTTTGGAAGGTAGAAATCTGAGGATTGGTGGTAGTGGTGGTGGGGTAGGAGTGGTGGAGCGGGTTGGAGGGATTGAAGTATATGGGAATGGGAGCTAGATACATTAAAATGACAGCTATTATTTATTTAGCACTTATGTACCTGGATAAAGGAATGCTATTGCATCTACATGGATAGGTATCACCAATCAGAGCTGAGATAAAACTGGCTATTCAGAGATTAAAACAAATAATTCAGGGCTGATTAGATACAGATGGGGGAACAGGTCTGGGAGCAGTGGAAAATAAATAACCCTAAATAATAAAGGCTACCATTTATTTATCAATCACTTGCTATATGCCAGGCATTGTGGAAAGTGCTTTACAAACACTATTCCATGTATCTGTTATAGTCACCCTTATGGAGTATGTGGTATTCTTATTTTAAAGATGAGTAAATAGAAGGTTGTAGTTTCTTTAACTTGCCCAAGTCAAACATCTAGTAAGTACCTTCAAACAGGAATAAAACCGAGGTCTGTGCGACTATAAAATCTATGCTTTGTATACATACTGCTTTCACATGTGCAATTGGAATTAGGGGTTCAACCCTATTCAACTCTACTTCCAAAAAAGGTGAATCTGCTAATACTACTTCCAATTGTTTTTTTCCCCTTTGGAAATTTTTTTTTTTGAGATGGAGTCTCGCTCTGTTGCCCAGGCTGGAGTGCAGTGGCATGATCTCCGCTCACTGTAACCTCCGCCTCTCGGGTTCAAGCGATTCTCCTGCCTCAGCCTCCTAAGTAGCTGGGATTACAGGTGCGTGCCAACACGCCTGGTTAATTTTTTTTGTATTTTTAGTAGAGATGGGGTTTCAGCATGTTGGCCAAACTGGTCTCGAACTCCTGACCTTGTGATCCACCCACCTCGTCCTCCAAAGTGCTGGGATTACAGGCTTGAGCCACCGCACTCGGCCTTGGAAATTTTTTTTCTAACTGATAAGAATACAAAGCAGCAAGTAAAATTCAAAAAGGATCACAGTGGAATAACTTTTCATTTTAGCATATTAACATTTTTATATGATTTTTTTGTGTAGCTAAAAAATGTAAAATGCATATATAATTTTTTTTTATGTTTGTAAGAACATTTTCTATAGTTTTCCTATGAGAGTCTGTTAGGTTGGAATAACAATGTATTAAACTGTTCTCTGAAATTGGTCAGCCTTTTGTTCTTACATAATACACTGTAATGAACATATTTATGCACATTTTTTTCATCAACTTTTAAATCAAATTCTTAGAAGGAAAACTACAGATTAAAAAAGAAAAGATCCTGATCATGTAATTTGTGTGTGTGTTTATGAATTTGAATGATCTCTTGGCATGGCTGTCAGGGCACTGCCTCTATTCCTGCCACTGTGATACGATCATACTTTTGTGATTTCTTCTATTACTTCAAAAGGGAAGAAGTTATACCACCATACTTTAAAACAATTAATTTATAATTTGATGAAATGCTCAAGTATTAGAAAAAAGTTTTATGGTATATCTTGATTGGTTATGGATTTTGTTCTGCTTATTATGCCTTCTTTTGGGTGGTTGGGGGGCTTCTGTTATTTACAGGTGGATTAATATTCTGCTCCGTATTACTCATGAGTTAAATTATACTCAATTCCCTATTCCGTAGTTACCACCTTCCCTCCTATTTTTGCTAATTTCCTCCTCATTTTTTGTTGTGTGTTCTATAAAATTTCCCATCACATTATTATTGCTACTACCTACTGTTTTCTAAATGATTTTAATTGTATTGTAAAATTCTTCTTGCTCTGCTCTAATTTCATACCTCCTATATTTTCTTATCACTCTGAAAATAGTTAATAAATTTTGCTAATACAATCATGCATTTCATGGATGAGTTTAATGTCTATTCATTTTTTTGTTTTATTCTTTTGTATTATAAGACTTTTTGCTTTTTCTCACTTTACTGTTATTTTTGTCATCATTACAGGCCGGGAAGGTCCCATAGCCCAGGTTGCTTTTGGTCAATACTGTTTTCCCCAGCAGCATTAACTGGCATGTAGGAGATGCTCAGTACATAATGCCAAAATAATGAATTTGAGAGAATGCTTTGAATTCCTATTCCAGTTCCTTATTAAATGACAGGATATATGTCCAGAGTTTTGGATAAGCTCCAGTCATTTCTTAAAGTTAATTGGGGTTGAAGTTCAGTTGAGCAGGGTATCATAGGAGTTTGGTTGGTTTGTGATGGTTTGGGAGTTCAGGCCCAAATTGGATTCTGTCTTAGTATTCTTTCCAGGTCTTGAGTCCACCAGTATTATCCAGTATTGTGGCTATTTCCCAGTCCTGTTTCAGCTGAGCAGCTGTCAAGAGAAAGTCTGTGCCAAGCCAGAGCTTGGAGATTCTTGGAGGATGTGTTTAGCACCATGCTTAGGTTTCAACATACTTGTTCTAAGAAAAAAGATACTTCCTGAAGCAAGCTTTAACAGTCAAGTTGGCTGCTCTTAATCACATCTAATTAGTACTGGAGATTGGAGAAAGCCTTATTAGAAATTAGAATGTGCTTCATTTCCACAGTTGATTTCAGCTGTGATTATAGGGTTGCCTTCCTTCTTTCTCTTATACATTTCATACTACACCCCCATCCTCCTAATATAGTTATATCGTACTTTTAATAAAACCTATATTTGGTTTTTTCATAATTGTGGCTGTGTAAATACTATTTGCTAAGTCAGTATCTATGACTATGTTTTATTTCTTACAGAACTTTAATTTTACTGGCATTCATGAATTATCTCATTTTTTTCATTTGTTTAATTTTTTTACCTAAAGCTTAATTTCTTACATCTTCCAGTGCCTTTGTAAAATCCCTCAGAAATAACTATCTTGGATTCTCTGTCACATTCCTGTCTGGATTTGTTGCCTTCTAGGCCTTCTCCATATGTTACTGTGACTTTGCTTCACCATTTTGAGATTCTCTTAGTTTTTCTCCTATATTGGATCCCTTCTTTGCTGGATTCCATGCCATCTTTCTTGGGTTTCTTCCTGATTTTGATGGAATATATATTCTCCAGTAGGTTCCTGAGAAAGGGTGCACAAAGGTTAAATTTTTGGAGACTTAGCCTCATGACTGTCTAAATTCTACTGGTGATCATATCCCCAAAAGACCAAATCCCTAATGCCATAATCCCAAATGTTGAAATACTGAAAGATCAAAATCTCTAAAAATCAGAATCCCTAAATTCTAAAAATCTCACACATCTGAAATCCTGAAAATCAGAATCATGAAAGATTAAAATCCCAAATGTTGAAATGCTGAAAGCCAACACCTGGGGTAGAAATTAGTGCACATTCGGTTGTATGAAAGATAGTTGCATCATTTTACTTGCATCATATTAGGTGGAACCGATTGCCTTTTTATTGTATTTATTTGGAAATTAAGTATGGTTTAAGGAGATGGTTTATGGGTGCCAAATTGACGAGGGGTGGATTCATGGATTTAATTTTAGGTGTCAACTTGACTGGATTAAGAAATACCTAGAAACTTGTTAAAGCATTATTTTGGGTTTGTCTGTGAGGAGATTAGTATGTGAGTCTGAGTGGACTAGGTGGGGAAGATCTGCCCTCAATAGCGGTGGCCACCATTAAATCTGCTGGGGGCCCAGAGAAAACAAATTGTTGCCTTTCTGAGAGCTGGAACGGACTTTTCTTCTGCTGAATTGAACATCAGAACTCCAGGCTTGTTGGCATTTGGACTCTAGGACATACACCAGCAGCCCCCTGGGTCCTGGGCTTTCAGCCTCAGACTGAGACCTGGTTTGGCTTGGTTCTGAGGTCTTTGGACTGAGCCAAGCTACCAGCATGCCAGGGTCTCCAGCTTGAAAATGACCTGTCCTGGAACTTATCAGCCACTATAATCGCATGAGCCAATTCCCCTAATAAATCGTCTCTCATATATCTATGTATATATATATCTTATTGGTTATGTCTCTCAAGAATGCTGTCTGTCGAGAATTATGTCTGTCGAGAATGCTGACTAATACGGATTTGGTATTGAGAAAGCCAAATATCATTCCTTCTTACTGTATTCCTTACAGCACAGTGGAAGAGACCTGTGAAATTGTTCCCTTGCAAAAAGGCTGTGATAAATTAAGTATACCAGGCTACTTAATGCTGAAAGAGAAAAGTTTAAAAGCTAATTATTATTGGTGTTGTGAAGACAGAAAATCACTTAATTGCAATGGCCAAGCAATAACCAGATTTCTAAATGGTCAGCATATACTTACAAAATATTTAGACCACAACCGCTCTAGTCTAAACACAAGTGAATGTTTTGAAGATCATAGAAGTGAATATGCAGGTGAAAAATATAAGAAAGCTCCCCTGCCAAATTATTCAATCAGGTATGACTTCTGCCCTTTCACACATAGTGCCAATTTGCTATGCTATGTATTTTATCTTTGCATCATTTCTAATACTGCAGGTATAAATTCTGTAAAGGCTTTTAGAGAATTCTAATTCATTTTATGCACTTTTTTTTTGCATATTTGACTCCATGAAAGTGCATTATCACAATGTGACGTAATGTGTAAGCATTGTGCATGTACATAAAAATGTTGAAACTTGCTCAGTAAATGAAGAGATGTCCGTTTTGTTCATCTGTATTTGTGAAAGATAAAATTTCTCAAGATCTTGGCTCTTTGGGTGACTCTATTGCAGTTTTTGTGCAAACGGTAGTGACCCATTGCAGTTTTTGATCGATCTTGTCAGAAGATTCAGGTTGTCTGGTATTTCAGATGACCGCAGTTATGAATCTGGGTGCACCTGATTACCAACCATAGTGATACGTGTTTATCCATTTTGCTTTTTAATCTATTTCTTCATGAATACATTTTCTCTGTTCCTATTATACCCATGCAATGGTTGTTAGTATACCTGAGTATTTATGCTTGCAAAAATATGTTATTAGTGCCTATTTTATTGTGTAAAGGGGCCTATGAACTGTTCCGTTGTGTTTTTATGTTTCTCAAATAAATCTTTTAAAAATGGAAATAAGTGTCTTTTAGAGAACTTTTTACAAATTATTTTTCCAGAATTCAATTTTTTGGATTTTGTTCTTTTGGGATTGTGATTTTTGGAATTTTAGATTTTAGGGATTTTGATCTTTTGGGATTTCAACATTTGGGATTATGGCATTTGGGATTGTGTCTTTTGGGATTATGTCCTAAACCCAAATTCTGTCACCACCGACTGTCTAGTGATAACATTTAAAATGGAAAGATAAAATGACTTGATTTTTTTTTTCCCTTTATTTTTAACTGCATTTAAAAAAATAGAGGCTGGGCATGGTGGCTCACACCTATAATCCTAGCACTTTGGGAAGTTGAGGCTGGTGGATTGCTTGAACTGAGGAGTTTGAGACCATCCTGGTCAATATGGTAAAACATCATTTCTACAGAAAAATACAAAAAAATTATCTGGGTGTGGTGGGGCCTGCCTGTAGTCCCAGCTACTTGGGAGGCTGAGATGGGAGGATCACCTGATCACCTGAGCCTGGGGAGGTTAACGCTGCAGTGAGCTCTGATTGTGACACGGCACTCCACCCTGGGTGATAGAGTGACACCCTGTCTCAAAAAAAAAAAAAAAAAAAAAAAAATTAAAAAACAGGAAAAAAAATTTAAAACACAGAGAAACCAAAAAAACTAGAAACCACATGCACATGAACCAGAATTTCAAAGGTATAAGAGGTTATGGATGGGGAAATGTATCTATGACATGAGAGAGTCTTTTGGGATGATGGAACTGTTCTGTATCTGACTATATAATGCTGGTTACACCAATTTCTATATGTTTTAATATCCATATAAATGATACTAAAAGAAAAATTTTAGTCTGTGTGTATGATAGGTTAAAAGGTGAAAAATTAAAAGAATTTAAAAATACGAAAAGGTATACAGCAAAAAAGTCTCCTTCCCCTCTTCCTTTAGTCTTCTAGCTTTCTCTTCTGGAAGAAACCACTGTTACCAATTTCTTATGTATTCTCCTATGTAATCACTCTTAAACATCTGAACATTTGGGATGAATCTGGCAAAAGAGAAAATAACTTATATTTGCTTAGCTATTTTCTGAGGATGCTAGATGACTACTCTTATAATATGTCTAAATATATTATTATTTTTATTTTGTTGAGGCAGAGTCTCAATCATCACCCCAGACTGGAGTGCAGTGGTGCAATCTGGGCTCACTGCAACCTCTGCCTCCCAGGTTCAAGTGATTCTCCTGCTTCACCTCCCAAGTAGCTGGGATTACAGGCATGTGCCACCACTGCACCCAGCTAATTTTTGTATTTGTTTGTTTGTTTGAGACAGAGTTTTGCTCTTGTTGCCCAAGCTGGAGTGCAGTGGTGTGATCTCGGCTCACTGCAACCTCCGCCTCCTGGGTTCAAGCGATTCTCCTGCCTCAGCCTCCCGAGTAGCTGGGATTACAGCTGTGTACCAGCACGCCTCGCCAATTTTTTGTATTTTTAGTAGAAACGGGGTTTCACCATGTTAGCCGGGCTGGTCTCGAACTCCTGATCTCAGGTGATCTGCCCGCCTCGGCCTCCCAAAGTGCTGGGATTACAGGCATGAGCCACCGCTCCCGGCCATTAATTTTTGTATTTTTTAGTAGAGATGGGGTTTTGCCATGTTGGCCAGATTGGTTTCGAACTCCTGACCTCAAGTGATCTACTCGCCTCGGCCTCCCAAAGTGCTGGGATTACAGGCATGAGCCACTGCACCGGGCCAGAATATGTGTAAATATATTATTAATCATACTTAGTACTAATTTATTAAATTACTTCTTTTACAGTTGGCAAACATGAATTGACTGGGCATAAAGTAGCTGTGAAGATACTCAATCGACAGAAGATTCGGAGCCTTGATGTGGTAGGAAAAATCCGCAGAGAAATTCAGAACCTCAAGCTTTTCAGGCATCCTCATATAATTAAACTGTAAGCTCTGTTTATATTAAATATAGTCCAGTCATCTTTTCATCTTTTTTGTTAACCTACTTAATGTGACAAGTGAGAAAAATGACTGACACTTCTTTTTGTTTCCTAAGGGTTTTGAAAAGTTTCTTCCTAGGCTGTGTGCGGTGGCTCACACCTGTAATTCCAGTACTTTGGGAGGCTGAGGCAGGCGGATCACCTGAGGTCAGGAGTTCGAGACCAGCCTGGCCAACATGGTGAAACCCTGTCTCCAGTAAAAATACAAAAATTAGCTGGGCATGGTGGTGGGCGCCTGTAATACCAGCTACTCGGGAGGCTAAGGCAGGAGAATGGCTTGAACCTGGGAGGCGGAGGTTGCAGTGAGCTGAGATCGTGCCATTGCACTCCAGCTTGGGCAACAAAAGCGAAACTCTGTCCCAAAAAAAAATAAAAGTTTCTTCCCATTCATGTATTTTTCTAACCCCATTGATGGTCATTTAAGCCTGTGTTCATGTTTTGCCCTTGTGCTTATCAGCTGTTATCTTCTCATTCTTTCCTGTCTCCTGGAAAGATGCTCTTCTGGTAATGTTTGGTGCCCCATTGCTGTAAAACCAACAGTGATCTGCTAGTAAAAACTCTTGACCTCCAAATGCCCACATGATGTCAGTTAGCCTCACTAGTGAGAATGCGGTAGTAGAAAGGGTTTTTCCCCATCCTGCTTATACCTGAACATATAGATAACAAAATTTCAGGAATCCAAGGTTTCAAAAGGGCAGTAATCTTACTGTTGTTTTACAGTTGCCAGTTATAGAGTCTACAAATAACTATTTCCTGCTCAGCTTCTGCTTTGTTATGCAGGCAATAACTTAAAGATGCTTAGGTTTTTCTCCTGAACTGGCTGACTCAAACTTGTTTCACTCTTACCTCTTCTCATTTGTTGAGTGCTAGGTTTTAAATACCATCCATATGCTGACCACCCCTAAATGTACATCTCTTGCTTTAAGATCTCTTCTTACACCAGACTTATTTGCTCACTGCTGACTTTACATTTCCATTTGGATGTTCGCAAGACATTTAAAACTCAACCCGGCCCAAAATGAACTCTTTATTACTCTCCCAAACCTGCTCTTCCCACAGTTTTCACCATCTTGGCTAACAGCCAATGACCCAGGGCTAAAACTTAGGAACCATTTTTAACTTCCCTGTTTCTTTCACTTTCTACCATGCATTTCATTTCTTCCTTCACAATCAAGCTAGGATTTGATTGCTTCTCAGTTCCTTTATTGCTGTCAACCTGGTCTCAGCCACCATCTGTCTCATGAAATCCTGAAGTAACCTCCTGTGGCTACCTTTACTGTTGACAGTTAATTCTTCACATTGCTGCCATAGTTTTACTTTTAATATGCCAGATCACATGACTGCTTAAAACGTACGATAGCTTTTCATCTTCCTTGGAGTAAAAGCCAAAGCCTTATCATGGCTTGTAAAATTCTGTGTCTTCTGGCCTGCAGTTAACACCTTTGACTCTACATCCTATTTCTCTCTAATATTCCTCGAACATGCCAAGCAGGCTTCTACTTGGGGACCTTTGCAGTTGCTATTCCCTCTCCCAGTTTCGCTTTCCTCCTAGATAATTACATAATTTGTTCCCATTCTTCTTTTAGGCTCAGCTCAAATGTTACTTTATTAGAGGCTTTCCTTTAGCACTCTGTATACAAAGATTCCCCTTCATTTGCTTTATTTTTCTTCATAGCATGTTCCACCACCTGAGATATTGCTTATTTATTTAGTGTCTGTTTCCTGGTTCCTGGAACATGAACTCCATGAGAGCAGAGAATTTTTGTTTCCTGCAGTTTTTCTAGCTCCTAGCCTAGTACCTGGTATACTATAGGTGCTTAGTAAATATTTATTGAATGAATGAATATATGTGTTTTAATATTTGTAGACAATGTTTTCTCTCACCAGGTACCAGGTCATCAGTACACCATCTGATATTTTCATGGTGATGGAATATGTCTCAGGAGGAGAGCTATTTGATTATATCTGTAAGAATGGAAGGGTAAGCTGTTCTGCTTTAATTCTGTATGTATTTTGTAACTCCCCTTTATCCTTTACTAGCATCAAAATGTCAGCAACCAATTTTAAGAGGTCTATTTAATAACCAGTTCCCTTAGTCATATATTTGTTTAGAATCATAAACTATGTAGAACTAGAAAGGATCTTAAAGATTATCTCCTTAGCCTGTTTATACAGATGTGGATACTGAGCCTCGCGGCTTATATGATTGCTCACAGTAACGTGATTTATTAATGACGGAATTGGCTTGAGCCCCCAGAACTCATAATCCTCAGACTTATGCTTCCAGGGTATACAAATACTTTGAATATGTATCTTAATGTAATTAATCGTTACAAAATATATTATTATTACTTAAAGATCTAGGCCTTGCTAGTCAATTCTAGCCACATTTAAATTGCATTCATTTTTTGGTTTCAGAAATCTGATGTACCTGGAGTAGTAAAAACAGGCTCCACGAAGGAGGTAGGAATTAGATATAAAGAATTTACAGCTGGAAGGAACTTTGTAGGACATTTTGAACACTACCTTAAGTTACAGATACAAAAACTCAACACTGCCCTCTGCCCATACTTTTTCTCATACCCAGGTTATGTGGTATGCAAAAGCCCCTTTGTGGGAGAGCTGTAGCTAGCCCTGAAAAGAGAGCTTTTCTCTCAATTTTAAGTTATTTACATTACTCATTCATTTGTTCTATATAGCATGTCTATTTACTTTTATCAAAATCAAACTTATTAACCAAGTTAATTTTGATTTTACTATTTCTTAACATGATTCATTTCTATTTCAGGTACTCCCCTTTACTCCTGCTTCTCCTTACCAAAAAAAAAAAAAAAAAAAAAATTCTGCCTGGAGAAATGGGAAACAGGCACAATTGATATATATTTTTCTTATCTTTTCTGTTGTTGTTTATTTCTTGGTTTTACCTTGTGGGTATTTCTTCAGTTTTACCAGTTGAATATTAAAATTTCAGCACCCGTATTTTCTATTTCAAAAGTTTCTTATTTTCTGAAATTTTCATTTTTTTAGTCTGCTGTTATTTGCCTCACAGATATAATAACCTAGTCTGAGGATGGCATTTTAAAAAAAGTCTTCCTCTGTTCCGTCTTGTTCTGTACCTTCTGTGCTCTCTGCATTCATTTTATTCATTTTTGTCTTTGATGCATGGCCCTTCTTCAGATATTTGGTGATTCTTGGCTGTCCACTAAATATTTAAGAATAGGGTATTAAATGCCAGGCTCATGTGGGTAGGACTTACTGATTGCTGGGTTTTCTCATAGCTTGAATAGGTAGGGACTTGTCTGTTTTATTACTGTATACCAAATGCTAATAATAACAAATATGTTTTCTTGGATCAGATATTTGCTCCAGAAGAAACCTTCCCATTTCCTTAAAGGCCTTAGCTTAGCTGCCAGTGCTCCAGGAGCTGAGTGGAGAAAAGAGATGCAAGTCTCACTAGTTAGTATGTTGACTTTGTCTTAGCCCCCATGTTTTCCTTAGGATGCCTTATCCCTGCCTTGGTGTCCTTGAGAGCAGAGCTGGTTCAGCCTTACTAGAGTAAATTATAGGTCTTATTCCCCAATATGGGTGAGTTTAAAAGCTTCTTACTTCAAGCACTTGTCCTGTTTTCAGCTCATCTCTCACTTCTACCTTGAGCAGTTCCCTGTGTTTCCAATTTCTAAGGCTTCCCAGGCTTTGTATGCAGATGTTTATTTTTTACTGGTTTCTACCCCTATAGGCTTAGGTTTTAGCTTTCTCTTGTAGGCTTAGTCTTTATTACTGTTTATCTATTGTCATCCTTGGTGACTCCTCTTGATTACTGCTGTCTCTTTTGTTCTTTTTGTCTTTATATGCCTGTTTTATTGCTGATGTCATTTTAGTGATGTTTCAAGAGTTGGAGACAAAAGATTTAATCTGTTACATTTAATTGGAAATGTATTTTGACTTTTCTAACCTTCCTTTATAGACATCCCTTTCTCCATCCTTTGTAATTGTACTTGTTACTAATACAGTATAATTTTCATTTTTGTAGCCTGTCTATTTTACTTTTTATATTTTGTTTAATCAAGTTTTCTCCTATTTTTTCATATTTGAACAGATACTCTTTTTTTTCCCCATGAACCTACAAATCTAGAAATAAAAGTATTAGAATGCTAAAGGATTAGTATTTTTCTAGAGGAATGGTATCTTATAATAGTTTCTTGTTTCAAAATAAATTACTGATTTGTATTTTCTCCCATATTATCCATGCCCTTTAAGGTGTAAGTCTGGTTTTAGAATGCTAATTTGTGACCTGTGTTAGAGAATTGCATATTGGAGTCCTTCGCCTAGAGGATTAATAGCTTATTTATTAAATATGACTTCTTGGGAGCAGGCATGTCCAAGTAATGGCTGTCACTTATGTTGAAAAAAGTGGTAATAATATATGGATACATAGAGAAGTTTAAAAAAAATACTTCAGGCTGCATGCAGTGGCACATGTCTGTAATCTCAGCACTTTGGGATGCTGAAGCGGTAGATTGCCTGAGCTCAGGAGTTCGAGACCAGCCTGGGCAACATGGCAAAGTCCTGTCTCTATCAGAAATACAAAAATTAGTGGGCGTGGTGGCATGTGCCTGTGGTCCCAACTACTTAGGAGGCTGGGGTGGGAGGATTGCGGGACCCCAGGGAAGCCGAGGCTGCAGTGAGCCGTGATGGCATCACTGCACTCCAGCCTGGATGACAGAACGAGACTGGATCTCAAAATATAGATAAATTTAAAACCCCGCCCCCCCAAAAAAACACAAAAAACAAAAATGAAAAGGTAGTTGCTATGTAAGATTTTTTTTTTAGCAAGCATATTAAAGATAAAATGCTATGATATTTTATTAA
The DNA here is from genome assembly GCF_000001405.40 of Homo sapiens. Taxonomy (NCBI): domain Eukaryota; kingdom Metazoa; phylum Chordata; class Mammalia; order Primates; family Hominidae; genus Homo; species Homo sapiens. The sequence continues at coordinate 40,772,521 of NC_000005.10, read as the reverse complement.
ATGAATTAAGGTGTTTGTTGTTAAAATGTCTTCTATTTTAGGACATATAGCAACATAGTTGCTTGCTGGTTTATGAATAGTGCTTAAATATTACTTCCTCATGGTCTAAAATAGTGTCCCTCACCCCACTATCACTCACTGCACCTATATTTTGCTTTATTTTTCTTCAAAACAGTATCACTCCTTCTGACTATATTTATTAGTCTATTTTCATCAACTAGATTAGCCTTTGTTTTATTCATTGCTGTGTAATGAGTGTCTAAAGCAATGTGTAGCACGTTGAAGGTATTCAGTAATTTGTTAAAAGAATGAAAGAGTAAACATTTGCCGCTTATAAAAGGAAATATGCCAAATTTCAAGTAGATATTGAAATTATTTGAAATAACTCATGAGATATAGAGGAAGGCAAGCTGTTACAATGTAGTCATATGCAAATGATAATATTAGAAACTTGAGTTACTGATTTGGGTTCCAAGACCATCTTAGCATTTCTGTTTTGTGCTGCAGGTATCTCCTCCTCATGTCAAAAGTATCTCATAAGTGAAGTTCATTGGGAAGATTTTCATGTATTTTGACAATTTTATAGGTTGGAGAATTATAGATAGGACAATTTACTTTGAAAGACACACCTTTAAAAAGCCTCTCTAACTTTTCTTAGCTGGATGAAAAAGAAAGTCGGCGTCTGTTCCAACAGATCCTTTCTGGTGTGGATTATTGTCACAGGCATATGGTGGTCCATAGAGATTTGAAACCTGAAAATGTCCTGCTTGATGCACACATGAATGCAAAGATAGCTGATTTTGGTAAGGATAATTTTATAGTTTCTTAACGTTCATTTCTAATGTTCTTATAGTTTCAATGAACCTACCTAGAATTCTTCAGATAACTGTAAAAGATTACATAAAGTAATAGACTGAGTATATCAAAGTATTCTGTTTTGTCTATGAAGATACAAAAAGAAGAAAAGCTAAGAAATCATCTTTTCTTAGCTTTAAATGTCTTTATTACTATTATTTTATAGAGGCAGGGTTTCGCTTTGTCGCCCAGGCTGGAGGGCAGCGACGTGATCATAGCTCACTGCATCCCCAAACTACTGGGCCAGGTGACCCTCCTGCCTCAGCCTCCTGAGTAGCTGGGACTGCAGGCGTGCACTACCATGCCAGGCTGTTTTGTCTTTTTGTAGAGACAAGTTCTCACTATGTTGTCCAGGCTGCTCTTGAACTCCTGGCCTCAAGTGATCTTCCTACCACAGCTTCCCAAAGTATTGGGATTACAGGTGTGCACCACTGCACCTGGCTCTTTAAATATCTTTAAAATTAAATTTTAAACAACTTAAGTTGGTAGTATTAGAGAGACTATTTGAAAAGAGTATTATTTGTGAAAGAGAAGGTAGCAGCTTTATTTCCAGTATGTTCAAAAGAATCAAGTATGGAGAAGAAGGAAAGTGAGTGGGATGGAATTATTTAAAACCTTAAAAACCAGAAGTGAACTATGTGAATTTAATTATTTAAAATTATTTAAAACAATTTTTTAATTAAAAAAATTTATTTAAAAATTTAAAAATGTTTTAAATGATAGTAAATTATAATTTGTTTAAAGAACATTTTGATTGTTAAAAATGAATTTATTTTGGCTGGGCGTGGTGGCTTATACCTGTAATCCCAGCATTTTGGGAGGCCGAGGCGGGCGGATCACCTGAGGTCAGGAGTTCGAGCCCAGCCTGGCCAACATGGTGAAAACCCATCTCTACTAAAAATACAAAATTAGCTGGGCATGGTGGTGCGTGCCTATAGTCCCCACTACCCTGGAGGCTGAGGCAGGAGAATTGCTGGAACCCAGGAGGTGGAGGTTGTAGTGAGTTGAGATCGCCTGTCCGGCCTGGGCGACGGAGTGAGACACGGTCTCAAAAAAAAAAAAAAAAAAAAAGAATTTATTTTTTCTGTATTTCCTATATAAATTGCCATTGACCTTACTAAACCTAAGAGAAAAAGGAATCTCTTCTTTTCTTTAGGTTGGTTTTAGTTCAAATCAGATAACTTTTTTTTGTTTGTTTTTTGTTTTGAGACAGAGTTTCACTCTGTCACCCAGGCTGGAGTGGTACGATCTCGGCTCACTGCAACCTCTGCCTTCCAGGCTCAAGTAATTCTCCCACCTTGGCCTCCCAAGTAGCTGGGACCACAGATGTGGGCCACCACATGCAGCTATGTTTTTTTTAATTTTTGGTGGAGATGGGGAATCACTATGTTGGCCAGGCCGGACTCGAACTCCTGAGCTGAAGTGATCCGCCTGTCTTGGCCTCCCAAAGTGCTGGGATTACAGGCGTGAGCCACCATGTCTGGCCCAGAGAACATTCTTATAAAAATTTTCCTCAGTTTTGACTACATCTATGTATCTATATCTATAACTATATCTATTTAAATGTTCAGAGATTAACTGGAAAATGCCAACCAAACCTGAGCTGGTTGTTTTGGTGTTTTGTTTTTTTTTAAAATAGTAATTGGCTAAATTATTTGAATTTCTTATTCCTCAGTTGATTATTTTTATAGGGTGCATTTTTGAGGGAGCAACAGTTTCTTTTTGGAGTAAAACTGTGAGGGAACTTTGAAATTCAAAATTACTGTTTTTTTTTTTTTTTTTTTTTTTAAAGAATCAGAACAGGCTTAATAGGAACTTTGAATTTTAATCCTTCTATTCATCTGTTATAGATTATTTTCCCTAGTGATTTCTGTATTAATAAAACTTAAACATGGCAAGTTTTTTCTAATAAGCAAAATAACCAACAGCTTAATATATTTGTATTAAACTCTAACAGTGCACTAACTTTAAATGTTGAAATAGATTACACATTTTAGGGCATAATGGCAGAATATTTGGCTACAATAGACCATAGGATTTTGTTGAAGCAAATAACAAAATGATGATTTATCATTTTAATGCAAACTCAATTTTATTGTTTAATGGGATTTTAATTTTTGTCTTTGGGAAATCTTTTGAGTAGCTGATTTTGTGCACTTTCAGGTCTTTCAAACATGATGTCAGATGGTGAATTTTTAAGAACAAGTTGTGGCTCACCCAACTATGCTGCACCAGAAGTAATTTCAGGAAGGTAGTATTTGATACCCTGCCTCCCTCAATACATTTGAAATTGTCTTTTTCTCCTAGATTTTGTTAGTCTATAGTGTCATATTTAATTCTAATGAAAGGAAAGAAAGATAAGGCTTATTCTTAACCACATTTATATGTGAATGAGGGTTAAGGACTACAAGTCAACATTATATTAAAGTTGTTAGAAGAGAGTACATTAATTTTTTTCCCAGGTGGAAGAAATGGAAAGTTTAAAACTAGGGTGTTTAAAAAGTAGGTAAGACACTGGAAACTTGAATAATACAGAAATATCTAGTAGTTAGAAAAGGATTACTATTTACTTAGAGGAAAAATTAAACATGTAATGTGTAGCTTTAATTTTTTACATAGATGGCATTTTGTAGTACCTTTATGTTTCATGATAAAATGTCTTGGGGAACTGGGCTGAAGTAATCTTTAGACTTCATTTATGTTGAATCTTTGTTCTTTAAACCTTTTAGAGACTGCAATATTATAAGAATTTTAACCTCTCAATTTACTAACTACCAGCATTGAGAACATGAAGATATTTGTACAGTGTCGCTTTTTGAATAGTTTGGAAAACAGGAGAATTTAATATTTTTAAGAATAACTCTTTGTCCTTCACTATACTACTGAAATTGAAAACAGAAGCTGAAGTTTGCTAGATTTATAATGAACTTTTAATAACTTTTCACCCAAACCATGCTTATTTGTGTGAATGTTTTGCATCTTGATTAACTCAATGCAGAAATACTGTAGTATTTTCTATTTTTATAAGCTTGTTGGCCTAGACTGCTCAAAGAAATGAGATTTGTGTAAAAATATGGCTGTGAGTAAGGCAGGAGTACCTAATTTTAGATTTGTCAAGTTTCATCTTTTTTTTAAATATTAACTTAATGTCAAAAATTATTTAAAAAATTTTTAAAAAAATGGTGTTGTCTATCTTAATTCTTTTAGGAATAAAACAATTCAGGACATGGAGACTGTGGAAAGTTGTTATTTAAATAAATAAAAAGAAATGTTATAACTGTGCATATATGCAATGGGCTATTACTGAAATTTAATTTTTCTAGTTTGGATAAAGTCTTTCTTCAAGCTCTTGGTGTATGAGAACTTTTACTTTCAAAATAATATTTATCGATCAGTTCAGCAGTACATAAATTTAAAGAAATCCTTTTCCTGAATCCAGGCTTTGAATGGGTGATCTAACTAGTCTGCAGCTAGTTAAGGCACTTGACTACAATGCACTGCAAACGGGATTTAAAAACTCTGTGAACCAATTTGCCTGGCTTTCTTTCACAGCCTCAGGATCCTTTCACCTTGGTGTAAGGGGTCTTGTGTTATTGGGATTGTGGGCTCAGAGTCCATTACTAAAGAACATTCTCAGTTGATGAAATATCACTTAATCTCTCCTCTGTAACAAAAACCAATGGTTTTAAATTGAATAGTGATATGTTTGTTCAAGATTTGGCCCTATTGTCAGATCCCATCAGGGCCATAGTAAATAGTAGAACAGAATTTTAGCCATGGTGTGTAATTTACAAACTTCTTGACTTTTGTTTTCAAAGATAATACTGATGGAATTAACGTTGTAACATGTAGTAGTGGCTATAAAAACCATATTCTGCTTAAGAATTCTTTATGAAATATCCATATTTGAAGTTTTTGATGAACTGAATCTTAGGTTAAAATGATTCTTTAATCCAATTGTTATTTCCTGTTACAGATTGTATGCAGGCCCAGAGGTAGATATATGGAGCAGTGGGGTTATTCTCTATGCTTTATTATGTGGAACCCTTCCATTTGATGATGACCATGTGCCAACTCTTTTTAAGAAGATATGTGATGGGATCTTCTATACCCCTCAATATTTAAATCCTTCTGTGATTAGCCTTTTGAAACATATGCTGCAGGTGGATCCCATGAAGAGGGCCACAATCAAAGATATCAGGTAATAAAGCAGTTTGGAAGTTATCAGATCTGATAGTATCCATGATAAAAGTTATGTGAAAAAAAAAAAGTTGCAGAACAGAATATACAGTGTAATCCTGTTTTTATGTGAAAAAAATAGAGTGTATAGACACATTTATTTTATTTTGTTATTAGAAATACATAGTAAACTGGTTACCTTAGGGAAGTAAGATTCGTAAGAGGGAGGGCTTTCACTTTTTACTTACACATCTTTGTTTTGAAATTTTTACAGTGAACATCATATTACTTTTTAAATTAACAAAAAAGCTAATGAAAGATTGGTGCTGTGGCTCACACCTGTAATTCCAGCACTTTGGGAAGCTGAGGAAAGAGGATCATGTGAGCTCAGGAGTTTGAGACCAGCCTGGGTAACATAGCGAGGCCCCATATATATGTATATCTTTTATTTTTATTTATTTATTTTTTTTGAGACAAGGTTTTGCTCTGTCACCCAGCCTGGAGTGCAGTGGTGTGATCATAGCTCACTGTAGCCAGTAACTCCTGGGTCAAGTGATCCTCCCACTTTAGCCTCCCTAGTAGTTGAGACTACAGGCATCCACCATCATGCCTGGCTGTTTTTTGTTGTTATTGTTTTGCTTTTTGTTTTTGTTTGTAGTGACAGGTCTTGCTATTTTTGCCCAGGCTGGTCTTGAACTCCTGGCCTCAAGTGATCCTTGTGCCTTTCCCTCCCAGTGTTGGGATTACAGGTGTGAGCCAGTATGCCTGGCGTTAGGATTAATACTTTTCAGTAGTAAATTTGTGGGTGGCTATTTTATTTCTTATCTCATGAATTATTGTATTTTTTTTCTTTTTTTAATCCCAAGGAATGAGATTTAATTGACATGTTTTTCCTGGTAGTATACATTGAATTACATGCAAAATTCCTGTTTTGTAGGTAAAAGTCAGTATAACCAGTTTCATCTGGTTCAACCTAATAGTTTAAATTAGACAAAAATGACGATGACAAATTTTCTTCTCAAATTAGAGTGAGCCATTTCTGATGAAGACTTAAACAATTTTATTGCAAGCCTTGTTTCTTTTTTTTCCCCCCTGTGGAAATTTTGGTCCTTTTGGTCTTCTAATGGCTAGACTGCACATTTATCTGAGAAGGAAGAAAGAAATCAGATATGGATCTAGGAATAGTAAATATGAAAGCATTAGTATAATGAAGAAGAAGGAAAGATTATATGTGGAACTTGAAGCTTGATTACTTTCCACTTACTACACGTTTTAGACTAGCTAAAAAAGAGACCATGAATGGCACGGCATGATTTTATCACCAAAGGGAAAGGACAAATCATTCTCTAAAATTTATATTTTAAGATATCTAGGTAAGAAATGTTTTTGTTTGTATTTTACCTATTTTCTTCCAATTAAAATATAATACATGACAATTGAAAAAACTTAGAAAAACACCAACAATAGAGAAGAGAATAAAAAATTATCTTTAATCCCATGACCCAGAAGATAACCATTGTTCTTTTCTTGTTTTTTTTTTCGTCTCTGGATTTTATTTAGTTTTAGCAAAGTGACATAGTTCAGGTCAAACATATTCTTAAATATACGAAGTTAGGGAATTAGAATAGGAAATCATTCAGGGCATGGCCTTTCCAGTCACACAGAACTGGGTCATAATCCTGGTTCTGTCACTTACTGTCTTTGTGACCTTGAGCATGTTCCTTGATTTTTTTTTTAACCTCAATTCCTTCATTTAAAACAAAGAGATATTATCTTCATATAATTGTTTCGATGATGAGGGGAGATAGTGTATATGAAGTGTTTAGCATAAAACTTAGCATATAGTAAGTACTCAGTAGTTGTCTACTATTTTTCTTGTTGTTACATTATCTTCACTTAACATTATATCAAAAGAGTATTATAATGAAGCTACCTAATATGTTCTCTTTCTAAGCTGGAAATAAGCTGTTCTTTTCATTGTTTGTCGCTGTCATTTGTCCCATAACTTTTTTCCCCCCATTGCTGTGTCAATACATTCTCCCTCTTAAAACTGGAGGGAAATTGGAGCATTTCCCTCAACATACACAATGAAGTGCGAGCTAGAAGAGGAAAATTTCAGTGCAAAAAGTGACAATAATACAGTATGAATATAAATATAAATTAAGTCATATTCTAAATTCCCTAAACTGTTACTTTCAGTCTCAGCTCTATTCAAAGTCCTTCTCCTGATCCTGCCATTTTTCTCTCAGGGAACATGAATGGTTTAAACAGGACCTTCCAAAATATCTCTTTCCTGAGGATCCATCATATAGTTCAACCATGATTGATGATGAAGCCTTAAAAGAAGTATGTGAAAAGTTTGAGTGCTCAGAAGAGGAAGTTCTCAGCTGTCTTTACAACAGAAATCACCAGGATCCTTTGGCAGTTGCCTACCATCTCATAATAGATAACAGGAGAATAATGAATGAAGCCAAAGATTTCTATTTGGCGACAAGCCCACCTGATTCTTTTCTTGATGATCATCACCTGACTCGGCCCCATCCTGAAAGAGTACCATTCTTGGTTGCTGAAACACCAAGGGCACGCCATACCCTTGATGAATTAAATCCACAGAAATCCAAACACCAAGGTGTAAGGAAAGCAAAATGGCATTTAGGAATTAGAAGTCAAAGTCGACCAAATGATATTATGGCAGAAGTATGTAGAGCAATCAAACAATTGGATTATGAATGGAAGGTAAGAAAGAAATAACATTTTGATTATTAGCATATTTGGCAAACCCATAGTCTATAAAATGTTTTATAGAAGAATTACTTTTGACTTGGTTTTTGTTATACCATGTGCTAGGTTGTAAACCCATATTATTTGCGTGTACGAAGGAAGAATCCTGTGACAAGCACTTACTCCAAAATGAGTCTACAGTTATACCAAGTGGATAGTAGAACTTATCTACTGGATTTCCGTAGTATTGATGGTATGTACATCACACAAAACAACATAGATTAGACCTTGTTACTAACTTGGTATTTTACGCCTTGATTCTTTTGAGGCTTCTTGACTTGTTCCTAGTAATTCAACTGCAAAGGAATAAAAAATGTGATTTCTTGTGCCTTTGCAATATTAACATTTATGAATCTTATTTTTCTTGTAATCTTATAGCATATTGTCCTTTTAAGATTATCATCTTGTAAAATCCTTAAAGCCAGGTGTAGTCTGATCCTAAGGTGATAGTTTTCTGCTGCATTTGTTTTTTTGGTGTAGTTCATTTTGATAAGAGACAATGTTTTATTTAGAAATAAATATTGACTCTTCTGTAAGCTTTTATTTATTATTAAATAAGTTTTCAGTTAAGAATGAAGTTATGGCAATTCTTCATTGGCCAATTCAATTGCATTAAGCTACGCTGTTGAGTGCAGGTGTGGTGGCTTATGCCTGTAAACAGCCCAGCACTTTGGGAGGCTGAGGTGGGAGGATGGCTTGAGCCCAGGAATTTGAGACCAGCCTTAGCAACATACTGAGACTCTGTCTTTACAAAATATTAAAATATATATATATAGTATCACCTTTGCTTATGGAAGGTTGCATAGAATTATTAGATGAGGTTCACGTTTGAATTTTTTTCTTCTTTATAAACTCAAAGATAGTACACACATAGTAGCAGAAAGACACAGGTTTGAGCCATGATATGTTGGCCAAACCAGTTTGTCTGGTTATCTTTAGGTCCATATAGTACGTATCTGCTAACATATACTAATGCAGTCTGAAATACGGAATGAGTTTTATTTTTCTTGTATTTGGATCAAATTTGCAACCTTAGATTTACTAGTACTGGGGTATACCAATTGAATGCCCATTTTGTTTTTGTACTGTGTTCCCAACCTTAGTTTTTCTTCGATTTTTATTCATTGGAATTGTTGCTCTTTTATGAAATACTAAATGAAATATGAAGGGAAAGTGGAAAGTAAAAAGCACTGAGCTGAGACTTAGGAGAGTTGGGTTCTAGACTTACCTTTCTGTTCATTTGTTACCTTGGGCAAGTCATTTCTCTGGGTTTGTTTTCTTATCAATAAAGTGAGGGGCTGGATGAGATGGTTTCCAGTATACCCTCCAAATTTTAAGTGCATCGATTCTATGATTTTAATATAGAGGGATTACTTTTTATTGCTATAGAATAATATTTATTAATCCCTAGATTGTTGGTTTACTGGGCTCTTAACCTTGGATTGCAACTGATGAGTAGCTATACTGTACCCAACTTTGGTTAGCTATCTTGAGAATACATACTATATGTAAAAAAGATGAATAGTTTAATACAGGCTCATTGACTGTTTTAGAAGGTATTTAGAATAAGCGTGCTCTTGATAGCTGGCCAGCAGCCCCACTTAAAGAAGCAAATTCAATACTGTTACAAAAATTTTTGGGAGAAGGTCATAGACTATAATAAATTGAAATTCTTTTTACCCAGATGAAATTACAGAAGCCAAATCAGGGACTGCTACTCCACAGAGATCGGGATCAGTTAGCAACTATCGATCTTGCCAAAGGAGTGATTCAGATGCTGAGGCTCAAGGAAAATCCTCAGAAGTTTCTCTTACCTCATCTGTGACCTCACTTGACTCTTCTCCTGTTGACCTAACTCCAAGACCTGGAAGTCACACAATAGAATTTTTTGAGATGTGTGCAAATCTAATTAAAATTCTTGCACAATAAACAGAAAACTTTGCTTATTTCTTTTGCAGCAATAAGCATGCATAATAAGTCACAGCCAAATGCTTCCATTTGTAATCAAGTTATACATAATTATAACCGAGGGCTGGCGTTTTGGAATGCAATTTGCACAGGGATTGGAACATGATTTATAGTTAAAAGCCTAATATGCAGAAATGAATTAAGATCATTTTGTTGTTCATTGTGCAGTATGTATATAGCATAATATACACAGTGAATTATAGGTCTCAGGCTTACTTGATTTTTGGCTATTTTATATTTAGTGTACACAGGGCTTTGAAATATTAATTTACATAAAGGCCTTCATATATTATTACGTGTTATATATTACGTGTTATAAATTTATTCAATAAATATTTGCCTAGAATTCCCAAGACCTTTATAGGTGATTTTGTTTTCTGGGCTCCTTAACTTCATAAATAGCTAGTATCTTCCAGCAGTAGTAACAGTCTGGATAACTTCTTCCATATCCCTCCCTCTTTGTTTTTTTGAGACAGTGTCACTTTGTCACCCAGGCTGGAGTGCAATGGTGTGGTCTCGGCTCACTGCAACCTCCACCTCCCGGGTTCAAGTGATTCTCCCGCCTCAGCTTCCTGAGTAGCTGGAACTACAGGCGTGTGCCACCACACCCGGCTAATTTTTCGTATTTTTAGTGTAGACGGGGTTTCACTATGTTGCCCAGGCTGGTCTCGAACTCCTGACCGCGTGATCCACCACCTCAGCTTCCCAAAGTGGTGGGATTACAGGCGTGAGCCACCGCACCCGGCCTCCATATCCCCCTTTTAAAATTCTGTAGTGTATGGTAAGTCATATCAGATATCAGACCTAATTTAAATTTCATTTTAGCTTTACAAGTCCAAAAACACAGAATTTATATATTCAGATACTCTAGCACTAATTTTAGTCTTAAAATATTCCCACGATATTCTGTACACAAAATGTTCTTTTTGTTACAAGAGCTGAGTTGCATATACTGTAGATAAATCATATTATTTTTGCCAATTTCACAAATTCCTCTGGCCCATCATGTCAGTCATTATTGAGTATATGCACACATTGCTACTTATTTGATTATGTATCTTTTAAATTGATTCAGTGCATAGAAAACTATCTCTTACAAACTTTAAGTGCTCTGATATGACTTCCCCCCCAAATTTTATTATGAACATTTTTAAAAACAGAAAAATTGAAAAACTGTTTGGTAAGCACATGTATATCTACCATTTAGATTCAGCAGTTGTTAATGTTTTGTCATTTGTTTTCTCTATACCTATATATGTATAGATACAGCTAGTTATGCATATATATGCATATATGTGTTTGTTTGTGTATGTATATATGCTTTTTTCCCCCTGAACCATTTGGATGTTACAGACATACTTATCACCGTGAAAATACTTCAAGTATCTCCTACAGATAATGACATTCTCCTAAAAATCCGTAATACCATTGTAAAAGTAATAATTCCCCAATATCATCTAATCAAGCCATATTTAAATTTCTGAAGTTAACTCCAAATTTCTTTATAGCTGATTATTTCAAACTAGGATCCAATTAAAGTTTACATATGACACTTGGTTATAACTCTTTAGTTGGATATAACATTATTATTATTTTGATAAAATATGGAACAAATCAATTCTATTAATAAGTGGTCACATTTGTTTTGGGCTTAAATTACTTTTTAAAGATACTGGATTTTCCTAAGATTTCTGATTTACACTGATATTTTTTTTTGTCATTCTTAATTGCATCACACAATAGATGTAAATGAAGATGTAGTCACCTCAGATAAAATTGGTATCGTGTATGATAATATTGTATCATTTATATTTGCCTTATGTTAACTTTAAGAAATTGATTTTTTTGTATTAATCATTTTCCCATTGCAACAGAGCTATATTTTTTCTATTTTAAGAATCATATTTTAGGATTATTTTTGGCAAATACAGTGAGCACTTATGTAACCAGATGATAATGAACTCAAATGTCATGATAGCTTGCATAAATGGTGACTCTAGTAGATTTGACTCAAGCACTTCTAGAATCATGCACTGAATTCAAAAGAAAAATCTTGCTGCTTTTTGTCCAGGGCTTGTTCTATTCAACTTCTAATTTGAAAGCTGTACAAAGTAATAGAAGTTCCATTTAAATATGAGTTCAAAACTGTATTTACTTTTTATGTGGCCCTCTCTTTAGGGGATTCTAATTTTACTTAGGGTCTCTAAGTGCAGCATAATGTTCCTGATGTTAACAGAAGACTGTATTTTTAAAGTTACAAATTTGTATATGGAATTAAGTAATGGCGCTATATACGCTGTTGTGGGGAGGGGGGAAGAAAAGGAGGAACCAATTAAATAGGACCTTTTAAAAATTGTTAATTTTGTAAACTTTGCTTCTCTTATAAGTTATTGTGATTCATTTTAGTTACTGTGTTTTATTTTGAAAATATTTAAATATTGCACTTCTATAAATAGTATGATAAATGCACAGACAATTGCAGTAAATTCTTTTTTAAGCTAGGATATTTGAAATGACAACCTTTGGTTAAGTGTGTCAAGGTTGCAACAGAATTTTCACAATTTTTTTGTTGTTTGCAAATTGTTACTAATATTGAAGAGGTAAGGGAGGCAATGCAAATGATTTTTAATCTTTTTTTATTATCTTTTCAGCAGTTTATATTTTTTGTGACTTTATGCAACCATATTTTTACTTTGTCTTGACAACTGAAAGATGTATAAGGTTTTTTGCCAGAAATGTACTGTATACATAGTTTTAAGTATAACAGATTTTACTGATATGTAAAAATTTTGCCATTAAAATAAATGATTTCTCACTGAGAGGAACTTTTCTACCAGGTTGGGGCATATGGGAGCTTAATATATCATATCTAATTTAAAATAATTTCACTGAAATAAACTCCATTGCTTTTACCTAATTTTTTTCTTGAGATGCTTTTGTAGTTTTTCAGAGTTTTAGATGATTTTATACAAAATCCTCTGCCTAGCACTGCTCTTTTTGATGTTGTAGTGACACCATTTACATTGAATTAATGCTTGGTAGCCTGGGGCTAGATGTGGAACTCCATGGATCTGTGTTCTGACTGGCACCTTTGGAATGAAAGAAAAGTGTGTGCTGTCCAAATTTTTTCCCCTTAATTCTTTCCCTCATCTTCTCACCCATAATAGAAATTTTATTTCCATTGTGAGTTCTGACAAGAATGAAATTCCACATACAACATAACTGTAAATTGTTGGTAGGTAGAAGTTAATATTTGTGGTTCATGTATATTTTGACCAGAGTATATTTAAGTATATAATTTCAGCTTCCTTGATTTAGAAATATGATATAATAAAGAAAAACTCCATTTATCATCTGTTACAATGTACTTATGTTTTTTAACCTCTGGGAAAACTCAGTGGAAAAAAAAAAAACTAAGTATCTGTGCACCTTTCTTTCTAACAATGTACCGGCTAGGTGCGGTGGCTCACACCTGTAATCCTAGCCCTGTGGGAGGCTGAGGTGGGTGGATCACCTGAGGTCAGGAGTTCAAGACCAGCCTGCCAACATGGTGAAACCCCGTCTCTACTAAAAACACAAAAATTAGCTGGGCGTGGTGGCGGGCACCTGTAGTCCCACCTACTCGGGATGCTGAGGCACGAGAATCGCTTGAGCCTGGGAGGTGGAGGTTGCAATGAGCCGAGAACATGCCACTGAACTACCAGTCTGGGCAAAAGAGTGAGACTCTGTCTCAAAAAAAACCCCACCAAAACAACAACAAAAAAAGTACCTAGAAATATAAAATATAGTGCCTGGCCACATTTAAATTGTCAAACATTGTGATTTTTATCTCGACTACATGAGTCTTGATTTCATCTAAAAACCAACCACTTGAATAAAACATGATAGATACAATAAAAGCCAAAGCAACTGCCATTTATCAGTTGCTAACACTTGATTTGGTTAGAATCCTACTACTGTTAGAATTCAATTAATATTAAATATTGTATCCATATGACATGATTAGGCAGGGGCTTGTGCTAGATTGTTGACACTCTGTTATCTTTAAAACAACAAAAGAAAACTGCTAAAGAGTGCTATGAGTAGTATATAAGGTTTTTTTAGGGAATGTATAAATTGCTGTAGGTATTTACCTTGGCTGTACAAGAATTGTCCAAGAAATTCTTGTTTGAAAAATCAGAATTTTTGAACTCTTTTATTTATTGTAAATAAACTATTTACTGTAAATGCCAATAAATTATGATAAATTTAAAGGATTTTGGAAAATGATCATGTTGTCTTAAAAAGACAGCATAAGACATATATTAAATATATTAGGTGAATCAAGATCATAGACCAGTCAGAGTTAGTAGAGAAGTAGTGGGTGAAGTATAAAAACTTAGTGGGAGCTACCCTTAAACACAGTAGAGGAGATCAGGGTTAGGTTACTTGAGAGATTTAGCAAAGACCCCTAGGTAGGGGGCACAGCTTCAAGTACCATTTACTCACTCTGCAACCTCTATTCCTTCTTATTGGCTACTATGAACTAATGACACTATGAATGTGACCATAAGATAAATCTTCCCTCTGCATGTCTTGTTAGGGAGGTACATGTTTTCTTATTTAAGACTTTCATAGACATATATACAGAAAAGTGCACAAATGAGTATTTGGCTTAATGAGTTTTCAGTATTTCAGGTACACAGGAAACATGACCATGTAAACCTCTAGGCAGATTAAGAAACATTGCCACCATCTTAGTGTCTTTCATAATTAATATCGGAAGTGATAAACGGTCACTTCTGCCCTCTTCTGTAGGTAACACAGACCAACCGTGGTACAATATAGGAAGGCAGTGCATAAGGATGTGAATGCCAGGAGTGAATGCCATCTTGGAGGCTGGCTACCGCAGTCATGCATTGATCGTTTTCAAATACTACTGGTTCACTTATGCAGCCTGCACAAATATTGATGTATTTAAGCAAACAATGTAAATAAAAGTCACAACTGATAATCACTTATATCAGAAAATTCTGGAGATACTGGGAAGCTGCCAAGATCATTATGGTGAATACCATTTTTCCAAAATCATATTTTTTTTTTGCCTAAAATCTTGAATTTTATCATTGGCAACAAACTCAATTTTTTTTTCTTTCCTCCCTCCCTCCCTATTTCTCTTTTTTCCTTTCCTTTCCCCTTCCCCTTTCCCTTTCCTTGTTTTTCTTGAAGTTACAGATTCCCTTTGTTCATTTTCAAGAAAGGTTTGTCAAATACCCAAGTCCGAATAACCGGTTTGTCACTCATCTTAGTAAAATTTGTGTTCCAGGAAAAAAAAGTATTTACTTCAGTTTATAATGCCATCTCACAGTAGCTCTTCTTTGATACGTCATACTTCAATATGCAGCAGAAGTACTTTGTGAGGACTTCCAAGTTTTTACAAAGAATATTAAGTGTCGGAGTGGTTATAATAAAGTAACTTTTACAACTTCATCAGGGATATTCTCTGGTGACAGCGTTCATTTTTCCATTTTTTTTTTTTTTTTTGAGACCGTGCCTTGCTCTGTCATCCAGGCTGGAATGCAGTGGCATGACCTCGGCTCACTGCAGCCTCGACCTCCCAGGCTCAAGGGATCCTCCCACCCCAGCCTCCCGAGTAGTTGGGATTCAGGTGCGTGCCGCCAGGCCTGGCTAATTTTTGTATTTTTGGTAGAGATGGGGTTTCGCCATGTTGGCCAGGCTGGTCTCGAACTCCTGACCTCCCAAAGTGCTAAGATTACAGGCGTGAACCACCGCGCCCGGCCCATTTTTCTTACTGTGAGCGTGTGGTGGTGAAGAGCTCCAGTACGGTTTGGTGTCATTACTGTAATTCCTGTGGAGGGGCCAGCACCTTGACCTACCATTGCTTTTCCACCATCAGTGCAAATGTCAGCATTGTGCAAAGGGCAAATCACGTCTTCATATTAGTATGAAAATAATTTTGGCTTTGAAAGGGTGTCATTGACCCTCAGGACAATCGTTGGTCGACATCAGTGGTTCTCAACGGGGCAGGGTGGGAGGGATAGTTTTTCTTCCAGGGGAAATTTCACTGGGGAAACCATTGGCTGTCACAATCGACTGGTGGTGACATCCCGTGGACAGAGACCAGAGATGCTGCTAAGCACCCTACAATGCACAGAACACCCCGTCCCCCAACAAAGCATTATCCAGTTTGAAATGTTAATGGTGCTGAGGCTGAGAAAGTATGACTTCCAAAAATGAGTCTTTTGGGCAGGAGAGTTGGAGAAATTAACAATCTTGATTACCTTTATTACATGTGCTCGTTTATTTTCAAGACATGATGCACAGCTACGTTCTGGCTGTAATTCTGCCTTCTGGGTCCAACTCACTTGTAACTTTAACGTGAAGCCTGCAGTTCAGCCTCGAGCCTCCCTGACTAGCCTCCCCGCCCGGCCGCCTCGAGCCCTTTATAACCGAATTTTGCCTCTCTGTTCTCTGCGTCTGGCCGACCTCATCAGCTAGGCTATAAACCCCTTCGGGGAAGGAGCATATCCTAATCCTTTGAATCCCGTAAAATAAGTTTTCCCCTCACCTTGTTCCCCACTGACGGGACGCGAGGCTGCGCGGTACCGCGGGGGCGGCTCCTCTCGGTGCGCTCTTCAGCCCGCGCAGCCTCATTTTCCCGCGCTCGTGCGCTGCGGTCACTCAGGGCTGCTGCTAGAGGGCGCGCCCAGCCGCGTGGCCCTGACTACTACAAATCCCAGAAGGTCATGCAGTGGGGGCGGCCGCGGTGACTTCTGGGATTTGTGGTCCCGGAGAAGAGATTGGCGGAGGGGAAAGACTGAGTCGTCTTTCCTTTGCCCGCTTCTGTGGACTGTTCGAACGCCCAGGGGTGGGCCAAACCCGTTTCTTAGGAAACCAGGAATCCAGGGAAGGCAGGTAGGAATTTGGGCGTGATAATTTCTGCTTCCAGTGGGAAAGAATGTAAACACGGGGCCTTGGGAGCCGTTATCGGGTAACTGGGGCTGCCCGGTCGGCGGTGGAAGCTGAGGAAGAGGAGGAAAAAGAGGCGAGTGGGTGTTGTGATTAGGGGAGAAAGGACCTTCGGAATAGGAGTTGAAACCCGACGGGATCCGGCAGAGCCTGGTCGCTAGGGTTGGTCTCCAGGGACAAGCGAGTCTGAGGGTCGGGCCCGCCGTGGCACCTTCGCGGAGCTGCGCGGCCGCAACCTTCCCTGAGCGGTGGGACGGGCGGGACGAGCCGGCCGCTCCCCGCTGGAGAGGTGTCTGCGGCCCGGGGCGGTCCGTGAACGCGCAGGTGACGTCCGGGGCAGCCTTTCTGAGCGTTTTTATTATTGTTGACCGATGAAGGGAAAGTCACTAATACTGGTTTTTCTCTTGCGGTGGCGTTTTTGGGTAAATCGTTTCTTGGATTCCTCACCTCTGAATACCTCCTTTTACCCAGAAGGATGCTGTTGTGATTTCCTGATCTTGTTCATGTAGTGGTTTTTCCCTTTGGGTGCTGCATCCTCAGACACACTCAAGACAAGCCCTCTCTGGCGGCTGGGTAAATGTGAAGCCGTCGCCAGTTGTTGAGCGCCTACTATAGGGATCTTTGTAACAGTACAGGAATTTAGAATACAGCGTCGTTGTTTAGAATCGTTATGCCATTCCTGAAATATAATCCTATATAAAAGGTTGAATTTGTCTGGTTTCATGAGTTTAACATGAAACCGGTGTGGATTGTGGTTTACTCTCATGGTTTCTTACTCTGGTAAAAAAATGTTAAGTCTAGGATGTTGAAGCCTCGTGCTTCTAACTAGACTCAGGAAAGCCTCCTTCATAAGAAGTTTTAATTTCATGTTCAGATAGTCATAGAGGAACAATAAACTCGTTCGGCTTAAGATATCTGAAACAACTGGGAATGTTAAATTTTCTAATGCAGAAAGTGCTTTGCATGCTCTAGGATTCACATACCTTTTTAAGCCTGGCTAAGTTTTCTTCAAAGCTTAAGTCCTCCAGAAAGCCTCAAGTGTCTCTTCTCTGATGTCATGGCATCCTTTGTTTACTCTCTTGTAGCACATATCGTGTATGAAATTGACTGTACTCTGTGGTTTCCAGACACTTTTGAAGAAAATATAAAACTTTGCTAATGGCCTTGATAACAGATTCATGCTTTTACACAGTAGTGGGCCCTTGATACTACTGTTTGGTATCTCTATTTTTCCTTTGTTGCTTTTCCTTATCTCCACAGTGACTATTTTAGTCTTTTCCCTTTTTCTCAAGAACTCAGATCTGTTATTTTCCTTTTACTTTGAGCAGATGACTAGCCGCTGTTTGCTGGAGAAATGTGAAGCTTGGGGCATGAAATTCCTCATTTTCCTTTCCCTCCATCCCTGAACTTGCCTGTATGTTTCACTCAATATTAACTCCTTTTTTTGTCTGAGAGGACTGTATTTTTGTCTCCCTCTTTCAGGTTAAACTTGTCGATTGCTAGTGGCATCAGGCCTCCCACACCCTCATAACCTCAGTCTGTCCTGACCTCTGCAGCCCCTGATCTCTAGGTCTCAAGGGATCTGTGGAGGAGAATGGCTCAAACACCTGAGGCAATAGTGGCGTGGTTTTTTCACATATGGTTGAGAGCCACCACCTTGGGCCATAACTTATACTTGTCCCCAGCATTTATAACAGTGGTTTGGGTTGGAAGATGGGGAGGGTAATTGGAATCTGAATGACCTATTAATTTTAAAAGATGTGTGGGTCTGTTTCTCACTTTTTCCTTTCCTTCCCACCCTATCACAGCCCCTCATGTAATCTACAGATCTGATCAACGGTTTTTTTTTTTACTTTTTTTTCTTTTGATCAATGATTTTTATTGTAGTTTACCTCCAGTAAACACACTAGGTGTCCTTTAGTATGAGTAGGGTTCCCACAGTGCCTGGTGCCTCACCTTATGAATAAAGAAAGTTTCATTTGGAATCTTGAAACCGGAAAACGTGGTCATCATTCTTGTTACCATTAGGGATAATCATAAATACAAGACTTCTTTTTATCTTGTCTTACACTGATATCTTGTGAGTCTTTCCTAATGATCTGTATTTTCTCAGGTTGTCCTCACTGTGTGCCTTTTAACTTCTGTTCCATAGTATCCACACTTCTGTTTTCAGCCATCTTCCCCTACAATACTCATAGTCATCTTCAAACATGGGAAACTCATTCTCCTATAATATGATCGGCCTGGGGAGAGAGTTTGCATTGTCCTTATTCCCCAGCACAGTTTATAATCCATTAGTCCTCCAGGTTTTAAAAAAAATCTCAGTTCCTGTGGAAAGTTTGTGGTTCACTTATATTATCAGCCTGTATATTTCTTTCTTTCTTTCTTTCTTTCTTTTTTTTTTTGAGATGGAGTTTTGCTCGTGTCGCTCAGGCTGGAGTGCAATGGTGCAATCTCGGCTCACTGCAACTTCTACCTCCTAAGTTCAAGCGATTCTCCTGCCTTAGCCTCCCAAGTAGCTGGGATTACAGGCATGTGCCACCATGCCCAGGTACTTTTTGTATTTTTGTAGAGACGGGGTTTCACCATGTTGGCCAGGCTTGTCTTGAACTCCTGACCTCAGGTGATCCGCCTGCCTCTGCCTCCCAAAGTGCTGGGATTACAGGTGTGAGCCACCGCGCCCAGCCTGTATATTTCTTGATTGCTGTGATTTATTGGCACTCTCTCATATTCATTAAGAACTCAGACATACGACTCACAATTTTCTTACCCCTCCAAATTCTGCCATTACGGTAGGTCTTTCCATGTGAATGACCTCATAGCCACCCTCACTTTTTTTCTCACCTTCCTTCTAGTGATTACAGGGATCATTTTATTGTGCTTCACTTTATCACACTTCATAGATACTGCGTTTTTGCACATTGCAAGTGCTCAGTAACCCTGTGTCCAGCAAGTCTTTTCGTGCTATTTGTCCAATAGCATGTGTGCACTTAGTGTCTCTGTGCTACATTTTGGTAATTCTTGAAATATTTCAGATGTTTTAATTATTACTATATCTGTTATGGTGATCTGTAATCGATGATCTTTGGTGTTAACAATTGTAATCATTTTGGGTTGCCATGAACCATGCCCATATGAGATGGTGAACTTAATCAATAAATGTGTGTTTTGAATGCTGTACCACCAACTGGCTATTCCCATCTCTCTTCTTCTCCTTGGGTCTCCCTATTTCCTGAGACACAGCAATATTGAAATTAGGCCAGTTAATCCTACAATGCCCTCTAAGTGTCCAAGTGAAAGGAAGAGTTACACATCTCTCATTTTAAATCAAAAGCTAGAAATGATTTTAGGAAGACCTGTTGAAAGCCAATACAGGCTGAAAGCTAGGCCTCTTGCACCAAACAGCCAAGTGGTGAATGCAAAGGAAAAGTTCTTCAATGAAATTGAAAGTGCTACTTCAGTAAACACACAAATGATAAGAAAGCAAAAACCGCTTTATTGCTAATATGGAGAAGCTTTGAATGGTCTAGATAGATCAAACCAGCCACAATATTCCCTTAAGCAGGAGCCTCATTTAGAGCAAGTTTCTAACTCTCTTCAATTCTGTGAATGCTGAGAGAGGTGAAGAAGCTGCCAAAGTAAAGTTTGAAACTGCTAGAGGTTCGTTTGTGAGGTTTAAGAAGCCATTTTCATAACATGAAAGTGCAAAGTAAAGCAGCAAATGCTGATGTTATCCAGAAAAGATCTAGCTAAGATAATTGATGAAGTTGGCTACACTAAATGAGATTTTCTTTTTTTTTTTTTTTTTCTTTTGAGACGGAGTTTCACTCTGTTGCCCAGGCTGGAGTGCAATGGCATGATCTTGGCTCACTGCAACCTCCGCCTCCTGGGTTCAAGCGATTCTCCTGCCTCAGCCTCCCGAGCAGCTGGGACTACAGGCGTGCGCCACCACGCCCAGCTAATTTTTGTATTTTTAGTAGAGACAGGGCTTCACCATGTTGGCCAGGATGGTCTCTATCTCTTGACCTTGTGATCCTTCCGCCTTGGCCCCCCAAAGTGCTGAGATTACAGGTGTGAGCCACTGCGCATGGCCATAAGATTTTCAATGTGGATGACACAGGTTTCTATTGGAAGAAGATACTCTCCAGGACTTTCATAGCTGCAGAGAAGTCAATGCTTGGCTTTAAAGCATCAGAAGACAGGCTCACTCCTTTGTGAGGGCTAATGTAGCTGGGAACTTTAAATTGAAGCCAATGTCTATTTACCGTTCTCAAAATCCTGTTGCCCTTGAGAATTATGCTAAATGTACTTTGCCTGTGTTCTATAAATGGAACAACAAAGCCTGGATGATGGCACATCTGTTTACAGCATGGTTTACTGAATATTTTAAGCCCACTATTGAGACCTGCTCATGAAGAAAAGATTCCTTTCAAAATTTTACTGCTCATTGACAGTGCACCCTGTCATCCAAGAGTTCTGATGGAGATGTACAAGATTAATGTTGTTTTCATGCCTATTAACAACAGCATCTTTTCCTCAGCCCATGGATCAAGGAGCAATTTTCACTTTCAAGTCTTACTATTGAAGAAATACATTTTGTAAGGCTATAGCTGCCATAGATAGTGATTCTTCTGATTCATTTGGACAAAGTCAATTGAAAACTTTCTGGAAAGGATTCTAATTCTAGATAACCATTAGGAATATTTGTGATTCATGGGAGGTGGTCAAAATATCAACATTAACAGGAATTTGGAAGAAGTTGATTACAACCTTCATGGATAACTTTGAGGGGTTCAAGACTTCAGTGGAGGAAATAACTGCAGATGTGGTGGAAATAGTAAGATAACTCAAATTAGAAGTGGAGCCTGAAGATGTGACTGAATTCCTGCAATCTCATGATAAAATTTGAAAGGATGAGGAGTTGCTTCTTAGGGATGAACAAAGAAAGTGGTTTCTTGAGATGGAATCTACGCCTGGTGAAGATGCTGTTAACATGGTTGAAATGACAACAAAGGACTTAGAGTACATTATATAAACTTAGTTGATAAAGCAGTGGCAGAGTTTGACAGTATCGACTCTAATTTTGAAAGAAGTTCTGCTGTGGGTAAAATGCTACCAAATAGGACTGCATGCTACAGAAAAATTTTTTGTGAAAGGGAGAATCAGTCGATGCAGCAAACTTCATTGTTGTTGTTTTTTTTTTGGAGACAAAGTCTTATCCTGTCACCCAGGGTGCCAGGGTGGAGTTCGGTGGCATGGTCATGGCTCACTGCAGCCTTAACCTCCTGGGCTCAGGTGATCCTCCTGCCTCTGTCTCCTGAGTAGGTGGGACTACAGATGTGTACCACCACGCCTGGATAGTTTTTAAAAATTTTTTGTAGAGATGAGATTTCGCTGGTCTCAAACTCCTGGGCTCAAGCCCTCTACCTGCCTTAGCCTCACAAAGTGCTAGGATTACAGGCGTGAGCCAACATGCCTGACCGCTGTTGTCTTATTTTAAAAAATTGTCACAGCCACCAGCCTTCAGTAACCACCACCCTGATCAGTCAACAGCCATCAACATTGAGGAAAAACTCTCCATCAGTAAAAAGATTAGGACTTGCTGAAGGTTCAGATGATCATTGGCGTTTCTTAGCAATAAAATATTTTTAAATTAAGGCATGTACTTTTTTTTTTTTTTTTGAGATGGAGTTTCGCTCTGTTGCTCAGGCTGGAATGCAGTGGTGCAATCTCAGCTCACTGCAACCTCTGCCTCCCGAGTTCAAGCGATTCTCCTGCCTTAGCCTCCTGAATAGCTGGGATTACAGGCACATGCCACCACGCCCGGATAATTTTTGTATTTTTAGTAGAGACGGGGTTTCACCATGTTGGTCAGGCTGGTCTCAAACTCCTGACCTCGTGATCTGCCCACCTCAGCCTCCCAGAGTGCTGGGATTACAGGCGTGAGCCACTGCACCTAGCAAGGCATGTACATTTTTAAAGATATGATGCTATAACACTTAATTAGACTATAGTATAGTGTAAACATAACTTTTATATGCATAGGGAGACCAAAGCATTTGTGTGACCCACTTTTTAGTATTATTCACTTTATTGCAGTGGTCTGGAACTGACCGTGCAACAACTCTGAGATAGGCCTGTACTTATACATCACTTCAGCCATGTGCATCAGTAATGAAGACCTTGAAACCTGCTCGAACTTATGCAGTATTTCATTTCTCTCCCTCCCATACTCCCACAGTGCCCATTCTTTGGTAGTTTCATAAAGCCCTCTGATTCGTTGCTTTTCTTTTCTTTATGTTTTTTGGTTCATTGCTTTTTTTCTCTGTTTCTCTAGTTGATCATTTGATCAAAATCTCCTTGTGGTTATAGACTCCTTTAAGAATGGAATGAAAGCTTAAACACTATTCTCCAAAATGTACACAGATATAAAGAATTTTGTACAATTTATATACAGTTCCCAGTGTTTCTTAGTATCTTGAAGACCATCTATACAACTAGTAAATTTTTGGATCCCTCAGTTAATCTCTTCTCTAAATAAATATTTGTTGAATTATTTCAGGATTTCTGTTAACTTTGTTTTATCATTTATCCTCTCTTTATTTCTTACATTTGTATATCATTGCAGATTTACTGAAAAGTTCAGCATTTGTTATTTATTTATTTTTTGAGATGGAGTTTTGCTCTGTTGCCCAGGCTCACTGCAACCTCCGCCTCCCGGGTTCAAGCAATTCTCTTGCCTCAGTCTCCTGAGTAGCTGGGATTACAGGCATGTACCACCACGCCTGGCTAATTTTTGTATTTTTAGTAGAGATGGGGTTTGGCCAGGCTGGTCTTAAACTCCTGACCTCAAATGATCCACTGGCCTTGGCCTCCCAAAGTGCTAGGATTACAGACGTGAGCCACCGTGCCCGGCCAGCATCTGTTATTTTAAAATTTACCCAATAATTTTGTGAGTTAAGTCGTTTACCAAGTTTGAATCTTTTAAAACCTTTTTATTATGGAAAATTTTAACACATATGAAAGGAAAAAGTACAATGAACACTATGTACTCATCATTCAACTTCATTAGTTATCAATTAAAAGCAATCTAATTTCATGTATATTTTCTCTTGCATTGCACTCCCAACCTCCACTGATTGCTTTAAAACAATTCCTAGATGTCTTATAATTTTATATGAAATATTTCAGTTTATATTTCTAAAACCTAGGGGTTCCTTTTGTAAGCATAATTACAATACCATTATCACACCAAAGAAAAAATAGCCATAATTTGCCAGGTGCGGTGGCTCACGCCTGTAATCCCAGCAATTTGGGAGGGTGAGGTGGGTGGATCACCTGAGGTCAGGAGTTCAAGACCACCCTCACCAACATAGTGAAACTCCATCTCTACTAAAAATATAAAATTAGAAGGGCATTGTGACGCATGCCTGTAATCCCAGCTGCTCGGGAGGCTGAGGCAGGAGAATTGTTTGAACCTGGGAGGCAGAGGTTGCAATGAGCCGAGGTCGTGCCATTGCACTCCAGCTGGGGAAACGAGCAAAACTCCATCTCAAAAAAACAAAACAAAACAGTGATTTCTTAATATCATCAAATATCAAATCGGTGTTCCCATTCCTCCTATTTCATAAATGTTTCCTTCTGGCTGGGTGCAATGGCTCACGCCTGTTATCTCAGAACTTTGGGAGGCCGAGGTGGGCGGATCTCCTAAGGTCAGGAGTTTGAGACCAGCCTGGCTAACATGGTGAAATCCCGTTTCTACTAAAAATACAAAAAATTACCCAGGCGTGGTGGTGCCTGCCTATAATCCCAGCTACTCGGGAGGCTGAGGCAGGAGAATTGCTTGAACCTGGGAGGCAGAGGTTGCAGTGATCCGAGATCGGGCCGTTGCACTACAGCTTGGGCAACAAGAGCAAAACTTTGTCTCAGAAAAAAAAAAGTTTTCTTCTCATTGGCTTTTTTGAATCAGGAGTGAAACAAGATCCACATGTTATGTTGGTTAGTATGTCTCTTAAGTCTCTCTTAATTTAGGGGTTACCTTGTTCTTTCTCTTCTTTCTTTCCTGGCAGTTTATTTCTTGAAGAAACCAGCTTTATTTTCCTTTAGTTTCTGTTTTTTGCTATCTGCATCTCTGATGTGTTATTGAGCATGCTTCACTTTATCCTGTATTTCTTATAGGTAGAGGCCTGATCTGACTCAGGGTTAATTTTTGTAGGAGTACTTACTTCATGAGTGACATGCTACTTCCATCAGGAGGTGTGTGATGTCCAGTTGTCTTTCTTAGTGATGTTAGTGGCCATTGATGATTATTGCCTACAGCCACTAATTAGGGTTGAAAAATGGTGATAGTCTAATCCTGTTATTTCCTCTTTACCTATGGGTTGGAATACTTCCATAAAAGACCAAGTTTTGGGCCGGGCGTGGTGGCTCATGCTTGTAATCCCAGCACTTTGGGAGACCGAGATGGGCAGATCACCTGAGGTCGGGAGTTTGAGACCAGCCTGACCAACATGGAGAAACCCCGTCTCTAGTAAAAATACAAAAATTAGCCGGTGTGGGTGGTGCATGAGTGTAATCCCAGCTATTCGGGAGGCTGAGGCAGGAGAATCACTTAACCCGGGAGGCGGAGGTTACGGTGAGCCGAGGTCGTGCCATCGTACTCCAGCCTGGGCAACGAGAGTGAGACTCCATCTCAAAAAAAAAAAAAGATCAAGTTAGAATTTTAAAGCTGTTTCTTTGTAATTTTCCAGAATGGCTTCCTTTGGGTGGAAGAGGAAAATTGGTGAGAAGGTCTCAAAGGTCACTTCCCAGCAGTTTGAAGCTGAAGCTGCTGATGAGAAGGATGTAGTTGACAACGATGAAGGGAACTGGCTTCATGCCATTAAACGTAGGAAAGAAATTCTTCTTGAAGGCTGTGCTGAGAAAAGTAAACAGCTGAAGGATGAAGGAGCCAGTTTGGCTGAAAATAAAAGGTATGTATTTAAAGTTTTTTTTTTATGGAGAAGAGCTTACATTTTCTAGCTCACTGTCCGTAATGGGATGAAGAGTTATGAATTTGATAAATTCATGTTTAAAAATCTATTCTAGGTGCTAAATTAATCAAAGAAATAAGGTGTTTCAAAGTCACCTGAAAAATGAAAGTTTGTAAAATAGTTTTCAGGATGCAATGAAAGTTTGTAAAATAGTTTTCAGGATGCTAATTATGTCCCTGCTTTGCCATCATTTTTGTTGTGCCTAAAGAAGAGTAAATGCTAAGTAAAATGTAATTCAAGTGATTGGTCAGTAAAAGGTGGTCTTATCACTGGAAACTTTCTGCTTATAACATTATGTATCAGGTAAATTAGGCATTTCCTGAATAGCTTTGAGGGCACATACATAAAAAAAAATAGGTATTTAGTTATTCTTTGCCATTTACTTCTTATATACTTAAGTAAATATGACTTGCTGTACAGGAAGTTGATAATAGCTTCATTTATTTTTAGCCCTTCTTTAGCTAAGTTGTTCCTATATGCACCCATTTCTTTTTTCTTTTTTCCTTTCCTCTTTTTCTTACTTTTTTATTCCTTTTCTCCTTTTTCTGCTTAGATTTTTAAGAAGGACCAAAAATCATTTTTCATTAGTCAGTGGGGAAAAGACAAATTTTTTAGTAGATTCTGTTGAGAAAACTGGATTACTACCTAGAGGAAAATAAAACTGTGTCTGTATCTAATACCATGCACAAAGATGGACCCTGGAGGGATTAAAAATTTGTGAAAGGTAAAACTATGCAATTAATAGAAGAAAATATAGAATGGTATCTCTAATCTATGGTGGAAAAGGCCTTTTTTATTTTGAAAAAATTTCAAATCTGTATTAAAGAATAGTACAACTGGCTGGGTGCAGTGGCTTATACTAGTAATCCCAGCACTTTGGGAGGCCAAGGTGGGAGGATCGCTTGAGCCCAGGAGTTCGAGGATGCGGTGAGCTATGATCTTGCCACTGCCCTCCACCCTGGGCTACAGAGTGAGACCCTGTCAAATAAATAAACAAATAAATAAATCGTATATCTAGTATGATTCCAGTTCCAGTTTTAAAAAATTCTGGCTGTGTGTGGTGGCTTGTGTCTGTAATTTCTGTGCTTTGAGAGGCCGAGGCAGGAAGATTGCTTGAGCCCAGTGGTTGAGGCTACGATGAGGTGTGACTCTGCTATTGGGTTCCAGCTTGGGTGACAGAGTGAGACGCTGTCTCCAAAACAAAACAAAAGAATAGGACAATCTCGTATTTCCTCTATCTAGACTCAACAATTCTTAATATTTGCTTTATCCCTGTCTTTCTACACATGCATACACATACACACACACAGGCATACATAATTGCATATTTACAGGGTGTTTTTGCTGATCTATTTGAAAGTAAGTTTCAGACATTATGACACCTACTCCTAATTCCTCATGTTTTTTCTAAGAATAAGGATATTATCTTACCTAACATATCTTTTATCAAACCTACAAAAATTAACAATTTTATATCTAATATTAGTTCATGTTTAGGTTTTGCC
This sequence comes from Homo sapiens, assembly GCF_000001405.40. Classification (NCBI taxonomy): domain Eukaryota; kingdom Metazoa; phylum Chordata; class Mammalia; order Primates; family Hominidae; genus Homo; species Homo sapiens. The sequence goes on along the minus strand of NC_000005.10, from coordinate 40,745,232 downwards.
TGTTTTCCCCCAAATGTCTTTTACAGTACATGTTTTTAAAACCAGGATCTAAGGAGTTCACAGATTATATTTGGTTATTATGTCTCTTTAGTGTCTTTTGGCATCCTTGGGTTTTCTACTTTTATCCCCCATGACACTGACTATTGGAAGAGTCCAGACCAATTTTCTATTTGATTGCTTCCTTGTGTGTATCATTTAATTTGTTCCTCTATCTCATGTGTTTCTTGTAAACTGAAAGTTAGGTGTAGAGATTGAGTCTAAATATTTTTGGCAAGTATATGTCGTAGGTAACATTTGTGCTTTATACTGCATCATATTGGGAGATAAATAATATTATATTGCCATCTCTGTTAGTGCAGCCATTAGAAAGACATTGTGCCTATGTCTGTCTCTTTGCTGTGTTTGGTATCTGTTGAGAGCCATATTTTTATAAAAATCTTAAAGCATTGTCCTCTGTGAAGAAAATATATTAGAAAAATTACACTTGACAGTATAAGAATTGTTGATTTGAATAAATACATGATTTTTAGAAGACATATGTATGACCAGCAGGAATAGTAGCCTAATAGGCCTTTGTTTGGGACAGAATACACTTCAGATCATCCAGAAATCTAAAATCAGGCCTGTGTGCCTTTGACTGGTATCTTCCATGTGGTGTTGAAGAGTTTGAGAATTTAAAAGAAAATGAATTAATACTAAGCAAGACACACTTTTTTCTTTGTTCCTTAAAAAAAAAAAAAAAAAACTGGTAAGAGTGGTGATAAGATTTCTTGTTAATAATTTTTGTAAACATGAATCAAAGTTGAGGAACCAATATATTAGCTTTTAGGTCTGTTTTTATTTTTGATTCTGGTGTAATCTTTTATTATAACTTAATATAAAACAAAATGTGCTTAAGCTATGAAATACTAGCATCTCAAATTGGGAATAAAGGGTGGAAAATAAATAGCAATCAAGATCAATTAACTTAACTAGCTAATGTTAGGTTGTGAATTCTCATTTGTGGTATTTTAGGCATAAAGATTTTTATCTCACAGAACTCTGTAAGATTGACTAGTCTGTCTTAGAAGAAAACCAAATGTAAATTCTCCTCATTTATGAATACTTTGAGTACATCCATAAAACATCTTTAGGAACTCCTGTAAATGCCTGTTAAAAGTTCATTAACTTTTAACCACACTAATGTGTGGAAGGAAAAGCTGTTCTGTTATTGCCATCGGATTCCCTCTGAATTTCCTGTGACAGAGAAGAGATATCAGCATTGTAGACAAACACAATAACTCTTGTTTTCTGCCTGTATGTCGAAACATTGAGTCATTTCACTAAAACCAGTGGGATTGGATGCTTTATTTTGGATGGAGAACACTATAACATGATTACATTTTTTGCTCTTTAGCATTTATTTTTGAGTAATGTATATACTGCTTTAGAAAATAACTACAAAGATATATATTTTTTTGAGGTGGAGTCTTGCACTGTTGCCCAGGCTGGAGTGCAGTGGCGCGATCTTGGCTCACTGCAACCTCCTTCTCCTAGGTTTAAGCAATCCTCCCTGCCTCAGCCTCCCAGGTAGCTGGGATTACAAGTGTGTGCCACCATGCCCAGCTAATTTTTGTATTCTTAGTAGAGATGGGATTTCGCCATGTTGGCCAGGCTGGTCTTGAACCCCTGACCTCAAGTGATCTGCCTGCCTCAGCCTCCCAAAGTGCTGAGATTGCAGGTGTGAGCCACCATGCCCAGCAAAAAAATATTTAAGAGGCTACTAAACTTGATTGAAAGTAATATAAGGAAGAATAATTAAATTAGATTAAAAAAAATACTGAGTCCCTGCCTACCAAATCAACTTCATCTTAAACTGTGCTTATTTTCACTACATTTTAGCCAGATGGGCCTTCTTCATTTTTTTGAACATAGTTATTATACAACTTTGTGCTATGACTCTGTCTGAAAACCTTTTTTCTCTGGTTTTCTGCTGCCTGTCTTCCTGTCCTTTGGATTTCTGCTCATTTGTCATTTTCTCAGCAGTCTGCTCTCTGATTACCCAGTCTGAAGTAACATC